>NC_000016.10:5635000-6260000 GCF_000001405.40 Homo sapiens | reverse complement strand
TGGGAATGGACTTATTTTCATCAGCTTTTTTTTTTTTTTTTTGAGACAGTCTCACTCTGTCACCAAGACTAGAGTTCAGTGGCACGATCTCAGCTCACAGCACCCTCCATCTCTCGGGTTCAAGCAATTCTCCTGCCTCAGCCTCCTGAGTAGCTGGGACTACAGGTGTGCACCACCAGGCCTGGCTACTTTTTTTTGTATTTTTAGTACAAATGGCGTCTCAGCATGTTTGCCAGGCTGGTCTCGAACTCCTGACCTCAGGTGATCCATCCGCCTTGGCTTCCCAAAGTGCTGCTATTACAGGCATAAGCCACTGCACCCGGCCCCAGTGTTTTTATCTTTATTTGTTCTACGTACATGATCGCAGATATTTTTCAGTCACCAATCCACTTGCACTTTCGTCGCTACTGGGCCACCCTCCCCAAGTCCCAGAAACTATAAAAGGGAACTCATGGAGGTGAATCAGGAAGGCAAAGTGAGTTTGAGGAGAGAGAAAGAAGAAAGATATTTTACCTAGTTCTTGCACAAGTTTATTTAAAAGAAGAAAGTGGACACAGAGACACATGAAAATATCTGTCTCCACTGACCAAGAAGGCAGCTTATTTCACTTGCTTAGGCTGTGAGTCCTGATGAAGTTTTTCAAGACATCAGTTATTGAACTCTGCCTAACGGCTAGAGAGGAGAGGAGGGAGACTGAAAAGACCTCCAGCAAAGCATGTGGCAAATGAAACAAGCAAAAGTAAAGGAATAATGATAGATTTCACTGGATAGTAGGTGACCTGGATAACAATCTGAGTAAATAAGCAATGGGTGATCTTCTAAGCTAGGCTTGTATCCAATTTCAGTCAGAGTAATTAATGAAAAATTCATAAACACGCACACTTGAAATGTTCAGCTCTAGATTTCCTGTCTGACATAGTAAAATTAAATACCGAATACCCTGTCAGAAGCAAATAACAATTTTGATTTAGAAAGTGAGCATAAGAAAGTCTATATCTTGTTATTCTGTATCAGTCATCTAATGTTGTAAATGAACTCGGAATTGCATTGATTCATTTCTTCATTTTTATAAACATTTAAATGTTTTTAAATTTTCATTTTTGTGGATAGATAGCTGTATATCTTTATGGGGTACATGAGATGTTTTGATACAGGCATGAAATGAATAATAATCACGTCATGTAAAATGGGGTCTCCATCTCTTCAAGCATGCATCCCTTGTGTTGCAAACAATCCAACTAAACTCTCTTAGTTATTTTTAAATCTACAATGGAATGATTATTAACTATAGTCCCCCTGTTGATACTATAAACATTTAAACAATTATCCTGCTTAGTTAAAAAGTGAAATGCAGAAAATATTGCAGGACAAGATGAAATTAGGAAAACAGAGTTTGGGCCATGGAAGGTATTCAGTATGACACTGCCCTGGAGTTGATCTGATAAGCAATAGGGAGCCACTGAAGGTTTTTGAGCAGAGGAGTGAGATAAACAGAATTGTGATGGAAGATTATTTGGAAACAGAGTGTAAAATTCATCGGTACATGCACTCATGCTCATGTGCACACACGGGCACACAATCAAAAACACACTCATTCTAAGAGAAATTGTTGTTTTAGAAACACAATGAACTTGAGTAAATGATATGATCTCAAATGGGGTCAAGGTGAATGACAGTGTATCTTTGCTGTCATTGTAGCTTCAAGCATAATCACTTCTGGGGCTATTTTGGTTGATTATGCAATATGTACAAGAGCACAGTTGCATCAGCATTTTTCTTTCCAAATGTCTTTAATGGCCAGCTGGCAGTGAAGAACTGAGTAAACCCTAGACAAAAATGGACAATTGTAAGGAGTTTTAAAAATAAATAAAACGTTACAAAAGATGATGGGATAAGGGCATGGGAATTTTATTAAGAAACTCAACATCATGCGGACACAAAGGGAATGCTTACACACTGTTGGTGGGAGTGTAAATTAGTTCAACCTTTGTAGAAGGCAGTGTGGCGATTCCTCAAAGACCAAAAAAGAGAACTACCATCTGACTCAGCAATCCCATTACTGGGGATATACCGAAAGGAATATAAATCATTCTAGTATAAAGACACATCCATGTGTATGTTCACTGCAGCACTATTCACAGTAGAAAAGACATGGAAACAACCTAAATGCCCATTAATGATAGAGTGGATTAAGAAAATGTAGCGCATATCCATTATGGAATACTATGCAGCCATAAAAAAGAACATGATCATGTCCTTTTCAGGAACATGGAAGGAGCTGGAGGCCATTGTCCTTAACCAACTAATGCAGGAATAGAAAACCAAATACCGCATGGTCTCACTTATAAATGGGAACTGAATTATGAGAACACATGGACACATAGAAGGGAACAACAGACAGTGGTGTCTACTTCAGGGTGGAGGATGGGAAGTGGGAGAGGATCAGGAAAAATAACTAATGGGTAGTAAGTTTAAACCTGGGCAACAAAATCAACTGTACGACAAACCCCCAGGACAAAAGTGTACCTATGTAACAAACCTGCACGTGTGCCCCTGAACTTAAAAGTTTAAAAAAAAAGAAGAAGAAGAAATTCAACATCAAATATTGTTGATGCTGTCTTTTAATTTGAATGGGGAAAAGAGATTTGGCTAACATCCCTGCTGGGAGTGAATTTATTGCTCCTTTGGCTGAGGGGCCATTTTTAATAGATTCAGAAAAATAAAATACATCATGGGGAGGGAGAGCATCGGGATAAATAGCTAGCACATGCAGGGCTTAATACCTAGGTGAGGGGTTCATAGGTGCAGCAAACCACTGTGGCACATGTTTACCTGTGGAACAAACCTGCATGTCCTGCACATGTATCCTGGAACTTAAAATGAAATTAAAAAAAGAAAAATAAGTAACCAAATCATTCAATAAATAAAATACATCAAAAAATGACCCCTGTGCTTCCTGCTAAATACTCCAACCAGTCATTCTTCTTTCTCAAAGTTCCTACAAATCTCACATCTACTCATGGAATGCAGGTGTAAGGTTTACGCTTTGGGGTGCACACATTATTAGGACTTCTCCACCTAAGTTTTACTACAGCCTTCTAAGGGGTCCTCTTGCTTCTGGTTTCATATGCCTTCTATCCATCCCACATACTGCTCTTAGCAGTATCTTCCTAAATGAGAGTTTCTCAACCAAAGGTGATTTTCTTCCCAGGGAACATTAGTCAATGTCTGGGGACATTTTTGGTTGTCAAAACGGGAGAGGAAGACACTGCTGGCATGTCATGAGTGGCAGCCGGGGATGCTACGAAGTGTCCTAAAATGCACAGGGCAGCATCCCACAGCAAAAGTGTTCTGGCTAAAGTGTCAGTGGTGCTGAGACTGCCAGCACCTGTCCTAAGCACATGTTGACATATTGATTATATCGGTTTAATCGCTTTTCAAAATTCACAACTGCAACCAATGTCAAGTTCAAAGACTTAGACTAACTTTCCAAATCCATACAATCTGGTCTCATCAACTTCTCTGATTCACATCTCTGTCCCAGGGCTCCAAGGATGAACTCTGCTCTCGAAGGGTCAGGGGTTCCAGGTGACCTTGGGCATGCCTGCCTCCTTCTGCCTCAGTCCTCTTACCCAACCTCTTCCCCTTCTTGGACCATCCTTTCTTTCTGACTGCCTTATATATATACATATATATATATACATATATATATACACACATATATATATACATATATATATACACATATATATACATATATATATACACATATATATATACATATATATACACATATACATATACATATATATACGTATATATATATATACATATATATATACATATATATATATATACACACATATATATATATTTGTTACAGATAAGAGACTGCTATGTGGAAATGATCCTACTTTCATTTTTTCCATTTATTTATTTACTTATTTATTTAACTTTACGTTCTGGGATACACATGCAGAATGTGCAGGTTACATAGATATACATGTGCCATGGTGGTTTGCTGCACCCATCAACGTGTCATCTAGGTTTTAAGCCCCGCATGCATTAGGTATTTGTCCTAACGCTCTCCCTCCCTTTGCACCCCACCAAGTACAGGCCCCGGTGTGTGACGTTCTCCTCCCTGTATCCATGTATTCTCATTGTTCAACTCCCTCTTATCAGTGAGAACATGCGGTGTTTCGTTTTTTGTTCCTGTGTTAGTTGGTGAGAACGACGGTTTCCAGCTTCATCCATGTCCCTGCAAAGGACATGAACTCATTCTTTTTTTACGGCTGCATAGTATTCCATGATGTATATATGTCATATTTTCTTTATCCAATCCGTCATACTTCCAGGTTGACCACAGGCACCACTTCTCTGTGGACTTTGAAAACTGACATGATTGCTAACCTTATAGGACACTGAACAGCGCATTCCTCCTGTTGGCACCCACCTGTATCCATTTGTATGAGGAGGGGTCCTCTTGGGTCTTATAGTCAAAATCACCATGCATGCACTCATCTCATACATTATTCTCACCAGAGCTACAGCTTCACACCAACTTGCATTTCCTCCACTCTCCTCCTGTCCTGTGCCCTTTCACCTCTTGGCCGAGCAAAATACCAGCCATCCTTTCGCATCTCATCTGTCCTATCAGGACCATGGAGAAAAGGGCCCCAAGTGAACCTGGGTACTGCTGCATCTCAACTACCCACAGAGTTTTCCCATGCCTGGGAATGGAGGCTCTGTGGCTTGGTCTTCATTGTGTGCTGTTGACAGGTAGAAGTCAAAGCAAATGGGGTGATTAAACCAAAAAGTATTGATATGGAAATGTTTCCAGGTTCTCACCACCCTTCTAATCCACAGACTTTCTTTCTTGTTTATCTCTCTCCCCAGCCTGCTGAGCTGAAAAACAGGTCCGCGGACATATGTGATGCTGAACTTTAAGAATGACATAAAAGGAAGGGGTGGGAGAGATGGAAGGAAGAAGAGAAGGAATAAAAGCACTGACTGAAAAAAGGCCAAAACCATATATATTTTAATAATCTGGGAAATAAAGGGAGAGAATCTGAATGGGTCAACGGTAGACAGTGGGGGTGGGCATGGGGGGAAAGCCAAGAAAAAGTTGTTGCACCATGTAAATCCCAGAGAACAGGGCAGGAAAGAGGACATGAGAAGTGTTACTAAAAATAATGAATTGAATTTCCTTTCACATGTATATTTTTCAGAAGACAGAAATATATTGTTTTAATTTATGTTAATTTTAAAAGAGGTTTTTCAAAATGCTTTAAAATTTAAAAAATGTTCAGTTTTAACATTTTGTATTGCTTTCCCCCATTGAATGGAATTTCACGCAGAGACTAGATTGCATCAGTCAAAGGTTTATGAAGGTTGCACAGATGTTAAAATGTCTTCCTACCACAGAAAATAAACCAAGTTTAAGAATACATAGTCACCTTGCCCAAGATGGTATGACCTTGGGATCAAGCTTCAAACTCAGCAAGGGTTATTACCAATCCCATATCCTTAAGCACTCTGCTACTCTGCCTTTGAAAATAAAAGATTTAATTTCACATCAGCTTTTAATTATCCAGAAAGCTCTTATTTCCAATCTCATTGCCGTAAATTCTCTTTAATGATTCTCATGATTTTGATAAAAACAATCACTTATGTAGATAGATATTTATATTGTTGATAAACAATTGCTTATTTAGAGAGATAAACGTTCTCCCTGAATACATCTGTTTAGTTCACATGGATCCAGGCTCACTGCATGATAACCTATACAGACAGGCAATATCCAGTAGCCTCACTTACAGAGTAGATATTCGATAAATGCTATTGACGAGGGTGCTTACAAACACACAGGCCCACGAACCTCCATCAAGGAAGGCAACCTAAAATTCTCACTGGAATTCCTTGATCGTAAGTTTGTCTTTCCATTATGTCACACAGGCTGTATCAGAGAGAGCTAAAGTCCCCTGGTGTATGTTTGTCATGGAACCTTTGTTCCCTGGTTCTTTATAAGAGTTCTGTCCTACTTGAGTTGAGGTGAAAAATAACCCATTTATATTCTCTGCACTACTCTTTGGGGTTTTATTCCAATTGCTGTTGTGACGGGGCTGCTCCAAAGAGGAATACCAATGCAAGCAAGGAGTTAAATGCACTGTGGCGGCTGCAAATGCAGCAAGCTGGTCAGACGACTCAGAAGAAAGAGAAAGACAGCACAATTTTGAATTCCAAATTTATATAGATATGGATACAGGTATATATTCTGTATAGGTACATATATATATATATACACACACACACACACACACACACATGCACACACACACACATCTATTTCTTTTAACTATTATCTATCTATCCATCCATCCATCCATCCATCTATCCATCTATCTATCTATCATCAACCATTGATCAAGCTTTGATTGGAAAACAAAAGAGTGTGTGGTTATAAAAGTGCAAAATGTAGGACTCAGAGTCACCAAATTTGGGTCCTGGCAGGACCTCTACGTATGTGACTTTGGAAAACGAGCCTCTGGCTTCTCACCTGAGTCAGACATCAGGATAATGGTGCCTACCTATGAAGGTTTGCTGTGAGTTCCCCAGGAGTTCATGCATGCAAGTTGCGTAGCCCACAGCTTGTGTCAAAGTAGGTGCAACGTCAGTGACAGATGTGATGACTTTGCAGAGAGCTAAAATGATGGCGATGATGAAGGAAAGATCTGTTAGGTGAAAGTCAATCAGACTGCTTTTAACAACCTTTTTGTCGAAATCCCTCATGTTGAACTTCCTCTAGGAGAAATAGAATTTGGAGTTAGATGAGACCTGTATTCAAATCCAAGCTTTGCCATTCATTAGAGATGTAAGTGTGTGTATGATAGAGATAGATAGAGATACATATATAGATCAAGAAGGAGAGATGGCAGGGTTATGTCCCTTCAACAATCAGAGATTCAGCACCCTTATCTGTAAAAGTGGATTATAATAGTTCCTACCTCACAGAGATATTACGAAGAAAGCATTATATCACTAAGTAGTCTAGCATATTACCTGTCACATGGTAAGCACACAATACATTGTTGTTCTTGAACAATCCCTTCTATTATTAGCCATCTAGATGGGCTGTGCCTACACGATCCATTCACACCCATCGAACAGCAACATGTTCAGAATGTGGTTATCAGGAACTGTTTGCTAATTCCCTACGCAGAATTTAAATCTTCCACACTACCTCATCTGCTGCTCCATGCTAATTATGTACTTATCTTGTTTGAATATCTGTTGCAAATTTACAAAGCCACTGTTGTCCTACTGGCTTCTGGCTGTACACAGTCATGAATGGAAGTTTACCAAAAACAAAACAAAACAAAACAAAACAAAACACCTTGGCATGGAAACGAAAGCAGATCAACAGCATCCTATCATATCCTGTTCTTCTGGCCAACTGGGGCTTTTGGAATTCCTTCGGGTCGACTTCCCAACTCAATTACAGAACTGAACAGATCTCCACACTTACTTTTCAGTGATAGTCATTGCAAAACTACACTTTAAGAACAACTTGGAAGATGCTTTTTCTTCTTTTTTGTTTTGTTTTTAATTGAATTTTCTGCACATGATAATTATCTTTATCCTAAGGTCTGATGCAGGTTCCAATTTCAGATCCTCGAAATAGATTCTTCTTCCCAACACCTAGACTCCTCATTGAATAGCCCATTTTACCTTTCTTCTTTTCAGGTTTAGGGTGGGGGCGTATTGAGAGAAGAAATGGCAGAAGGGCTCTCTGCCTTTTCTATCAAGTTGCGGGATGGGTGCAGGGACGCAAAACCAAAGACAGGTACAGATAAAACATTCTCTTCCCCATGTGGAGGACTGGACTGTCATAGGGGAAGTTGGAGAAGAACATGAGGATGCTTAGAAATGCTCAGGGCCACGAACCTCCATCAAGCAAGGAGACCTAAAATTCTCGCTGGAGTTCCTTTACCCTAAGTTTGTTTTTCCATTATGTTACACAGGCTGACATTACAGAATTGGTTGGATCAGAAATAATGAGTTCGGAACCAGGAGACAGAATTTAGGAGAAAGCAGACAGCCGCCTTGTAAGTAAGGTCACAGAATCCTGGACAGAGGAGGAAGTTTAAACGATCCTCAGACTGGACGTAAATCTCTGGCAAGGAGAGGCAGGGCTTTGAGAAGTCCCGAAGTGAAGTGACTCCAGCTACGTCATTAGGGGCAGCATGAAGAGGAAGCATCAGTTTGGGTCCAGTTTTTTCATTCATTTAATTTGTAATTTGGTTGTTCCCTTAACTCACATGTACTGATGCACCAAACTCTGTGCTTCGAGCAGAGTTTTAGCTGGCATTGCTATTCTCATTTTTTTCTCTCTCTTTTTCTCTCTCTCTCCCCCTACCTCCAAGGGGTAGGGGGAGGCTTTAGCAAAGCAGTATATTTTTCTATCATACTGTAAAGAGCCCCAAACCCATGTATAATAAATATCTAACTTTTGGTTCTTAGGCTGCTGCAATGAAAAGAAAGCAAGGGGACTTTGGAGACCTAAGGACCTTAGTTCAGTTCCTGCCCCCTCCACACACTGACTGTGTGACTTTGGGCAGGTGACTTAACCCCTCTGAACTTCCTGTAACAGGAGAATAATAATGGTACCCATGTCACAAGCAGGGCTTCCCCCCAGTTTAATATCAAGGGTGCTGTGCAGATCCTAGTCCATGTGACTCTCACTCTCTGGGGTTTGTTTTGTGAGTTAAGTTAGTTAATACTTGTCAGTGTTTAGAACAGCACCTGACACATAGTAAATGCCAAATAAGTGCTAGTGTTATTATTACTGTAGGGTTGTTGTGAGGAGTGAATGTGGTCATTAAGATTAAGAGCTGAACACAATGGCTATATCATGACAAGCTCTCATTAAGTGGTACTGCTGTTTGCAAACTTCACCGCTTCCATTGCAAATGACAGCAAGCTGATTCTGACCATCTCACACTCCCCACCCCATCTCAAACGCCATAAGGACATCAAATTGGGTGTGAAAAAACAAAATCAGGTATCTTTCAATTATCTACACTAATGGAAGGGTTCAGAGACAGGGACAATCAACCAGGTTGGATAATCCAAAAACCACTCTCACTTGGCCAAGCAATGCACGGTCAGTTCACATTCAAATATACTATGTCTGCCATTTGGGGGATTAATTTCCAACAAAATAATGAACCCACACAAGACAGGCCTGATTCAAGCTGGGAAGTGCCCTGGTTCTCTGGTCTGTTTCCTCTCTGCAACATACTCCATGCTGAGAACAGCCGGCAGGCTTCCCCGACTGGTGCAGAGAACCAATCTAAACAGGGATGACCCCTCTCAAATCTTCCCAGAGCATAAAAGAGGCCTGGGTTTCAAAGGCTTCTCCTGCATGAAAATTAACTAGGGCTCCTGGTTGAAATACCACAGATAAGGAGCTAAGGGGACATCTTCCTACAGAAAATACATTGCCAAGCCATGTACTGCCTGTGCTCTGCCCAAGGTCCATAGCATTGCTCATTTTCTTTGACATAAAGATAATCTAGAATCCCACCTCCGCATCACAAACATTGCAATGTCAAGAGGAGTGACTTTCCTAGTCATGAGGTAGTTCGCTTAATATTCTAATAATATGGGCTTGCAAAATTAAACATTCTAATGAGCAGTGGACTGCATATTTCATCCATTAAACACATACTGAGCACCTAGCCTGAGTTTGACACAGGACTAGAAACAGAATGTATAAAGAAGAAGGGAAAAAAAGATAGTCCCTGCTCTTATAGCCTGGTGAAAGCAAGCAACTAAGCAACAGCAGATGAAGGTGGTTAGGTAAGCAGGGTGAAGAGAACACAGAGCTGAACCAGCATGCCTTATCTGCAAGGGGCTGTTCTCACCCTGCCACGTGCCTGGGCTAACTTAACATCACCTCCTGCTTAGTCAGCTGCAAGAACCTCCTTTTGGCCTTTCTACCGCACCTACAAGCCATTTCCTGCTCCACTGCCAGAGTAACCTTAAAATGTGGGCCTATTGTGGGGTAGGGGGAGTGGGGAGGGACAGCAGTTGGAGATATACCTAATGTTAAACGACGAGTTACTGGGTGCAGCACACCAACATGGCACATGTATACATATGTAACTAACCTGCACATTGTGCACACGTACCCTAAAACTTAAAGTATAATAAAAAAAAAAAAAAAGAAAAAAAATGTGAAGCTGATCAGGACACTCTTCAACCTTCCCAGTGTTTTCCCATCATTCTAAGATTAAAATCATGTCATCACTTGGCATGGATGCCCTGGCTAGATCTCACCTTTGCCTGCATGCCTTACCTCCACAGGGGCCACTCCCTGCCTGATCACTACTCTCTACCTATGCTGGCTGCTTTCAGGTCCTCTAAAATACCAGTCTCTCCTCTGGTTTTTGTTTTTTTGTTTGTTTGTTTTTTTGAGATGGAGTCTCCCTCTGTCGCCCAAGCTGGAGTGCAGTGGCACGATCTTGGCTCACTACAATCTCTGCCTCCCGGGTTCAAGCTATTCTCTGCCTCAGTCTCCCGAGTAGCTGGGATTACAGGCACCCAAAACCATGTCTGGCTAATTTTTGTATTATTAATAGACACGGGGTTTCACCATCTTGGCCAGCCTGGTCTTGAACTCCTGACCTCGTGATCCATCTGCCTCGGCCTCCCAAAGTGCTGGGATTATGGTCACAAGTCTCTTTTTTTCCTGCTCTCAAAACCTATGCATCTTCTGTTTCCTTCCATTGGTGTGTTGGTCCCATAGCTGGTCATGCATTTGATCTTTGCCCATATGCTACCTTCTCATGGAAGTCTTTCTTAACGATCTTGAGTAGGTTGGTGGGGAGGGGAGTGGGGGCTGGACTAATCCCAACTGAGGGCCCTTCACAGCATTCTCAAAATGTATAATGATCAATTTATGTTTGTTGCCTTATTTTAATCTATGAACATACGGCTCATGGAGGCAGACTGTGGCTGTCTCATCCACCACTGTTCCTTCAGTACCTCGTACATAGAAAGCACCCAGACAATGCAAGTAATAACAGCAAATGCTCTCTGAGCACTCCCCGTGTGCCAGGTGCTCTTGTAAGCTCTTTTCATGTGTTGACGTATTTAATATTCACAGCTAATGCATGTGGCTATGGATGCGAAGACAGACACAAAGAGGTTAAATAATATGCATGTGACTTCTTTGACTCATACATGGCAGAGCTGAATTTGAATCTCGGAAGCCCAATTATAAAACCCATACTTAACCTCTATATCAAATCACCCCTCCATCACATGCATCTTTTTAAAATTAAAATACCTCCCCCCAAAGTGTATTAAAATGTGAATAAAAACCCTGGAGGAAGTTTGTTTGGTAAAACCCTCCCCAATTTGCATCCCTCGGGGATCTTCCCCCTTCTCTCTTGACCTCATCCGCCATGACAATGAGCATCCTGCCCTCTCCTTTCAGAATATACTCTACGCACATTGCTCTTAGTAGCTGTGACTACATAAAGCTTATTTATACCCATGTCCCATGGCTAAAAGAGATCTTTAGGCAGCCCACAACACTGTCCAAAGAGTATATACATCACCGGGAGACAGGCTGTGAAATAGACTGTGTTGATTTAACTAGAAATGCCCATTATCCAAAAGCAAAGAAAATCCAAGGCCACCTCTCTTTTTTCCTATCCTGCCTTCCACCTCTCCTCCCACCCCCAGTTCCATTCTAATTCTAGGCCTCCAATCTTAAATACATTAAAAACATAACCTATTCTATTTCCTTTTTTTTGTTGTTTGTTTAACTAAACAGGCGCAACTTAAGGTCAGCCTCTTCTGGTACACTGGCTCCTATTATGGAAGGAATAAAAGAGAGACGGCTTTTAAAAAGAGAGGCTGCTTTTAATAACAGTTTCTGAACAGTGGCCTTTTGTACTTGAAGGGATTGATGATAAAGCTCACTGTCAACTGACAGTAACATCAATGTCAGAACACAAAGGGATGGATGTCCCTCAATATGGGATGATCCCAGAGCCATTAACCAGTGTTGGAATGTTCTGCCATCTTGGAGAGTGACTGGAGCTTATGACAATGTGGCCACTGCTTTCCTATCATCAGAGCCAGAGAAATAAGGCAGAGCTAGGAAAGAATTTTCTCTCTCCCTCTCTGTCTCTCGCACGCACTCACTCTCTCTCTGTAGAGTAATTCAGCCTTGCCTGGTGGGGAAGGACTAGGATCTGAGTTTGAATCCTAGCTTTGACAAGTTTTTGCTACATGACTTTGGCAAGTATCTTTGCTTCTCTATGCTCTAGTGTTTGTATCTCTGATACAGAGATAATAACTATGACTCCTGTAGGGTTGTTTTGCAGATAAAATAAAGTAATTCTTGCACAAAGCTTGGCACAACAGGCTATACAGACTAAGCATTCAACATGCATATTGGCTGTTACTACCACTATCTTAATGACTGCAGAACTGTTCAAATTATATTATATTTTCTCATTCATGAGCTAACTGCCTCTCCCTAATCTTCTGTGAAAAAGACAGCATGTCTGGTTCTTCAATCATTTTATGGTTGATGTAATAGGGTCCAAATCACACATGTGACCAGCTGCCAAAGTCTGAACAAGAGAAGAGACCACGTGATTCAAGACCAAGGCTTTGTCCACTGTCCTGGGTTGCTCCTCAATCCATTGAAGGCTGGGTAACTATTACACGTCCAGCAAGATCCTGGGAGACAAGGGGAAGAAAGTGAGTCTCTGACGTTTCCAAGACAGTTGCAATTTCACATACTGAATTTAATTGTTATAGTAGCTATATCATTTCTGATCTAAACCTTGATATGATTGAAAGTGACCAATGCTACAGTGGTCAGAATTTTTTTTAGTTTGTTAGTTTGAGATGGAGTTCCACTCTTGTTGCCCAGGCTGGAGTAAAATGGTGCAATCTCGACTCACCACAACCTCTACTTCCTGGGTTCAAGCGATTCTCCTGTCTCAGCCTCCCAAGCGGCTGGGATTATAGGCATCTGCCACCACACCTGGCTAGTTTTAGGCATTTTTAGTAGAGACAGGGTTTCACCATGTTGGCCAGGCTGGTCTCAAACTCCTGACCTCAGGTGATCCGCCCGCCTCAGCCATCTAAAGTGCTGGGATTATAGGCGTGAGCCACAATGCCCAGCCTACAATGGACTGGAGTTTAGGAAACAAGATAGAGACCGCGGCAGCACCAGCCTGGACAAACGCTCCCTATCCAGTCCGCAGTTATACTAACACAAAGTCTGACACTTGCCTCCATAGATGACTGTGACATCTAACATTTTGCATCCTGGCATATTTTCTCATTTTCTCTCTTCTGGTGGAATCACCCCTTTTCCTTTTGGCCAATTACTTTTCCAACCCATGGTGTTACCACAGAGCTGCCAATCATAGTAACACTCTTCTTCCTAGCCTCAAAGTTTGGGTGATGGGTGAGCTCAAAGCCAAGCCAACTGGAGTCCTTCCCAGGAATTTTTATGCTGGAGCTGGCATGGGGTTCTGTTACTTGCAATCCCTTGCTTTTGGGGAAAGGGGAGATCATGATGCTTAAAAGATAAAATGTTGGAATTGCCTGCTCACTCTTCCTTGGCTACTTGGAGGATGTCTGTCTACAGCAAGAGTAACTATAGCCCACTAAGAGCTGGAAACAAGTAGATATTGGCAAGAGAGAATGTCCCAGAAACTCCAAGCCATCAGTTCCAGTCACAAAGCTTGAGGTACAGCCTTAGACACCCTTACTTCACGAGTCATGCATTTGATTCTGTGAGCCACCATGATGAGGATCTCAGCTCCATGATTCAATACATCCTACAGTCATTTGGGTTTTGTTGTTTTGTTAAAACTACTGTAAACTGGGTTTCTGTTACTTAAAACCACAATAATTCTGATTATTCAGATATACAGGACCTCTAAGAAAGCTGGGACATTGAAGTTAAAGAGCATTTAGAAAAAAGAGAGGGAAAAGTAAACTGCATATTTTGACTGAAATAGTTTGAGTAGGCTTAAGAGAGCTTAAAGCTATGAATAAGGACATGAGAATAAGATACTCTGTGTCTCAACAAAACCAAGCGGAGATCCTGATGAAGGCAGGGAATGACCAAGGAATGGAATTACAGTGTAGTGGCTTTGGCTTCAAATACAACTTGGTTTAAATTCTTGTTTCACTGCTGAGTAGCTGCAGATGTTATTCTCAGGTGTCTTTAGTTCTCAGAGCTTTTGTGCCCTGCTTCATGAAGAAAGAATTCTAACACCACTAAGAGTTGTTAAGAGAATCATCAAGAGTGCATACAAAGCACCTACCACTACTCTAGCACACAGAAGGTTATTTGTATTATTATTAGTGTGTAGAGGGCAATAAAGAAACAGGTCCAACCGTAAAACCTGCTAGATGTTGCACTGCAGACCGTGGTATCCCTAGAGGCAAAGGGCATGCTATCTTGTCATTGGTCTGCTGTGGTCTGGTCCAGGGTCTGCACTCTACAAAGTGCTTAATAAAAGTGAATGAATAGATAAATGAAAACTGGAATTATTGGTGCAGATACATGGCCTTAGAGGGAGTCTTAAATAACCATAAAAAGCCATTATCAATATCCTCAAGGAAAACGTATTTGGCAAGGTATTCAGGGCCAGATTTCATTAAAGCAATGAAAGCCTACAAGAAAGCGCAAATAAGAAAAAAAATTTAAAGCCATCATTTCTGCTTATATTCATGAACCCACATGACTTGCTTACAAAGAAATAGAGGTTAAAAAGTGCATTATTCATTCAATCACGCATTTATTTGTGAGTTCATTCACATACACCTATCAGTTTCTACTATGATTCAGCAATGTTCTGCATCCCAGGGAAGATATAGCTTCTGCCAAGAAACCATCAAACAAGAGGACGAGGAAGAATATTAATATTAATTGGTACTCTGATCAAATATAATAAATATCATACTGTCAGAGGTACTAAGGACTCCAGAACGAAAAACAAAACAAAACAAAACAAAACAAAACAAAACAAAACTGGGTATTCAGTTTGCCAAAGGACACCAGAATGTGGCAAAACAGACCAGCAGGAGAGACAAATCCGTGAAGGAGAAAACAGCACACCAAAAGCATGAACAAAAGTATGAAGTTTGCCGGGTGTGTTGGCTCACGCCTGTAATCCCAGCACTTTGGGAGGTCAAGGAAGGTGGATCACGAGGTCAGGAGTTCAAGACCAGCCTAGCCAACATGGTGAAATCCCGTCTCTACTAAAAATACAATAATTAGCTAGGAGTGGTGGCACATGCCTGTAATCCCAGCTACTCGGGAGGCTGAGGCAGGAGAATTGCTTGAACTGGGACCCAAGAGGCGAACATTGCAGTGAGCTGAGATCGCACCACTGCACTCCAGCCTGGGCTACAGAGGGAGACTCCATCTCAAAAAAACAAAAAAGTATGAAGTTACAGAGACACACGCCAAACTTGGATACCCAACTGTAAAACCTGCTAGATGTTGCACTGCAGACCATGTTATCCCTAGAGGCAGAGGGCATGCTATCTTGAGCTAGGGTGGACTCTCTGATCTCCCTGGAACAAAGACTGCAGGTGAGTGAGACACTGAGATTTGAAGGCTGGGTTGAGCAGATGTCCAAAGGCCTTGACCGCCAAACAAAAACACGTGGATTTCATTCTGCAGGAAATGGCATGCCACTAACATTTTTGCTGGAAGGAGGGATATAACCAAATCTCCATTTTAGTTAAAAAAAAAAAAATGTTGACAGTGACTGAGAAGGTAGACTAGAAGGGATAATGGAGTGATAGACTGTATTTATTTTATATTAAAAAGTCAAAGTTTCTCCAAGGAATTTAGTAAAGATGGCAAGATATATGGAAATACAACTCCCTAAATGAGAGAAGACTGCATCACTCACGGCTCTAAGAGATAATGTGCAAGAAAATCCAACTAAAACTTCATTAAAGGAGTGTAATGAGAAGGAGTTTACTGGCTTATACAACTAAACATTGAAGGGTGTCTTACAGATCCAACATGAGTGTTGATACAATGGCCTCTGGACACGTCCTCTCTTCATCTCAGATATACTCCCCTCTGGATGGTCTTTCATCTCAGGCAGGATCTCCCATCACTGGAGCCATGACGACTCTAAGTTCCCACCATCACAACTCCTACCAACCAAACCAAGGTGCTAGGGCCCCCAGCAATTTCTGAATGGAGTGGCACCAGCCTGGCTGAACCAGGTTCTCATCCCCAAGCCATGCACTGAGGTCAGGGGTTGGGATGCTCTGATGAGACAGGCCCGGGTTACGGGCCACAGGGGAATCTGAGGTGGGTCCACCTGACCCGAGTCTATACGGACCATGATTAGAGGACATGATACCCTGCTTCTTGCTGAACGAGGACTGACTGTTGGGCAGGATAACACAGAAGATGCCTCCCTCAGGAGTGTGGAGGGAGGGAGGCTGCAGCTGGAAAGCAGGTCTCCTCATAAACCGTAAGCTTAAACAGCAGCACCATGACTGTAAGTGCACTTATAACAGGCATTATTGGAAGAACATTGGAATATGCTTTCCAAACCTCCAGAAGTACTTGGAGTTTAAAGAATCAAAATACTTTTATTTCTCCCAATTCAACTAAAATTCTTTGAAAGTACAAAGAACAAAATCTCTTCAAAGATGTGAAGATGTAGAGTGGAAATGAAAGAACAAGCAAAGCACTTCTAACTCACCTAATGTTTTCAAATGAAAAAGCTTTCTCCTAGAGGAAACTGTACATAAACACACACACACACACACACACAGACACACGTATAAATATCAATTTATCCAACTGCAGCTACTAATAAGAATATCATAAGACTCTTACATGAGTGGGAATATTTACCTTCACTCTCTGTTAACAATGATAGTATCTCTTACAATTCAGAAACCCCTTTTGATTACAGTAATGTACCTGGCTTTTTCTCTAGAAAGAAAACAAAACAAGGACATATATTTCTTCAATATTTCCAAACATACACATCTTTTGAAGTGTATACACATATATCACGACTCTGATAAAGTTTTAACATTGGTTAAAAACTCAACCTTCAGTGTAGTGATTAAAGGCATAGGGTCAGAATTAAAAGGACATCTGGGCTTAAAACAAGGGTTATGTGTTTATTATCTGGGTGCCTTCTGGCAAATTACTTAACCTCTCTCTTCCCTAGTTTCACAGGCTATAAAAAGATGCAATGCTAATACTTGAAGGAGAATGAAATAAAATAATACATTTTAAGGAATGTGTGTGTGTGTGTGTGTGTGTGTGTGTGTGTGTTTGCAATAAATTATCCTCTCTCAAACTGAACGTAAATGCCTAACAAGCAGAGAGTTGCATAAGTGATGATGGACTCATACAGTAAAATATTATTCCAACCAGGCCAGGCGCTGTAGCTCATACCTGTACTCCCAGCAATTTGGGAGGCCTAAGTGGGAGGATTATTTATGGCCAGGAGTTTGAGACCAGCCTGGGCAACATAGTGAGATCCTGTCTCCACAAAAAAATAAAATAAAATAAAGACTTTTTTTAAAAAAAAGAAAACCTTGAGCAGAATGCAATAGACCATAGACCTATACAGGCTGATAGGGAAAGATCATGATAGATATTTGATTAAGTAGCAAAGGCAGTGAGCTTGGATATGATCCTGTTTGAATAAACAACATATACTTATATATAGAGAGAATGTACTTATCAGTCTTATAGTACTGATAACTATATATGCATATAACATGTACACATAATAAATATACAAATAAAGATGCACCTATCAGGACTTATACATGAATGGAAATTTTACGCAAAGATACATTAAAAACCACCTTTGGGAGGTGCATTAGCTGCCTGGAATTCAATTTCAAATTTTATTCTATGTTTGAAATTCTTATTTTTTTAACTACATGCAAAATATGAATGTTCTTTTCTGTTTCACAACATTGACTTCCACTGACCTTTCCCAATTTATCTGCTGTTGTTTATCCTATCAGTGAAAACCCTAAGCAGAATTTCCATTCCTAAAAGTGTCCATGTGTCAATGTGTTGGGCTTTTGCAGTTCACCATGTTTACATGCATGGGCACTTTGTTGAGAATGATGCTAGCTGATTAAGAGAGTTTGTGAAAAACTACCCACTGTGATTGAAACACTCATTTAATACATTTTAAGTGCCTGAAATGCTCAGCTTCCTTGATTGGTGTTGATTGTTTGCATTTGATTTATTTCCTCAGTATCAGTGTTCATTAAATTACTTAATGTAATGGCCACCCTGTAGTTGCAACTCTATTTAACACCACGTCTTTGGGAGCATTCTAATTCACAGGCTGTTCATTTCAGGAGCCAGGAATGTAGACTTTACCATCTAACTGTGTATTGCTCTTGCTCATAGAAATTACTTACGAGGAAAATTATCTTTCAAAAGAATCCACAGCAGTCATGTCTGATTTTTTTTTAGCTATTTATAGCTTTCAGACTTGGCAGCAGTCTTATTATTTTTGACAATTTATTAAGTACCATGAGCACGTTCGTAATGCGATGTTCAATGCTCACAACAGTATGTTTCATCTTCCACATTTTAAACGTCTGCCACCCATGAGGACAGCAAGAATTGTGCCAGCAACATTCCAGCAATCCATAGGCCAGATTCATTTTTTGTTGTTGTTTTAAATAGGCATGGCTTCATTGCACATTACAATAGTGCCCCGTCTGAACGGGAATTTGCATATTTCGCTTATTTTTATCTCTGGCAGGGGCGTTGGGGTGCTGGGCTTTCCTCTACATTAATTATTGATATCCAAAGACTGTTGAGATTGGGTTTTATTTCCAGGAGGGATAAGTTGAGTAGTTATGAAAGATGTTTTGTGCATATGTACATCAATACACCTTATTATGAATGCGAAGTATTGATCAGAGGAGGTGGTCAGAAGGAGTATCTACGGTAAAGGGGAAAAACATCAGGGTGAGTCGGTAGAAACACAATGTGTGATGTCACAGAGTACAGTGAACAGGGAGAGGTCAATGGGAACTTCATGGTGAGAAAGTAAATTGAAAAAGGGAAAACTGCATAACGTGTGCATATTTCTGACTGAAAATATCAGGTGAATCAAGAAAGAGTTGGAGACTGACCAAATGGAATAGAAAAGTCCAAATGTGGCTGAGTTGTAAGTAGCCAAGACGTCAGTGTTCTGCAAATGTGAACCCCTTCCCTACAGCAATGGCATTTTTTTTTTAGGAAAAAGAAAATCATAAAAATGAAGTCAGTGATAATTGTGGGCAGCTGCATGTGGTCAAGCAAGGTTTATATTGGGAAAGGGCCTGGGGTGAAGTTTCAGTAGGGGTTTGTACTTGCAGACAAAGTATAAGATGATGAAGAGTTTGAAAATTGTGCCAAAGAGTGAGTTTGCACCTTCATGCCTGAGTGAGGGCCTGGGGTACCTTCAAGCAAGGAGGGGAGGAAGGTTCACTCCCTCACCATGCATCAACTAATCTGGAGCTTAGTTGGTTCTTCCCACCCACACTACACACCATCCAGAGATGAAAGCCAACAGTTACTTTAAGATAAGCTGAAGAACTACCTCAATAACCTTGGAGACAATTAGTCCCCATATAGGACACCGTGTTAGGCCACTCTTGCACTGCTATAAAGAAATACCTGAGACTGGGTAATTTATGAAGAAAAGATGTTTAGTTAACTCAAGGTTCTGCAGGCTGTATAGGAAGCATGGCACTCTCATCTGTTTGGCTTCTGGGAAGGCCTCAAGGAACTTTCACTCATGGCGGAAGGTGAAGCAGGACATGGCATCTTACATGGCAATGATGGAAAAAGGAGTAGAGCGAGATGCGTTTAAATGACCAGATCTCATGAGAACTCACTCACTGTCATGAAGACAGCACCAAGCCTTGAGAGATCCACTCCGATGACCGAAACACCTCCCACCTTGAGAGATCCACTCCCACAACCGAAACACCCCCCACCATTGGGGATTACACTTCAACATGAGATATGGGCGGGGACAACTACCCAAACTATATCAGACACTCACGTACCTATTTTTATGATGTCAATAAAGTCTGTCGTATCAATTCAAAAAAAGAAAATGTTTTAACAGTCAGGTGGAGGCTGGGCATGGTGGCTCACCCCTGTAATCCCAGCACTTTGGGAGGCCAAGGCAGGCGGATCATGAGGTCAGGAGTTCAAGACCAGCCTGGTCAACATGGTGAAACCCCCGTCTCTACTAAAAACACAAAAATTAGCTGGACATGGTGGTGGGTGCCTGTAGTCCCAGCTACTCAGGAGGCTGAGGCAGGAGAACTGCTTGAACCAGGTGGCGGAGGATGCAGTAAGCCGAGGTTGTGCCACTGCACTCCAGCCTGGGTGAAAGAGCAAGACTCTATCTCAGAAAAAAAAAAAAAAAAAAAAAAAAAAAAAGAGTCAGTTGGAGAAGAATAAGTTATTCTTAACAGGTGGGACTCCATTAACAATTCTGCCATGAGTGCCATGGGACGGGTATTCATGATAAATTTTTCATTCATATGACAAGCATTTACTGACCATATACTCTCCCTTGGACACTGTGGTCCCTTCGGACACGGTGGGGCCCAGAAATAACCCCAACAAGGACTGTAAGAAGTATCTCAAGTCTGCGAGGGGAGATTAAAGATAAGACGAACATCAAAGCAAAGCACAAGATGACCATCATTTAGTGACCTAGAGGGCTATTCATTCATTCATACCGTTATTTATTCCAATCATTGAATAAGCGACATGATGGTGGACAGTGTATGCTGTGGGAATGGGGTGGGCTTTAGGGTAAGCTTTATATTAGAGGTTCTTACCTTTGATTTCATGTTAAAATCACTTAACTAAGGAGCTTGTAAAAAATAAGTTAATGGGTACAAAAAAAAATAGTAAGAAAGAATGAATAAGACCTACTACCTTACAGCACAACAGGGTGACTATGGTCAAAAATAAGTTAACGGTACATTTTAAATAACTAAAATAATATAATTGGATGTTTATAAAACAAAGAATAAATGCTTGAGGGGATGGAGACCACATTCTCCGTGATAAAATTATTTCACATTGCACGTCTATATCAAAACATCTCATGTACCCCATAAATATATACAACCACAAAAATTAAACATTAAAAACATTTTAAAAAAATAGTCAGTCAGAAAAATGTAACAAGAGCAAGACATTGCAAACAATAAAAACCAGAGAATAAAAAAAGCATAAAGCTGCTGGGATTCTCATTTGTTTGGTGTGGAGTGCGGCCAAATTTTGATAGTTTTTAATGCATTCCCAACTGATTCGAATTTGAAGCCAGGGTTGAGAATCACTAATACATACTTAATGACACTTTATCTGGGTCATGAAAGCTACGGATAGGGTTTGGACATATGGAAAAACCACAGCGAAGTACCATAAAATCTGTTATTTTGTCTTCTGGCAATTTCCACCATGCCAGGAGGCATCCTACGAGGAGAGTCACTATTTAAATTCTCCAGTATCAGAAATAAAGGGAATTAACATATATTAAGATGTGCTGCTGGGCGCCTGTAATGTGATAGAGGTTCCTGGATTAAGGGCAAACCTGAAGAGGGAGTTTCAAAAGGACAAATTTCGTTTCTAAGAAAGTTAAAAACCTTCATTATAATATGCCTGGCCATACTGTAATTCCACTGTGAATGCAGACCTAATGCCATCACTGTAATAGCAATATTTTTATGTCATCTAAGTGGCAGATACTTCACAGACATTTCTAATTCCCAACAACCCTATAAGGCAGGCTTTTCTTTCTTTTTTTTTTTTTTTTTTTTTGAGACAGAGTCTCATTCTGTCACCCAGACTGGAGTACAGTGGCGCGATTTCAGCTTACTGCAATCTCTGCCTCCCAGGTTCAAGTCATTCTCCTGCCTCAGCCTCCCGAGTAGCTGGGACTACAGGCACGCATCACCACGCCCGGCTAATTTTTGTACTTTTTGTAGAGGCAGGGTTTCACATGTTGACCAGGATGATCTCCATTTCTTGCCCTCCTGACCCGCCCACCTTGGCCTCCCAAAGTGCTGGGATTACAGGTGTGTGCCAACGCATCCAGCCATAAGGCAGGTATTTCTTTGTTTAATTTAATTTCATTTAATTTAATTTTAATTTTATTTTGTTTTATTTTTGAGATGGAGTCTCACTCTGTCGCCCAGGCTGGAGTGTAGTGGTGTGATCGTGGCTCACTGTAACCTCCATCTCCCTGGTTCAAACAATTCTCTTCCCCACCCTCCCAAGTAGCTGGGATTACAGGCTCTCACCACCACGCCCCACTAATTTTTGTATTTTTAGTAAAGACGAGGTTTCACCATCTTGGCAAGGCTGGTCTTGAACTCCTGACCTCGTAATCCACCTGTGTTGGCCTCCCAATAAGGCAGGTATTTCTTTTTCTGGTTTTAGAACTGATGAAAGTGGGGCTCAGTTACTAGTTAGGTAACCTGAGGCACGTTGGCTTACCTCTCTGAACCCCACTATAATAGCCCTTCACCTTTATAGGGTCAGACCTGGCCATATAAGGATGAAACTTGCCCAAGCACTGCCTCTCAAACTTCTTCCACAGGGAAAAGTAGGATTTACTTCCACCTTCTAACATTGCAATTTCATAAATTTCACATTCCAGAACAACAGCCTTCTGCTTTAGCAAGATAACAAAGACGAAATACCTAACGAAATTTATAGGAAGATGTGTTCGTAATAAAAGTACCCTTGCCAGTAAGATTTTAGGGACTTCCAGTAAGATTTTAGTAAGTACCATGATTTTGGCTCAGGCAGAACAAAAGCAAACCCGAAGACTTCCTTAGACACTCCATTTTGCTGAGGAATTATCTGCATTAAACATTCTTTTGCATTTATAATGCTAGGGTCCCCTGAGTTTGTTTAGAGATGAAATAGAATATTGTGACCTACAATGGGGCCAAATAGACTTGAGTTGTAATCTCCATGGTACAATGTGCCACTGTGTGACCTTGGGCATATGGCTTGAATACTCTGAGCCTCTATTTCCTCACTTACACTATAGGAATAAAATATCCAATGGGTAAAGTTGCTCTTACGGATACATTTTTAAAACGTGTGGACATAACACACAAAAAGCATCTGGCAAAAATACATCATAATAAGGCCAGACGTGGTGGCTCACACCTGTAATCCCAGCACTTTAGGAGTCTGAGGTGGGTGGATCATCCGAGCTCAGGAGTTTGAGACCAGCCTGGACAACATGGTGAAACCCCACCTCTACTAAAAATACAAAAATAAATAAATAAACAAATTAGCCAGGCATGGTGACACGTGCCTGTAATCCCTGCTACTTGGGTGACTGAGGCAGGGGAGTCACTTGAACCCAGGAGACAGAGGTTGCAGTGAGCCGAGATGGCGCTGCTGCACTCCAGCCTGAGGGACAGAGTGAGACTCTGCCTCAAAAAAAAAAAAATAAACATCATAATAAAGGCTAATATTTACTGGGTATTTCCTGTATTTCAGGTACTCTGCTAAGCTCTTGGAGCTCATCATTGTAGCTGATTTCCACAGATTATGAGTTAGGTACTATTAGTCCTGTTTCACAAATGGGACCAGGACAAAGTGAGATGCAGTAGTTTTCCCAAGGTCAAGGTGGTGGTGCCAGGATTTGAATTCAATCAGGGCTGACTCCAGAGCTTGCTCTTTCAACAACAAAGGCATACTGAGCTCAGTAAAAGTCAGATGTTGCTCTTCTTTATTAGAAAAATAAAGTATGGAATATGTTTTGCTTTTAAGCAATGGAATAAATCATGCCTATGAGAAACTCTAGTCCAGCAAATAGCCTCCCATTTCCTATAGATTTTGTCAGTGTCATTCTTTCCTACTTTATTTTTTGAATTTTTTTTATTTCCATAGGTTATTGGGGAACAGGTGGTTGGTTACATGAGTAAATTCTTTAATGGTGATTTGTGAGATTTTGGGGCACCCATCACCCGAGCAGTATACACTGCACCCAATTTGTAGTATTTTATCCCTCACCCCTTTCTCACCCTTTCCTCCTGAGTCCCCAGAGTCCATTGTATCATTCTTGTGCCTTTGCATCCTCGTAGCTTAGCTCCCACTATGCGTGAGAACATACCACGTTTGGTTTTCCATTCCTGAGTTACTTCACTTAGAGTAATAGTCTCCAATCTCATTCAGATCACTGTGAATGCCATTAATTCATTCCTTTTTATGGCTAAGTAGCATCCTATCATATACATATGTGTATATATATATGTAAGTATATATATATGTATAAATATCCCATCATGTATACACACACACACACACACACACACACACACACACACATACATACACGCACACACACACCACAGTTTCTTTATCCACTCAGCTGATGGGCATTTGGGCTGGTTCTATATTTTTGCAATTGCAAATTGTGCTGCTATAGACAGGCATGTGCAAGTGTCTTTTTCATATGATGACCTCTTTTCCTCTGGGTAGATATGCGGCATGGCACACAGACAGACAGACAGCTGGGGCTGGTGGAAAGGGAGGGAATCCTACCTGCTTGGACTTTTTATGCTGCTGAATAGGTGGAAAGTAAGTATTGCACCTTGTGATTCATTCTGTGTGGAGGAGGGGAGTTAGGCCTTCCGAGATGTGAATGACCACATGGAAGAAGGGTGAAAACAAAGCCAGGTGGACAGGTCAGCAGAGCCCTGCACTCTTAGAATGCAAGAAGAGCCAACAAGAATTTCAGGCCAATAATTGAGTCAAAAAGGAGAGGTGAGGTCTTAGTGGAGTCTGTAAGGAGCAAATTATATTCCATATCCTGCAAACTGAATTTACCAATGTCCCTGCCAATCTTTAGATCCCTCTCTTTTTACCTTTATTTTGAAATAATTACAGGCTCAAAGGAATCTGCAAAAGTGGTACAGAGTCCTCCTATGCACAATTTACCCAGTTTCCCCCAATGGAAACATTTTCCAAACCTGTAACCAAATATCCAAACAAGGAAACCGATACTAGTGCAATCTACAGACCTTGTTCACATTTCACTGCATGTGTGCCTGTGTGTGTGTGTGTGTGTCTGTGTGTAGTTCATGCGTATGTGTGGTTCATGTGTATGTATAGATCCATGTAACCTCAACCAAAATCAAGATGCAGAACTTCTTCACCATGAAAAGGCCCCTTTGTTGTATTCATTTCTAACCTTGTTTTCCTTCAAAAATTCCTACTTAAGTTTACAATGCCACCATTACTGAGTCACCCAGATAAAAACCTGAGAGTCATTATTCTCCAGAACATTAAGACACAGAAAGTACCAACCCCACACATCCACCCCATTTCTCTGCTCCTATTCCTGAAGCCTTCATTCAGACTTCTACTGTCTCTTATCCATTCTTTCAAAACTATTTCTGAATGCTGCTGGTTATGAGACATCACCATGCTAAGTGGCAGGAAGGGTAAATGATAAGGATCCAATAAAAATAGCCCCTATCCTCATGGGACTTACAGTTTTGGAAGGAAGATAATAATCAAAGAATCACATAAACAAATGTAAATTTACAACTGAACTAAATGCCAAAAAGGAGAGATACTTGCTTTTCGATAGATAACACAGGGGAAATTTAGCTTCTGTAAAAAATTGACAGTGGGCAGGAATTTTGAGAATAAATAAAAATTAAGCAAGTTAAACAAGTGCGTGGTGAAGGGCAATGAGACTTAATGCCACTGTGATGGTGAAAAGAGGTGGGGGCTTTAAGAGGTGACTGGTTCATACAGGCTCCTCCCCTCATGAGTGGGATGAATGCTCTTATAAAAGAAGCTTTACAGTGTTTGGCCAGCCTGCCCATCTGCCATGTGAGGACACGGCATTCTTCCCCTCCAGAGGATGCAGCTCTCACCAGACATGGAACCTTCTATTGCCTCGATCTTGGACTTCCCAGCTTCTGAAACTGTGATAAAATACATTTCTGTTCTTTATCAGTTACTCAGTCTCAGGTATTCTATTATGGGAGCACAAAATAGACTAAGACAGGGGTAATAAAATGGTTTAGGAAAGTTCCAGAGAGAGTGAACCACATTTAGTGACAGAGAACATGGAGGACGGATGGAAAAAAAATAAAGTTGGGATGGGCATGGTGGCTCATGTCTGTAATCCCAGCACTTTGGGAGGCTGAGGCAGGAGGATCACTTGAGGCCAGGAGGTGGAGGCTGCAGTGAGCTATGATTGCTCTACTGTGCTCCAGGCTGGGTGGCACAGTGAGACCCCATTTCTTTGATAAAAAATCAAGGCGACTGGTGTGGTGTGGAGACTTAGTGAACAATGTAGAGGGTGAGGACATTTAAATCTTGCAAGACCTTGCCTCCACCCACACGAAGGATTTTTGTCTCCTTCCTGAGAGCAATGTGAACTCCCTGTCCCTGAAAGGCTGCCTATGGGGTAATATAATCAGGCTGTTTGGGTTGCGGTGTGGAGGTGGGGACGAGTGGGGTGCAGGGGTTCGTCAGATCCCCACTGCAACCACCCGGGGGAGATGGTGGTTTGGATCAGGATGGTGCTAGCCATAGAGATGCAAGGAATTAACAGAAACCTCACCCTGCAATCATGTCTTAATGTATCTTCCCTCCAGTTTGGGGCTTCTCTAACTCATCCTTTCAAGTGCAGCTAAAGGGGCCTCTCTGAAATGCCACTGACGGCAAGTGAATTCAGAATAAATTCCAAACCCAATCACAATACATAACCTGCTTTGTGATCGGGCTCATACCCACTTTCCAGCCTCATCTCTCTCTATCTCACCCAGCAGCTGGCCCTGCCTCAGTAAACTACAAGAATTTCCCTGTTAGATCTGTATCGGGGCCTACATAGTGATGAGCAGACGATGTAGAATTCAATGGGAATGGCGCTCCATGGGTTTACACAGTACGGCTACCCTGCCCATATTGAGAGTTCTCAAACCCTGATTCCCTTATGCTGGCACTGACGCTGTCCACATCTCACAGAAGAGACTGGACATGTGGATGCTACATGTGCAGAAGTTGAGTCTACTAAACAGACCTGCAAACACATAGGGACCCAGCTTCACCAGCAATTCTCATCACCAGTCCAAGTGGAAGCAAATCTGAGCAAGACCTCGAGGTCACTGCATTAATGAACTGTTTTGGAAAAGCATTAAGAGAAACTCAGAGACAGGCAGGCACAAGGCAGAGCACGGACCTTAAATAGGTTTGAACCTAAGGACTCCGATCTTCCTCCTCTGTTCCTAGTTTCTAAAGCTCACACTATAGAAATACTTTTCTAGACAACTGGAACAAGAAAGTCAATCTCCAAGGCAAGATAGAGATGCTTTTAAAGTGACTATTTAAGGGGAAGGGTGGAGCAGAAACGATCACACATAACAGAATTTCATGAAGATGAAATCCAGTTGTAAAATCACCAGGATCCCCAAAGGGCTGTCATGTTAGGAAAAAAATGCTGAAACATTCTACTCTCATTCGGTCCCATTATTCAAAAGAACACATATTTTATAATCCAGGGAAGCCCTCCCTTCTTTGAGAATTAGCTGCAGTTTTCCAGCCCTAATTCCATAAATAGCCCTTAAGCATTCTGCTCAGTGACACTGGTGCAGAGATGAGGTCCCTCCTGGTGTGACATTCCGTCCAGCCGGTACTCACACCACATTCTCCTCTCCTCAGGAAGCAAACCACTTCTCTGCTGTTTCCCCACTGTGTCCAATTATGCTGCTGCCCTTGCAAAATGAGCACTTAGGCATTCAATACATTTTTAAGGAAATGGATCAGCATGATTATTCTGGGAAACACAAAGCTCACGGAGGAATAGGGCAAATTATGAATTTCAGGAAATATTGGTCTTTGTATATTAATCACACTAATAATATTGCAAACGAGGGAAGTACAAATCCACCTCCCTCCCGTGCATAATTTGCTTTATTTGATCCCTTTGAAGTAAGTGTACAGACTATTGTTTTGATGTATTTATTTTCCTCCCTCATTGTTTTCAATTATTGCTGCATTTTTAAAATACCAGGACAAAAAAAAAAAAAAAAAAAAACTGGAAAGCTACAGAATTTTTCCAATTAGTCATAAAAGCCATAGAAAACATTGTGCTGGAAAATAAAAGGCCATCAGAGAATGGCACATATACAGCATACACAACACCACTTGCTCCTTCCAAGTCCAGGGCAGACATGCCTAATCAATTACAGAATTCTGGCTCACAGTGATTGTAAGTGGCCTCAGACTCTTTTCTCCACATAGCTCTCATCAACCATTCAGAACAGGCAATCACTGTAGCCTAGGCAACTAAATTCTGGACAGGCAGAGTGCCCTTGCCAAGGACACATGGTAAATTAGCGTTAATGCCAACATGAGAAGCCAAATCTTACTCCCCATCTGGTGCTCCTCAATTATATCTCCAAGAGGCTCCCTATCCTTATCTTTATATAGCACCTGGGTAGGATTCCTTCCATGTTTATGGGATTCTTTGGGCAACATTTAAGAAAATGAGAAGAGCTAGAGAGTCTCATCACTGAATTTAAACACGGAAACCTCCACTTATAACCTTCATCTTTCAACATATCCCTTAGACCTACACTAAATTCGGTACCTGTTGGCTTATAAGGAACACACACACACACACACACCTACACACACACACACACACACAAACACATACACACACACACCCCTCTATCTCTAAAACAGCCCCGACTTCCTTTTCCTTGACTGTACCCTTCTCAACATTCAGATTTCAGCTTAATTATCATTCGTCCAAAAAACCTTTCCTGGCCAACTTACCCAAATAGACCCTTCTTTAATTAGTTTCTATCTGGATAGTCTATTTCATACCTAACATGTACCACAAGTGGTCACTGATGTAACAGTTTACTGGTTCACTATTTCTCCTCCCAGACTGCAAGCCCCTATAAAGTCAGAGGGCTACATCTACTTCATTTTCTACCAACATTTGACACTGTCTGCATAAAGGATGGCACACGATACAGTCAGTGAGTGAATCATCCACACCAAGGAGTTTATGTATATGTTTCTTTAGCATTTCTATTCCATCTCTTTGTACTATGCGTATCCATATCTAAAAATGTCCTTGGACTTCATCTCCCAGAAGGTCACAGCCCAGGTGTGCAGCTCTTTCCTTAAGCTATCCGCATAAGATATTTGCTCAATCAGGCAAATGAAGGTCCCCTTGAATTGTTATGCGTGAAGAAATTAAGCTGCTAATCTCACTCCCTCATCAGACCTCTTTATACTTCTGCTCACTCCTCCACCCAGCTGATCCTAGTCCAAACTGTTGACCCACGGAATTGTGAGTTGAATAAATGGTGGTTTTAAGCCTCTAGGCTTTGGGGCGGTTTGATGCAGCAGACACTGACTAATACACTACCAGGTTAAAAGCAAAAGTTTTAGAACGCGGTGGTCTGACCTTCCATTCTGAGCACTCCACAGAATAATAGCGTGATCAGAGGCATATTAGTTAAAGCCCCAATTCTCTCATGTGTGAAACGGAGATAATAAATATTTTTTCCTTATAATTATAACAACATTGTTATAATTATTAACTGAGTTAATACACATGAATTACCAAGCATATAGTAAGTGTCCAATCGAGATTGGTGATTATTGTTATTTAAAAAAATTAAAAGATCAACTCATTCCAATCACTAATTGCTTAACTTCATCTCTTCTATGCTTCTAGCATCTTGTTTTTGCAAAGGGAAAAGCTATTTGCTCTCTGCGATAAAGTCTTTTAAGAAGAAGATGGAGTAAAAATATATTTATTATTATCTACAATTTTCCATTATTATTTCCATCATGTAAGTGTAGTCTTGACTTAAAAGGAGATCCATAGTCAAGTACACCCTAGATAACAGGCAATTTTTTGTGTACTGAATGCACAAAAGGAGAATCATACCTTTTCTTTTCCTTTAAAATAAGGGATGAGGATCACTTTCGCGAGGACAAATAATATTCTAAGACATGCGATATGCTACATGCCACATTCTATCAAAAGAAAAGTCCAAACTCTTAATTTTAAAGACCACCGAGTCTAAGATATATGTATTCTATATTTATAACTATTCATTTTCCAACAGTGGAAAGGATGTTTTCCATCAGCAGAAATATAACAAGCAAAGAAAATCTTATTTTTTTTTTTTTTAAGCCTTGAAAATCTGGAAGGAAACCAATATTTACATTTGGCTTTTTATTTTGCATTAAATTTATATGCATACTAAATTTCTTCCTGGTTCCTCTTCAGTCAGTACTATTAGCTCATACTCTATTTTTCTACATGCATAAAAAGCTAAAGCAATTTATCTCTTTTTATGAGCGGCTCAAAAAAGCAAAATCCTTTATTGTGTTTGCGTCACTTAATGCTCACAAACATCATTGTGGGCTTTGCCGGTTCTTGATTCAAACACACAGAACAAAAGGGAGGGTGGAAACTGTAAGACAAAAGATAGGGGGAAAACGAGATCCACAAGAGTCCTTGTGAGCCTAGTGGCAGGAGAGATCTAGTTTCTGCACTGCGTGCAGAGGAACTGGTTTAGAATCACAGGAGAACGATGAGACTGTTCAAAGTATAGTATTTTCCTTGGAGAAAGAGGTTTGCTTTTGAGTTTTGCTCTCTATTTTAACAGCTAAAGCAATCCTGTGAGCTTTACAAATGACCTTTCAGACTACAGAATGACATTATAGTCTCGGGGGGTAAAAGGTAAGGAGATGTCATTTATCTTAACTACGTCTCAGAGGATGACACTGCTGCACAACATGGTCTCTCAATAAGATGGGCCAAGGAAGAGTCTATTCTGTGTGTCTCATCCACCCACTGTCCTCCAACAATTGTGGGGCACAGCAGGGGATTTGTGCATCATTTAATATAAACGCCAAGAACTTTTTTCCTTCACCTCTACTTTTGTTTGTTTCTAATTATTTTTAATTGACAAATAAAATTATATATGTTTATCAGGTACAACATGAAAATTTCAAACATGTATACATGTGGAATGGCTAAATCAGGCTAATATATACATTATTTCACGTCCTTGTGTTTTGTGTGAGAACACTTAAAATCTACTCGGTGATTTTCAAGAGCACCATACATTGGTACTAACTATGATTTCTCCATATTGTACAATAGATCTCTTGAACTTACTCCTCCCGCCTACCTGAAATTTTGTACCCGACCAACAACTCTCCCCTGCCAGCCACCAGCCCTTGGTAACCACCATTTTACTCTGTTTCTATGAGTCTCACTCTGTTAGATTCCATATATAAGTTAGATAATGCAGCATTTGTCTTTCTATGTCTGGCTTAGTTCAGTTAGCATAATGTCCTCCAGGTTCAACCATATTGTTGCAAAGGGCAGAATTTCCTTCTTTTTTGAAGGCTGAATTGTATTTCATGGCATGTATATGTATGTGTGTGTGTGTGTGTGTCTGTGTGTGTGTTAAAAATTTTCTTTACCTTTTCATCTGTTCAGGGACACTTAGGTTGTTTCCATATCCTGGCTATTTTGTTTAGTTTTTATTTTATTTTATTTTTGACAAGGAGTCTCATTCTGCCACCCAGGCTGGAGGGCAGTGGCATGATCTCAGCTCACCGCAACCTCTGCCTCCCAGGTTCAAGCGATTCTCCCACCTAAGCACTGCTCCCCCGGCCCCGAGTAGCTGGGAATACAGGCGCGTGTCACCAAGCCTAGATATTTTTTGTATTTTTACTAGAGATGGGGTTTCACCATGTTGGCCAGGCTGGTCTCGAACTCCTGACCTCAAGTGATCCACCCACCTCAGCTTCCTAAAGGGCTGGGATTATAGGTGTGAGCCACCGTGCCTGGCCATATCCCTGGCTAGTTTGAATAGTGCTGCAATAAACACAGGAGTGCAGACATCTCTCCGATATATTGATTTCATTTTCTTTGGATGTATAATCCAGCAGTGAGGTTGCTGAATCATATGGTAGTTCTATTTTTAATTTTTTGAGGAACCTCCCTACTGTTTACCTCTCCTTTTGTTAAAATAAGAAGTCCAAAAGATTTGTGTGTACCTGAGAGAAATAATTCAGTTAAGGATTTCTATAGTTAGTAACCACATATTCATTTTTTATCGCAAAACACAAGTTTGGAGGTTGGCCCTATAGAGCTACTTCAGCTATTCTTGAGGAACTCATTATGCTCCAATATTCCTGTTCCATTGTCCAGTGTGGCTTCTGGACTCATGGTCATAGATGGCTGCCCTACTTTCTGACCAGCATACTTCTTCCAGGCAAGAGGAAGCCTGAAAGGAGAAGGGCGTGTGGCTGGAAGGTGTGTACAAGCTCACTTCTGTCCCTACCCTGCAGACTTCCACTTCTGTATCACTGGCTCCACGGCCACTCCCAAATGCAAAAAAAACCCTGAGAAATCAAGGTTTGCTACTGTTGTTTGTTTTTGCTCTAGATGGACCCATTGTCACACCTAACAAACACAGAACATTGGAGAATGGTCACAAGAGAAAACACTCTTTCTGAAAATGTGGTCCCAAAGCCTGCAGCACCGGCAACACATGAGAACTTTTAAAAAATTCAAATTCTTAGACTCCGTTTTAGAATCACTGAATCAAACGCTCTGAGGGTGCGTTTTAAGAGGGCCTCCAGGGAATTCTGGTTCATGCTCACCTCTGAGGAGGGCCAGGGTAGACAGCTAATAGTGTCTGCAACAAAAAGATATATGAGGCAGTAATAATAATATTACTTTTTTTTTTCTTGAGACAGAGTCTCGCCCTGTCACCTACGCTGGAGTTCAGTGGCACAATCTCGGCTCACTGCAACCTCTGCCTCCCAGATTCAAGCGATTATCCTGCCTCAGCCTCCCAAGTAGCTGGCATTACAGGTGCCTGCTACCACACCCAGCTAATTTTTGTATTTTTTTTTTTTTTTTTTTTAGTAGAGATGGGGTTTCATCATGTTGGCCGGGCTGGTCTCAAACTCCTGAGCTCAGGCAATCCAGCCGCCTCACCGCCCAAACTGCTGAGATTACAGGTGTGTGGCACTATGTCCAGCCACAATATTATCATTTTAACTGTTGAATTATCACAGGAAACACATGAGGCATATACTGTTACAACTTCATTTTAAAGATGAAAGAAAGTGAGGGTCAAAGCCTACAGCCAGCAAGATAATGGAAAACATCAACATTTAAACTTCATATAAACCCCTTAAGAGGTTTGGGGAGAAAATGCTCTTGGAGGCCAATGCTTTCAATGAGTAATTCTTTTGACTTTCATACCTTTACTATATCACTATCCATAATATATCAAAAACCAATTCATACAATATGCTTCAGAAAGTCTGTGCCTTGAAAACTTGAACACCGCTTCAATGAGTGGTCATGGGCAATGCACTCCTTTTCCTGACCTCAGTTTCACTACCTGTGCCACAGGAAAGACATAGACAGGCTTACTTCACATTGCTGAAAATTTATTGGAAATATTTTTTTGTTTTTTTTTTTTTTTTTGGAGACAGAGTTTCACTCTTGTTGCCGAGGCTGGAGTGCAATGGCATGATTTTGGCTCACTGCAACCTCCACCTCCCGGGTTCAAGTGATTCTCCTGCCTCAGCCTCCCGAGTACCTGGGATTACAGGCACCCACAACCATGCCCAGCTAATTTTTTTTTTTTTTTTTTTTGTATTTTTAGTACAGACTGGGTTTCACCATGTTGCAGGCTGGTCTCGAATTCCTGACCTCAGGTGATCCTCCCACCTCGGCCTCCCAAAGTGCTGGGATTACAGGCATGAGCCACTGCACCAGGCCTGGGAAATACTAATTTACACAAAGAACTCTGTGATCTTTGGAAAGGAACTGCAGGAATGTATATCACTTTTAACATCCTTAGAATTGTTACAATCCCATGATTTTAAGAATCCTAGAAAAAGATTGTCTTAAGGTTTCAAATGGTTAATTCCCCCATTAACTATCAAAAAGCACGGCTTCAGTGTTTCTGTAAAGTCTACAAAGGCTTTTGCATTAAATCACAAGAACAACTTTTGTAAAGATGTTGCACACTGCATTCACACTTCAGTCATGTCTCCTAGGCTAGTAGGAACTTTTGCTTTCTGACATGATCCATTTTGTTAAAGCTGGTTATGATTCCCCACATTACTTGAAAACCAATTTCATTCAAGACAAAAGAGTGTGAGCAGGGTATTACATTTTATGCCTAAATTATGCAAATTTGGTGGAGTTATATTGTATTGTGAGCAATTCCCTTTCTTCCAGTTTTCATTGTGGCAGAAGTTAAAGTAAATTTCACTATCCTCATTTGCAAAAGGTGAATACTTTCTATTTTAAAACCCTGGGGGAAAGGATTGACTTTTAATGAGCAGTTATCTAATATAAAAATCTCTTACATATATTACTGACATCATTCCCGGGTATTAAATGTACATTCCAGATAGGGTTGATCTTGATTCAATTAATCCTTGGAGAAAGGGGCTTCATAACCAAGTTCTCTCTGTTCCCAAGGCAAACCGGGAGGATGTGGGCACATTTTTTAGAAGATACGCAAGTTATAGCAATGCTTTCCTGCTAAACATCAAACCCTGCAGCTTTTGATACCAAGCTTTCAGAACAGGGGCACTATTTTATATATATATATATAACTCTCCTACTTCAGTTAGCAGTTCAGTTAGCACGTATTGGGATTGTAGCTGTTATTCCTTCCATTGTTAAAGATCACCTTCAAACTCTTCCACTGTTCTCTACCTCTCTTGTAGTCCATCACTTCCCAGAAGGAAAGGAGCCTACACAGGACTGGGGACAGCCCCAAATTCCTGGAGTGAGTGATTTTTTTTTTTTTTTTTTTTTTTTTTGAGATGGAGTTTTGCTCTTGTTGCCCAGGCTGGAGTGTAATGGCACAATCTTGGCTCACCACAACCTCCACCTCCCAGGTTCAAGCGATTCTCTTGCCTCAGCCTCCCAAGAAGGTAGAATTACAGGTGCCCACCACCACACCCAGCTAATTTTTTGTATTAAATAGAGATGGGGTTTCCCATGTTGGTCAGGCTGGTCTCAAACTCCTGACCACAGGTGATCCACCCACCTCAGCTTCCTAAAATGCTGGGATTATGGGCGTGAGCCACCGCACCTGGCCAAGTAAGTGATTCTTAATCTGCTTTTGACCATCTGATTGTTGCTTCTGTCATCTTCACACACATTCAATTAGATTGATAATCTCATCTCTTTCTAGAGTAGGTGGTACATATGAAGCAGAAATACGCAGACCTAGCAGGTGAATCAGTTCACTTTTTTTAGGGTACAAGCAACACCAACTGCAGTGACTTTAAAAATAGGGCTTTTTTGTTCTCACATAATGAATCGAGCATCTTACTACTCCAAGTGTGGTCCATAGACCAGCAACATCAGCACTGCCTAAGAATTTGTAAAATACTTAGGAATCCAGCTTACAAGGGACATGAAGGACCTCTTCAAGGAGAACTACAAACCACTGCTCAAGGAAATAAAAAAGGATACAAACAGAAGAACATTCCATGCTCATGGTTAGAAAGAATCAATATCGTGAAAATGGCCATACTGCCCAAGGTAATTTATAGATTCAATGCCATCCCCATCAAGCTACCAATGACTTTCTTCACAGAATTGGAAAAAAATAACTACTTTAAAGTTCATATGGAACCAAAAAAGAGCCCTCATCACCAAGTCAATCCTAAGCCAAAAGAACAAAGCTGGAGGCATCACGCTACCTGACTTCAAACTATACTACAAGGCTACAGTAACCAAAACAGCATGGTACTGGTACCAAAACAGAGATATAGATCAATGGAACAGAACAGAGCCCTCAGAAATAACGCCGCATATCTACAACTATCTGATCTTTGACAAACCTGACAAAAACAAGCAATGGGGAAAGGAGTCCCTATTTAATAAACAGTGCTGGGAAAACTGGCTAGCCATATGGAGAAAGCTGAAACTGGATCCCTTCCTTACACCTCATACAAAAATTAATTCAAGATGGATTAAAGACTTAAATGTTAGACCTAAGACCATAAAAACCCTAGAAGAAAACCTAGGCATTACCATTCAAGACATAGACATGGGCAAGGACTTCATGTCTAAAACACCAAAAGCAATGGCAACAAAAGCCAAAATTGACAAATGGGATCTAATTAAACTAAAGAGCTTCTGCATAGCAAAGGAAACTACCATCAGAGTGAACAGGCGACCTACAAAATGGGAGAAAATTTTCGCAACCTACTCATCTGACAAAGGGCTGATATCCAGAATCTACAATGAACTCAAACAAATTTTCAAGAAAAAAACAAACAACCCCAACAAAAACTGGGCAAAGGATATGAACAGACACTTCTCAAAAGAAGACATTTATGCAGCCAAAAGACACATGAAAAAATGATCATCATCACTGGCCATCAGAGAAATGCAAATCAAAACCACAATGAGATACCATCTCACACCAGTTAGAATGGCAATCATTAAAAAGTCGGGAAACAACAGGTGCTGGAGAGGATGTGGAGAAATAGGAACACTTTTACACTGTTGTTGGGACTGTAAACTAGTTCAACCATTGTGGAAGTCAGTGTGGCGATTCCTCAGGGATCTAGAACCAGAAATACCATTTGACCCAGCCATCCCATTACTGGGTATATACCCAAAGGACTATAAATCATGCTGCTATAAAGACACATGCACACGTATGTTTATTGTGGCACTATCCACAATAGCAAAGACTTGGAACCAACCCAAATGTACAACAATGATAGACTGGATTAAGAAAATGTGGCACATATACACCATGGAATACTATGCAGCCATAAAAAATGATGAGTTCATGTCCTTTGTAGGGACATGGATGAAATTGGAAATCATCATTCTCAGTAAACTATCGCAAGGACAACAAACCAAACACCGCATGTTCTCACTCATAGATGGGAATTGAACAATGAGAACACATGGACACAGAAGGGGAACATCACACTCTGGGGACTGTTGTGGGGTGGGGGTAGGGCGGAAGGATAGCATTAGGAGATATACCTAACGCTAAATGACGAGTTAATGGGTGCAGCACACCACCATGGCACATGTATACATATGTGACTAACCTGCACATTGTGCACATGTACCCTAAAACTTAAAGCATAATAATAATAATAATAATAATAATAATAATAAAAGAAAAGAAAATTCTTACATTCTACCCAAGACCTACTGAATCACTGAATCACAGTCTCTGGAACAGGGGCCCAGCAATCCAGGGCTTAACAAAGCCTTCAGGTGATTGTTATGTGCACTAAAGTTAGGGAAGTCCTCATCTAGAAGCCGATGGTTGCTATGTCAGAGCTGATGTATCTGCAATCCTCCTGACATTCTCCTCATGGTCATGATGCAATTGTCACAGCTCCAGTTATCACTTCTATGCTCCAGGCAAGCAGAAGGAGGGAAGGGAAAACGTACATCACTCTTGTCTAACCCTTTTTGTTATGTTTTTGTCTCCAGAAAGTTTCAAGCTTGCATGAAATTTTTTAAATTAGTCTTTCAGCCTCTAGAGCGGAAGACAGCAAGGTATAGAAGAAGGTCAGAAATAATTTTGATTTACAAATTAACAGTATTTGCCACACCTGAATACCAAAGACCCACGAGAGTTATTTCATAACATTGTATTTTATAAAAGAAATATCTCTCTAGTCTAAAACATTCATTTCCATTGGACTACATATTTGGCTAGTTGTTTGGAAAGACATCATGCTGGAAATAAACATGTCTTCAGTCACTCATCTTTCACTGTGTGCCCTTCCATACTTCTTAAATATGGTGTCTTGTGCATGACTTGCTCATTAAAAAGTGACATGAGGAAACATGAAGAAGGACCACTGCTTCCCTTATGATAGGGACTAAAGTAAATAAATCAATTCTCATATATTGGTTGATACGGTTTGGCTGTGTCCCCACCCAAATTTCATCTTGAATAATTCCCTTGGGTCAAGGATGGTACAAAATGGAGAAAACTGGATCATGGGGGCAGTTTCCCCCATACTGTTCTTGTGGTAGTTACTAAGTTTCACAAGATCTGATGGTTTTTATAGATGGGAGTTCCTCTGCACAAGCTTTCTTTGCCAGCCACCACATAAGACGTGACTTTGCTCCTCCTTCACCTTCTGCCATGACTGTGAGGTGTCCCAGCCACGTGGAACTGTGAGTCAGTGAAACCTCTTTCCTTCATAAATTACCCATTGTCAGGTATGTCTTTATTAGCAGTATAAGAATGGACTAATACATTAATTTAGCTTAAGATCATATTAACAAATGATAGGAAATGTTTGGATGACACATTGGAATACTGACTCATATTGAAATTATACAATACAGTCTTTGGAAATATGTGGCTTTTGTTTTGCTTAACAGAGTGCTTTTACTCATGGCTCTCTAAGTGTTATCTGGGCAGCTGAATTGTTAAAACACAAGGCAGGCCTCTATTAGGAAGATGAACCCAGAGATTAAGCATATAAAAACAATCAACCTCACTAGTAATGAAATTCAAATTAAACAGCAGTGATACAGTTTCTATTAGGAAAATGTAAAGTAATTATAAAACCCAAGGCTGGTGAGGATGTAGAGAAACTAGCATTTATATGCATTGCTAGTAGTTATATACATTGCTATGACCCTTTTGAAAAGTAAGTTGGAAATACATGTAAAGTACTGTGCAAGATATTTCCATTTCCCTAATCCTATGATTACACTTCTGGAAATATGGCCTAAAGAGATAATTTTAAATATGGAAAAAGTTACCCGTTGGGGCATTATTTAGAATAAAAAGAGTAAAATTTAATTTCACCTAATATAATGACAATTAAATGTTATATAGCTACACACACACACACACATACACACACACACACAGAGTGAAGTATTTGATAGCCATTACAAGTTAAGGTTAAGTTATGATTATAGAGACTAGATTACTTGGTTCATATAGGACAATGTTTATTTTAAAAAAGTTAAATGTTCATTATGATCATAGGCACATAAATTAAAAAATACATCTGAGGGTGGAAGAAAGGCACCACAAATTTAATGCTGATTGTACTGTGATGAATGCTTTTGTTTTCTTCATTATTTTCCACTGGGGGGGGGCGGTTAGTCATAGCATTATCTTACTTTTTAATGAAAAATACATCTACAGTAAACACACACCACAAACCATTTTGAAGCTCTTAGAAGAAACAGCTCTGTAAACATAGTTTATGGCTACAATAAAACAGGCTTTTCAGAAATTTCACTGTGTTTTGGTTAATCAAAAGATCTCACTGACTGAGAGATATTAATGATACAAATTACAAATTATCAAAGACTTATAACTCAATATAGTCTACAGGACTGAGGGAATCTAGGAGAAATGAAAGCTATTACCAAGTATAATTCCTCCTTTTCTCTTGTTTCAATCCCTCCAGTGTCAGTGGAGTCTTCTAAATCCAACAGGTTGTGTTAAAGGAGTCTTAAAGAATAAAGGGGTGGGCCTAGTATCTATGGGACAAAAATGAACATGTATCTGCATTAGTCAATTTAGCAATTCAAGAAAGTAAATGTATGTTATGTGTGTCTGTTTGTATGGAGAAATAGACGATAAATGGATAGATGAATGTATATATACATATACACACACCCACAGACACACAGAGATGTATATATATACACACACATATAGATACCTATATCGAGATAGATGATATACAGATAAATGATAAATACCCTTATATATGTACATATAGAAAAATATAGATAAATACATTTATATATTCATATAGAAACAGACAGATGACAGATGAAGACAGAAAGATAAATAGTAGATGATGGATGATACACACACACGGACACCTATTTACTGAATACTTATGTTACATTTGTGCTAAGAGCTTTTCATGTATTATCACAATCGATACGAGAATTAGTTTATTCTCTTTTTTGTTTGTTTGTTTTTTTGACATGCAGTTTTGCTCTTGTTGCCCAATCTGGAGCACGATAGCATAATCTCGGCTCACTGCAACCTCCGCCTTCTGGGTTCAAGTGATTCTCCTGCCTCAGCCTCCTGAGTAGCTGGGATTACTGGCACCCAACACCACAGCTGGCTAATTTTTTCTATTTTTAGTAGAGACAGGTTTTCACCATGTTGGTCAGGCTGGTCTTGAACTCCTGACCTCAAGTGATCTGCCCACCTCGGCCTCCCAAAATGCTGGGATTACAAGCATGAGCCACCACGCTCAGCCTATTCTCATTTTACAGATAAAGCAATTGAGAGGTTAAGTGAATTGCCCGAGTTCACTCCATACAATAATTTCCTTGGAAAAGACCACGACTGGATCAATAGAAAATGAAGCTCAGACTTGACCGAGACATATTTTCTACTTTTTTCCCTCCCAACTCAGTTATGCTGCCCAGGCTGGAGTGTCGTGGCACAACCATGGTTCACTGCAGCCTCGACCTCCTGGACCTCCAGAGTAGCTGGGCCCTGGTGACCGCAGGATAACTATTACTTTTTTGTGTGCGTATTTTTGCAGTGATGCAGTCTCCCAGTGTTGCCCAGGCTGGTCTTGAGCTCCTGGGCTCAAGTGATCCTCCCACCTCAGCCTCCCAAACTGCTGGGATTACAGGTGTGAGCCACTGCACTCGGCCCTCATTTTCTAAAGAAAAAGTAGCAAGGGCTGGTGCTAGACATATAAAAAATCACCAACCACAGATTGTGACCTTTGCTCTCAATTTACACTTGATTTTTTATTGCCCCTCTTAATGACTCGGTATCTCAAGATAAATATGTACCTGTTCCACAGATGTGGCCCCTGAGTCACCTAACAGCCTCTAATATGCCTACATTTTGACATACGTGCTACTGACTATTATGCTTTTATGTTGAAAACCACAGTTAATACCCTATTCATACTTGCATGCAGCACTTAAGAAGAAAAACTATAATTAGGACTTTTTCTCCTTCTTCTTTTTTTTTTTTTTCTGGCTTCAATTGTCTCCATTTGGGACTTAACTAATAAGCTTAACTGAGATTCCGACTTCGGATTTAGCAGATAAAATATCTGAAGAAGGAGACCGGGAACCAGTGGAAGTTCCCAGGGATTATATTATTTAATTCCACGGACACAAATTTTCCATGTAGAACAATGATATCCTGCGTGTTGTGAACTAGGTGAAGCAAAAGCTGGGCTTTCCTCTTATTAAAAACAAGAGAAAGACTTTACTAAGGCCGGCGCAGTGGTGCATGCCTGTAATCCCAGCACTTTGGGAGGCCGAGGTGGGAGGATCACTTGAGGCCAGGAGTTTGAGATCAGCCTGGCAAACAGGGTAGAATCCCATCTCTACTAAAATACACAAAAATTAGCCAGGTGTGGTGGTGGGTGCCTGCAGTCCCAGCTACTCGGCAGGCTAAGGCACAAGAATCACTTGAACCCTGGAGGCAGGTGTCGCAGTGAGCCGAGATTGTGCCACTGCACTCCAGCCTGGGCAATAGAGTGAGACTGTGTCTCAAAAAACAATAAATAAATAAGTAAATAAATAAATAAATAAATAAATAAAAAGACTTCACTAGTCCTGTTTATAGTCTTAGCTCAATGAATGACTCTAGAATTCACCTGGCATACTCAAGGAGAATGGGCAGGCATTTTTAATATTATTCTACTGAAAATGCACGTGGGCTCAACAAATGATCTGGTTAAAAATAATGTGTATGGGACTCATTCTAACAGCACCAAAGGGAAGGACACATTCCTTTTAAAATTTCTTTCAGAACTGATTACACAACTTTTCATTCATGCAACGTTTTTATTTTATTATTTTTGAGACAGAATCTCACTCTGCCTTCCAGGCTAGAATGCAGTGGCAGGATCCCAGCTCACTACAACCTCCACCTCCCCGGTTTAAGTGATTCTCATGCCTCAGCTTCCTGAGTAGCTCGGATTAACAATCATGCGCCACCATACCAGGCTAATGTTTGTAGTTTTACTAGATACAGAGTTTTGCCATGTTCGCCCGGCTGGTCTCAAACCCTTGGTCTCAAGTGATCCACCCGCCTTAGCCTCCCAAAGTGCTGGGATTACAGGCACGAGCCACTGTGCCCAGCCTATGCAACATATTTGTGAGGGCCTACTAGGTGTCAGGTGTCTGTGCGATACTGAAGCACAGTGAGAAATGAAGTGGTCCCAAGAGACAAGCAGGTTACTCAGCCCGTCAACATGCAAAGTGATGCACCACGATGTGGGTACACCCAGGGGCCTGGGACAGGAGGCGCACAGTCTTCTTCTGGATGCAAAGGAGCAGGGGGAATCAAACTGCAAATTAACTCCTCACCATGCTCCTTATTTCCCTGGTACTCCCCTCAACACGTGTGCTCAGTCCCAGGAAGGTCCCGATAATACTGAAATGTTTGATTATCACGTTTTCTCAATTCTGAGAGATCACTGAGACTGTAGGAGACATCCTCCCCTTTTTTTCAGCTTCCCTCTTTTCAGAAAAGTTAAAATACAGAAAACACATGCATGCTCCAATAAAGGAAATACGGTAGTATTCAGACATTTTTGGCAACATTTTTGTTCTCAAATATATCTCTGAAAGTGGGACATTCAATAAAATAACATTTGCTTCTAGATTCAGACGAATTCTACAAAAAAAAAAAAAAAAAAGAATCCCCTAAATGAATAGACACGAGGCTACCCTCATACACAGAGGTGACTATGACTGAAGCAAAGAGACGTTTTTAGCCAACCCATTAATCTAGCAAAGCTTTGTGTTAAGATGCGGATATGTCAGAACAGGTTACCTGAAGAGGGCTTTCTTTTGAACTTGAACTGCCGAAATTCCAAGCATACACCAAAGGGCTTCAGTTTAAGTGGGCAAAAGGTGAACGATCAGAAGAAAAGTAGAAAGAACAGAAGACCAGCCTGATTATCAAAGAAGAGCTTCCAAGGGAGAGCGGAAAAAAAAAAAGTGAAATAGGGAAAGTTTTCAAAAAGTCAACATTCAAGTGAAGCTGCATTTTAAAAAATAAATCATTCGGAGGCATATACGTGAGAAATAAAAGAATTTGCTTTTTAGTTTTCAGGCAGAGTAGGCAGAGGAAATAAAGAGACAAACAAAAGTGGGATCAGAGAGCACAGCTAGAAGGGGATATCTGTCTAAGCGAAAAAATAAAAAATAAAGAAAGAAGGAAAATACAAATCAAAGTTACAGCATTTCAGGATTGAGTTACCATTTGAGTTTGTTGGATACTTTGCTTTTGCTCACTCGAAGGCTGAAGCTGTGGCTTGTGGATATTTCTAGCAGAGGCTACTCAGGACAACAAAATCAAGCCAAATACAGAGGGTCACTCTCTTCAGCGATACAGCAGTTCGGATTAAGAGGGGGAGCTAATGGTGTTGGCAAAAGGCAAAACTATTAACTAGAATCTGTTCTTTCAGCCATCGTGATGGTCTCATGCCTGTTTCTCTGTGAGGACCCAGAGGGAATACAGCCTAATAAAAGAAATCACCTCTGTCTAGTAGATGGTTAAAATCTGTATGGGGTTTTTATACTTTTATTTTACGTTCAGGGGTATATGTGCAGGTTTGTTCCATAGGTAAACTTGTGTCATGGGGGGTTGTTGTTCAGATTATTTCAGCACCCAGGTATTAAGCCCAGTACCCATTAGTTATTTTTCATGATGCTCTCCCTCTTCCAACTCCCCACCCTCCAAAAGGCCCCGGTGTGCGTTATTCCCCTCCATGTGCCCATGTGTTCTTATCATTTAACTCTCTCTTACAAGCGAGAACATGCAGTATTTGGTTTTCAGTTCCTGTGTTAGTTTGCTAAGGACAATGGACTCCAGCTCCATCCATGTCCCTGCAAAGGACATGATCTCATTCTTTTTACGGCTGTGATCTTCCCAGTTAGAGAGTTATCACTGCCTTTTACTCCACTGCAACCATCTTGTGGATCCTTTCAGTGGGCATGTGGCGAGTTGATTCATACTGGGTTATAAACACATTCAACCCATTGGGATGTTTATGCAGTCCTTTCTCCATGTAAGAAAACAGGCTGGGTTAAATACCACAGAATACTTGCTTTCGAAGAGCTGTGTGCACCTAGGGAATGAGATGTGCCCACAGATCATCACCCAGGATAAACAATCCATAAGGGAGGGAGAGACAAAATGTGCTGCAAAAATCTACAGGAAGGAAAAAGACAAGGTTAATGGAGGAAAAGTATCTAGAAGAAAAGAAAGGAATGCAATGTTCTCAATGGTGTGTTTACAACTGCTAGTCCCAAGGGATTTGGGGGAGCGTTCATGGGAAATAAACAAACTCAGAAAAAAATATGGGCATGCACACTCTGTCTCCTTCTCTCCCTCTCCCCCTCTCCCTCTCTTCCTTTCTCTCCTTCTCTCCCTGTCCCTCTCCCTCTCCTCCTCCCTCTCTGCCTGTTTTCTTCTGTCTCTCCTGCTCTCCCCTTCTCCTTCTCTCCCTGTCCCTCTCCCTTTCCTTCTCCCCCTCCCCTCTCTGTCTCTCTCTACCTCTCCCTCTCTCCCTCTCCCTCTCCTTTTCCCTCTCTCCCTCTGCCCTTCTCTCTCTCCCTTCCCTCTCCTTCTTCCCCTCTTTGTCTCTCCCCCTCTCCCTCTCCTTATCCTCCTCTCCTTCTCTCTCCCCCTCTCCCTCTCTCACTGTCCCTCTCCCTCTCCTTCTTCTCTTCTCCTTCTCTCTTCCCCTCTACTCCTCTCCCTCTCCTTCTCCTCTCCTTCTCTCTCCCCATCTCCCCGTCCCTCTCCCTCTCCTTCTCCCCTCTCCCTCTCCATTTCCTTTTACCTCTCCCCTTCTCCCTCTTTCCCTGTCCCTCTTCCTCTCTCCTTCTCCCTCCTTCTCCCTCTCCCTCTCTCCCTCTCTCCCTGTCCCTCTCCCTCTCCCTCTCCCCCTCTCCTTCTCTCCCGGTCCCACTCCCTCTCCTTCTCCCCTCGCCTTCTCCCTCCTTCTTTCTCTTTCCCTGTCCCCCTCCCCCTCTCCCCCTCTCCCCCTCTCCCTGTCCCTCTCCCTCTCCCTCCCCTTCTCCCTCTCTCTCTCTCTCCTTCTCTCTCCCCTTCTCCTTCTCCCTCTCCTTCTCCCTCTCTCCTTCTCCCTCTTTCCCTCTCCCCCTTTCCTTCTCCCTCTCCCCTTCTCCCTCTCTCCTTCTCCCTCTCTCCCTGTCCCTCTCCCTCTCCCTGTCTTTCTCCCTCTCCTTCTCCCTCTCACCTTCTCCCTCCTTCTCCCACTTTGCCTCTCCCCCCTCCCTCTCCCCCTCTCCCTGTCTCCTTCTCCCCATCTCCCTCTCTTCCTCTCCACTTTTCCCTCTCTCCCTGTCTCCCTCTCCCCCTCTCCTTTTCTCCCTGTCGCTCTCCCTCTCACCTTCTCTGTCCTTCTCCCTCTCTCCCTCTCCCCACTCCCTCTCTTCCTGTCCCTCTCCCTCTCACTCTCACTCTTTCTCCCTCACTCTCTTTCTCCATCTCCCCTTCTCCCTCTCCCCCTCTCTCTCTCCTTCTCCCTCTCCCTCCTACTCTTTCATCCTTGGAGATTCCTAATGCATACTAGCATATTAAAGATTCTGAAGAACAAGACATCAATGTAGGGCTGGTGGGTACAAGAAGGGAAACATGAGAGAGATGGAGACAGTGGGAGAGAAGGAGAGAGGTACACATGCAACGTCTCAATGACAACGGGTTTGTCTCATTTGAGGAACTAGGAACAAGGCACCCACTCATGCTCTTGGAGTGAAAGAAACACTTATTTGAGTATGAGAGATGGGTGGGACATCTGACAGAGCAGTGATTCTCAAGCAGAGGTGATTATGCTTCCCAGGGGACATTTGTCAATATCTAGAGCCATTTTGGTTCTCATGATTAGGAGAGTGGGTTGTACTGGCATCTAGAGTGTAGAGAGCTGGGATGCTGCTAAGCATCCAATAATTCATGGGACATCCCCTGACCCCATCCCCTCCCATAACAAAGAACTGTCCAGTTCCAAATGTCAACAGTGATGAGGTTGAGAACCCTGGCTTAGAGTGAGAGACTGAGCATGGTGAATGCGCTTTCGCTCAGTAGACAAAGGGATGGAGAGGGATACAAGTTGGGGTGGTTCTCAGCTTTGCTCTTAAGCACAGAATGATTTAAACCATCCAGTATTTCTTCTTCTCTTTATTACATTGAAATAAGAGCACAGACTCATGACTCCCAGGTTCATACACGGCTTAAATACATGTTATAAACAATTGGCATGACTTACGCAACTTTTCAGCAATGATCAGCAGCATAGCAGAAGGCGGTACCTGCCTTGCCGCCAGGGTCTGTTAGAGTGTCAAGGCAGCCAGAGACTCTCAGGCAGTAGTTCAAATGCAGCTGAGGCAGCTGTCTAGGAGGTTTTCCATATTGCCGGTTGTAAATCAGCCCAGTGTTGCCAGAATGGGGCTAAGAGAAGCTTCAGAAATCTGTTACCCACTGAAGGCCCCAAAATGGTGCCTTTCCTAAGAGAAAGTGGAACAGATCAGCTGAGCTGATACCTCAATGAAGCATGACAGCCTATGACAAAGCCACCTAGAAAGAAATAATTAAGCGTTCAAGAAAGAGCTCATAAAGCTATCCCCAAAGACACACTGGGTCATAAAAAAGAAAAAAATATATAGTTTCTGTATTTAAATGCAAATATATAGCAATAAATAGACATCAAACTCAATAACAAGACTTCCATTTTGAAGGTTTTAGTTCAAAATGAGGTACTTTTTGGCACAGAAGATGTGACTTAACTTTTTAAAAGCCTACAAGGTTACAACGCAGGGATGTCTCCAGGTGACCACAACAGTGAATATAAAATTAACATACTTCACTTATTAAGGGAAAAGGCCGTTCAGGTCTGCCTCTTTATGTAAAACGACTATTCTAAGTAGGTGGCCCTTCAATTCTTCGTTAATAACAGACTTTTTTTTACTATTGGTCTCTTCTTCTTACCTTTTTCAGGTTACAAATAGGGTACATATGTCTTGGAGAAAAAATTAAAGAGTATGTCTTATCTATGGAAATCTTCAATTATAAAAACGCAGATTACTCCATTATCATATTAGTGGGTTTTTTTTTTGTTTGTTTGTTTGTTTGTTTTTTTGACAGACTCTCACTCTGTCACCCAGGCTGGAGTGCAGTGGCACGATCTCAGCTCACTGCAAGCTCCACCTCCCGGGTTCACGCCATTCTCCAGCCTCAGCCTCCCAAGTAGCTGGGACTACAGGCGCCCACCACCATGCCCAACTAATTTTTTGTATTTTTAGTAGAGACAGGGTTTCACCATATTAGCCAGGATGGTCTTGATCTCCTGACCTCAAGTGATCTGCCCACCTCGGCCTCCCAAAGTGCTGGGATTACAGGGGTGAGCCAAAACACCCAGCCGTGGATATATGCTTTATAAATGCATACATACACATATATGTGTACCTATCTGTAATTTTAAATATTGTATAGCATATGTATTGCATATTTTAAAAATATATAGTATGTTACCTATACAAATGTGTCTATATACAATTCTTTTACATAAAAGTAATCATAGTATATATACTATTATACAACTTTTTTCACCAATTAACAATGTATATTAGGTATTTTTCAACGTCAATACCATATAAAGATTTTTGTTTCATTCTTAACAGCATATTGGCCGAGGACAGTGGCTCATACCTGTAATCTCAACACATTGGGAGGCCGAGGTTGGCAGATCACTTGAGGCCAAGAGTTCAAGACTAGCCTGGCCAACATGGCAAAACTCCATCTCTACTAAAAAAGAAAAATACAAAAACTTAGCCAGGCATGGCGCTGTGTGCCTGTAATCCTAGCTACTCTGGAGGCTGAGACATGAGAATTACTTGAACCTGGGAGGCAGAGGTTGCAGTGAGCTGAGACCATGCCACTTCACTCCAGCCTGAGTGACAGAGCGAGACTCTGTTAAAAATAAATAAATAAATAAATAAATAAATAAATAAATAAATAAATAAAAGATGTATTCCTTTAAGTGGATGGAATGTTATTTATTTGATAGGTTTCACATTTATGTACAAAATCAATTCTTAGAAGCACAATTACAAGACCCAGTGTAACTTTCCATTTTTAATAGCTATCCTAAACTCAAAGATAGGAAAGGCCATACCTAGAGAGAAAAGAGGTACTTCTCTCAGCTTGCTTTACAAACGGGGACCTGACATATTGCTGAAGCTACCCTTATTCAAATTTTCTGTCAATAAAGCTAAAACCATTCTAACACATGTAGAAGACCAAGAGTTAACTAGATTGGCTGGGCGAGGTGGCTCACGCCTGTAATCCCAGCACTTTGGGAGGCAGAGGCGGGTGGATCACGTGGTCAGGAGATCAAGACCATCCTGGCTAACACGAAGAAACCCTGTCTCTACTAAATGTACAAAAAATTAGCCGGGTGTGGTGGTGGGCACCTGTAGTCTCAGCTACCTGGGAGGCTGAGGTAGAAGAATGGCATGAACCCAGGAGGTGGAGCTTGCAGTGAGCGGAGATCGTGCCACTGCCCTCCAGCCTGGGCGACAAAGCGAGACTCCATCCCAAAAAAAAAAAAAAAAAAGTTAACTAGATTTCAGGCACTAACCAAAAAAAAAAAAAAAGAAGAAGAAAACACTCTGTCTCATGGAAGCAAAAACACTCTGTCTCATGGTTACTGTCCAGTCTGCCGTTAGGCCACATCCCCTGGAGTAAGGGTCTAAGATCTTTCTTGATGTTTTCCATCAGTAGTTTGCCCCAGTGCTATGTGTGTTTTCTTCAGTGTCAAAACCAAAGGGTTTCTTCCCTCTACTTGGTTCAGCTGATCCTGTAACGTTCAGTTTCTCAACTGCACACTTGGAATGCAAGGCCCCCTCAAAGAAAACACAAAAAAAGACCTTGTGTTTTCCTAAGAGAAAGTGGTATCAGCTGAGCTGACACCTCTAGGGCTATTGCACCGTTCACTTAAGGACTGCCTGGAGCTGACAAGTCTGTGCCCATGTCTTTGAAGAATCAGGCATTATTACGAGATCTTCATAAGATTCCTTTTTTAATTTTTTTCTTTTCTTTTCTTTTCTTTTTTTTTGTTGAGAGGGAGTCTCACTGTGTCACCCAGGCACTGGAGTGCAGTGGCACAATCACAGCTCAATGCAGCCTCAACCTTCCAGGGTTCAAGTGATCCTCCCAGCTCAGCCTACCAAGTAGTTGGGACCACAGACATGCACCATCTCACCCAGCTAATTTTTTGTAGAGACAGGGTCTCGCTACATTACCCAGCCTGGTCTCAAACTCCTGGGCTCAAGTGATCCTCTTGTCTCAGCTTCTTAAAGTGCTGGGATTATAGGAGTGAGCCACTGTGTCTGATCCCTTTGTAAGATTTCTTTCTTCCTTCCTTTCCTTTCTTTCCCCTTCCTTCTTTCCTTCCTTCCTTTCTCTTTTTTTTTTTTTTTTTGGTGTTTTTTTTTTTTGTTTTTTTGTTTTTTTGTTTTTTTTTTTCAGACAGAATTGCACTCTTGTCACCCAGGCCGGAATGCAATGCGTGATCTCAGCTTACTGCAATTTCTACCTCCTGGGTGCAGTTGATTCTCCTGCCTCAGCCTCCCAAGTAGCTGGGATTAAAGGCGCCCACCACCATGCCTAGCTAAGTTTTGTATTTTTGGTAGAGATGGGGTTTCACCATGTTGGCCAGGCTGGTCTCGAACTCCTGACCTCAGGTGATCCACCGGTCTCAGCCTCCCAAAGTGCTGTGACTACAGGCATGAGCCATCATGCCTGGCCCCTTTGTAAGATTTCTAACTTTGTCATGTTCCTAGATGGAGAAGAAATATAAAATCTTTTAAAGTAAAAAAACAAACAAAAAGTCTAGAGACAGAAATACAAGCTCTTGTCACCAATAATAGCAGCAGATGCTTAAGCAGGAATTAAGCAATGAAACTAATAAGAAACTGAGCATAGACCTTCATACCATGTTTCTATCGATTCCCTCTGCCTCACTGTAGGACAAGCAGCTAAAACCTCTCAGGCTGGAAGAACCTGAGACATCATCTGGTTCACGACCTGCTTCCAGACAAGGAATAATTCAATCATCCAGTGACAATGGCTTGCCCCTCCCTTTCTGAAGATCAGACAGTCTGTGCTTAGCTTTCCTGCTATTCAGAAGGTCTCAGGAGAAAAGCAAGTTGAGTTTTAGGGCAGGAGGATGGTGGCAGGATCACAATTGGTGGATTCATTCATTCCACCTGTATGGTCAGAGTTTTTACTGCTTAATTATGTTTGACTTTATCTGCAAATTGCCTGCTTGGCCTTGGCCCCTGATACCGGAGAGGTTACGTGTATTAGATGAGACGGCATTAAGCTCAACCTCAACTAAGGAAATAGACGGATTAACAAGGAAGTTTGGAAGTTTGGATGTACATTCTTTGTTTATTATTAAGTTTCTCTGAAGGTGGGCAGGGATCTCTCCTGATGCAGAAGAAACACACACAACCCAGGGGAACATAATGTAACCCCAACTGCTAAAGACAGCTGAAAAGTTAGGTTAATTCCACAAAACGTGGCCCCTCTTCCCTGGTGTTTTGCTTGTTTGTGAAGATGCCTTCACATTCTCCAGCAGCTTCACACCAACCAAACTCCCTACTTGAGGAGTAAGGGCTCAGATTTCACCTTTAAAGTAAATGCTGAGACTTCTCCTGTCACAGGTTTGTCCTGCTTTCTATGTTGTCCTCTCCTCTTCTCAAAACAGTGCAAAGTTTCCAATTTTATAACACAAACATTTTCAAAATTATCCTTCAAGGTTGTAAGATACAGGACAAAAAGCATAAATGCTTCAAAGACCCAGTTGGGTCACAAAAAAAAAATGGGGGAAGTGAGCAAGTGTAACACAATATATGGCCTGAAGATAAACAGATACTTAGCCTCCTTGTAGGGGGAACACTCTAGGAAGTGGTGGGGACTGGGGAAAACCACATAGGCTATACCTCATGCGAAGACAGAAGCCACTACTTCACATCAATCCTTGCCTTGATAGGAAGGGAATGCAGTGTTTGGCCAGACTCCAATTTTCCAAGAAGAACCAGAAATGCATATTTTTTTTTAAATATGGAAGGTTCTGACTCTTTAAAGCAGTGGCCATTCATTTGAATTTCTAAATTGCAGAACGATTAAAACATGGCCACTGTGCAGCGCTACGTATTTCTTCACAACACCGTCAGCGGACATGGGTTGATTGATCTACATCAGGCACTTTGTAAGATAAAGGGGAGAGAATTGTGTCTGTAAGAGTCCCTGTTCCCAGATGGGGACAGACAAAGCCTTGACCTCCAAAGGGGCAGGGACTCTTTGGGCTTACCCTCCACTAAATGTCTACTCAACTTCAGACACACCTTACACTAAGCACATGCTTGCTGAATGAATAAATAAACGGCTTCTACCCCTGACAAAATACTCTTCCCAATGATTGTAATATATTCCCTCAATGCAATAGGTGTTTGCTTTCAACAAAAAAATTAAACAAAGCACACATGTATAAAGCAAAAGTTAAAAAAAAATTCCATATCCCATCACCCAGAAATATGTATCACTCATTATCAGTAATCAGTATTTTTTTAAACTTATAGTTTTACAAAAAATGGATCATACTCTACATTATATAAAACATAACATATATAATTATAATGTTACACTTCATTATATACTATCATTTAGTTTTTATGCAGAGAAATTAAAGGAACTGTTGACCGCCAGACTATATATATACACACATATATATACACATATATATGTATACACACACATATATACACATATACACACATAAAAATTTTAAGGGAGATTAATCACTACAACATCTCCCTAATGTTAAAAAAAATTCTGAAGTAAACCGATAATTTGGAGTCACATTTTAAAATTTCATCACTCAGCCTAGGCAACAGGCTGTCTCTGAAAAAAATTTTTTTTTAATTAGCTGGATGTGGTGCCATACATCTGTAGTCCCAGCTACGCAACAGGCTGAGGTAGGAGGATCCCCTGAGCCCAGGGCTTTGAGGCTACAGTTACTTACATGCGCACCACTGCACTCCAGCCTGAGTGACAGAGTGAGGCCCTGTCTCAAAAAATAAATAAAATAAAATAAAATGTCTACTGTCACCTTTCTACAATCTGCACATCAAATGGGAAGGGCATTATTATTCAATAGGCAAATAATTAAATTAATATATGGCAATCTGTTTCTTAGGTATGTTTTGGGCCCAAGAGAAAAATTTTAGAAACCGAGTTCTCCTTGAATCTCTTCTTCTTCAGCCCTCTCTTAACCACCTCCCCACAAAATGTAAGAGGGAAAAAACAAAAACCACCTTGATTTTCATCATTCCAGTAACACCTCTGTCAAACGGATTGCCTCTTCCTAATCTTGTCGTTTAGCTTCTGAATTATGCAGAGATAAATGAGTGCAGCAACCTTTTGGCTGCTAGATAATTTTATCAGCCTCATTTATGGCTTTCTATAGATTGCATTAACTGCCATTTCTTTGGAGATAAAAGATAAAGTGTGCCTTATGCAAAATGCTTCACTGAACAAGGAGAGTCTCAGAAGCCACTAACAGCACTAGAAAGCTAAAGGGAAAAGACAGGGAAACGAAAGAGTCCAGCAGCAGCAGGGTTAATTTTGATCACTGTCATGGGTGACCCAAGTCAGGAGCCTGCTTGGCAGGAATGCAGGGGGTCATAGCTAAAATGTGTGCTGGGTAAACTTCTCAGCAACTCCAAATAAAACTTGAGACTGTTTACCTTTTAATTTTTTTTTAAGCAAGTGCACCTGAAAAAAAAAAAAAGTAGCTTTCTGATCACATTCCAGTTCACTATCTTAAGAATTAAGTGTATTACAAGGTGCTCACCATGTGCTGAAAAAGCTGATGTTGTCCTTGAAGGAAGCATCAGAAAAGGGGAGATAAAATGTCCCAAAATATAAAATAGCGAAGGATTACATTAAGCAAATAACAGTTGCCTGTTGAAATCACCCACCATTAAAGTAAAAGGGAGGGAGAGCCTGCTGCACCTTCTGGTATTAATATTGTGCTAGTCTGATGTAAGAGGTTACAACAGGGGAAGCTGGGTGATGAGTATATGGGACTCATTTGTATTATCTTTGCAACTTCTGATGAGTGTATAATTATTTCAAAATGAAAAGTTAAAAAATGTATTGTGGTGGAAATTTGGGAAAGGTTTAATTTAATATATTCAACAAACATTGAACATTTAATATCGCCAGCTCCTGGAGATATAGGGACAAGGAGGACAGATGATACCTCTGCCATCAGGGAGCCTGTGTTTTGGTGAGGAAAGCGGATGACAAAAAATGAGTAAATACATTAGTTGTTTATCATAGCAAGAATTGAGAAGGAAGCAATCACACTGAGATTGAGAACAACTGGAGCAGAGCAGGAAGTAACCAGACCTCTAAGGACATGATGCTTCAGCAGATTCCTGAAGGATAGGAGGTAACTAGCTTGGCAAAGTAAGCAGGAAAGAGCGGCCCAGGTAACAGGAACAGCACACACAACGTCCTGGCAGCGGGAAAGAGCCTGGCTTGCCCATAGAACTGAAAGGAAGCCAAGAACGCTAAAGTGAGCCAGGGGAGAGAGGCAAGAGAGGAGGCTCAAATCATAGTAAGAAGTTTTCTTCCTGAGTCAGATTTGACCTGTGCCTTAAAAGACAGAAACATCAACTTTTAAAATCAATTTCTGAATACTTTTCAGCCTCATCTTCAGTTTGCACATTAAAGAAAATAGTGGCTGGCTATCTCTATGTTCTGCTCTTTAGATGACCCTAGAATACATATACTCCAGATCTAAGTGAAAGAAGCCTGTGACTTTCAGGTGCACTGGCTATCAAAAACATCAAAATCATCTGTTTTCCAGGTACGCTCTCCACATAGCCAAAAAAAAAAAAAAAAAAGTATGATCTCGTAGGCTCTTGTTCAAAGGGAAATGCAAAATATTTGTGAATGTACTTAAAGTCTTCTCTTAAACAAACCAAAACCAGTTGAGCAGAAAAAAAGTCTAGAAATAGAATAACCAAACACACCACTTTCCATTTTTATACAAAGAAATAGAAAAAAGAGAGAGTGCCTATCAGTGATGTGTGGTGTCAGGAGAAGCAAAATATGATTGAAATATTATGAAGACTCACAGCCTTTACCGTCAATGCCAGATCACTGCTGTACACCAAATGTACCTGGTGCTATTTAATTCAGGGGAACCATAAATCTGGAGCCTGCAGAAACATCTGACAACAGTTAAAGATGTTTTGTAAATGTGCATACATATTTATAAACATGGCAGCAGAAGCAGACGCAGAGAAGAAGTGTGCTTCCCCTAAAGTCATCTGAAAGTCAAAAAATGCCATTAATTACTTTGTCACGACAACCTTGTTCAATTTCATCTCAGGTGACTTATCAGCTTTGATGCAGAACTGAAATTTTAATACCAAATTGCAACCAGCTACAGAGGCAGCATACCTTAAAACACAGAGCTTCCCTTTCTTCTAGGCAACATTAAGCTAATCTGCCCTGACAGAAGAGGACTCTTCGGAACTAGCTAGCAAGTCTCCCATATATGAAGCAGTAACCCAAATGTCAATTACTTTTCCAATGGTAGACAAATTGCTAGCACACTAATGCAATTTAAGCCCAATAATTAGATAACAGGACTACAGAGAGGGCCTGGTGACAGAGCTTCTGAGATAATAGAATCTAGTGTCCTACTTCTTAAATATTAACATCATTCTGTCTCAGTCAATCGGTTTATGGTAATTTAAAAAAGGGCAAAGCAAATTCCTTTTATTGCTAATAATATTGTGCTACTGCAGAGTTAGCTTTGAAGGTTAACAATCTATGGGGTCAAAACTTAATCGTGTGTTATCGTGCATTTATGCATTTTTCTTTCACCTCTTTCTTTTGGAATGCCCTTTTTGCAGAAAGCTACGGGTTTATGAGGAACACACATGCAGGCACACACACACAACGTGCTGACAAAAGGCATCCATTGTCAATAAGGTCATCCAACTCAATTAAAAACATTATAAAGAAATCAACCCCTTCACACTGCATACTTTCTAAAATATCTCAATTTGATCAGCTTTTCTTTACCCCATAAATGGCTCATTTTAAGGACACTGTATATGTGCCTACAAATTAGTCTCTAATGTCACCTGCTTTCTTCCCTGACCATCATGATGCTCCCACTTCTATGCCTGGGTTCAAATAACCTCCCTAGAACATTAGTTCCAATTTCTGTTAAACAATAATTCAGTCTATTTTTGTTGGTGGGATGGATTTCATTATTTTTATTTAATCAATTTTCTCCCAAGTGCCTAGCAAGTTCAGAAGCTTCTAGGCCCTTCTAGAAAAAAACATAACAAAGGTGGATTCCCCACAACATTGCACCCTCATGTTTTCAGTAATACATCTGGATGAGTGGTCACAGAAGCTGCTGTCAATCTTGTCGCAACATTGACTCATGAAATTACCAATCCATGTCCAAATTTTGTATTCCCATTTTCCCCACTGTAAAATGGAAGCAGTTTAAAGCTTGTAAAACTCTCCTTGTGAAGAATTTGGTGAAAGATGAGGTGAGGGTAGGGGAGGAAAAGGGAAGATTCCAAAGTTGAGTATCAACAACATCAGTGGTAATAGGAATAACTGTGTTCTCCCCACCCTGTACTTAATAAGACATGTTTAGAGATGAAAAGAAACAAAGAAATAACTGTAGAAAGAAATAATTTTATGAATGTCATTTCTGATGGTAGATTGTTAGTCATTCACGAAAAAAAAAAAAAAAGAAACAAAACAGAACTGGCAGAGCCACCAACAGGTTGAGAGTTAATATGATTTCTCTGTGTTTGTGTATGCAGGGATCAGGCATAGGCAGGTTGCTTTGCCTTGAGATACACAATAGATGAAAGAAGCAGACCCAGAAGTGAGACTGCTGCATCAGATGTATTTCTATTTTTAAGTTTTTGAGCCACCTCCAAACTGCTTTCCATTGTGGCTGCACCAATTTATGTTTCTATGAACACACAAGAGACAAGGGTTCACTTCTTTCCACATCTTCACCAACGCTTGTTATCATCTGTTTGGGGGGTTTGTTTGTTTCTATAACAGCCCTCCCAATAAGTGTGCGGTGACCTCCTGTTGTGGTTTTGATTGCATTCCCATGATGGTATGTATCTAAGGGAACTGAAGTCAGAATCTCCATGAGATATATGCATTTCCATGTTCATTGCACCGCTATTCACAATAGCCAATATATGGAAACAACATAAATGTCCATCAACAATGAATGGATAAAGAAAATGGCATACATGCAGTGATATTACTCAGTCTTAAAAAGGAAGTAAATCCTTTTTGGATTTACTTGGACAGACCCAGAGGTCATAATGCTGAATGAAATAAGCCAGACACAGAAGGACAAATACTACATGATCCCATTATTAGGAGGAATCTGAAATCATCAAAACTCACAGAACCACAAAGTACAACCGTGGTTGCCATGGGTTGGAGAAGGGGGAAGTACAGAAGTGTCAGTCAAAGGGTACAAAGCTCCAGTAATGCAATAAGCTCTGGAGAACTCCTGTATAATGTAAGGCCTATGGTTAATTATACTGTGTTGTAGACTTAAAAATTTGCTATGAGGCTGGATTTTTTTTTTCAAGTGCTCTTACCACAAAAGGAAAATCAACATTAAGCTGGGCACGGTGGCTCACACCTATAATCTCAGCACTCTGGGAAGCTGAAGCAGGAGGATCACTTGAACCCAGGATTTCAAGACCAGCCTTGGCAACAAAGTGAGAACCCCATCTCTACAAAAAAATATGAAAAATTATCCAGGCATGGTGGCATGCACCTGTAGTCCCAGCTACTTGGGAGGCTGAGGCAGGAGGAATATTTGAGCTGCCGTGAGCTCTGATTGTGCCACTGCACTCCAGCCTGGGCAACAGAATGAGATCCTGTCTCAGAAACAAAATGAAAAGAAAAATCAATACTAAAAAATAAATTACATAAAGAACGTGGGAGGAGGCTTTTGGAGGTGATGGATAAATACAAATATACAGCATTGATTATGGTGATGGTTTCCTGGATGTATAGTTACCTCCGAATTTATCAAGCTGTATACGTTAAACATCTACAGCTTTTTAATACCAATTATACCTCAATAAAGTGATTTTTTTTTCAGCATAAAAGAAAGAAACTGACCCAACAGGGATACTGTTAAGCATTTCCATAAGAAAACTCTAGAGGTGCATGAGTTATCTGTGAAACAGCCTTTGTCTTAAGTTCTTGAGTGAAGTCTTTTTTTCCCTCCAAGCCTCGGTGTCCTCCTTTCTAAAAGAAAGAAGATGGATTGAATAACCTCAAAGCACCTTTAAAGCTGCCATGAAGATCGCCAGTCAATGGGGATGGCAAGAAATGATCAAATCACAAGGCAAATCTCTCAGAGCAATCAGGTCTTCCTAGACAAGTTTTGATTGTTGGAATGAAGTTATCTCAGGGCATCGATACCTGAGATAAGAGAACAGTAGAGACACAGCCATGTGAAAATTAGGCTCTAAATAAATGTGTAAAGCAAAAACATCCAGTGGATTCAAACATACCCTTCCCTAGGAAGTTGCTCCGTTAGAAACTGGTTAATGATCTGACATAGCTATGTGTTTCTCCCAACTCAAGGTATGTTTTTTTGTTTGTTTTGTTTTGTTTTTAATGCAGTTGGGCACATGATGAAGGGGCTGGTTTGCATTCAAGGTAGAGGGGAACTGTGGTCTCTTCCAATACTCTGACATGTTCACAATGGGGACCTGAGTTGACCTAGGGGACCCTCAATATTTATGCCCCATCTCATGCTCTAAGTTGTAGTCAATTCCATAATGCTTGTTTTGAACATGCAAATGTATGTCCATGAGTTGACAGAGTATGGAACAATTTTAAAAATTTTCTTTATTTTTAATTATCATGGACACAAAATAGATGTACATATGTACGGGGTACATGTGATGTTTTGATACAGGCAGGCAATGTGTAAGGATCAAATTAAGGTAACTGGGGTATCCATCACCTCAAGCGTTTACCATTTCTTTGTGTTAGGAACATTCTAATTCCACTCTTTTAGTTATTTTAGAAAATACACTAAAATATAGTTAACTATACTCACCCTATTATGACACCAAACATTAGACCTCATTCATTCTATCAACTGTATTTTTACACCCATTAACCATCCCCAATCTCTCCCCACTCCGGGCTACCCTTCTCAGCCTCTGGCAACCATCATTCCACTCTATCTCTGTAAGTCCAATAATGAATACTGGCCAGGATGTGGAGAAAGGGGAATCCTTATACGCTGTTGTTGAGAATGCAAATTAGTATAGCCACTCTGGGGAACAGTATGGAGGTTCCTCGGAAAACTAAAAATAAAACTACCATATGATCCAGCAATCCTTCTGCTGGCTCTCTCCCAAAGAAAAGAAAACCCTTATAAAGAAGAGGTCTGCACCTCTATGTTCATTGCAGCACTGCTCACAATAGCCAAGGAATGGAAGCCACCTTCATGTCCACTAACGGAGGAATGAAGAAAGCCACTGTGGTACCATAGATACAATGGAATATTATTCAGCTACACAAAGAATGAAATCCTGTCATTTGCAACAACATGGGTGGAACTGGAGGGACATTATGTTAAGCGAAATAAGCCAGACACAGAAAGACAAATATCACATGTTCTCACTCATATGTGGGAGCTAAAAAAACTAGGGAACGATTTGAGCATAATGCGGATTTCACATTTGCTCATGCTCGATTTCACTTAAAAAAAAAAAAAAACCTCACTAAGTTAACACCGAAAACTCTATCCAGCAAAAATGAGCTGCATAAAAATACACAAATACACACACACAAGCACACACCTCAAACACTTACCTGCTACGTCAATTCACAGCATGTGTTCCTGAGTCATACCCACCCACATCTGGTGTTACCATTTACCATCTGGTTTCAGGTAAGTCCCCTTGTCTATCCCATCACAATAACACACAAGACACAACCCTTCAGACGTGTCCTTCCCCAAGCAAACTTGTGAACTTCTTCAAGGTAAAGGGTTATCTCTCCTGTAGTATTTATGTATTTCTTAATCATTTAACGTGTGTAAAACTGTATTTTTTTAAATGTGTCACTGATGAAACTTTTTAGTGTGGTGCTTTTAATCCCATTTTCCCCTTAAGTCCCATGGTTTATATTGTGTGATTTTACACAGAGTGGTGATTTTTAGGAACACATATGTTGTGTTATCGCAAAACTGATGGTATACACTCTTGCTAACAAGAAGGCAACTGGAATCACCCACACCATTTGATTTCATTTCTCTCTTTCTCTCTCTCTCTCTCTCACTCACATCAGGTGACCCTACTACATCGCAGATGCTTAAAACTGCTCTCTTTCGGGGCATACAATGAAAAGCGTTGAACAAAAGGCTTGAGGAAAGGGATGCAGAGAGACCGTCCACCCTCTTGTCATTAGGGAGAATCCCGGCTGTTCTTGAGGCCGCAGCTCTGATATTAATAGTTGTATTCATCTTTCCAGAAGTCTTAGGTAGCCTTATGCTCTCTCACTGTCTTTCAGAATCAAGGTGTTCCCTGAGATAACAGAAACAATTTGGCTCCCTTTCCAATGGGGTCCTTGCAGAAGCTTACTGCCAGCACCCTCTAGACATCTCCATTTGTATCTTCCAAATGGTGCCATCTCTAGGCCTGGCTATCTCCATCAACCCCTGCTCATTGTCCAAGGTCAAAAACCTTGGATAGCTGGCTGTCGGTGAACATCCAGCTGTAGTTTCTGGCTGTGCTCATGAGTGTTCGCACAGTCCAGGACATAACTTATGTGTTTTTCTTCTAGTCTTCATAACCTTCTGATAGGTAGCTGTGGCTGAGAGTGTTGGCAGAGCAGTGTGTAAATTTGTTGTGCTAACAAGCATCCCATACAGATTTTTAAAAATATATACTGTGAGCCCCTGTCTATAAAGTTCTACTTCTTTACTGGTTTTCACAGATAAAACTCATCTGCTACCCCCTCATCTCTCCCCAAAGAAGTTTGAAATGCACGGTACCAGGTGAATATGTAGACAACTTAAATTATCTGCATCAGGTAAGTATTATTTAGTTAATACAAAACCAATATATTATTAAACAGATTAAAGACCTTTGGTCCAATGTGCTAGAAAAGCACTAAATCTGAATTAGAACTACCATTTTAGTCACTCAGGATTAGACCTTTTGGTGACGTGATCCATTAATGTGCTTTAGATCTACTGATTCATCCTGGAAAGACACAATTTAAACTCAGAAGTCACAAAATGAACTTCCCATTAAGTTTGGGAGACTATGGTCACAGCTCATTTGACTTTCATGAACTAGAAAATGTGATGTAGACCACAATGGCATTCTATTAGGGGAAATCATGCATTTAACCATGTAGCAAAATACTGTAGTCAATTATGTGAACATACACCTATTTTACACATGGCTGGTTCTCTGACTTTAAATTATTAAGAATGTGCATTTAGCTTGTTTTAACCAGTATTTACTCCCGAGTAAGAGATCTGTGATGAAACTTTGTTCAAAAAGTAAATGAATATTTTTCATTTATATTAAATATTTTTTTCAATAAGAAAATGGAACGGAGCATAGAAACTTTTGCTATATTTCTTTGCTGCAGAAGAGAAAACACGTGACCTATTTGCTTTTCATAAATGAAAAAATATATATATTCTATCAGAGAGATTTAAAAAATGTTCAGTCAAAAGCAGATTTGATATTCATCTGCCAGCCTGGAAAACATAATGATAATGTAAAAAGAAGCGGATGATAGGGAAAAAAAAACCTGTTTAGAGAAGGTTTAGTTTCCTTTTTCTAGAGCTCATCTTGATGGTGTACTCTATAAACATCATTTTCCCTCAATATAATTTTGTTTATATTAGTATTATACTTAAGCCAGGCTATATTAATACTAGACTCATTATTATTCTATATTTCAGCAAGGGTACACTTTAGTTCCAAAAATAATTCAACCCACTTCTAACTCGACTCAATCACCACCAACTTTTAAATGTTATGCTTCCACCCCTCTACCTGCCAAATTCCTAATCATAAAAGTCTATTTAAAAGCATGGAATGTTAGGAATTATCTAATCCAATCTCTTGTTTTCAGAAGATGAATTAAGTCCCACAGAGGTTACTGACATGCTCAAGGTCACACAGTTCCACAGAGATAACTCATCGCAAAAGCATTCATTGTCCTCTATTTTAACATCTTAAAAAGAGTCTCCCTCTTTATTTTCTTTAAGAAGGTCTCCCGTGGGCTTCATTCACAAAGTCATAGACAAAACATGTAATATGCTGATTATGTTTAGAGAGCATTCCTGCCTATGTGTTATTCCCTTGAATGTATCTTGTCATCAAGTCTTGCTGATTCTTTCTCCTTTTTATCTACTCAAATTAGCTTTTCTTTTTCTGTGTGCACATTCAATACCCTTGTCTTGGCGCTAACCTCAGAAGGTCTGTCTGAAGCATGATAAAAATCATCCTTGTGTTTTCACTTATAAGTGGCTGCCAAATGATGAGAACTCACCTGTCACCCCCCTCATCCTTCCCCCAAAAGTCTGAAATGCACAGGACCAGGTGAATATGTAGACAAGTTAAATTATCTGCGTCAGGTAAGTATTAGTTAATTCAATGCCATTATTATGAAAGAGATTAAAGACCTTTTGGTCCAATGTGTTAGAAAAGCCACAAATGAAAGCATGTCCTTTGCAGCAACATGGATGTAGATAGAGGCCATCGTCTTTAGCAAACTAATGCAGGGACAGAAAACCAAATGCCACTTTTTCTCACTTACAAGTGGAAGCTAAATGATGGAAACTCATGGACACGAAGGGAACAACAGACACTGAGTCCTACTTGAGGGTGGAGGATGGAGGGTGGGAGGAGGGAGAGGAGCAGAAAAAAATAATTATTGGATACCGGGCTTAATACCTGGGTGACGCAATAATCTGTACAACGAATCCCCATGACATGACTTTATCTATATAAGAAAACAACATATGAACCCCTGAATCTTAAATAAAAATTAAAAAAAAAAAAAGAAACTCATTGTGCACCAAACAGGTGATCCTGGTCCTCTACTGTTCCTATTATCTGGTTTTGTCTTTGCGGGAAACAGAAGCACCAGGTTGAGTTCAAGAAATTATAGAGAAGTTAGTTGATGGGAATTAACCATTAATTGTGCTCAGGTGGAGCAGGGATGATAGAACAAGCAACCCAGTGTTGGCTTGCAGGTCCCCAACATGGGTAAGCTGAAACCACATGTGATTCACCATGGTGCAGATTGCGGATGGGGTGGAGGGGTATTGATTTCAGTTTGAGACACAACGAATGAAGGGTGTCCAGGGGTCAGTGGGAGATACGGATGATAAAATATGAGTCTCAAGCTTGGAAAAAAAAAGAAAAACACTGGAACTAGAAATCTCAGTTTGGGGAGTCACCAAGAGATGCTTGGGGGCCACCAGAGGGAGGGTGCAGAGGAAGAAGAAATAAGACGTATGCATAGTATCCACAGCCTCTGGTGACATGCATGCATTTAACTGACACTATTTCAGAACCTCCCAATATAAAGCTTTCTATTTGTCCTTAAATCACTGGCTAGGTGGACATTTTTAACTAATGGATTTAACATATATCTGAGGACAGCAATTATATATGTCTTTCTTCTTTTTTATTCCACTCTAATACACACATTTTTGAAGAAAGCACATAGTAGATGCTTTAAGAATGTCACTGAATGATGTTACACAACTTCAGCTACTGGAATCCAGTGTAGGCAGCGGACAGAGATGACCTCGATGCAGAAAATGTAATAAAAGACAGGACGGAGTAGGAAATCAATGTCTCCATATGTAAACAGGGAGAAAAAAAAAAAAGATGAACCAGACATTATTAGCATGATATATAAGGATTGCATAGCCCCATTTATATCGCTTGTATTAAGGATAAATTGCCTGAATAAATTCTATTATTCAAAGAAATAGCACAAATAACAAGCTGACAGCATCAGGAAAAAAATGAAAATAATAATGTTGATACTGCTGGAATTGCATGTTATTTCTCTATTTCCAGTTTCAGGGACCGAGTTAGGCAATAATTCACATTTGGGGGGTGGATTTGGCTTTTTAAGTCGCAGCCACGCATCCATATTGAAATATTTCAGAATGGGAAGCTAATTATTTATCGTTAATAAAAGTCCAGATTTATTGTCTACTGTATCCCATGCAATGTGTTAAACGTTTTCTGCAAATTATTTAAATTACCTACAAAAAATCTGAAAGATAATGTTATCCTGTCAATTTCATAGATGATGAAACTGAAGCCCTGTTAGGTCACTCGCTCAAAATAACATATCCAGTAACTTGACAGATGCAGAGACCTGCACACAACTTCCTCTGGTGCAGGGGTAAAAAAAGCACGAGCTTAGGAATCCTGAATTCAAACTCCTGGTAGCTTTGTTACCTTAAATGGCTGAATTAACTCTTTGAGGCCTCAGTTTCTGCATCTGAAAAGGGAGACAATGAAGCCTAACTTGTAGAACTATTTGAAGCACTAAGTGAGAATGAATGCAAAGCACTTGACCCAGTACCAGGCCCATAGTAAGCATACTGTGTATGGTAATTAATGGTTCTCATAGGATTTATTTTTATTATGAATATTACAAGTACTCCTAGTCTTTATGATTCTTACTTCAAATCCAGACTTCTATTTAAATTCCACCCAATCTATTTCCCAGCATGGCTCTGCTTCTTCTCAAGCCCGTTTATCTCTTTCTGGAGATGTGTTAGGATCATGATTCCTAAATCACATAAACTCAATCTGGCCCTTTGAAGGCTCTTAAATGGCTACTGCTTCCGTGACTCAAAGTAAGCATATTTTGGCATCCCTGCTCACCCCATGACCTCAGAGAGAGCACATATCCATTCTACAAACCTTTTTTTTTTTTTCTTTTTTAAAGACAGAGTTTCTCCCTTGTTTCCCAGGCTGGAGTGCAATGGTGCAATCTCGGCTCACTGCAACCTCCACCACCCGGGTTCAAGTGATTCTCCTGCCTCAGCCTCCCAAGTAGCTGGGACTACAGGCACGTGCCACCACGCCTGGCTAATTTTTTGTATTTTTAGTAGACATGGGGTTTCTCCATGTTGGTCAGGCTGGTCTCGAAATCCCGACCTCAGGTGATTGGCCCGCCTTGGCCTCTCAAAGTCCTGGAATTACAGGCATGAGCCACTGCGCCCGGCCCATTCTACAAACCTAACGAGCATCTACTAAAGGCCATAAATTTTTCTCAGTCCAGAAGACGGAAAGATACATAAACTCCTGATTGACTTTTAAGGAACGTGTGGTGGGAGCAACAAAAGTCAAGAGTTAAAATGGAGGCACAGCACAAATGCTATAATAAGACTGGCTTACAAGGCAAGATGGCGGACTCTAAACATTGCCAAGATGAAAGAAAACCTATAATGGGGATAAAAAGGCGGTAGGTAAGAAGGCATTTTATAAAGGAAAATATGTCGTATGATTAATACCTTTCTTAAGCCATCTGTTTGCTCCTGGGTATTTTACATCAGCATTTTGCAAAACTGTGAACCCTAACATCTTATGTTTCTCTGATTCCGTATCTGAAAGATTTGGGGGCAAGGAAAAACTGGCCTAGAGTAATGCAGACTTCATGAATTAAAAAAGAATGAACTAAAAGATTCATCACAGAGTAAGTTAAATAGGGTTGGTTTCCTAAAAATCTTGAAAACTATTCATATCTACTCACTCATTCATTCTAGTAGTCACTCAGATATTAAGCACCTAGTACACATGACATACCATATTAATCACTAAGGATAGAGATAAACATAAAGCTCTTGCCCTCAAGGGAAGGTACACGAAACGTAAAGTTGAAAATGGACAGATAAACAGTATTTACAATTATGCATCAAGATAGATGTATAGGGATAGAGTATTTGGAGTGCCCATGAATGTAAGAAACCCTAACCCAGAAAATGAGACAAAGAGCCAGTGGCACTCAGGGAAAGAATGCCTGGAGGAAGGCTGCCTCTGAATCGAGAGTTAGAAGATAAGTAGACATTTTCAGGCCAAGATAGTAGAAGGGAATGGGGTGGGTCCAGGGAGCAGCATACATAAAGACAGAGAAATGAGTACAGGCTCATTACGTGCACTGAACTGTAAATAGGCTGTTCTTGAAAGAGAGAAACAAGGAGTGTTCCTGAGAGCAGAGAGGAACAAGTCACGTTACTAAGCTTGGTCATAATCCTGAAAACACTTAAACAGGGGAAAGGCATGACCAAATTTTTATTTTCAAGCATGAGGGATTTGAAGGGGAAAGAGAAGAAATGCCAATTAGAAGCTCGTTGCAGCAGCCTGGGTGAGAGGTGAACTGGTCACAAAGAACAGTGAGAATAAGGCAAATGCTGGATTCTGTGGCTCTTCAGGAGGTAATGCAGGACCTCAGGTTGAGATGGGGGAGCTGCAGAGCCTGAACAACAAGTTTCTAAACTGAGGACCTGAGGGCCATCAACTGAGAGAGGATGAGGGAAGGAACGGTATGAAATGATGACCAGATGTGGAATTCCACTTACTTAGAATGTGTGAGTTCCAGGAAGACACATCCAAGAGGCAGTTAGTATACAGGAATGAGATTCTAGGCTTCATCAGCTTAGAGGCATGTTGTGTGAATTAGGTCACCCATGAGAAAACACAATGGAAAGCCAAGAGGCGGAGGTCAGAACCTTGGAGAGCAACTTCGCTTAGGTGTGAACACAGGAAGATGAGGCAATGCAAAAAGCCAGAAAACAATGAGGCAGAGACTCGGCAAGTTTACCAGGAGAATGAAGGAAGAACAGAGCTTTCAAAAGGAAGGAGGGATGTGCAGTGACAAACCCAGTGGGGAGGGTAAAACAGGAAAAGACCCAAAATACCCAAAGAAATGGGCAGTTTCAATGTGAGAATCAAGGTAAAAATCAGGCTGAAAAATGAAGGCTGAATACAATTCAAAATGTTTAGCATTTACTGCACACTCACTGCTGCCCAAGTCACTGAATGCTTTGCCTGTTTTATTGTGTTTATTCTTTATTTTTTAAAAGTAGCCCCTATTAGCATCTTTGCTTTGCCATTGATGAAACCGAGGTTCCCAGGGTTATGTGACTTGCTCTAGGTCACTTAGCCAGTAAATGATAATGTCTATCCAACTCTTGTCCTCCTAGAGTTCATTTCCTACTAACCTTCTCACTGAATTTTATATATATATATATATATATATATATATATATAGTATATATATATAATGTATATATATATATATATATAATGTATATATATGTAAAGAATATGGACACTGGGGCTGTGTCAAATTTCTTAACTCCCACGAAGAGATAATCTGATTGGCCAGCCCCATGCATGTCTCTCCTCAGTCTAATCAGCTGTTGCCAGCAAGGGGATTTTCAATCTGCTGCGAGAGTCCCCAGAGCCTTGGATGAGGTTTTCAAAGAACAGATAAGGACATAGGATGAACACATTGCCTCACCAACACGATTCATTTGCATTGAAATCACTAAATGTATTACAGAGTTAGAGATGAATCTTCGGGAGGTACGTCACAAACTGCTTTAATTATACATTTCTTCATGGAACAAAGATAAACATTCTCATTATTTCACAGCCATCAGATGAATGGGACTTTTTCAGGCTACCAGTTCCAACACACTGAGTTGGGACATTTAATTGAATTTCGACATAATATATCACTCAAAGAGTGCTTGTCTGTTATGAAATATTAGCTTTGGTGTTGCATCTTATGAGATGGATCTCAATAAAGATGCTTTTTATTAATGATAATAAACAATGTTTACGGAAATCTTTTAGTGCATGACAACCTGTGCTAAGCATTTCACATGCATAATCTTACTGACTCATCCCAACAACCTTATGAGGTCAGTACAATTATCATTGCTGATTTATAGATAACCAAACAGACACAGAGCGTCTAGAGCACATATTGAGAGTTACATGGTAGACTCAAGATATAAACTTGGATCTCCACCACCGTATCTCTGAAGTTTGCATACCATTTTCTATCATAAATTATAAGAAGATGCTTAGTGACCATCCTTATTAAAGCTGTCAGTTAAGAGATAGGTAAAACGGTGTGTGAGCTGTGCATGTGTATGGGGGTGTTGGGAGGAAGGAAGGGGAAAATGGAGAGGGAAGGAAGAAGAAATGAGGGAGGTAGAGGGGCTCAAATAAAGACAGTAAGAAGAGACAAAACTAGAACTAAGAATGACATTATTCATCTTATCTGCCGTTCCTTCAGAAGACAAAATGCCAAGCCCATCTCTACCTACTCATTAGCGAGCTACCAATGCCAATTTTGATGTGGCATGAGAACAAGCACAGCCACCCTACAGATAATAGGGTAGAATGCCCTCCCAACACCCAAGGACTGGTCCCGAGGGGTGTGCTGGGGAGATCTCGCTGCGTTAAATAGCACTGACATCTTCCAAACTAAATTGCGATGGGGAAGGAAACAGAATTAATAGTTATTGATACAGGGGAGAGAGCAGGAGGTAGCAGGAGGCAGATGCAGCTCATGCTGAATTCCTTAGTCCTGAAAATTATGCCTAGAAGTAACAGAAATGTTCTAATTCCATGACCTTCTTCCTCAATCTACTAGATGTAGTTCCATACCACTTTGTCCCAAGACATATTTACAGAATTCCAAGGCTGATACTAACCCCTTGGTTACTATGTCAGCTTAGCAGTGACATAATTGCAGAGATGATTCTCCCCCCTTCAAATCACGAGGTTTCTGTTAGGAAATCTAGTGCAAAATTCTGAAAATCAAGTCTCGATACCTGCATTCCAAGGAAAGCTCTGTGGTGAACTTCCATAAGATTTTCGGTAAGTCATAAACATTCTCTCTGCCATGAGTTTCCAGCTTGTTAAATAAGTCAAAACATCTTAAAAACTCCAAATCACCATAAAAAGGCAACAGAAATTGCCTTTTGGACCATGCAACAAAAAAATTACAGATTACTCTTGTTTTCTTACCCTTTCTCAGTTCTAGCAACTATATATTTCTCTATACGGTGCTAACTTTTTTTCTCTCCAATAAAGAATGCATTCAGTGGTATACTCATAACATTTGAGATACACGGCAGTTGTAAAGTGGGGCATGGTAAACATCACTTATCATGATAAATATCACTTCCTGTTGCACAGTACCATGTGACCACCCCCTAAATTCTCAAGAGTGACTCAAAGTCAAAATCTGGCCTCACTTGCCAGTGAAAGGACATGCCATCCCTCCCCTTCCTCTGGCAACAATTTCTGCTATAGGAGAAAGCTTACAAGGGTGGGTTATCATAATCACAGGCACTATGACAGGGAGAAGACAACATTCAGAACTCATTTATAGAACATTTTCAGGTAAAACACCGCTTGAAAATACTGCCCAGCCCAATAGCCAAGTTCAGCAATGGAGGCGACTGTAGTTTAACTCATGCCTGTATCAGATGAAGAAAAAAAAAAAAAAAAACCACAGACGCATTATTCAATCCAACCAAGCTGTCTGTCTAGAAGATGCTTCAGGACTGATTAATGACAGAAAGCAAAGAGGAACCACACAGACCTTGGCTGTCAAGGTCAAATGCACAAGCAGACAGAATCGGGAGAGGCTGGGAGGCTGCCCGATCTGGATTTAGACTGCCGGCCTCAAGTTTTGGCTGGAGCCCCCGGCGTGTTGTCATTCACTCTCACTTACAGTCACACCACACACAAGATGGAGAGGCATATGGTACATTTCTCCCAACTCGGTTTAAATGTGGGCTCTAATTTAAGCTTTAAACCTTTTAGAATTCTTTGCCAGCAAGATAAAATACATAAGCCATGATATTCTGAGCACCATATTTTGCTGCAATATGCCTGATAGCACGTGGTTCAATAATTTTAAGGGTGGGACCAACAGAGACTAAGTCAAGTGGCATCTCTGAGAGGGGAAATTGGTGGCTGTGTGTTCCCCAAAAGCAAAATGTTAGGCAAATAATAATAGTACCATCGACGATATATCAAGTGCTTATATGTTACAGGCAGTGCTGAAAGATTTAAGTCGATTTTTCTCATTCAACTTCATAACAATCCTATGGAGTAAGTCCTTTTATTATCCTAATTTTCTGAAATAATCAACACAGGATTAGAAAACTAAGTAGTTCATTCCATTCCAGGTTGCCTAGTCTGTTGCATAAAGCCAGGATTCAAACATAGGCTGTAGGACCCCGGATGCTACATACCTGACACTACATAATTCTGTTGATACTATATACAGAACAACGTCTATAGGACACATCCTAACATTACTACTTAGTGTTGGTTTGGATGTAATAACTTTGAACTCAACATCCCCAAACAAGACATGAAGCCAAAATGGAGTCATTCAAATAACTGCCCTTCATTCATTCATTGATTTAAATACTTATTGAACATCTACAGAATTTGAAGCACAGGAGTATGCACTAAGGACTTCATAAATACTATTTCGGTTTGAGGGTACTAATCAAAATAGTATTCCACTTTGAGCAAAAAATAATAAAACTGCACACCTGAATTCACACATATACAAACATAGATAACTTCACAAAATGTTTATCTCTTTCACTGAAATTTCAATCTAAGACCTCAAACTATGAAACTACTACAAGAAAACATTGGGGAAAATCTCCAGGACATTAGTCTGGGCAAAGATTTTCTTTAGCAATACCCCTCAAGCACAGGCAACCAAAGCAAACATGGACAATTGGGATCACATCAAGTGAAAAAGCTTCTACACAACAAAATATATGTTTAACCATGTGAAAAGACAAACCACAGAAAGGGAGAAAATATCCATGGAATAATTTTTTTAAAAAATATCATATATTACTTGTTTAGTGGAATGTACGAATTCTAGGAGTCAGAGTGTTCTAACCTCAACCACAACTGGAGAGAGACAACAGGTGAATTAAGACTCCAAATAAATGCAACCACCAGCTGTCCTTTATAGCTACTTCCAATAGCATCAGGTGATGAGTTAAAATGCCCCCAACAACGAGAGCAGGTGGGACAGCCACGTCCCTGTGGTTTGAGTGCTCCCGCACCTAAGCTATCTCCCAAACCTTCAGCAAGCTAACCAATGCATTTAACCCTTCTGAAAGAGCTAAATAGCAATTAGCCCCGGCAACCCAACAGTTCTCTGTCACTGTTGCAGCAAGCGACTCTGCATTAACAGCTGAGGAGTTTATGATGAGTTGGCAAAAAGAGACACCTGTGAACCAGCGCGCACTAGACTCTTGAATGCACTCCGGGAATGGCACTCAGTGTCCTGATGCGGACTCCAGGGCCCCCTTTCCAGTCCTTTGGTAAGCTCTCTGTATCTCCCTGTGCCATCAGCTTCATCCTCAATGCTTGTTATGTTTGATGTTGTAACATTTGCTATGAAAGCATTCATTGTAATATCCATCTGACAGCTGCTGGTAAGCAAAACAATTGCATGACAACAGATGGAAAATGGAACCATTTGGTGGTTTAGAATGGCACAGGTAATTTTCAGAGGTCATCTGAAACCACATAAAACATGGAAGACTTAGCATCTGTGCCCAGGTTCATAGAGGGTTAGATAAATAAACATGTTCAAATATTTCAGAATTGACTAGCTTCATCTTGCACTGCACTTGGAGTCTCATTTGGCACTGCAAAATTTCTTTCAACCTCTCTTATTACAGATCTCTTAATAAAAGAAAAGCAGACTGGTGTTTTAGTCCACTACTACTTTTGGCAATGCAAAACTGATACACCTGGCTAAAAATGAACTGTATGTGCTTCAAAGTATCAGCGGTAGGAAGGTTTGGGACATTTTCATTTGCATTTAAAGATGACACTGATACAGGTGCCCATTTACTGTGTTCCATTTTTTCGCCTCCACTTCATTCAGTGTAGTCTCATTACTTCCAAGATTTTTTCATTCACAGCTTTATACTTTTTAATTTAATTCCTGAAGTTGACAGCTCTCTGGTAGCTGGGAAACAAGGAGTTAGCAGAAAATGTAAGCAGAAACAAAATATATTGATTGTTATTTTGTTTTCCTCATAGCTGAAGGTTTCTGGTTTCATACACCTCTTTGCGTTGTCTGAAATAGACAATAACATCAGAGAAAGGTTGCCAGCCAGGTTTACGAACACTGTATTTTATGTTTAGCCTTTTTTTTTTTTTTTTTTTGGCTAAAACAAAATCAATAACAGCAGATAAATTTCTTCTCAAAGCTCTAATTGTTTCTTGGTCTTCTGGAGAAAATTTTTTTTTTTCTCATGGTAAAAACTTAGAAAAAATTGAAGGAAGCATGAAAATAAATCACTCAGTCTGCCTCCTTGAAACAGCCACTAGTTAATGTGTGGGTAGACGTAAACTATTGACCCTTGGATCACGCCAGTTTGAACTGAACAGGCTTACTTATATATGGATTTTTTATCCAACTGAGCATACATAGAAGATACAGTTTTCATGGGATGCAAAACTTACAAATATAGAGGGAAAACTTTTTGTATACGTGGATCCCACAAAGCCAGAATTTTGGTATTAGTGAGGATCCTTCGTGGACACTGAGGGATGAGTGTATACACATATACATACACACAGCACATGTGTGTTAAATAATTTCATGGCAAAATAAGAATAGTTGAGATTAAATACACACATTCATGTGCACACATATGCACGCACATGTGCAAAACAGTTAACACTGGTAACATTCTAAGGTTAACACATGTGCCAAACAGTTAACAATGGTCACATTCGTATCAGAGCCAGAGAGGAAAGCTGACTTTGCTCTGGGTGTCTGGCAAACGTTTGTTAATGTTATCCTAGCCTGCCCCTCCGTCTCCCACTCTCTACATCCCACTTTGCCATCAAATCCAAGCAGTTACCAAGTAAGGTGCATTTTTCCTTCTAAATTTTGATTAAAACTACCTACTTGCTCAGTTCCCACTGGAACCACCTGTATCCTGATCTCCAGCCTGGATTAATATGAAAATCTCCTAACTGATATCCTTGGTTCCAGCTGGGTCTTCTCCAATCTGTTTTCCAGAGACACCTTACACAATACTTGTGAGAGCTAGTTATTTTTGGTTACAGTAATTCTTAAATTCCCCATCATTAGAAAAGCTTAGAAAATGCTGAGCTGTCTGACTTCCGCCTAAATTCCCAATCTTTTATCCCTGTTATCTCTGCCCTGACCCTTCCTCTAGTTTCTCAGCCTCGTCACATCTAGGGGTGTTGTGCATGCTGTTATCACCTTAGCTTAAAATATCCCTCCTCTACTCTTTCCTCCTCTCATGGCTTAGACCAAAGCATCTCTCCAAGAAAACATCGATCGTCATCCCAACTCACTTCCCTAGAAGGCAGAATGCTTTCTATGACCTGATACAGGTCATCCAAAGGGTTCCTGTTTCCCCCATGAAAGCATCAGGGCTTTGTATGATAGGGCCAAGCATGACAATAACTTTCTAACTATACATCTACGATAAAAGTGTCTCTCTGATATAGTGTTGCATCCCCTCTACTGGTCCATGATAACTGATGCTCAAAAACATGCCAAATGGATATCAAATCATTACAGTTCAACAGTATCACTGACTAGATACACAGATAAATATACCCAAATAAAGAGATCAATGGAGCTTCAGAAACATCCAATGACTTGTGAGGATCTTGAACCACGAGAGTATTGAGCGAAGATTAGATTTCTCCCAACTCGGGGGCCTTTGTTCACCAGTGTGACCCTACATTCTCTGCATATTCTGCTATGCCCAATACTGCCCACATGGAGGATTGACCTCTTCTTCCATCTCCTTTTCACTCCCCATTGGCACCAATGTTGCCATGTTCACTGCTCCCCTCCTAGAGGCAAGGTCAACGTCATCTCCAGACATGCCCATTGCTATGGAGCTTCCATCTTGTTTCCTGACTTCAGTCTTTCCTCACACTAACCCATAATCCATCCAAATACAGCCTATGGCATGGTCCACACCAAGCCACACTCTCCCTATCTCTGCTTTCAACGTGAAGCTAGGGCAATGTCCAGTTCTTTTCCCTGACCTCACACTCCTCCCCGCCCCTCTCCTCACTATATCCATCTCCATTCTTAGTTATCTGTTTCTGCAGTCTACTCTCTAACCAAGCAAGTATCTTTACAGACCCTTATGAACAATGTATTCATTCTTGTGCTCACACCTCGGCATGGAACATTCCCCATATGCAGATGATCCTCTCTATTTATCTTTACTAATTCATAACCTCTCCTTCTTCAAACTCACTCCAAATTCCCTTGCACAGAAAAATCATCCCCTGGAACAACACTCTAACCCAGAGTCATCAGTTGTATATTTCTTCATGAATCAGTCTATAAATGACTGAGTTTTAGACTGATGATGACGAACCCAGGAGTTAAAAAAAGCACTTCACCACATTTGATTTTTTTGGCATTGTTTTGTTGAGTTTACAGATCACAGCCAAAAAAATGAATTCATATACAGATATAATCATGTCAGAAAAAAATATTTTTCAAATCCTCTGGACAATCCTCCTACTTCCGTTGCAAGAAACACACATCCAAGGAGAATAGAGAAATAATAATGCCACAGCAGTACAAGATTGACTTTAAGTCATAGCTATTTAGGTAAGAAAGAAGATGTGGGTCTGCCTGTCCTTAGCTCTAAGGAGGGTAACACACCCTGTTGCTATGCTCTGAAAGGTTCCTGTCTTCCTTCTTCTTTAGGATGTCAAGGAAAGAAGATCCAACTCTCCTCCTGTCTCCTACTCTCACGCTCATCAACCATGTCATTATCACAGACTTTTAAAAAATTTAATGATTTACATGAAATTATAGTGTTTTAAGGAACAAGTCCACAGTCTTTCTCCAAGTTTTATTTCTTGTAAGAAAACAGACATTAACAATTTAGACCCACAAGTGTATAGGGGTGAAATATTATATTCTATTTAGCTATGAGGAATTTTTTAAATGCTCTGTGTACATTGGTACTTAAACCCACGCTGATCACCTTCCAAGCCCTTGTTTGCAAACACGATTTCATCGTGAACAAGGATGCAGTGGAAAGAGACAGGCTGGGGATAGGAAAGGAAAGCAAGGCTCTGGTTTGAGTTCTGCTATTGAATACTCAAGTGGCTTTAACCCCTCTGAACTTCGGTTTCTTCATTGTAAAATGGAGATAATCAGCTTATTGTCGGTATTGAACGCCTTGAAACAGGATAAGATCACCTCGAAGGTGGGCAGGAGGGAAGCCTTGTTGGAATGAATTCAAGAGAGAATGGAAGGAAAAGAAATTATAGCAAATATAGACAAGTTTTATTTCAGAGTTTTGTAAAGGAAATCAGAGAAAGAGAGTGACAGATGGAGAGGAAATAGAGTCACAGGGTAATTTTTTTAAATGTTGAATATATTAGAGCCTGTGCACATGGTGAAGGATGTGAGCTGGTCCTGTCTAAAGGTGTCTAATGCCATCCATAAGAAGGAAAGTCCTAAATCTATATCTCCATATCAAACCTCTTCCTTGTTCTACAGACGCACAGAGCTGTCTCCTTGACATCTCTCCTTGGAAATCCAATGGGCACCTCATGCCGAATTCACACAAGTGTAAACCTGCAATTCCTCTTCCTTCTTCTCTCTCTCTTTCCCTGAACAGCTGCTTCTCTTGCAATCCATCTTGGAACTAGCACTTCAATTTTCTGAATGCTCAAGCTTAAATTCCTGTAGTAGACCAGAAGCGGTGGCTCATGCCTATAATCCCAGCACTTTGGAAGGCTGAGGCGGGTGGATCACGAGGTCAAGAGATCAAGGCCATCCTGGCCAACATGGCGAAACCCCGTCTCTACTAAAAATACAAAAAAAAAAAAAATGAGCCAGGCATGGTGGCAGCCACCTGTAATCCCAGCTACTCGAGACGGTGAGGCAGGAGAATTGCTTGAACCCGGGAGGCGGAGGTTGCAGTGAACTGAGATCGCACCACTGCACTCCAGCCTGGGCAAAAGAGCGAGACTCTGTCTAAAATAATAAGAATAATAAAAATTCCCATAGTAAACACTGACCCCTCTCTCTCTTTCACATCTCACGTTCAAACCATTACCTAAGCATACGATCATATAGTCTTTGCTTTGGAAATATATCCAAACTCTGACCACTTCTCACACCTGCAAGTTCTGTTCCATTTACCACGACTTCTCACCCCCATGAGTGTAATGTCTCCTTCTGGATTCCCTGGTTCCATCCTTTCCCACACCTATTCTCCACCCAGCAGCCAGAGTATTTATTTTAAATGGGCATGATGTCATGTTGCTCATGTGCTCAACATCCTCTGATATGGTTTGGCTGTGTCCCCACCCAAATCTCATCTTGAACTGTAGTTCCCATAATTCCCATATGTTATGGGAGAAGCCGGATGGGAGGTAACTGAATCATGGGGGCAGTTTCCCCCATACTGTTTTCATGGTAGTGAATAACTCTCATGAGATAGGATGGTTTTATAAGGGGAAATCCCTTTCCTTTGTCTCTTTCTCTTGCCTGCCACCATGTAAAACATGCCTTTTGCCTTCTGGCACGATTGTGCGGTCTCCCCAGCCATGTGGAACTGGAAGTCCATTAAACCACTTTTTTCTTTATAAATGACCCACTCTCAGGTATGTCTTTACCAGCAGTGTGAAAATGGACTAATACATCCTCCAATGGCTTCTTTTCCTGCTCAAAGCTAAATCCCAGGTCCATACTATGACCTTCAAAGCCCTACATGCTCCAGTCCCCTCCTAGCTTCTACCCCAGCTAACACTCACCTCATGTGGTACCACTCTTGTCTCTTTTTCTCCCCTACCCCAGGCTCCAGCCACACTAAACTCCTTGCTGTGGATATGACAAGAAGTCTGCAGCCAGGTGTCTTTACACCGGCCGTTCCTTCTTTCTGATCTTCTAGACATCCACGTGAATCTTTTCCTCACCACCTCCATGTTTCTGCACAAATGTTACACATCAGAGATGTATTCCCAGACCCCTCTCTCATATATAACAGCATCCCTTACCCAATCGAACATATCCTATTCTCCTTACATTTATTTATTTATTTATTTATTTATTTATTTATTTATTTAATTTTTTTAGATGGAGCCTTGCTCTGTCACCCAGACTGGAGCACAATGGCGCGATCTCGGCTCACTGCAACCTCCACCTCCCGAGTTCAAGCTATTATCCTGCCTCAGCCTCCAGAGTAGCTGGGATTACAGGAGTATGGCACCGCACCTGGCTAATTTTTTGTATTTTTAGTAGAGACAGGGTTTCACCTTGTTACCCAGGATGGTCTCGATCTCCTGACCTCCTGATCTGCCCGCCTTGGCCTCCCAAAGTGCTGGGATTACAGGTGTAGGCCATTGAACCCAGCCCTCCTTACCTTTATTATTCTTCTTCATGGCGATTAATACATTGTTTTTAATACAAACATTGTATCCTCACATGCCACCTGACACCCAATAGAACACAAATTTCCTGAGAGAAAGATTTTTCTTCATGCTATATATTTAGTTTCTAAAAGACTGCCTGGAACTTAGTAAACACTCAAAAACATTTGTCAGTGAATTAATGTATATGATCTGACATTTCTGGGTTTCTTTTCATCCTTCGCCCCATACTACTAAATTAGTATAAACACATTTTAATGAAATACTGCATTACAAAGCTGATAAAAGTACATTAACAGGTTCATTCAACTCTTGAGAATGTGTTCTATTCTTCACAAGCTAAATATTTTCATTAAAAAAGAATTATGTAAAAATAGTACTATACTATATTCACATATGTTTCAGTAAGAGCATAAAGGATGTAAGTTAGAGGTACCCTATTTAACTACAGCGTTCCTAAATGTCCACAGGTGGTCAGAATATGCAATTTAATCAGCATTTGTTGCAAAAATATATTTTAAAACATATTTAAAATCACAATGTGTTATATAGGTTAAAATGAATTGAAACAACTATATGTCTAATAATAGGAGGAAGGGGTAAGTAAATATTAGACCAATTCAATACAAAGTTATGTGGCAATAAAAATAGTAATTACAATAAGAATGTAGACATATGAAGACTATGTGCGTGTTGGCAAACACAATAAAAAACAAATGCATATTAGCTGTTTGATTATATAAACGTACATCTGTAAAGAAAACATGCATACATTAATCTTAAACTGGTGGAATTAGGAATGATTCTTATTCTAAAGTGGCTGTGGTAGGTCGTATTATTTATGTCAATTAAGAAGCAACACTTTATGAAAGTGAGAGAGAACAGAGTAAAATTGGGGGAAAAAACTAAATTAGAAGCCAATAAATATTTCCAGTTCCTAATCTTCCAGTAACTTACTTAAAACAACACATCTTAAGTCATTCACGATTTCTGCATCCCAATTTTCTTTCCCAGAGAATAAGCTTAATAATGTGATAGGATCTCCAAAGAATGAGTGGCAAACAGAATGCACTATATTCACCAAATGTTTGCTTTTGTATTTTCCCTGGGCACACAGGAATACTACATTTCCCAGTCTTCCTTGTATTTTAGTGGGACCATGTGACTGAACTCTGGCTAATACAGTATGATCAGAAATGATATAAAATGCTTTCTGGAAACATCCTCCGTAATTGCCAATGATCTCGGCATCCCCATCGATGGAAACTGAGCCAAAATGTTGCAAGATGATATTGCCACGGCTGGAAGGAACCTACAACCAGAGAGAGACCCAATTCACATCAGACCATGATGAAAGGAAGAAATACATCTTAATTATACGGCATCACTGAGATTTTGTGGGTCAACTGCATGCACATAATGTTCTCCATACCCACTAATAGATGACAGGATCTTATCCTGTAGAACCATAGTGCTGTGGGTAAAGTTTGAGGAAAATCCCCAATGGCTTCACGTAAGACTTCTAATGTGAATATGTGGGGACCCTCCTCCCCCCCACCACAGGAATAGACTACGGTTACTGTTTTAAAACAAGTTTTCCCAATGCGTTGTGCCCTTTCCTGGCTAATAGGATGCAAGTTCACGTGAAAAATATTTGGGACTACCAGCTATGGCTGAGTGAGGAAGTCAGACATTCCTCTCTCCAAATAGCAATAATCCTTGTGGACAAAACTGACCCCCCCAAAATTTCAGCACTCTAAAAATCAACCAAAGAATTCCAATAATGTAACAAGTATTCACCAAAAATCGACTGGAGTTTAGGCAAGAACAGTGGGACTCTTTGGTATTCTAGATGAGGGCTTCATCCCTAGTTAACACAAAGGCTCTGCCTGGGTAGAGTAGGCTATGAGTACTGGCAGCTCAGTTGCCATGGTCCAAAAGGAGCTCATGTGTTTTCAGGTAGAAGGCCGTGACCATATCCAGCAGCATTATTGGTAGAAGTGATTATATTCTCAGTGATGGAAAACTGGAGAGAGCCAATGACTTTACCAGCCCATACATTTCAGATTAATCCTGAAGCAGTGTGCAGATGCAGAGGTGATACCAAAGGAACCAGTAGAGTCTAAATACTTGGAAAGATTTGAAAATGGCCTGAAATTTCAATGCACACCTCCACATACACACAAACCCATCAGTAGAGGACAGGAGACTTCTTAGTGCTCAAGGTGTCTGAACACAATCTTAGCTGATTTTTGGCTGGTCTTTAAGCTATATAGATAATATAAAAACTTTCAGAAATGAAGATTAAAAACAAAAGAGGCCAGGTGCAGTGGCTCACACCTGTAATCCCAGCATGTTGGGAGGCCGAGGCAGGTAGATTACTTGAGGTCAGGAGTTCGAGACCAGCCTGGCCAACCCGGTGAAACCCCATCTCTACTAAAAACACAAAAATTAGCTGGGTGTGGTGGCGGGTGCCTGTAATCCCAGCTACTCAGGAGGCTGAGGCAGGAGAATCACTTGAACCCAGGAGGTGGAGATTGCAGTGAGCCGAGATCGTAACACTGCACTCCAGCCTGGGTGACAAAGCGAAACTCCATCTCAAAAAAGAAAAAAGAAGAATGACAATAACAACAAAAATGAAACAGAGAGACGAGAATGACCAAGAAAAAAAAAAAGAAAACTCAAATTACCAAAATCAGAAATTAAAGAGGGGACATTACTACCAATTTTATAGAATAGAAAGGATTATAAGGGTATCTTATGGACAATTTTAGGCCAAAAATAATAGATAACCTAGATAAAATGAAAAAAATATTTCTGGAAAGACACAAACTACCAAAATTTCAAGAGGAAATAGAAAATCTGAATAAGCCTATACCAAGCAAAGAGAATGAATTAGTAGGCAAAAAAAACTTCACATAAAGAAAAACCCAGACCCCAGTGCCTCTACTGGTGAATTTTACCAAAATTTCAAAGAAGAATTATTACTAACACCTCGAAATACCTTCCAAAAGAATAGAAGAGGAAGAAATCTGAGACTACTGTTATCCTCATATCAAAACCAGACAAAAAATCAAAAGGAAAGAATACTGCAGATCTACATATTTTATAAATATAGATGCAAACATCTTCAAGAAGATACTGGCAAACCAAATGCAGCCACACATGGAAAAAACTTTAAACCCTGACATACACCATATGATCATCTCAACAGATGCAGAAAAAGAATTTGACAAAAGTCAAGACCCTTTCATGACAAAATACACCCTCACAACCGAGGAATAGAAAGAACTTCCTTAACTTTATAAAGGGCATCTACAAAATACTACAGCTGGTATCACACTAAATGGTGAAACCCAACTACGCTGCTCCCAAATTCTCAACCCACAGAAACTATGAAAGATAATGTGTTTTGATCTTGATACACTAAGTTTTGGCCTAATTTTCCTTATACCAATAGATGTATAAATATTAACAATAACAACAATAATAATAGGAAAGGGTGGGGAAAGAAGAGGAGAAGGAGAGGCAGCAGCAGGTGCTGTTGGGTGTTCTGGTTCTTGTTGCTGTAGGCATCCATGCTGATGGGATTGATAACACTAGTGGGCTGCGGACCACAGTCTCTGAGCCCAGTAGGGCTCCAAGCCAGGACTTCAGACTGTGAGATGAGGGTGATGCTACAGCCCAGCCCCCAGAAGATGATCTATGTTCAAGGCATCAGAGAGTCCCAACATGGGGTCAGGTCTCCAGTACTTCGAGTTTTTCTACGATCAGAATTATTCCTTTATACAGATAAACCTAGCTCTAAACATCAATCTCCCCACCTGCGGACACAGGTGATATGGGAGAGAGAACTGAGATCCAGCCTTCTAGAAAGTAAAGCTACCAAAAACAATACTTGTTCTTAAGAAATTGCCTACATCATCATCACAGAGCCTGGGACCCTCGGCGTTGGATAGTTAAAGGGAGAAGACAGCCCCACTGTCGTCTCCACTGCTCATCTCAAGCATGCAGGAGTTGCCCACAACTGCTTTAAGGGCTCCTTGTTATATTTGGGTTTCTAGATTTCTTTCCACATCCACCCTCCCTGTGGTAAGACAGCTGTTCTTCCAGTACCTTATCAAGATGTCTCACCTGAGTTCAGCCCATGATGGTCTCCAGATGGCTTGTTGAGTGGTATACAAATATTTTTTAAATCCTTCCCAATTGAGACAACTCATCTTCTAAGTAAGGAATTTTGGCCCCTAATTTGTTGTTGCTTTTGTCTTCCTTATATGAGAGTATTCAGCTATGGGAGCTGGTGGCTGTTTAGGACAGAAAATGCCAATCTGTATTTACTTCACCTTCATTTGCAAGTGAAAAACAGGCCCTTGCTAAAAAGATCAATTAAAGTGAGTTTTGAGAGTTACATAAGTAAACACAGATATTTTAATCCAGCCATGACAACTAGCTACATAAATACAAGTCTTGAAGAACGAGATGAGAAGGTAGACTAGATACCCTCTAGGATCATCCGGGCTCAAAGATTCTAGATTCAATAACCAAGGGATTAATACAAGAGTAACAGAACTAAACACATTCCTTCTTTTATATGGCTTTAAAAATATGCTCTCCTTCATAGTAAGCCATCAGTGATGGGAATTCTAAACACATTTTAGAAATGCTTAGTAAATAATTTCTGAGTCTACAGATATGGGCAGAAACAGGTAAACAAGAAAGAGTGACCTTATCCCAGCACTTTGGGAGGCTGAGGTGGGCAGATCACGAGGTCAGGAGTTTGAGTCCAGCCTGGTCAACATGGCAAAACCCCATCTATACTAAAAATACCAAAAAGTTAGGCATGGTGGCGCGTGCCTGTAATCCCAGCTACTTGGGAGGCTGAGGCAGGAGAATCACTTGAACCTGGGAGACAGAGGTTGCAGTGAACCGAGATCTCACCACTGTACTCCAGCCTGGGGAATAGAGCAACACTCTGTCTCCAAAAAAAAAAAAAAAAAAAAAAAAAAGAGTGACCTTTGGAAATATGGGCAAGGACACAGGCTGGTCCCCAGGTGTCCATGACCATAACCAAATATTCACACTACTCTTCCTTCTGTTGGTTAGGAAGCAATCATATTTTAGGGAAAAATAAAATCCTGAAACACTAATGTCTCAAAACAAAGTCAATTTAAAGTTATAAATTTAAAAATCAGAAAGTATCCAAAATGTTAAATGGCTCCATCTTCAGGATAAATGTGAAAAGGCTCTTTTTTTTTTTTTTTACCCCCACTGAAAATGCAGGAGCTATTTCAAGTTCTTCCTGAATTAGATGGATGTAGCTGTGGTCTCAAATCCCCGTGGCTCTAGCAACTGGAGCCGCACAATCAATTTTGCCTGTGAGCAGTGTCCACAATGAGTATGAAAGTCTCCTTAACCGACTGCGTGCTTGGGTGTACTCATTCGTAATTCTAACTCTCATGATATTCAAAATATCAGTGAGTAAAATCCTGCTTCCTTTCCAAGGGCACCTGTCAAGTCCTTCCACAAATGTTCATTTGAGCATCTTTATATCTTGCTGGGATGACAGTGAGGGGAAAAGGTCTTGTTTTCCGTTTTTCATAGAAGATGAAACAGGATAGAAATCCACTTTCTGACATGATTCTATAAAGGCAGTCACTGAACCTGAATACAATATATATTTGTTATGAAACAGTATGAAAATTATTAAGCCTTTCCATTCACATGATATGCACACCACCTCCTCTACCCCACAAATCATAAGCCAATAGTCAAATAAGAAAAAAATCAATGAAAGCTAGGGCTGGGAATTGCATTAAGTAAACTGATACATTATTACAGACTTCACTGGGAAGAGGAAATTGGGTGGAGGGCAAAGGGAGAAAGAAACAAGACAGGGCAGAAAAAGAAAAAGCTATTTATTTTAGACAGTGTATGAGTGGGATGGTGGCAGAGGGCAAGGAACACAGCTGCTTCTAGAAAGGAAAAAAAAAAAAAAAACAAACAAGAAATGAGATTTGGTTGTCTACTTCCATAATTAGCAAAGGAAATCCACACTTGGCAAAATCACCGGAACAACAAATAATCCAAAATATGGTATTCCTCAGTTTTTTAAATGACTATTACGTTGTTTTCAGTTGCTGAAATAAATGAATGGATGCAGACAGGAGCTGACATATCTCCACTTGGAATGGTTACCATCCATTTATTCAACGCCAACAACCAAGACAGGTTGAACCACTATGTCCAGGCACTGGGGTTGTCACAGTAAACAAAAACAGTTTTTGACCTGTTCTCACGGCAATCACAGCCTCCATGAATGCTTGCTGGAGGCAACTTAGGCTAGAAGCAAGCACTCCCCCAGTAAGGACACATGTACCCAAAAGACATTTAACACAATTCTCCACTTATTAAGAAAATTAAATACATGTTTATCTGGTTTTAGCTTGTAACCAATACAATATCTTGGTCAGATTGGAAAAGAAAAAAAAAAATGACCTAAGAATGGTTGTTAGCAAATAATAACAATAATACTCATAACAATAATTGTTATTACAACTGACATTTACTGCACCCTTACCATGTGTTAGACACCAGTCTTTTGGGATGCAAACATGGTATCATCAAATCTCCATCAAGACTCTTTGAAGTTTAAGTACCCTGATTGCCTCCTCTTACAATGAGAAGAAAGGAGGCACAGCAACTTTAACTAAATTCCTCAATCCTGAGGCTGGGCACAGTAGCTCATGCCTGTAATCCCAGCACTTTGGGAGGCTGAGGCGGGCGGATGACCTGAGGTCAGGAGTTTGAGACCAGCCTGGCCAACATGGCGAAACCCCATATCTACTAAAAAAAAAAAAAAAAAAAAAAAAATTTGGTCAGGCATGGCGGTGGGCACCTGTAATCCCAGCTACTCGGGAGGCTGAGGCAGGAGAATTACTTGAACTGGGGAGGCCGAGGTTGCAAGTGAGCCAAGATCACACCACTGCACTCCAACGTGGGTGACAGAGCAAGACTAGGTCTCAAATAAAAAATAAATAAATTACTAATGATGTGTAGTAATTTAGGGCTGGGATTAGAAACAGGCTCTCTGACTTAAGAAATTAAGCCCATCACTATGAAACCAATAGTTTTGCAGCCTGGTGGTCCATTAGCCTCCCCTGGAAAGCTTGTGGGAAAAAGAAATACCAATACCTAGGACTCATCTCCAAACCTTTGAAGTTAACATATCTGGGGGTGGAGTCCAAACAGCAGCTTTCTGAATTCTCCCAGGTGCTTCTAACAGGCAGTCAAGGTTGCAAACCTCTGCCTCAGGCTCTCCTCTCTCCTTACTGCACAATTGCTAACATTTCTGATTGTCCCCGTGTGGGTCCTCTTCTTATCACCAAGAGACTGCTCCCGAAAGTCTGGCTACTCAAAGTGCAGTCCACAGACCAGTACAACCAGCAGCAGCGGCACCAATGGGGAACCACTTAGAAATCCAGGATCTCAGGCCCCATGCCAGACTGAATCCAAATCTATATTTTACTCAGATCCCTATATGCACTTTAAATTCTAGTACTATCCTACAGCGTGCCCTTGAGAGGAAACACTAGTTCCTACAGCTATTACTAGGTGCTATGCACAACAAAAGCGCAACCATTACAACCACCTCTAAGCCCATCCTCTCGCCCCCACCCCCCCGACCTACAGAAAAACCGGGTGGTCAAACACATCTGGGACCAACTGGATTAAATAAAGCCAAAATTAGTGTCTCTACTCTGAGCTCTAGCAGAACGTGTAATGTTAACATACTAATGCGCATCATAAATCTCCAGGAGAAGAAATTTCCCAAATATTTATGACTGTGGTACCCTGTAACTCAGCACTCCTATTAACATCTTTTGTGGACAATGTGTTCCTAGGGACGTATTACGGAAAATGTTTATCCAAAGGAGACCATCCTTTTTCTTTCCCTCATGGCTACCTTTTTTCATAGTCAGGTTCTATTGCTTTGCTATTTGCTTATGAATATGAATATAAGCTGTAGTCACGGACTCACAGTAAGCCTTTAACAAGCATTTACTATGTATATGAGATATAGTTCTAAGTGCTTACACTGTGATAACTCATTTTATCTTTATAACAACTCTGGGAGATACGTATGGTTTCTATTACCACACTATGGTTAAAGAAACTGAGGAAGAGAGATGACTTAAGCACCTTGCTCAAGGTCACACAGCTAGTGAGCAGTGGATACAGGAGCTTAGCTCTGGCCATCTGCCACCAGAGCCTTCCTTTTAAGCAGTAGACTATTGGAAAGGGTGTCAAATGACCTCCCAACTATTCTCAAAGGCATCCTTAGATTGGCACATAGAGAAAGCTTAGCTGATCAGCCTGAACTTTTAGCCACAGGATGCAAAAGGAGCACAAATCCTAGCATATGCACTGAAGTTCACCATCCAGCATGAGACGTAGGTGCAGAACATCCAAATCATGTCTTGAAAAGAATGAAGAATCAGAGCAGATCTACAACACTGAAGTTCTTGTGCTGATATCCTAACTTTTATATTTTTCTTTTCTTTATTTTTTTATTTTTATTTTTATTTTTTGGAGATAGGCTCTCACTCTGTCACCCAGGCTGGAGTGCAGTGGCATGATCACAGCTCACTGAAGCCTCCACCTCCTGGGTTCAAGCGACTCTTGTGCCTCAGCCTCCCCAATAGTTGGGACTACAGGCACGCACCTCCATGCCCAGCTAACTTTTGTATTTTTAGTAAAGACGGGGTTTTGCCATGTTGGCCAGGCTAGTCTTGAACTCCTGGCCTCAGGTGATCTGCCCTCCTTGGCCTCCCAAAGTGTTCAGATGACAGGCATGAGCCACCGTGCCCGGCCCTAACTTTTGTATTCTCAACAGGAGACACACACTTTGCTTTCTGATGACAGCGCAACAGTGAGGACAATGAGGTATTGATCTTGCCTCCTCTCCACCACTCAGTCTGAAACCAAAAAACCAGCAAATTCGAGGAATAAAGGCAAAGTGTACCCAACATGACGCCGACTCATAGAAGTGCAAACCAAGTCAGACAGCTCCAGTAACCTGTTAAGTTGCCTCTCAACCACAGGGTGATGAACTCAAGGGAATAAAAAAGTATATGCAGTGTCTTGGGAGTCTGCTACTACAGAGTTGAGAATTTGGGTTATTTTCAAAGTTCTCCAAGGTTTCGAGATCACTGTGAAGGACTCTGTAACTTTAATGACTTCAAAAGGGACAGCTCTTTCCTCTGACTCATAATTAGTAAAAAAAACAAACAAACAAACAAACAAAACAGCACTTTGGGAGGCCAAGGCAGGCAGATCACTTCAGGCCAGGAGTTCAAGACCAGCCTGGCCAACATGGCAAAAACCCATCTCTACTGAAAATATAAAAATTAGCTGGGCATGGTGCCATACGCCTATAGCCCCAGCTACTCTGGAGGTTCAGGCGGGAGAATCACTTGAACCCGAGAGGCAGAGGTTGCAGTGAGCTGACATTGTGCCACTGCACTCCAGCCTGAGTGACAGAATGAGACTCTATCTCAAAAAAAAAAAAAAAAAAAAAAAGGGAGTGGTCAGTGTCCACTCCATACAATTCAATAGCTTTGTCTCCTGCCCCTGCAGCAGGAACAATCGATTTGGGTAGACAGGGAGTAAGCATCTAGAAACAATATCCACTGGTGAGTGGAGTGTGTGTGTGTCTATGTGTGCACATGCACACATGTGTGTTTGTAAATTTTCCTTTGAGTGATGCATATGACTGCAAATAACACGTAACACTAACCAAGGTCTCACCCATGTGCCAGGTATCCCACTAGGCACTTTAAAGACATTGGATCTCTTCAATAATCACCGTTAATTCCTATGGCAAATATTTGAGATCTGTTTTCCTGTCAAGCACTATTCTGGGTGTTGGCAGTCATAGTACACAGAACAATGCCTACCCCACCCCTCAGAAGTGTCCACGCCGCTGTAATCCTGGGAACCTGTGACTATGTTACCGTACATGGCAAAGGGACTTTGCAGATGAGACTAAGTTAAGGATCTTGAAATGGGAAAAATTAGTCTTAATTATCCAGGTGGGCCTAATATCATCGTATCAGTCCTTAAAATCTGAGAACCTTTTCTTGCTGTTACTATCAAAGAAATGCATGGAGAAGGGCTACATCCCTGGCTTCGAAGATGGAGAAAGGGGCCATGAGCTAAGGTCTGCAGGATGCCTCAGGAAGCTGGAAAAGGCTAAGATTCTCCACATCAGCCTCCAGAAAGGAGTGCAGCTCTGCCCGCACTGTGAGACTAGTGTCGAGTTCTGACCACTCAAACTGTAAAAGAATAAATCTGTGTTGTTGTATCCACCAAGTCTGCAGTAATCTGTTATAGCAGCAATAAAAAAATAAATGCAGCATTGGAAAACACAAAACCCTTCTGTCCTGCAGCTTACATTGTTTGTGATGTACTCTATATGTGTGATCCTGATTGTGAAGAATAGCAAACACATCTAGGAAGGTTAAACAATGTGATGAAGTTTCTACATTGAATAATCCAGAGGGACAGAACTTGAACTCAGGAAGTCCACCACTGAGGCTGCATCACATCCATTATTCTAGACTGTGCATCCTGAAGAGCTTACAGAGGACTTTCTACTGTAGGACATGAAGTTGAGGGGCACTACAGGGGGCCACAGGGGCAATTTTTGGTTGACAGCCAAGGAAGATGGGAAGTGATGGTTCTGCTCTCCAGACACCAAGGGTTTGCTCACAGGGATGGAACTGTAAACGAGAGATGAAGCAGAGGTTGGGCTTCAGAGCTCAGTTTCCTCTGTTTCCCTTACTCATTCCTGCTTTCCCTTCTTTCCCACCAGAGCAACTTGCAGAAGATGAGGACGTTGTATCTCCCCGCTGTCCGGGGCCCACTCTCCCTACACGATTGCAAGTGACATCTTAGCTCACAGGCTGCAAAGTGACACACTTGGCTGCAAGGCCTCATTCTCAGCACTGGTTTGTCCACCACCATGCAGTGTGACATCCTTGACCAATGATAAAAAAACAGCTAGCTGGGCTCGGTGGCTCATGCCTGTAATACCAGCACTTTGGGAGGCAGAGGCAGGCATATCATGAGGTCAGGAGATCGAGACTATCCTGCCTAACACAGTGAAACCCCATCTCTACTAAAAATACAAAAAATTACCCAAGCGTGGAGGCATGCACCTGTAATCCCAGCTACTCAGGAGGCTGAGGCAGGACAATCACTTGAACCCAGGAGGCAGAGGTCACAGTGAGCGGAAATCATGCCACTGCACTCCAACCTGGGTGACAGAGCGAGACTCTGTCTTAAAAGAATAAATAAATAAATAAATAAAATAAAAATAAGATAAAAACAGCCAAGTCACCCAGACCCTTTGGTTCACAATCACTCTTACTATTCATCTGAAGATGTATGCCGCTTTTCTGCTATTCCAAAGAATGGGTTTCTTTTTCAGGATGTCCACAAGTCACTTATGCTCTAGGCCAGGCTGGGACCTAAAATCCAGGTCTACTTTTAACCCTTGAAAATCCAGGTATGCTTTTTAACCCTCTAAGCATTATATCATATGTTCATGGCAAGACATTTGCAGAACCACTCCAAATCTAACTGCTGGTCCAACAAGCCAATGAGCCAAATATCCCACCAAACTCCAGGAATGTGTCTAAATTTCATCTTTTAGGCTGTGGCACTGTTGAGCTCTAGTTCTAGATTTGGCCAAAGGCTACCTTTGAGGCATTCTCTAAATCGAGTCTTGAACTCCTTATGCATTGAAAGTGGAAAGAATTGAGAACAACCTAAATGCTCAACAATAGGGGATGCATGAAAACCTGTTGTGGTGCGGCTGGACTACAAAACCTTGAAATTGGTGTTATAGATTGATATGTTGACATGGAAAATATTTACAAAATATGTAGAATCATCCCACATATGTTTTACCTGTTATACCTGCATATATAGACAAAGAAGGAGAGAGGGAAGAAGAGATCCTGACAAGCTCTACCTAAAAACAGAACTACCATTTGATCTAGCGATCCCATCACTGGGTATATACCCAGAAGAATTTAAATCATTCTATCATAAAGACACATGCATGCAAATGTTCACTGCAGCACTATTCACAATAGCAAAGACATGGCATCAACCTAAATGCCCATCAATCACAGACAAGATACAGAAAATGTGGTACATATATACCATGGAATACTATGCAACTACAAAAAAGAAAGACATCATGTCCTTTGCAGAGACCTGGATGGAGCTGGAGGCCATTATATTTAGCAAACTAAGGCAGGAACAGAAAACCAAATACCGCATGTTCTCACTAATAAACGGTACTAAAGAGAACACAGGGACACAGATAAGGAAACAAGAGACAGTGGGGCCTGCTTGAGGATAGAGGGTGGGAGGAGGGAGAGAAGCAGAAAAATAGCTATTGGGTACTAAGCTTAGTACTTGGGTGATGAAATAATTTGTACAACAAACCCCCGTGACACGGGTTTACCTAAATAAAAAAACTGCTTATGCACCCCTGAGCCTAAAATAAAAGTTTGAAAAAAAGCTCTACATCATAATTAATAGCACCATGAGTGTATTCTGACATTTATTTTATTTTTATTTTTTGCTTTGACATGGAATACAATCAACAAATGCTCATTTCACACTTATTACGCATAACAATGCATCCACGGGGCTCAGAGCAGAAGAGGAGCCCACAATTCCTTGGTGACTTTATTAATTCCCTCATTCAGCAGCTGTTTACTGCAGATTGATTACATGCTAAGAACTGTCAAAGGCATTGGAAAAAGAGCAGAGAGCAGGACAGACCAGGGTCTCGTAGGACTTAACACTACAGTGGAACCCAGCGGGTAAGAAAACAAACAAGCAAATGGCAAATACTGGACATGAACACGGCTTTCATAGTCTCTCATTACCTCATGGACTTCAACCTCTTCATGATACCCTTCCTCATGCCATAGCCTCACACATATAATTCAGCTGTGTTAAAGCAAACTAAATGTGGCCTGAGAAGGACTCCCCACTTCTATATTTGAGTCCTTGTGGACAAACCGCAACCTAACTTAATAGGTCGATAAGATCATGCCTGTAATCTAGCACTTTGGGAGGCCGAAGTGGGTGGATCGCTTAAGGTCAGGCATTTGAGACCAGCCTGGCCAACATGGTAAAACACCCTATCTACTAAAAAAAAATACAAAAACTAGTCAGGTGTGGTGGCGCATGCCTGTAATCCCAGCTACTTGGGAGGCTGAGGCCAGAGAATCACTTGAACCCAGGTGGCAGAGGTTGCAGTGAGCTGAGATTGCACCACTGCACTCCAGCCTGGGTGATAGAGGGAGACTCCACCTAAATAAATAAATAAGAAAACCTAACTTAGGAGCATGTGCCTGTAACAACAACTGAGTCTTGGCCAATCCTAGTGGCTGCACCTCAATCACTCATACACTGCTGAGTGTTGAAACTATGTTCAAATTAGGCAAACGCGGAGCTGTAACCAATCTAGCTCAGTTCTGTACCTCACTTCTAATTTCTGTACCTCATTTCCCTTTTTTTGTCTATACATCTTCCACCACGTGGCTGTGCTGGAGTCTCTCTGAATCTGCCCTGATTCTGGGGGCTGCCTGATTCAGGAATCGTTCATTGTTCAATTAACTCCTTTAAATTTAATTTGGCTGAAGCTTTTTTTTTCATCAGAAACCTCCTTCTCTATCTCAGCCTTCTAGGGACATAACCTCTCTGAACTCTTCCATGTATAAGAATTCAAATCCCGAAATTTTCTTTTCTCTCCACTCCTTCTCGTCTTTCCCCAACGTGATAACAAAGTGCATTAATCCTTAGTGGTCCATTAGACTCTCCAGGCCACATTTTATCTTTAACTTCCACATTTGCCGAGTTCTACTCTTGCTTTCAAGTTCCATCTACCAAGTCAATGACCCTAGAGCTAAAGGTCAGTGATCATGTTTTGCTTTACTCCAATGACCCCAAGATCAATGCAATCCCCTTGCTAATCTGCCTGGAGTCATCCCTTCTATCCATTTTTCTACAAATCCGAATGTGGCTAAACGAAGTGATAAACATGGTTTATATGACGCTCATTATGAAATGAGAAGGCCTGCTTTTCAGGCACTTTTGCCCAACTCTAAATTCATGCTGTAGCACCCCACGGCAATTCCAAAACTTCTCTGTTACAGAGACCTTCTTCCTACTCCTGACTCCCTGCTGGGATGCCTCAGCCATCTTCCCTGGACGAAAAACATCAAGGTCACTGGACCCCAGAGAGAATCCACTGGGAGAGTGTTTAAAAAAAAAAAAAGTAAAAAAGTGAAAGAACCAGTGAAAATGCAGAACACTGGGCAAAGTGAGATAGAACTCTTAGAGTTAAACACAACTCCTTCCAATATTAAACACACTTTGCAAAGAAAAGACCCCTTCCCTCCCCCAGGAGTGGCAGAGGTGAGAGAAAAAGCACAAAGTATTGCAGGTATCAGAAAGTTCTAAAGGTCTTAGCAGCGATCTTACTTCCAGAAAAATAAAAATATTGATTATCTGTTATCTGACGGGTCCTCTGATGGGTCATTTTTATACATAATCGGTAATGATCAAAACCCATTTTCAAGGTTGAATTGCTATAGGCTCATTGCAGATCATGAAACTGGAACCCAAGTTCAGAAGTCTGCATATAACCAACATCTTTGGGAGCCTGACTGTAATGTGAGCTTGCCTGGCTCTACGTAGAAGGAAGACATGACCTCTCCTTAAGCTGTTCATACTTAAGCTAGAGAAAGGAAAACAAGCACAAGTTGAAAACAGTTGTAATGGGAAATCCTCCAAAAAATCGCCCACTGGGGCCTGAAACCCTCCGCACCATGCACGATTTCTTCTTTCTTTCTCATGTGAACAGATTAAACTAATAGATTATGAGCATTATTCTTAAGCAACGTATATCAGGGTTGATGTGAGCCTGTTCTTGAAAGATAAGCCGCATATCAGCACTGAGGGAAAACGAATTAAAATGCAAATCTGCGTGTGCCCCCATTGTTAGACTAGCTTTAATAGATATGTCTCCCTGAATATATCACAGACAAAACTGTCAGTCTCCATCCCAAATAAAGCCAAGCCAAGCTCTAATGACATTTCACTAAGGTTAAAGTTTATAATTGGATTTTGCCATGGGTGGAGTTTATAAATGACCTTCACTTTGACCCATAATCTTTGCAGCATAGGCAAAAATTTTTAAAAGGACAAGCAACTTCTCCTCCTTGACCCCATCCCGGAGCAGTGCTTGGAGCACCCAAAGCCTTAGATGCCTGCTATGGGGCACCCTACATCTTCTGGCCTCCACTCCCTAAGGGAACAATGCCCACTCTGAGGCCCCAGGACCACATCCAAGAATGATGAGGCTGACCTTCAAGCAGATTGCTGACAAGAGTTCCATTAAGAACTAAAAGGTTGGTTGGACATTGCATTTTAAAAGTGACTAAAGGGCAAGTTATAATATTTGAGCAAGCTCTTTCTTTTGGTCTCCTGAAATTCCTATCTCACTATCATCAAAAGAGGCAGTACTGACTGTGTTAGATAAGATGGGCATCCAAAAATTTGTCAGTCCCCAAAACAAAGAGTAATAAAACCGTTAAACAAAAAACAAAATGAAACAGTGGAAAAAATGTTAGAAGGCTGGAATAAGAGATAACAATAACAGCAGGAGCTACCGTTAGCACTTAAACAGCCAGTGGGTACACCAGGTAAGTGCTCTCAGCTTAAAATCGAAGGCAAGCTGAAGCCAGGCTGGGAGAAAAAGTCCACAGAGAAAGTACAACTTGAGCTATACGTCAAAGGGTAGGTGCAATTTGGAAAGGTAAGAAAGATTATCAAAGAGCAACTTCGGCAAACTTGCAGAGACAAAAAGAACAAGGACTAAGGGCCCTGAACATCACGCATGCGTGTTTCGGCTCTTCCCATCCAACACCCTTTGCCCTTCTTTTAGCAACACAACGCCACTATTCGTCAGCAAATACCCTCCCTTCTCATCATCTCGCCTTGACTCCCAAAACACAGGCAAGGCAGGGCAGGATGGCTTATGCCTGTAATCCCAGTACTTTGGGAGGCTGAGGCAGGCAGAACATGAGGTCAGGAGTTTGAGACCAGCCTAGCCAATATAGTGAAACCCCGACTCTATTAAAAATAAAAAAAATTAGCTAGGTGTGGTGGTACAGGCCTGTAGTCCCAGCTACTTGGGAGGCTGAGGCGGAAGAATTGCTTGAACCCGGGAGGTGGAGGTTGCAGTGAGCCGAAATGGAGGCACTGCACTCCATCCTGGGCAACAGAGTGAGACTCCATCTCAAAAAAAACAAAACAAAACAAAAACCCCACGGGGCTGGGCACATGACTGAGGCTCTTCAGAGTAACCCACTCCCACCAAAGAGGTAACTGGTGTGAAAGTGGGCTTATGATACAGACAGAGAGATGCTGTCCTTATTCAGGGACCGGCGTTATGCTCAGAGTAAGAGTCTCTCCTTTTCCTGAAAACAAAGGCAGTGATGAAGACAGAGGTTTGGAGTCTCAGGTCACCCTTGTCACCACACGAAGACTGTCTACCTGAGAATGAAACCAACATGGAAAAAGAAAACAGAGATATGTGATGGAAGGAGGGAGAAGGAGAGAGAAATAGAGAGTCAGAGAGAAAGAGAGAGACACCTTGATGACCTTATTTTCATTCCCCCCCAACCCCGCCCCAAGGAATACAGCCACCTTAAGCTAGATGAGCCCATGGAACCTTTGGTTAGCTGAGCCAGCCTATTCGCTGAATGATGTGTGCGAGCTTGGTCCCCGTCATTTGGACCCCAGAGAGTCCTTATGTGCATAGAGTCAACAAGTTCACCAGGACAGCAGGCAGGGAAGGCCTGTGAGGTGGAAGACGTTTTAGCAATAGGTCTGGTGTCCTATTTCAAGGTCAGTGACTGAATTGCCAACTAAGATGCTTTCTACTTGGGGAACCAGAAGCCACCAAAACAGTCTTGATTATTTATTTTTACCAATTCGAGTAGGAAGAGAAAAGACTACACTCTGAGAATTGCGGCCCTTTGCAGGAATACTTTCCACTCCACTGTATGTGTACATGTGTGTGGTACAGGCACACACCTCACAGAAGAAACATTAAGCATCCCTTTCCCATCAAATCAAATCGTTGATGACAACATCCCGGCAATTCCAGTACCTAAGTTTGACGTCTCCCTCTTTTTCATGCATTGGCCCATTTTACCATTTGCCTCTCCTTTTCCCTTCACCTTAAAAATCTCATTTACCTTCCACAGTTGAGTGATCAGACAGCTCAGATTTCTTGTAAATAACCCTTAGCAATTGTTAACTCCTGAAGGAGCTGAACAAAAATGAGGAGAGCATTACGCTGTAGCCATAAAACATTTCATTTGCCCATGCATGTTGTGCGTTTAGACGTTCACCTGCACATTTATCAGACAAAATTCAAACGAAGCAGGCAGAACTGTTTGCTACTCCAGCTACAACACCCTGACATTTTAGGGAGGTTGAAAAATCTCTAGTCTTAGCAGAGAAAATTCTAACTCAAAATGAATGTCCACCAGAGGGCAAACGTGTTATCTTTATTAGGTTTGGAACTCTCATTTTGAACTCTTTTGAGTGAGACTTCTGCAAATAGCTCCTTCCTAGGTGCTGCTTTCTTTTTGGTTTTTATTGTCTTCAGTATAATGAACCCTGTAACTCATGCCACGTGGATAACAGGACTGCACGATTGTTTCTTTACGGTTGTTTTGGCACTGGTAAGGGTAGTTCAGAAGATTAATATTTTCAACCAAAAAAAAGTAAATATAAAAACAATAATGATAATGAGCTGTCATTTATTAAGCACTTGCTGTATGTAAAGCCTTTCATTCATCATTTTACATTATCTTGTTCCGTCTACAGGGTAATCTTGTCAGGTGGGTATTAATACTATTACTCCCACTTAAAAACTGCCAAAGCTGAGGCTTGGACATTTCATTAATTTATCTGAGATGACATAGCTAAGCTGTGAATGACAAAACCATAATCACGCCTCAAAGAATCAGAATCCAAATGCTTAAGTTAAAACAAAAGTGTTTTATATAATATTAAATATACATATAAATAACAATAATATGCCATTTCATATTGAGATCTATTGAACTGCACACTTTCCCCCCAAACTTTACTTATGATCCTTTAATGAAAAATTCAACTTCGTAGGATTCTGTGATTTCTGACATGGTATTTAGCATTATGCAGAAGTAAACTTTTCAAGTACATCGACAGTCTTCTTGTAACGAGCTCCACTGAGTGTGTTTACAGGCAATTAAAATATTTCCATATAGGCTGGGCACGGTGGGTCACACCAGCACTTTGGAAGGCCAAGGGGGGTGGATCACCAGAGGTCAGAAATTCGAGACCAGCCCGGCCAAATAGCAAAACTCCATTTCTACTAAAAAAAAACAAAACAAAACAAAAATTTACCAGGTGTGGTGGTTCACACCTATAGTCCCAGCTACTTGGGAGGCTGAGGCATGAGAATCGCTTGAATCTGAGAGGCAGAGGTTGCAGTGGGCCGAGATAGCACCACTGCACTCCATCCTGGGCAATGAAACAAGACTACATCTCAAAAAAAAAAAAAAATCAATATAACAATGCAAAAAAGAACTCTGTGGAAAACATCACTTCTAACTAATATATATATATTTTGGAAATGCAAGATTCCTCAGGATACAAATAGGTATGCAAAGAACAATCCTATCACTTGAAGAGTTAGCTTTCAGAAATGTAGTTTAATTTATAATTATTTATAGTATTATCAGGCTTATATTTTTAAAAATCTAGCAATTGACATTACATATAATTCAAAGATACAGAAGTACAAATATCTGCCTGATTTTGCATATGTAGACTAATGTCCAAGTAAACAATTCCTTCTGCAGTGTAGTCTTTGGATGATGATTAATGTTACAAAACGTATGGTCACAGAATATAAAACACAACAAAAGAGGCAACATTGAGTACAGCGTGAGGACTAAAGTTAATAAAATTCTATCAGCAATTTTTGTTAAATAAGAAGATTTCAACTACTCTCGTCACAAAAATGTAACTCTGTGACAATATGTTAATCTGTGTCTCTATTATAACCACCTTACTATATGTATCCCATAACATCACATTGTAAACCTCAAATATACTCAATAAGAAAACACAGAGGCAACGTCTGACAACCAAGAATTGGACCTCTTATTTCCTCCCTATATGGGCCTTTCTAATTGTTCCCCTTGCATTTAATTAAGATTGGGCAAAAAAAATATTCCTATAGGTACACATCACCTTATAAATACTGAAGATTTAGGTTGCAGTGTCAGACTGACCTGGCATTTTTACAAATCACTGGTTTTACAATTTATTTAAAAATATGATCTGCGGAAACATTTTGGAAAGAACAAATAACAATAACCAGTAAAGTCTCTGCTATCTTGAGGCTAAGACACCAAGAGACTTCTCAGGCTTACAGAACACCCAACATTTGCATGAAAATCCCACTGTCAATGAACAACAAATTAACATCCAAAATCAGGTAAAAACTAGAAAAGAAAAACTCCATGATTTATCTGATTTGTCAAGTCCTGGAAACTTTCAGCTACTAACGTATTTAGCATAACCAAGGGCTATAACAACAATGAACTTACCAATCGCTTATGCTCAAACAGGATTCCTTTGTGCAAAATGAAATTCCCAGATGAAATCTGTTTTAACATGCTCCCAAAAGCTGTTCATCTTTCATCATTTCTCAAAAAATAAGTGCCTTGACACTCATTCTCTGGTCTTTACCTCCCCGCAAAAGTAACGTATGAAACACTCTATTTGTATTTTGGCCAGGTGAGTCCCCTTGGCCTTATCCCAGTCTCATCATTTCCAGAAATTATCTTTTCAGGCAATATGCATCCCATTCTAGGTATCTACTTACACCACAACCCTTCCTTCAGTGCTGTGTCTAAAGGGTGATTCACAATTAACCTTCTCTGGGTCTCATTTTGTCTGGAGTTATTGCTGTTGCTCAAAAGCACGTTGTGGGATAGGCACAGTGGTTGGCACATGCAACCCCAGCACTTTGGGAAGGTGAGGCAGGTGGATCACCTGAGGTCAGGAGTTCGAGACCAGCCTGACCAACATGGCAAAACCTCGTCTCTACTAAAAATACAAAAATTAGCCTGGCATGGTGGTGCACGCCTGTAGTCCCAGCTACTCGGTTGGGTGAAGCAGGAGAATTGCTTGAACCTGGGAGGTGGAGGCTGCAGTGAGCCGAGATCATGTCACTACAGTTTAGCCTGGGTGACAGAGCAAGACTCCATCTCAAACACACGCACACACAAAGGCAAAAGCACATTGTATGCCCATTCCCCTCCATGTGTGGTTTACCAACATCTTGTAACATATAACATTATGAACTTTCTTTGGGGGTTAAATGTCTCCCTTGAGTTGTTCTTTCCTTGGAAACACTGTTACCACTGTTGTTGGGTGAAGGAAGAACCACCTTCTGCAGTATTTCACTGAGAGTCATCTATGTTTCACTGGCCCTGCATTTCGTTCCTTAAACAGATAATAGTTGTCACATTTTATATAGATGCACCACCCACTTAAAAATCAAGCCATAAGCATGCCTGGCACTTCCTGTTAAAATACAGAAATCTGGGCCAGGTGCAGTGGCTCACGACAGTAATCCCAGCAGTTTGGAAGGCGGAAGCAGGTGGATCACATAAGGCCAGGAGTTTGAGACTGGCCTGCCAACATGGTGAAACCCCGTCTCTACTAAAAATACAAGAATTACATGGATGTAGTGGTGTGCCTGTAATCCCAGCTACTAGGGAGGCTGACACAGGTGAATTGCTTGAACCTGGAAGGCGGAAGTTGCAGTGAGCCAAGATGACACCACTGCACTCCAGCCTGGGTGACAGAGTGACGCCCAGTCTCCAAAACCAAACAATTAAAAATACAGAAATCCTGTTCTTTGGAAATCTGCATTGTGTGAATCTGACCTTCATAGAAAAGGCGTTTTCTTTCCTATAATGCTTTTGCAGCTAATGCTGGTTAATAACTAAGAAAAAAAGTCCAACTTTCAAAAATAAGTACCCTTAGTTGGCTGTGAAGGACTGAGAGGGCCTCCAGCCCCTGCAGTTTCTGAAGGTTTATTTGGCTGGAAAGCATGTACTCTGACACCTCCTTTGGTTCAACCTACTCAAAGTTTGTTCCCAGTGATTAGGGAGCTGGCTAGACGCTTCACAAAAGAAAAGTATCTGTTGGTAATAGTAACACAAAGCACGGAAATTTCAATCTTGGAGCAAGACAGAAACCAGAAGCTCATTTTCTCCAAATGTAAGCCAGGTGTGTGTAGATGACAATGACTTTTTCTGGGCATGATAGAAGCAATCAGCTCCAGCTCTTTCAAAGGGGCTCTACCACCCTAAATGATGTTGGGCATTTGTCATTTGAAAGTCACCATGGAAGGAAGCAGATGCCATGCAATTCCTTTCCAGACATATTTCCTGAGTGTTTATGTTTGGATGCGGATGTTAAATTCTATGAGGTTTTCTCTGCAGGACAAAACCCCTGCTTCCCTTGTGTGGGCTATTTTGTTAGTCAGCTGCCCCAGCCAATGGGATGGAGAGAGAGTAAGATAATTTACTGACGAACTAATCAATCCTTTTTTTTTTTTTTTTTAAGACAGAGTCTCACTCTATCGCCCAGGCTGGAGTGCAGTGGCACAATCTTCGCTCACTGCAACCTTTGCCTCCCAGGCTCAAGCGATTCTCCTGCCTTAGCCCCCTGAGTAGCTGGGATTACAGGCGTGCACCACCATGCCAAGCTAATTTTGGTATTTTTAGTACAGACACGGTTTCACCATGTTGGCCAGGCTGGTCTCCAACTCCTGACCTCAAGTGATCTGCCCGCCTCGGCCTCCCCAAGTGCTGGGATGACAAGCATGAGTCACTGTGCCCAGCCAGTGATCACTTCTCCATTTATTTATTTAACAATGATTTATTAAAGCCTGTTCAAGGGGCAGGGCTGCAGAATAAAGCTGGGAAACACCACTGTGCTCATGGAGCTCGCATTCCATTGTCGGTAGGAAGAAGGAGAGATAGAACACAAATGAACAAGGGGCGAATGTTCTAGTCATGATATGATAAAGCAGGATCGTGTGCGGAGAGCGATGAGGGCAATCTCAGAAAAGGCTGTCTGAGGAAAGGACACTCGAGATTAAGGCATTCATGGGACAACAGAGCTGATCTTGAGAGGATCAAGAGAGATCAGCAAGTGCAAAGGCCCAAGACGGGATGGAATAAGGATGGCTCCTAGAGGAACGACTGCAGTTGCAGGAGGCAAGATGGGAGTGGTGCCAGGTACCAGGTTATGCAGAGCCTTGCAAGCAAGGATGAGGACCTCCAGCTTTGTTCTCACAAAACCATTGTGTGATAAAGCCACTGGGAACAGACAGGAGAAGATGCGTGCATTTAAAGCATGACTCGGGCTGGATGGAGGAGAATCTAGATGCAGGATCTGTGTATGAGGCTCTGGTGGTAATGACTCAAAGATGACGGTGTTTGCCCAGGGTGATGGTGCTGGAGGGGCCAAGAGGTGAGCAAGCCCCAGATACAAAAGGGAAGTGAAGCATCAAGGTTGACTTCCCTATTTTAGACAAGTATATTTTAGCTGCTTTTGTCACAGAAAAAAAGTTTGTGAGATGATAAATATCTTAATCTGCTTCTCTATCATAACCACTTTACTATCTATATATATCCTACAATATCATGTTGCATACACCTCAAATATACACATTAAGAAAAAAACAGAGGCAACAATTGACAGCCATAAATCAGACCTCCTACTTCCTCCCTAAAATGGCACTCCTATTACAATTGTTCCCCTTGCATTTAATTAAGGTTAGGAAAAAATATTCCTGCAGGTACACATTACCTTATAAACCCTGTAGATTTAGGTTAAGATGTCAGACTGGCCTGGCATTTTTTTGTATCAGTAAATGCCTCAATAAGGCATAAGCATCTTCACTGAAGGTAAGAACAATCACAGGTATATTCTATTGACCTGTGGTGGGAAGAGGTTTAAGTAAGTCTCAGGTTCCCTTAGGAAGCACCTGGCTACTATGTCTCACAGTTATTAAAGCACCTTAAGGCTGGCAAAAGAAAAGAGCAGCACAAATTTAAGGAGATACTGATTTAATACCGAATATCCTCCTCTTGGCACTTTGGAAAAGCAATGTTACTTTGCATGCCCACTTCAAGTCAGTCTTCTGTCATTTTTGTACATGTGGGCAATGGGTGGAACCAAATCACATCCCTGCGAAATCTTTAAGGAAACATAGAATGAAGCTGCAGAAAAATGAGGTTAAGAGCACATTCACTGTACATACTTCTTGATATTAACATGACATTTCCTCATCTGTCTGAGACGTGGGAAGGTCAATGGCCAGAGTGAAAAAAGCAGGAGGGGAAGGCAAACTTTCCTCCATTCAACAAGTCTTTATTGGGTTCTCCATTTAGGGCAGACCCTGTGCTGTGTGCACTGGAACTGGATGGCTTCTGCCTTCAAGCACTTGCTGTCCTCTGGTGAACACAAATGTCCTCAAAGAATGCCCATCTTTGAGCATTCTTTGCTCACAACTATTCCAACCACTAAGAAGAAAGGAGCTTCTCCCCCCAAAAACCTATGACAGAGGCCGTGTGCGGTGGCTCACGCCTGTAATCCCAGCACTTTGGGAGGCCGAGGCGGGCAGATCACCTGAGGTCAGGAGTTCAAGACCAACTTGGCCAACATGGTGAAACCCCGTGTCTACTAAAAATACAAAAATTAGCTGGGTGTGGTGGTGTGCGTCTATAGACCCATCTACTCGGGAGGCCGAGGCAGGAGAGTCGCTTGAACCTGGGAGGCAGAGGTTGCAGTGAGCTGAGATCACGCCAATGAACTCCAGCCTAGGTGACAGAATGAGACTCCATCTCAAAAATAAAAAATAAAAATAAAAAATTAGCTGGGCATGGTGGTCGGTGCCTATAATCCCAGCTCCTTGGGAGGCTGAGGCAGGAGAATTGCTTGAACCCAGGAGGTGGAGGTTGCAGTGAGCCGAGAGTGCACTACTGTACTCCAGCCTGGGCAACAGAGAGAGACTGTCTCAAAAAAAAAAAACAAACCTATGACAGAGAAATTTCACCTAGTCAGAAAAAGCTAGAAAACCAACTTCACTTTTAATAGGTGCCTGTCTATTCTCTCTTAGAATTCAAATTCCCAGACGTGCCCTCTCCCCAGTTTCCCAGAGCAATATAATTGTAGAGAACATAATATTTAAATGCAGAAACTTGGACCGTTTACTTCTGTCATACACACAGCAAAATGTCTTCAGGTAAGCTCTCCAAGACATGGACTTTTGTCTGACTTTTTCTCTGTCATCCGCAATGCCTAACTCATGTGCAGTGGTCAATAAATATTTGCTTAATGAAACAATTTAAAAGAAACTAAAAAACACCACTCCATTTGCTAGAACATTACGGCTAAAATGACAGTAAGTTTCACTGAAAGGCAATCATGTATAAGTACTCCAATAAAATTCAAATCTGAGTTTTATATAAAAATCAAATGAGATTCTTTACGAGGGAAAAATCAAAGGAGGCCTCACAGGCACGGCGAGACTGGAACGGGCTGCCATTATTTCCTTCACTATTGACTAACAAGCTGAACCCCACTGAACTTCTGACACAGAACAAAACAGCCTTGTTCACAAATATCTGATTGCTGTAGGTGCATCGCCTGTGATGCAGAACCTTCACTTCCCTCCACCCACTTTCAGCAAAATACCGATTCAGACAAGTCCAAGGCCCCGCCGGACAGTTGCAAGCATCACATTCTTCAGACCAGCATTGTGTCTGATACCTAGTGACTAAAGTGGACATCATTATTGGTTGCCCAGAAGCCACTCCACTTTCATTTTGTAAAAGCGTTCGGGTTTTATCTCGGGGAATCTCCCCGCTCCTAGTTTCCATTGGTTTGGATATGATTTGCTGTATCATTATCCTCCATCTTCAAATGTGGTCACATGACCAGGTTCAGCCAATTAGTATATCTCATCTTTCTGCTCATAGTAATTAGTTTAGGAATCAACATATGACTTAAATCCATCCAATAGGATCTAATCTTGGTGCTTTCAACTCTTGGAAAAAAGGTAGCTTTCTTTTCACTGGAGTTCACAAAGATGATAGGACATAAGTCTAACATTGCTGATAATTATCTTAGCAAAATCCACTTGGCAAGAAATATAACAGAGAGCAGAGTTACATAAGCCTATAAATTATTTAAACCTATACATTCAATTTTGCATCATATAATTACAATATAATTATGTATGCATTTTATATATGGGCATATATATATAACTTGTATTTATATATGCATATAAATTACACCTAGAAATTAAGCTTACAAATAAACTTCTTTGGCTTAAGTTAGTGGTGGCTGGGTATTTAGTATTTTCAAATAAGAGTCCAAAAATAGGAAGACAAATGATAAAAAGCATGTAGTCCTGGCAGAATAGGATTACCACAGTTAGCAAATAAAAATACAGAAAGTCTAGCTAAATTTGCACTTCAGATAAACAACTGAAATGACTGGTGTAAGTAGGCCTTCATGAAATATTTAGGCCATACTGATACTAAGGAAAAATATTCATTGACTCTCTGAAATTCAAATTTAGCTGGGCATCCTGTGTTGTATCTGGCAACCATTTGCCCAGAGAAGTAGGGCAAATGGTTTCTGGGCTTACCTTGGCCACCTGTTTGCTGTGTACACTGAAAGTTGTATCATCACCTCTACATTTATGTCTCTTTTATTTGTACACTTTAAAGGGAATATAAATAAATCAAATCATAAAAATAAATTTTTATAAATAATTTATAAAATGATTTATTTATATTAGAGGGGTGTTGGCTCACACCTCTAATCCCAGCGCTTTGGGAGGCCATGGTGGAGGATCACTGGAGACCAGGAGTGAGAGAGCAGCCTAGGCAACATAGCAAGACCCCATCTCTACAAAAAAATGCGAAAAACAATTAGTCACTGCCCACCTACAGTCCCAGCAACTTGAGAAGCAAAGGTGGGAGGATCACGTGAGCTCAGGAGTTCGGGGCTATGGTGAACCATAATCATGCCCCTGCCATCCAGTCTGGGTGACGTAAGAAGACCCTGTCTCTTAAAATAATAAGAAATAAAATACATTTAAATAAACATAGTATACAGACTACCCATTTCAGCAAGAATGCCCAGTTACGAGTAACACAAGAGCCCCCAATGGACTGAAATAAGCACGTCTCTGGTTTCACCCATGCTACCACACAAGGAAGGAAAACAACTCAGGTCAGTGGCAGAGTTGGCCACTGGGAAGTGGGGAGGGAAGTCCTCTTGGATCCCCCCACAACCCTCAGCATTGTCCCACAGGTGGCCAAGCTGGCCACCTCGTCTCACTGTTACATGTTGGACTCAACAGCTCCCCACACAACTTTGCCAAAAGAAAGAAAATAAGCATTCTCTTTTCTATAGCTCTGTGAAGATCAAGAAACCTTCTCAAGGGCATGCCCCATCTGAGCTCTTCACATACATGGGCATGTTCATCCAAGACAAATCACTGGCAAGGAAATGTTTTATTGTTGGTCAAAGCATTTTACGATCAGTCAAAGCCAACCATGATTCACTGGGTGGGGCTAGAAAAGGCCCCTGTGAAACAAATGGCTTCCCAATCCTTTAACAAAATCAATGTTCCATTAGCTGTGGGGGAAGCAGGAGAGGTAACTGTGAGGAAGGTGACGGACAGTGTCTGCACATTCCTGCATTAGTTCATGTGTGCTAAGAGGTCACAGAAACCTCTATTAGGAAAAACATAAAGGGACACTGATTCTTAAAAATGTTTTAGAAAATTGGATGGAATAAAGAAATGAACATGAATCCTAGCTAAACAAAGGGGAGGTCTTGAATCCTACCCTGCTTCTGTGGCTTCAGGCAGATCTCCTCATTTTTCTCTGCCCCAGTCTCCTACTTTATAAAACAAGAAACAGAGTTCTAACTCACGAAGAGTGGGGAGGATTAAATGATACCCTACAGGTTAAGCACTTATCAGAGTGCCTGGCAAAGAAGGCATTTCAAATGTCAGATGCTGATACCATCTTGAAATGCTCAGCAAAAGACATAATTAAAAAGTCTCTCACCAGAGTGAAAAATAAAGTGTGTTCTTTTAAACTATAAAAATAAGTGAGTTCCAAAAAAAAACATTGCCACAGCAGAGTCCCACATGGAAGCCGCCGCTGTTAGCCACCTGCCGTCCTCCCATCAGGCTCCACGGGGACTACTTCAAGGAGTCTGAGTCTGGGTCATTGTACTCGGAGTTAAGAGTTGGTGGGATAGAAAGTCGGCCCATAATGGTTTGCTTTGAGACCTTAAAGTCATTTACATAGGCCACTGCGCAGCCAGCAGACGGCAATGCCTTCTGGTCACTATCGATGTGGGACATTTCTTAACCAGTAACCTGGAGGTTAAAAGCTCCTTGTCCCATTACCAAGTCCTTGAAGTGCTTTACATGAACGGGGGGAAAATCTACCTTCCGGATCATAAAACACACGCTGTACATCTTGAGGTCTCTACTTACTCAGCAGATGGCCCTTCTAGTCTCACTCTGTTTCTAAATCTGTGGGCCAGGCTGCCCTGATGTGTTCCTCAACAGTGCACAGCTCCACGGCGCTGAACACTGAATTGCCCTGTTGTCTCTTGTTTTATTATGAAATCACCATTCCATGTCTCAGTCTCCTAGGGCTTGTCTCCTGGATGCCCCAGAGGAAGAGATGGCAGATTGTAATGTCCAAAGCAGTCAATGGGAAGGACTCACTCCGGACTACTTTTTCCTTTTTAAAATATGTACAATGGATTTTATTCTACCTAGAAAATGTATATAGAAACACTAAACAAAAGAAGTTCCAGAACAGAATTAAAACTATGCAGCATTCCTATTTCCTCCAATAAAAATTTATATAATTGACCCTTGTTAGCAAAAATTTTCAACAATGGAAGCATTGAGAATATTCAGTAAAACAAAAAACAAAACCATTTTGAATATTAAATATAAAATATAGTTGCTTGCTAATTGAATTCTTTTTCAAATATGGAAACACACAATTGCTTTTTATTACCCTTTCATTTTTTTACATTGTTTTGTATTTGTTCTTATATTCAAATGAACAGGCTATTTTCAAATTAACACACAGTACGACCTGTAGTCACATTAGTAATGAGAAAGACGTTTACCTTCCAGACATTGCAAATTTCCTAAAACATTCATTAACTAATATTTTCTTTGCTCAAACCCGCATCCCATTTCTTCTTTGACATTCATATTCATTCCCTTAGTTTCCCTGCTTCTGATTCCAATACCAAGAGTAGATTCTCTCTCCAAGGAAATAAACAGCAATAATGCCAGAGAGGGAGAAGATTTAGACCATCTTGTCATCCTCATCACCGCTGGCTCCCACTATCCTTATTCCTACCTTACCTCAAAGACCTTACAGAAAAAAAGAATCTACCTGTAGGATAATAGATTCACTACCTGGCTTATTCAGATGCAATACCCTGCCTACGTCATAGTTATTTTACAGTTACAATGCCTACATGTCATACAATACCCTGATCTAGAATTATCAACATAGAAAATACTTATTCATAACCTTGCTTATACCATTATCTTTATACTAACTTGGTGCAAAAGTGACTGCAATCTTTGCCATTACCTTTAAAAGCAAAAACCGTAATTACTTTTGTACCAACCTGATAACCTTGCAAGGCAAGTAATGTGACAGTTACCCATTTTGCAGATGACCAAGTCCAGGCTGAGAGATAACTGGCTTGCATGATGTTACAGGCTTAGTAAGCGTCAGCGTGAGATTATGACGCAGGAACATCTGATTTCAAAACCCTTCCTGTGTGAATCACCAGGCTATGCCAGTGGAGGTTTCCATGAGGTCTGGACTTATCCTCATTTTGAACCCACAGCCTCTATTCAAACCAGATATAACTATACCCATTTGTTTTATTGTGTTGTTGCTTGACATACTGTATTTGATAAAATTAGAACGAGGTCACCTTACCTCAGGAATGGAAAACAAAACATTGTATGTTCTCACTCATCAGTGAGAGCTAAGCTACAAGAATGCGAAGCCTAAGATGATATAATGGGCCGGGCATGGTGGCTCACACCTGTAATCCCAGCACTTTGGGAGGAAGAGGTGGGCAGATCACCTGAGGTCAGGAGTTTGAGACCAGCCTGGCCAACATGGTGAAACCCTGTCTCTACTAAAAATACAAAAATTAGCCAGGCATGGTGGTGGGCACCTGTAATCCCAGCTACTAGGAAGGCTGAGACAGGAGAATCACTTGAACCCGGGAGGCAGAGGTTGCAGTGAGCCGAGATCATGCCACTATACTTCAGCCTGGGCAACAGAGGGAGACTCCATCCCAAGGGGGAAAAAAAAAACGTACAATGGACTTTGGGAACTTGGAGGAAGGAGTGGGACTGTGTGTTAACTTGAAAATAGCCTGTTCATTTGAATATAAGAACAAATACAAAACAATGTAAAAAAATGAAAGGGTAATAAAAAGCAATTGTGTGTTTCCATATTTAAAAAAGAATTCAATTAGCAAGGAACAATATTTTATATTTAATATTCAAAATGGTTTTGTTTTTTGTTTTACTGAATATTCTCAATGTTTCCATTGTTGAAAATTTTTGCTAACAAGGGTCAATTATAAATTTTTATTGGAGGAAATAGGAATGCTGCATAGTTTTAATTCTGTTCTGGAACTTCTTTTGCTTAGTGTTTCTACAAATCGGATTCAGGGTATACTGCTCTGGTGATGGGTACACCAAAGTCTCAGGAGTCACCACTCAAGAACTCACTCATGTAACCAAACACCACTTGTTCCCCCAAAACCTATGGAAATAAAAAATACATAAAATTAACAAAAAAAAAAAAAAAACAGAAAATAACTATGCCCCTTTTAAGAGAGATATCCAATAGTCATAAAACAGGAAAAAGGCCTAGATCCAGAACCTACATTGCAACATGGGTGGCACTGAGCTAGCTCTTAAAACCATCGACTTATTTCCTTTCTGTGTTTCCTGATCAGCTCCTGAGACTTCAGTGCTCCTCTCTCTTTGTTCAAGTAAGGTCTCTGTTTCTCTCATCTCTAAGAGGGCATTTTTTTAGACAGATGTTCAGGAACAGGAGCTCTCTGGGGTCTGTTTTCTGCTGAGAAACCATGGCTTGAGTTATGGGTCTGTGGGCCCACGTGGAAGATGTGTTCCACATATCATATGTGATTTGAAGGTACGAAAGCCATAGATAGCATACATTGCTTAGCAATTTTCAATGAAGCGCTTGTAGTAATATTTCTAGTGTAATTAGATTCATGACCTGCCACAGGGAACAATTTCTTCCACTAACTTATCTGGACTACAGATACAAGCATAAACACTCCAGTGGGGCCTCTAAATTCTGACCCCAACTTGAGCTGATCTGACTTTCATCTCATGCCAGAAGCTGCTTTCTGAATTATGGCAGCTTTCCTGCTTCTACCTTGAAGTAAACAGGCCTCTGGGAGTTTCAACAACCACTTAAAACTTTTCCATGCATATTTGGATGAAGCAAACAGCAGCTAGTTAAAAAGAGAGAGAGAGAGAAAGACAGAGAGCAGGAGAAAAGATGAGGGGGTGGGAGGAATACAGAGACAGAAAGAACTAAGCTGTCCTCAGCTTCTTCCTCCTATAAATTAATTATCAAAGCCACTATTAATTATGTTATTCCATTGGATTGACTCAGACAATATTATGCCAGCATATATTTTACATTTTAATATGACACAGGATTTTATTAGTGTATTCCATCAGCTTTGATGGATACCTAGATCTTCAGGGTGTTTTTCTTCTCCTGGCCAATAAAGGAAAACCATAAAGGATATTACAAATTTAAACAAGTGTGGGAAGTGTGAAAATCATTTAGAAACCCAAGGAATGGCTATTCACATTGCAAGAGTAGTTCAGCTATTGAGTTGTCTATATTAAAGCTTTTTCTTTTCTCCTTTTAAGCAAGTAACTTCTATACCATCTTAGTAATGCTCTTCAAGGATTTCAAGACACAGTTCAGCCAAACTGCAAAAGAACCATTAAATGCAGAGGTACCTTGTTAGTTCTCCCCCTTACTACTTAATACAGGCAAAGAAAGAAGTGAGACCTAAAACATAAATGTATTCTTCACTCCCTCATACCCACACTGTGTAGTTTTCCTGGTTCACAGCAGTGCCTGTGTAGCCTCATTAATACCTCCCCCTCTTCTAACAAACAAATCTGTTTCAATTACGATTGTGATATTTGGGCTGTAATCTATTAAATGCATGAAGATGGAGAATGACATAAAAGACTGATTATAGGCCAGTTGCAGTGGCTCACTCCTGTAACCCCAGCACTTTGGGAGGCTAAGGCAGGTGGATAACCTGAAGTCAGGAATTCAACACCAGCCTGGCCAACATGGTGAAACCCCATCTCTACTAAAAATACAAAAATTAGCCGGGTGTGGTGAAGCGCGCCTGTAATCCCAGCTACTTGGGAGGCTGAGGCAGCAGAATTGCTTGAATCCGGGAGGCAGAGGTTGCAGTGAGCCGAGATCGTGCCACTGCACTCCAGCCTGGGTGACAGAGTGAGACTCCGTCTCAAAAAAAGAAAAAAAACAACTAATTATGCAACAGGAATTATGCAATTCCTGAAAACAAATGGTGTCGCGGGGTTCCTTAAGCCTGGCCACAAACTTGGGAGAACACCCCAAATAGATGTCCACCTCCTCTTCTATATACAGGAAGAGTAAGGGAGGAAAAGAGATTCAGCAAATATGTATTTATGGAGGGATGATGAATAAGGAAACCATAGTCATAGTCCTGCCCTTCAGACCTGACGTTCTAGTAGGATCTTGTAGATTTCATAGAAGATTCTCCTTTCTGAATCTGTAAGGAAGAAGGACCCATCCTGGAGAACAGCAGGAACATCTAAGCTGGGAGAAAAAATACCAAGAGGCTAGCACAAATGTAGGGCGCCCAAGGTGTCAATCAATGAATTGCCGGAAAATGTAAATAATTCAGCTGCACGTCAAGACAACCTGACATGCTGCAAATGGTCTCAGGTGAGGAAAACTGGCTCATTCATTCATTCAAGAAATATGTGGAGGCTTCTGATGTCCTAGGCACAAATCTAGCTCTTAGGGATAGAGAGATAGATAAACAAGACCCATTCCCCAGCTCTCATGCGGTTTAGATTCCAGCCGTGGAAAGAGGAAGGGAAAAGATCATTAGGACCAGCAATGAGATAATTTCCGTAAGTGTGTCATGCTGTGGGTGAAATAAACAGAATATGCAGAGAAAATAAAGGGGGACAGGAATAACACCTCTCTGTGATGTTGGCCTTGCAAGAGCTAGCATTCATTTGGTTCATTTGGGAAGGAAAACATAGAGAACAGAGCTGGTCAACATAGGCACTAATTTTATCTTATTTTTTTTTTAATGGAAAACAGAAAGGAAAGAATTTCCAGAAGTAGAGCTCCACTTCTCACCTGGGCACTGTTGTTTACACATGCCTTGAGATAGATCCTCACAACTTCAACTCTTCTCTCCTGGTTCTCTGCCAGGCCCTTTAAGTGTTAATCAATGATGGTTCTCACTCTGGGTAAAAGTCATAACAATCTGGGTAAACTTCCTGGGGATTCTGTTAATCCAAAATTGAGGACCTCAGGTGCACACAGATCTCAAGATCCTCTCTTCAACCCTCTCTGGTCTCACGATATGCTTCCTCTCAGCATTACCTCCAGCAGCCTCAGCTGTGAGCTCTAGGCTGCTAACATCACATAATTTCCTATGACCAAAAGCCATGATTTTTCATCATCTACCATTCCAACACCTTGCCCCACAGTGCATAGAATCGCGCTCTACATCTGCTGAATTGACAGAGAAATGCTCACATTTCAGGAGCTATGATTTTGAATGTCTGCGATCCCCTAAGAGTTTGGCATATTTTCTTACCTCCATCTGAATCAGTTACTGCTCAATAAGCCTTTTGTTCAGTGCACATAATCAGGACTTATTTGTATAGCAATTTAGAGTTGGCAAACCACTTTCATGAAGATTCACATTTTACCAAGCTATTAGGCCATAAACGTTCTCCAAATAAGTTCTATCCTCCCAACATTGCTAAAGTGCAGGTAAGAGAATCGACTATCTTTCTCCAGTCTTAAAGGTAATCAACAGATAACCTGCATCTCTTATGGGGGTGGCTGTATAAAGTGTCAGTATTCTACATTTTGCCCAACCCAGGAAAGCAGCAAGACACAGCTATTCAAACCTGGAAGAAAAAGACCCAATGCATATCTAGCATCTGCCTCATCTAAGGGATGCTCACAGGCACCTTACTCACATTATTTCACCCAGTCAGCACCAGCTGCAGAATTTCTGGGGCCTTATGTAAAAATGAAAATGCATGTCCCATCACGGAATAATTACTAAGAATTTCAAGATGGTAAAAGCAAAGCATTAAAGCATACACGGGTACTTCTAAGAACAGAAACCTGTGCGTCTGCAATGAATCCTCCTAGCAAAACTTCAATGTTCCTCATGTTACATAGGAGGCAAGATTAAGTTACTTGCCCAAGGACACACATCTGGTAAAGGGAACAACAGACATTCAAATCCAAAGTACACCTCGTCTATTTACTGGCTACACAAGCAGCCACACACATCCGCGCACGCGCGCGCACACACACACATACACACACAAAGAACTTAATTGATTTTACTCCAAAAATTAAGGAGGCCCCCAAAGCGCCTAACAAAATGAGAAACCTTAATGACTTCATGCCCTTTAGAACTGCTAAGTATTTGTTTGCATTTCATTAAATTTGCAAAGTAAAACTTGATTTAAAATTCCAAGGCTCCATTTCAATGATCTACATTTGGGGCCTCGATGAGATGGCTGAACAAATGAGGTGTGAGGCCCCCTTTTCTTTTTTTTCTTCTACGTTGTGAGCCTTGGAATTTTTTAATGAAAAAATTTCAAGGCACATGAATCATTACGTGGCAGGGAGGGGGGTGGAAATACTAAAACCTGATTGCATTATTGAATTCTAAAACTGCTCCACATTAGATGAAACTACTTCAAATCTCTAGGGAAAACATCCCCACTCCACCCTTGTGGTTTTAATTGATAGGCAATCTTTCTCACTATTAGATAAAGCGAAGTATGGCAAATGAACTTTACTCTGGATCTCTCCAGCTTTTTCTAGCTGGGTCTCCCATGCTAACTGTGTCCTGCCTGTTCTACATCACCAGCATTTTAGAGAACACAGTCACTCGGTGAGGTAGCCTTAGTCAAAGGGGATTCATCTACTACCTAGGTGCCAGGAACATGACTCTTATTGGTCCTAATTTGATAAGGTTTTCCTGCCTTGAGGGTGGTGAGATTCAACCTGAGACTCAAAGAAGAATGAGCCATCCATGCCAGTAGCTGGGGGATGAGTGTTCCAGGAGGTGGGAGCAGAACAAAATTCTAAGACTAGAATGAGCTTGAGGAGTTTGAGAAATAGAAAAGTGAAACAAAATGAACAAGGAAGTATGACCAGCACATTGGCAGTTTGTTTGTTTGCTTATTTTGAGACGGAGTCTCACTCCGTCGCCCAGGCTGGAGTGCAGTGGCGCTATCTTGGCTCACTGCAACCTCTACCTCCCAGATTCAAGCAATTCCCCTGCCTCAGCCTCCCAAGTAGCTGGGATTACAGGTACATGCCACCACACTCGGCTAATTTCTGTATTTTAGTAGAGACGGGTTTCACCATGTTTGCCGGGCTGGTGTCGAACTCCTGACCTCAGGTGATCCACCCGCCTCGGCCTCCCGAAGTGCTGGGATTACAGGCTTGAGCCACCGTGCCCAGTCTACACTGCCAGTTTAGAAACCAGCCTTTGGCTTCTGCCAAAGGGAGGGTCTGAGAATGGCAACAGTGGATCAGGAAGATCAATTTAGGAGAAGGCTGTAGGAGACCCTTGAGAGCTGGGACTGAAGGCAAGGTCATAGCAATGGAGATGACTAGAAGTGGGGGGATTTGAGATTCTTATTTTGAAGGTAGAAACATACAATTTGTTGATAGACTGAAAGGAGAAAGAAGGAATCAATCATAATGCCTAGGTTTTAATTTCAGCAACTGAGTGGATGGTGACACCAATTACAAACTTGGGAAAGATTTTGGTGCGAGGACTGGGGAGGCTTTTGAGTTGAACGTAACATGTTCAAGGAGGCATTAAGTCTGATGTCCCTTCCATTCCTTGTTTTTTTCTTTTTTTCCCCAACCTTGATGGCATCTTGAAAATCAATTTCTTTTCATCTTTCTTGCCCCCATCCCCTCTAGTTTTAATTGTTGGGTGTTTTTGAGGTAGCTCCTATTGGGGACCTTTAAATTCAACATGGGTACATATGTGTAGAGGTGGACACACAGCCTCTCTGGCTTTGACCCATGAGTGAATTAGAATTCTGGCATGCTGAGTAGCTAGGAGTTTTGCAGAACCATGTCCAGGGACCCTGGAATGCTCCCGGGTGCTTGGGACTGGATCTGTATGGGAAAGGGTTGTGTTAGGTCATAGCTTGGGATCACAGAAAAGCAAAACTGGCCTGTACTTATGAGAGCACAGAATGGTAAGGAAGGAAAAGTATGAAAAACAATCACCACCATCAACAGCGGCCAGCAGAGGACGCTAAGAGAGCATGCAGCCAGCAAGACAGAATATCTATGAAAGGAGGCTCTGAAGAGGTCCTTTTAGGTAACAGTTGGAGTGGGATGGAAAAGGCCCTTCAACAAAGTATTTCTCTGGCTCTCTATCCATGCAAATTCTGATTCCGTGGGTGGAAGCTGGGGCCTGAGTCTCTGTATCTCTAACAAGCTCCCAAGGCGATGCTGATGCAGTGAGTCTACAGATGGCCCTTGGGGTGGTGAAGCTTTAATGCACGACCAGTGGGAGGAGGAGGAGCTAAGGATGTTGTGGCGAGATAAACATGAAGAGCCACGTGATGCCATGCTTCAGAATCGTCTACCATTTCTTGATGCCTCTCAGATACTAACAGTTTTACTGCCCATGTTTCTGCAACGAGGTGGAGCTTGAATCGCCACTTAAAGCTCAAAACAGTACTTAGACGATGCTCACTTCTTTATTAAGACAGGGACACTCCGGAAGGTTCAGTAAAGGTATAATGAACAGCAAAGATGATGATATCACTTTCAAAAAAATAACAGCTTGATTCAGTATAGTGAAAAGTTTGCCCTTTTACTTTTGAATCCTATTCCATGCCCAGCATCGTCCTAAGGACTTTATATTTTACACTTGTGAAAACAGTCACCTACTCTCTCTAAAAGCAGAAAATGCCAGTATCAGTAGCCACTGGGAAGCCATCCAGAGGAGGGGTTCTCAGCCAAGGCACTCTTTGGTTGTCATAACTAGAGGGGGTTTTACCAGCATCTACGGCTGCCAACCATCCTACAATGTACAGGACAGCTCCCACAGTGAAAATCATCTAGCCCCAAATGTCAATAGTGTTGAGGTTGAAAACAGCTGATCTACAATTTTGGAGGCTAATCTGGACTTACTTTCCATTATCACCCATTGAACAGCTAAAAATGGAAAGACTCAAATAATATTTTCTTCAGTGTATTTTAAAAAGAAGCGTGGATTCCTATCTGCTGTGAGCACCCAAGAAGCTCCTGCTGTGCCAAGCTGAGTCTCTCCTGGCTTCTCCTGCCTCCACCCCCTCCCACAGCACCAGACCCATGGGAATTCAACAAATGTTTGCTGTTTTCGGGGTGATATAAAGGGTCAGAAAGGTGCTTCAGGCTACGTAAGCACCATAGTTAGAACACAGCTTGGATCCCCATGTAAAGCCAATTAGCTGGACGCTGTCTCTGGCCTTAGATTATCATCTTAACCTCCACACTGCTACCTTGCAAATAAATGCCTTTGGTCACAAAGGAGATCCTGGGAGAGTATAGAGCTGGATTAGTGCAAATTCATCCTCAGTCAGGTGAAAAATCAGTCAAAATACCTGCCCCAGGAGTGAGAGAGTCTTGTCAAGGCCACATACAAGAAAAGCAACACCATTAATTATTTTAATGATTACAAAGTCTGGTTGGCTTCTTTTTTCTTTTTTTCCTTTGCAAACTGTGATTAGTCTATTTTTAAATATACTACTGGCTTTTCTCCTCCTGAGGTTTTAAATAATGGACGTATGCCATAAACATTGAAAATACTACAGGTAAGGTACAAGAGACTCCCTCTTTCAGGTTAAAAACAAACATTTAGGCTCTCTAAGAGGGAAAGTGGATAATTTCATCTGGATAAAATGAAATATGCCAAAGGAAATATAGGATTTTCAGCAATCCCATTACTGGGTATATACTCCCCAAAAAAGAAATCATTATAATACAAAGACACACGCACACATATGTTCACTGTAGCACTATTCACAATAGCAAAGACATGGAATCAACCTAAATGCCCATCAATGACAGATGGAATAAAGAAAATATGGTACATATACACCATGGAATACTATGCAGCCATTAAAAAAAACAAGATTGTGTCTTTTGCAGGGACATGGATGGAGTTGGAGGCCTTTATCCTTAGCAAACTAATGGAGGAACAGAAAACCAAATACTGCATGCTCTCACTTATAAGTGGGAGCTAAATGATGAGAATGCATGGACACATAGAGGGGAACAACACACCCAGGGCCTTTCCTAGGGTGGAGGGTGGGAAATGGGAGAGGATCAGGAAATATAACTAATGGGCAGTAGGCTTAATACCTAGGTGATGAAATTATCTTTACAACAAACCCCCATGACACAAGTTTACCTGTGTAACAAACCTGCACTTGTGCCCATGAACTTTAAAGTTAAAAAAAAAAGAGATACTATGATTAAAAAAAATAAAATGCAGGGTCTTATCTCACTGGCTTGTAGCCATGATGTCCAGGACTTCTCTTGGCTTTTCCTAGAGGGAATTCATTTTCCAGAATACAAATAGACTCCACAGGTACAACAGACCACAGGTGGACAAACTATTCTGTCAAGCACTTGCATAAGAGGGATGATTCACAGTTTGTTCCAATAAATATGTGAAGTCAAATGTCAAGCATCAAAAACATCTATCTGAGCTGTTTTTAAATTATGTGGCTATTGCTCAGAGGACTGTGCATAATGGAATATCCATCAAGGCTAAACAAAGACACCTATCTGGCCCCTGCTCATGAGAAAAGCTGACAGCATCGTGCTTCTCCACGGAAGACTGATGTGGGCAGAAGCTGCAGCGTGAGCCTTGACATGTGTCACCTCCCTTGGCTACAGATGCATTACAAGAAATTACATGGGATGCTATCAGAAAATTGAAAATCCAATGCATGTTTCACTTAGTTACTGTAATTCTTCAATGCTATTCCGATCTTGTGCAAATTAGAAGCCACTTATAGCTCCAAAGCCTGACAGAAGACTGAATGAGGTTTTCATTATGCTTTTAATAGGTTTATTGGGAAATTTCCTATTAAAAGGTACTTGAGGAGAATGATGTGTTAGATCTCTGCATTAAAAGAGATCTCCAAGAGGTAAGCAAAATGGTACCCTAAATTTGCCACAAACTGAAGCAGGAAGCCCATCTCTGGATAGGAACAATATGCCTAATAAATTATCATTAACAGAAAATTAAAAAGAGAATAATTTTCTAATTATGATCCCAGCACTTATAGTCCATGGCATTCTAATGGATATAATCTGTAGAGTCTAATTTGTTGATCCATGCTATAGGAATACATGCTTCAGAACTAGTACAAACCAAAAATGGTAGGTGTGACCACACACAGTGGCTCACACCTGTAATCCCAACATTTTGGGAGGCTGAGGCAAGAGGATCACTGGAGGCCAGGAGTTCGAAACCAGCCTGGACAACATAGGTAGGTAGGTAGAGATATATATATATATATATATATAGCTGAGTATGGTGTTGCACACCTGCAGTCCCAGCTACTGAGGACACTGATGTGGGAAGATCGCTTGAGCCCAGGAGTTTGAGGCTGCAGTGAGCAGTGAATGCACCACTGTACTCCAGCCTAGGCAAAAGAGCAAGACCCTGTCTCTAAAAAACAAAACCAACAAACACACAAGTGAAAAGCAAAAGTATCAGGTGCACAGGTAGTCTTCTACTTAAGAGTTTGGGAGCAAACTTTGAGCTTTCCCACATCACCACCACCACTACCGCTGCTACCACCATCCTGGAGTCCCTAAAACTGCTTAACAATTGTTCATATGATATAAGATACATGCATGATTTGGGGCAATTATCATCCTCCAAGAGAGAACAGAATCACTTGGATGCTTATGGTAAGTGTCCTTTAGCTATAAATAAAGAGGCCACTTCTCAATAGCAAAGGGAAGAACAGCAAGTCTATAGAAACATTTTCCTCCACAAACAAGGACAGCCTTCATTTTGTGAGCATTGGGATCACCTCCTGAAAGGAAACCACAGTAATGCATTGTGATTTGATGAAATAATACTTGAGACCATCAATCTGACTTATGAACATAATGGTCAATTAAGATAAAGCACTTCTCATCTGGTACACAAACCCATCTATAATGGCTAAGAATATGTTTTCATTAAAACATCATGTACAGAAAACTCAGCTCTCAACTCTGTTTCCATAGAAACATGCAATTCCACTTTTCAAGGCACTCAATGACAGCTCCTTTCTCTTACAAGTTATTCCTGAAGAGCATTTGTAAACAAAAACGTTAAGAGGGAAATCTTTGGACAAAGTGTGGCCCAGACACAGAAGTAAGTGGAGCTTACTGGTTTTAACTTCAGCTCCATTATCCCAAATATTTATTTCATGAACTCATGCACTTAACAAATATTAAATATCTACCAAGAGCCGAGCTGAAAAAATACTATTACCTTGCTCAGGAGCTGGGAGAAAGGAATTAGAATGAAAACTAAAAACTGCTTCAGGAGTAACAGAGGAGGGAAGAGAGGGAAGAGCTCCTTGCAGTCAGAGAACATCAGGGGAATTTTGAGGAAGCCCCGAAGAATGAGTTGAGTCTTGAATGACAGAGACGATCTACAAACAAAAAGGAGATGGACAGGAGGAGATCTCAGCTACTAACAGTAAGTGAGAAGAAGTGGAAAATATGGAACAATTTAGGAGAAGGCAGTAATTTGGTCTAGATGAAGCCAGAGATTAGAGAAGGTAAATGGATTCCTCATTCACTCATTCCTTCATTCACTCATTCATTCAACCAATCAGTACTCACTCTGTTTCTGGCATTCATCTATGTGCTGGTCAAAAGGCAGAGCCATTGCCTTCCTGAAAGTTATCTTCTAGGGGAACTTGGAATGTTCTGAGTGTTTTTCTAAAGAGTTGGATTTTTTTGGCCAGGCATGGTGGCTCACGCCTGTAATCCCAGCGCTTTGGGAGGCCGAGGCGGGCGAATCACAAGGTCAGGAGATCGAGACCATCCTGGCTAACATGGTGAAACCCCATCTCTACTAAAAATACAAAAAATTAGCCACGTGCGGAGGCGGGCGCCTGTAGTCCCAGCTACTCGGGAGGCTGAGACAGGAGAATGGCGTGAACTCAGGAGGTGGAGCTTGCAGTGAGCCAAGATCACGCCATTTCACTCCAGCCTGGGTGACAGAGCAAGACTCCGTCTCCAAAAAAAAAAAAAAGAGTTGGATTTTTTTTTTTTTTTTTTTTTTTTTTTGCAGCAGCAGCAACAAGGATCTCTGAAGGGGGTTATATAGAAAAGCTGATTTTTTAGAGAAATTAATCAGGGATCGAGAAGTAAGACAGGCCAGAAGCAAGAAGCAGTATTCCAGGTGATGAGATTATAGATTTTTTTTTTCTTTTGAGCTCACCCAGGCTGGACTGCAGTGGCATGATCTCAGCTCACTGCAACCTCCACCTCCCAGGTTGAAACCATTCTTCTGCCTCAGCCTCCCGAGCAGCTGGGACTACAGGCATGAGCCACCATACCTGGCTAATTTTTATATTTTTAGTAGAGATGGGGTTTCACCATGTTGGTCAGGTTGGTCTTGAACTCCTGACCTCAAGTGTTATGCCTGCCTCACCCTCCCAAAGTGTGCTGAGATTACAGATTTTTAAAAAAGAGTTCTTTCACCTTTTCTCCAAATAGATCAGCATACAATAATTACACAATGGAGAAAAATGAAATTAATTTTAAAAGAAACTTATTGTAATATTACAGTAAGAGAATTAAAGAGGGCTGAAAAGAATATTTTGGAATTTGGAAGAAATTAGAAAGGAAAATATTTGGGAGTGAAATAAACACAGCTTAGTGGTGGATTGGACAAGCAGGGAAAGACAGGAAGTCACAAAAATGATGTAGGAAGTGTTGAATGGAACTTAGAGCAGTATATGAACAAAACCACAGGACGCAGAGGATGAACATAGTTGGAAGAGAAATGGAGGTGAGTTTGGTTTTGAGTGTGGTCCCTAACAGATAACCCAGGGGGAGGAGACAAGCGACAAGCAGAAATCAAAGACAATCTAAGAGAGCAGTCAGGGTTATGCCCAGAGATCTGAAAGAAAGGAATAGCCTCTCAGCTCTTCCGTATCGCCCTTGTAAAAGAACAACCCTCATTTTTATCTCATAAAGTGTTAGGGAGGATTAGAAGGGTTTACATATGGAGGGCACTGAGAAAAGAGGCTGACATTTAGAAGGTGCTCCAAAAGCAGCGGCCATGGTGATGGGCTAAGGTACTGCAGGGAAATGCAAAAAGACAAAGGAGGGTCAAGTTCAGGAGCACCACCTCCATTTAGCCTGTGCCTGAGAGAGAAGACATGGGGATGGACACAGAGAATTAAGAGGATGAAAATGACGCAGAGCTCCAGTCTCACAACAATGTGGGAGGGCAGAGAGTCAAGTCACAGTGTGGGTCAGTGTCCTCTGACGCTGCAGAGAGCTTGGGGAGAATACGAGCTGAGACTACACATTGACCACTGGAGTGTCCCTTGGTCACCTGTGAGATGGTTATTTGCACAGCACTCAGATTAAAAGGGTAGTAAATGGGTGACCAGAGATAAGAAACCAAACCACAGATTGCTCTTTTTTCAGAAGTGAGAAGGAAACACAGCTTGAAGAAATGAAAGATGCTAAAGATGTTTTGCTTATAGGATGAGGTACTCCTGGGCCAGAAGGGAAGATCTACTAGAAGGAATGGGATTGACTCTATCCTTGACAAAGGGGACAAGTAAGAGATCCAAGTTACACAGACAGGAGGGAAGGAGTTGGGATCAAGACAGGGAGGCAGCAAATCTTTTCTGGCTTAATTGTTGCTCCTCTCATTGCCCAGGTGAATGAACAGAGGATACTTGGGAATGTGAATGGATGATCCTGCTACAGGCCACCCTACAGGAGAAAGTAGAAGCATTTCTGGCTGGGCACAGGGGCTCACACCTGTAATCCCAGCAGTTTGGGAGGCCAAGATGGGTGGATCACTTCAATCCAGGAATTCGAGGCTAGCCTGGCCAACACAGCAAGACCTCGTGTCTACAAAAAAAATATTAAAAAATTAGCCATGCATGATGGCACATGCCTGTAATCCCAGCTACTCATGGGGCTGAAGCAGGACAATCGCTTGAACCCAGGAGGTGGAGGCTGCAGTGAGCCAAGATTGAGTCACTGCACTCCAGCCTGGGTGAGAAGCATGAAACTCCGTCTCAAAAGAAAAAAAAAAAAAAAAGTCATTTCCAGTGGAAAAAAAACCTTAGAAGTTTACGAATTATCAGACAGTAGTATCTTAACAAAGATGGTGTAAGAAGACTTGATTCTCTTCTGCAGCAAAATGCATGCCTCCCAAACATTCAGAGAAATCAAAGGGAAAACGTGGGGAGAAGAGCATTTGGTAAGACAAATTAACACAATATTCCGTATTTTTTCCAGCTGAATCTTGAGAGGAGCAGTTCCTTCCTCTGCTCTCATCAAGACCATCTTTGAAGAGCTTCAGAGATACACCTGCTAAGAGAGACTGATGGAATTCTATTCAATTATTTCCTTTGTCCACCCTTTTCTGCTTCCTTCCTCCTGAGAAGGGAGAATCACTGACATGGCATTTGGATAAAAATGGGGAACAGGACAGGAGAAGGAGAAACAAAAACAGATACATAAGGAGAAATCAAGAAAAAAACGACCAAGAAACAGAAAGAGTGAGGAAGAGAGCAAGAAAGAGGCTAGTAGAGAAAAGATGGCATGGCCAAGCCAATCTATATTCATGGACAATCACAGAGGAGAGGAGAAAGCAGTTACATGGGTGCTGACAATTTGGGGGATAACTTTTCCATTTCTTCATTGTGTTTTTTTGTTTCAAACACCATGCAGAGCCTGAGACCAGTGGGCTCTTGGGATTGAGCAGGGTAATAGTATCTTAAATACAAACACATGACTCTCTTCAGGCTGAACTGTGCTGAATGGGCAGGTTGTAAGAGATTTCTCTTGCAGCGGGTGGTCAAAAGTCTCCTGGAACATCCCACATGGAGAAAGTGACTTGGGCAAGACCACACAGCCAGAAAGCAGCAGAGTTGGGACCTCACCTTGGTCTGTGTGATGCAGAATTCTGTGTTTCCACCTCCTTATACTTCCTGAAACGATCGTATCACTCAGGAAAATAACAGTTGCCTCATGCTTAGTTGGCCTGAAAACTACTGATTTCAGTGGGCAGAGAGGGGATGTCCTTGGATTCAGTCCTCAGGACCATGGTCCCTGCTGAACACAGAAAGCTTTAATTCACATAAAGCTCACACAGCAGAGCCTGGGACACAGTACTCTATAGAACTGCTATCAATAACAATAGCGGTAATAAAAACAACACTAATAACTGTATATAGTAATAATAATAATTGCAGGTAACAGACTTCAAGATGGTGCCCCACAATCTCTGCCTCCTGATGTTCACACATTTGTATGACTCCCTCCTCTTCAGTGTGGGCAAGTCCTGTAATTTGCTTCTAACCAATAAAATATAGCGAAGGTGATTGGATGCTGCTCTTTTACGTATTTATTTATTTGAGACGGAGCCTCACTCTGTCGCCCAGGCTGGAGTGCAGCGGCGCAATCTCGGCTCACTGCAACCTCTGTGTCCTGGGTTCCAGCGATTCTCCTGCCTCAGCCTCCCAAGTACCTGGGACTACAGGTGCCTGCCACCAACCCTTGCTAATTTTTTGTATTTTCAGTAGAGACGGGGTTTCACCATGTTAGCCAGGATGGTGTCGATCTCCTGACCTCGTGATCTGTCCGCCTCAGCCTCCGAAAGTGCTGGGAATACAGGTGTGAGCCACCATGGTGCTCCTATTATTATGTTATCTGACATAAGATTCCATCTTCCCAGCAGATTTGCCCTGGTCGTTCTCTCTCCCCTTCCTGGCTTTAAAAAGGCAAACATGCCACAAATCCTATGACTGCAAGGAACTGAATGTTACCATATGAGCAGGGAAGTAGATCTATACCAGTTAAGCCACCATATGTGAACCCAACCAGGCTGACACGTTGACTTCAGCCTTATGAGCCTCTAAAGATGTTAAAACAATAATGGTATTGGAACTGGCTACCTATGTTACATATGACCCAATACAAAATAAAAACATGGGGCCCCCTTGTTCAAAATGATTTAGAGTTGCCAGAAAGGCAACAGCAGAACATCAAACCAAGTGCAGGGTGTGGCTGGGCAGGGGCCCAGACCGCACACCCATCAAATGGGCCCTAAGTCATATTCTGTTAATTTAATATCAATATTAACGATAGAACTAGAATTCAAATGCAGGTTTGTTTGACATCAGGGATCTCAAAAATACAGCTTAGGGTTAAACAAATAACCTGTGAGGCCACTAGCCAGACCACCTAGGATTGAAGCGTTGCTCCAGTCCTGATAAGTTGGATTGTGATGGAAAAGGTACTTAACATAACTGAACCTCAGTTTAGTTGCATATAAAATGGAGATAACTGTTTGTACCTCAAAATGCTGTGAAGGCCTGGTGTACGGGTTCATGTCTGTGATCCCAACACTTTGGGAGATTGAGGCAGGAGGATTACTGGAGCCCCGGAGTTTCAAGAGCAGCCTGGACAACATAGTGGGAACCTGTCTCTACAAAAAATTTTAAAAATTAGCCAGGTGTGATGGTGCATACATCCAACTACTTGAGAGGCTGAGGTGGCAGGATTACTTGAGCCCCAGAAGTTGAGGCTGTAGTAAGCCATGATTGTGTCACTTCACTCTAGTCTGGGCAACAGAGTCAGACCCTGTCAAAAAAAAAAAAAAAAAAAAAAAAAAATGACCAGGCGCAGTGCCTCACACCTATAATCCCAGCACTTTGGGAGGCCGAGGTGGGCGGATCACCTGAGGTCAGGAGCTCGAGACCAGCCTGACCAACATGGTGAAACCCCGTGTCTACTAAAAACACAAAAAATTACCCAGGCGTGGTGGCCAGTGCCTGTAATCCCAGCTACTCAGGAAACTGAGGCAGGAGAATCACTTGAACCTGGGAGAAGGCAGCTGCAGTGAGCCGGGATCACGCCACTACACTCCACCCTGGGCGATAAGAGCAAAACTCCATCTCAAAACAAAACAAACAAAAATGCTGTGAAAGATAAATAATATATGTTAAGAAGTTAGATCAGCATCTGGCACATAGTAGGAATTCAATAAATGGCAGATATCTTTATCAACTTACCACCACTGGATGTTTTCTATCTAATTATTTACCACTGACAAAATTTGTACGCAACTGTGGAAGCTTTAACAGATTTAGAAAATAATCACCTATTGATGTGATTCATGAAAGTACCTGGACAGAGGAAATATGATAGATTAGATTCTTGAAAACGTCTCGGATCAGAAGCAAAACAAAAAAGCAAGTTGGGAGTTTCCAGCGGTGGAGGGGTGATAATTAACAACTCAATTAAAAAAGGCAAATTAAACTTTATGGTTCGTTATCCTCCACTGCTTGGTAAATTGTTTTGCTAGGAGACTGATTAAAAATGATCATTTCAGAAAACTGAAATAGCTTCCAAGGAACACAACTATTTTTCAATATTATACAAAGGGTTTCACAGCAAAATAAACTTACTTGATTAAAAGGAACAGTACTTCTCTGTGTATGGAAAGCCAGCAGTACAAATGTCGGCTTGTGATGCATTAGGTATTTTGGGGGGCTGTAGAAGAATTTTGAAGAGAAATGCTTCCTTATGAATAAAACACATCATCATTTCCTTTTGTGCATTTTGTCTTTGTGGGCCCCATAAAGGTTTTTCTGGAATATTACTTGCAAATGTATAATTTACATTAAATTAGTTTAGACTTGAGCTCTGAAGAAATGCACAGAACTCAGGCATTCATAATAATGGGTAGTTTCTAGGAAATCTAAAATATGGTCAGAAAAGAGACAGCATAAAAAATGAAGCGTAAGCCCTTATCACCGCAATTCTCCATGCTTTCTTTTTTTCTGTAATTGCCTCAGTATGTCTCAACTTGTTTCCTACTCTGCAACACCTGAGACATATGGCTCACACGTATCTGGAATACGGCTCAACTGCGATTACAGGGTGCCTTGGGGGAAGGTTGTATCAAAGGCAAAGTCAAGCCTAAACCAAGGGGAGCCAGCATGGTAGTGGCCCTGCCGGAGGAGGGCAGGACATACACCTTGGACTGCTGGGGAAGCAAGTACACATCGCCTCCGAATCTCCAGGTCTTACTTTCAGAAGACTTCCTCTAATAGGTGTTATCATCGCGAGCTTAGCAATGGTCTAACAAAGTACCTAAAGTCAATGGCAAAAAGGTCAAAACAGGCCAGGCACAGAGGCTCAAGCCTGTAATCCCAGCACGTTGGGAGGCCAAGGCAAGCAGATCACTTGAGGTCAGGAGTTCGAGACCAGCCTGGCCGACATGGTGAAAACCCATCTCTACTAAAAATACAAAAATTAGCTGGGTATGGTGGCGGGCACCTATACTCCCAGCTACTGGGGAGGCTGAGGCAGGAGAATCACTTGAGCCTGGGAGGCAGAGGGTACAGTGAGCTGAGATCGTGCCACTGCACTCCAGCCTGGGCGACAGAGCAAGACTGTGTCTCAAAAAAAAAAAAAAAAAAAAAAAAAAAGTCGAAACGAGTGCCATCTCCAGGAATTCCCCTGCCACCTTCAGCCACACTTGAGATTTTTGTTGTTTAAATCTACTCCCACTTTTTATTCCTTATGATTAGTCATTGTTCCATTAACTATTAGTGTTCATGGTTTTTTTTCAGACATTCTGATTTACCTACACTTAAATGCAATGATTTAAGTCATACTTTTAAACCCTAAATAAACAGACCAATGTTTTCATTCAAATATCCAATGAATACCCCCCATATTCACACCTGACCCTGTTGAATCTGTGATCCCTCCAATTTGCCTCAAAATGATGATGGGATTCAGGACAAGTGGCAAAATTTTATACACTCCCACCACTCTTCCTCATTAAAACAAGCTAAATGCAAAATGTAAATAATAATAATACCTGCACTGAATTCTATGGTACCTTGTCATCTCATTCTCTTATCAGAATGAAGCCTAAAGAGTTTCAAAGTACAGCCAATGCTTTCCAATAGAAAACAACCAGATATTTTAACTCAGAATGCCTGTTCTGCAGCTGAAAACCTCTTCTGTGGGTGCATTGGAATGCCATCTATATTTTGCTGTTTAGGACCCATTTCTGAATGCTTAGCCAGTCAGAACTGAAGCATGGCTTCTGAAAACCTACTACCATAACCATCATTCTCAGCAAACTATCGCAAGGACAAAATACCAAACACCACATGTTCTCACTCACAGGTGGGAATTGAACAACGAGAACACTTGGACACAGGAAGGGGAACATCATACACCGGGGCCTGTAGTGGGGTCAGGGGAGGGGGGACGGACAGCAGTTGGAGATATACCTAATGTTAAACGATGAGTTAATGGGTGCAGCACACCAACATGGCACATGCATACATATGTAACAACCCTGCACGTTGTGCATATGTACCCTAGAACTTAAAGTATAATAATAAAAAAAAAATGGCCTGCCTGGGGTAAGATGCTAGAGAATGGACCCCTCACATAAGAAATACTCTGAGTTTATGGCGTGAACCCGGGAGGCGGAGATTGCAGTGAGCCGACATCACACCACTGCACTCCAGCCTGGGTGACAGAGTGAGACTCCATTTCAAAAAAAAAAAATACTCTGAGTTCAAGCACAAAGATTGCTGGGCCACAGGGGGCACTGACAGTTCACGGTTAGTCTCCTTCACCCCCTCACTGCCTGTCCCAGCCCATACCTTCTGAGTAGGGCAGAACTAATGTCATGTCTTTGGTACCTACCACTCCCGCAGAAAGCTTTAGGTTTCCCCGAGCTCACAGGATCAGGCAGATTTACTATGCATCCCTGGATGGCAGGGAACTAGTACAATACCCCTAACAAGACATTCATTTACACAAGATTATTTGTTGAGTGGATATCCATCAGATCCTGTAATCGGTTCTTGGGGTGCAAGATTACACTGAAACCAGACAAATCCTCTTTTGTGCTTGCAGACCTGAATCCAATAACCGTAAAAATATACGTAAAACTGCAACCACAATATCTGCTGCAAACAAGGGGTGCTGAATACTATAAGAAAGAAATTAGGCTGGGTGTGGTGGCTCACGCCTGTAATCCCAACACTTTGGGAGGCTGAGGTGGGTGGATCACCTGAGGTCAGGAGTTCGAGACCAGCCTGGCCAACATGGTGAAACCCTGTCTCTCCTAAAAATACAAAACTTAGCTGGGCATGGTGGCATACATCTGTAATCTCAGTTACCTGGGGGGCTGAGGCAGGAGAATCACTTGAACCCAGGAGGCAGAGGTTGCACTGAACCGAGACTGCGCCACTGCACTTGACCCTGGGTGACAGAATGAGACTCCAATTCCAAAAAAAAAAAGAAAAGAAAGAAATTACAAATTATATAAAAGAGGAATGTCCCCTAATTTGAGCTGGGGTCTAAACAGTAATTTAGAAGTAGACTAGGTAAGCAAACGTGTGTGTGTGTGTACTATTGCTTGGGGCACATGAGGCATGAAGCACAGCACAGGCAAAGACCCTGTGGCAGGATAGACCAGGGTGTGTTTCAGCAACTGTAAGGAATAAATCTTTCCTGACTACCAGGTGTGAGCAAGGTGAGGATGCAGAGATGGCGTCCTATGTGGCACATTAAAGACTTGGGCCTTTATTCAAAGAGCAATGGGAAGCCACCAAAGGGTTTTAGGTAGGGAGTGAAATAAGATATGGATTTTAAACAGATCTTCCCTGACTTCAGTGAAAGAACTAATGGGGAGGGGTAACAGTAAACATAGCGTGATCGCAGGAATCAAGGCAGGGTTGACTGACACTAACTTAAATCAGGGTGGTGCACTGGGCATGGTGCCATCCCAAGAGGCAGGGAATGTAAGTGGTAGAAGCATTTCATTTATTTATTCATTCAGAACCCTGTGTTCAGTGCCAGCCACATGCCTGATAGGCACTAAAAATGAAGAACGCAGGCTCTGCCTCTGAAGTCCACATGCTAGAGAGAGCAACGTGGAAGCCAGTATCAGGCAAGCGAGGAAGATAGCACAATCAACTCTGCAGGGCAGTGGAGCAATCAGGGGACTTTTGTCAGCACAGGAGATGCTAGATGTAGCAATTGATATAATGGCCTGTCTTATAGAGAGCCCCAAGAGAATTGAGCCCCAGCATCACAGAAGTTTTCTCTTCCATCCAGATACCTCCAGAGAAGACATTTTTAAAATGACATGGAGACGAATAACTTGCATCCTTTGAGGCAGTCTCTCAGAAAAAAAAAAAAATTACACAACATAATGCACAGCAGAGACCTTTTGAAAAGCAATAGTCTTTTTTTTCTTTTCTTTTTTTTTTTTTTGAGACAGAGTCTCGTTCTGTTGCCCAGGATGGAGTGCAGTGGCATGATCTCGGCTCACTGCGACCTCTGCCTCCTGGGTTCAAGTGAGTAGCTGGGACTACAGGCATGCGCCACCATGCCCAGCTAATTTTGGTATTTTTAGTAGAGACAGGATTTTCCTATGTTGGCCAGGCTGGTCTTGAACTCCTGACCTACTGATCCGCCTGCCTCAGCCTCCCAAAGTGCTGGGATATAACTTATTTTTACATAGTTGAAGAAAGAGATCTCACTTTTTCCTCCCAAATATACAGTCACTTTTCCTTCCTCTGTTAACTCACAGTCCATGCCACCTTCGCTAATTTGAAATGGTGCCTTTTTACTAGCTTCACGTGTACTCCTGGACTATGTTCCCCAGTGAGTAACTGAACTTATGGCAGTAGGTACCGTACTGGTCAGGAAAGAGAAGGCTATACCATACTAACAAGTGACTCCAAGACTTCGATAAATGAACGCAACAAACATCAATTTCCTGCTCAGTAAAACTAGCTCAGGAATTCAAGCTGCTTCATGTCACACCTGTGGTAACCGTATCTGTGGTATCTACATGCTGTGGTAACTGCATCATGCATTCGCATGATTCTATGCTAGAAGAAACAATGGACAAGTCACACATTTCAGTGAGCAAAACTAGTCACAGAGCTCCACCTAACTGCCAGGGGGCTGGAAATAGAGAAGAGCCAAGGGAATACTTGCTGAGCATTGCTGTTGCTGCCGAAAGTGTCCCCCATGATCGTGAAATCTTAAAGTCACATACCACCCATGGGGAAAAAGGTTCCAGGGCAGTCAGACATTTTCTTCTCTCTCAATTGGTCGTTAAAAGCTGGTATAAAGTAGATCTCGCTCCTTTGTGAACTAAAGCGTGTTAAGCTTCTATTTGGCAAAATAAAATAATCATACTAAACAATATATGCTCCTAAAAGCTAATTAAAGAGCAAGCTCAAATCATCACGAAGGCAGATCAGTTTTAAGCAAAGCTTCTTAAGTGTCATTATCCGCCAGACGTGCATACAAAGTGTTTTGTGAATTTTTCCTTCATCCTATCTTTAACCTCTCAAACAGCCGCCTACAGAGAGCCAGAGAGTGGCAGGAGAATGTGTTACCACCAGCAGCACATGTGAGCCTCTCCACATTTATGAAGGATGATTACATAACTATGATGAGAAGGAATTTTTCTCACTTTCCAAGGAAGGCCAGTGGGGAGGAAATGGGCTTTTATAACTCCAGAGTGATTCAATGAGATTAGTCAGTAAAATACCTTTATGACCAAAGAGAGTAGCTACTATGTTGATATGGTGAATCTTGAAAGGAGCAATTCCGCAACTTCTGTCCACACAGTTTTATAAACTTGAGAGTCATCTGGGGAGTGGAATAGATTGGAGATGCTTCCCTCTGTTCCAGATGTTCTGGATCAGAATCTTAGAGGGTGACTTTCAGAAGCTGCATTTAAATAAGTGACTCTAGAGCAAGGGGTAGTAAGCTTTCTAGAAAGGGCTAGATCATAAATATTTTAGGTTTTTTCTGCCATAGTCTCTATCTCCACTACTCAACTGTTACCTTAGTGCAAAAGCAGCCTTTGACAATACGTAGATAAATCAGTACAGCAAAGTACCAATAACATTTTGTTTACAAAAACAAGTGGCAATACATGGGGCTTAGGCTAATAAAGATTTAAAGACTTTTGATAAATGTGTACACACATATAACTAACACTCCGATCAAACACAGAGTATTTCCATCACACTAGGTAGTCCTCTGGTGCCCCTTCCTAGTCAGAACCCAAAGCTCTAAAGGAATGAGTGTTCTGAACTTTCTCACCATAAATTTGTTTTTTCTACTCTTGAGCATCATATAAATGGAAACATAGAGTATGCATGCCTATCTGGCCTCTTACGCTCTTTATAATGTATATGAGATTCATCCACATCAGTGCATACATCACTGCTGATCTGGTTATGAATGTTTTTTCAATCAGAGAGAGTTGTTGATTGCAAATTTGTCTACAACTATGACTGCAGATTTATCTATTACTGGCTTTAGTTTTGTCAACTTCTGCTTGATGTATTTTGAAGCTGTTTATTAGCAGCATACATATTTAGGGCTGTTATATCTTCCTCATGAATTAACCATTTGATCATTCTGAAATGTCTCTTTTCCACTTTGCTAATACTTCTTCCCCTGAAGTCAACTTTGACAGTAATACAGACACACCAGCTTTCTTATCCTTACTATTCATATGGGATATAGTTTTCCACTCTTTTACTCAATCTAACTGTGTCTCTGTATTTAAGACGAGTCTCTTGTAGTCAGCAAATAACGGATTCTTGCTTTTTATTATAGTCTGACAATCTCTGCTCTTTAAGTGGAGTGTTTAGTCCACTTGCACTTGGTGAAATTATTTCTATGGTTGTCTTTCAAGCTTTTGCCTTCTAGTTTTCACATCCATATGTTTCATTTTATTCCTTATTTCTTGACTTCTTTTTTATTAAGCAAATCCTTTTTGCATTACATATACATTTATTTTTAAAGCTATATTCTATTCATTTTTAGGCATGGTAGGATAAACAATATGTATCCATAACTTATCAGAATCTTTTTACAGTTCATATTATGTGGCTTCTGTTAAAATATAAAAACTATAATAAAACTGTATTTCCTACTCAGCATCATACATTTGCACAGTAGTCATAAATCTTACATGTGTATACTTAACAAACCCAAGAATAAAACTGTATCATTTTTATTGTAAACTATCTGTTTTCCCCAAATAAATTAAGAGAAGTGAAAGCATATACATTAATATACCTATGGTAGACCTATGTGTCTACCATTTCAACTATTTTTACTTCATTATATCAGAGCTTCCTTCTGCTCTCATTTCCTTTCATATTTGATCATGTCCCTTGCATTTCTTGTGCTGCTGACACATTCCCTCTACTGTCCTTTAGATGAAAATGTGTTTATTTCACCTAATTTTTAAGAATATTTTTGCCAGTCATACAATTCTGTGTTGACAGTGTTTTGTTTTGTTTCTTTCTGAACTTTAAAGATGTCATATGATTGTCTTCTGGCCTCCACAGTTTCTATGAGAAATCAGTTACTGTTTGTACCATTCATCCCCTGCATTTTATATTTCCTTTTTCACTGGCTGTTTTCAATATTATCTATGGTTTTTTTTTTTCGTCAATATGACTGATGTCTGAGTTTAGTTCTTTTTTTTTTTTTTAATTCTACCTGTATTTAACCTGATCTACTAATCTTCTTGGACCTGTAAATGGATGTTTTTCATTAACTTTGGAAAATTTTCACCGCTTACTTCAACTGTTTTTTCTATCCTATTCTCTCTCTCCTCCCTACCTCTATGCTTTCAATCACAGATATATCAGACTACTTGATACTCTCCCACAGATCTCTGACTCTGTTTATTTTACTACCTTTGTTTCCTTTTGTATTCTTCAGATTGAATAATTTTCTGTTCTGTCTTCAAATTCACTAGTCCTTTCTTCTATAGTCTTCAATCTACTGTTAAACTGTTCAAGTGCCTTGCTTATTTCAAATATTTTACATTTCCTTTCTAAACTTTCCATTTGATTCCTTTTTATGACTTCCATTTTTTTTCCTGGGATCCCTTGTTTATTCATTTAAGTAACACAATCTTCTCTTTAAGTCTTCAACATATTTACAATTGTGGTTTTAAAGTCATTTCTGATTATTCTAATATCCATGACACATCAGGGTCTGTTTCTGTTTGCTTTATTTTGTATCTTGCTATAGGTCACATGATCCTGTTTATTCATATGTTTAATAAATTTTGTGGTATGTTGAACAAGATGCATAATGCATTATAGAAATCCAGATTGTGCTAATAATGTTTTCTTCTGAAAGGTGCTGAATTTTGTTCATGCAAGTGGTTAAATGACTAGAGTGTCATTTGATCCTGTTGTGCTAGGTTTTATCCTTTGTCAGGTGGGTCTGTTTCCATCTTGAACTTAGTCAACAGGCATGGTCTTATTCTAGTGAAACTGGAACTTAGTCCTCAGCATGGGCATTCTGGGGTTTCCACTTGATTGCACAAGGTGTTGCATAAGGTCTCCCAACTCTGGGTTGCTTGGATCCCAAGTGCCCCAGCACTGCACAGATTCTTGTTTTACCATCTAGCTCAGAGCACTGCATCAACTGATCTCTGATCTCCGGTGAAGTCTGTCACCCTGGACATGGATAGTCAGCCAAGGACCAGCTGTAAAATTCCATGCAGACTTATGAGCATTCCCCCTGCACATATTCCTCTTTTGTGGCACCTGACCCCAAAACGATTCCACTTCAGAATCCCAGAACTCTACTCTTCAAATCTTCAGCTCAGTGAGAACGTCACAGTGCTTGGCACCAACTACCTGCCTTGCAGCAGAAAAGGGCTCCTGGACAGAAAGCCAGAGCTTTCATGAGGCTCACCTTAGGTGTCTCCCTTCTCTCCAAGATCACAGAGCTGCCTTTTGATCAATGCTTAAAAAGAGTAGCCTTAGGTATTTCATTGCTTTCAGTCTGAGGACCAACCTGGTATCAGTTGTAGCATCATGGCTGGACACAGAAGTCTTCTTAGAGTAATAGGGTAAAATAAAAACATAATGTAAGATATATACGATTTTAAATTTTCTAATAGCTGCATTTTATTTAAAAAGTGAAAACAAATAAATGAAATTGATTAAATAATATATTGAATTTAACCCAATATATCAAAAGTTTATTCTATTGAATAATTGATACAAAAATTGTCAAGATATTTTACATTTATTTTCATAGTAACTCTTCAAATGTGTGCATTTTAGAGATATGCCTCAATTTCATCTAGCTACATTTCAAGTATTCAGAAGTACTGAGAAGTCACATGTGCCTAGTGACTTCACAGCACAGCTCCAGATATCTTTAAGCACATTAAAATTTGAGAAACACTAGACTGGAGAGGTTTTCAGATACATTTCTAGCACCCCCAAGAATATTAATCAATGCACGCTTCCCTTATTCAATTCTCTGAAGTGAGAAAATGCTCAGGTCAAAAACTTCCCTTTTCTCCAACAAAAGTAAAGAAAAAAATTTTTTTTAGGTTTTACAAATGCAAACCAAAGTAGCTGTTACAAAAGTAGCAAGTCAATGTCACTCAACTGAGAATTTGTTATTAACATCCCATTTTTCCCGGAGTGTTGAACATTTATTTAATGGTGTGACCTTTCTTAGGTCTTGATTTCTAAATCTATGATGTGAACAAAGCCATAAACTGTCCTTGCTGGGACGCAGGGTGGTTTAAAATTGACTGGAGAACAGAATTATTTGAAAAGGTCCCACATGAATCTTCTTTAGAGACTTACCACCACCTAACCTGCAATTCATTTCTGCAAGGTCAACTTAATTCTCACTTTCGGAATTCAAAGCTACGTGTTTCTAAGGCCCACAGACACATCACTTCACATCTTTCAAATCCCTGCCTTGCCTACGTCAGGGCTTGGCATATAATGCTCAAACATTTCTTGAATTAAAAGGTCCACATGAACAGAGAGCAATTTTTAAAAAAAAATAATGGGAACTAGAGCAGGTGCTTGAATAAGGTGAAACAGGAGAAAAACAATACTGGAAAACAATTTTTTTTTTTTTTAAAAAAAGAGAGAGACAAAATAATCTGAGATATGGAATAGGTTTGTTCTGCTGTTTAAACCCAAACCTTTGACTCCATCTAGGGCAGTCCTCCTCATTACCCTCTTACTCCATTCAACCCATGTTGACATCCTTCCAGTTTCTCCAACAGGTCACATTTGTTCCTAACCTGAGGCCTATGCACTTGCTGCTACCTCTGAGATGTTCTTCCCATGGATGTGGGTCCAGCTTGATTCCTTCCCCCTCTCTAAGCCTTAGTGGAAACACCGTCTTTTCAGAGAGCCTTCCCCGACCATCCTATATCGATGAAACCCTCCTTGTTTTTTATCTCACAACCACATTGATTTTTTTCCTAGTACCTGGCATAAGGCATAACCTGTTTCTGAGCTGTTTGCTTCTTTGTAAGCTGGCTTCTCAGGAGAGTGTAAGCCTCATGAAGGCAGGACCATTGTTTTTAATGTCTTTTCCTTCCTCCAGCTCCTAGCTCATTACCTGGTCTCTAGTAGACCCTTGAGATACATACATGTTGACTATTATGTGAATGTTATGCCTTTGGGTTTTAGAGAGTTCTGGTGTAAAAAAAGAACAAAACCTGCTCTAGTGAAAACCAGGGGAGGAGCCAGACCCCCAGAATATACATATTAAGTAAAAAGAGGCATCCCATCATACCTGACCTGGTAGCATGCACATAAATGCTGACTTGGATTACAGTCTAAAGCCATATGGAAGATAGTTTGGAACTTGACTTTACCATGTACTATGTCTGTGATCTTCGGCATATTACATAACTATCTTTGTCTGATTCCTTCTTCTAAAATGGGACACTGGAAGTATCTACTTCACAGAGTTGTAAAATTTAAATTAAAAAAAAATAAGAATCACCAGACTTGGCACATAGTGCGCATTCAATGCATGGCCACTATTAGCTATGATGACTGCCAGAAAGTGAATTTCATGGCACCAGTAGGAAGGTAAGAGAGGGCTAACACCAACGGCCTGCGAAGGTTAGGTCACTGTTCCTCGATGCGCTGGCGCTCTTGACTATCTGAAATTTTGAATGAAGTTGCTCTAGTTTGTGGGTGAATTTTCCTTTTTTGGTGTAATTCTCCATTACATTTCAAATGGGGTATTTAATCCCTCGGATTTGATTTCCTGGCTGAAGTGGAAACGAAAATGCAAGTAAACACCATATTGGAAATCTGACTGTTCAATGAATCACAGAATTCTTTTCTCATTTGTCATAGGAAAAGGATGAAGTTAAAGTTGTTAATAAGACAATCAGACTAAGCTCCTTGAGAAGCAATTATTATGGAAGACTATCCCCCCATTCCTTATAGCTTTACCATTTTAATACTGAAAGGTATTTAACTGGAAATCACTTTTTTAAATAGCAGCCTCATAATCCTTCAGAAAATCTCTCCCCGGCAGTATCAGTAGGAAGGTTTGTACATCTCACAATACAATGGGAGGAAAATAGCCTACCAACCCTTTGCCACTGATCTGTGAGAACATCCCACAGAGAGCGAGCCAAGGATGGTAATTGCATTACTCTATTTCCTGCAAATCCTGATCAACCAGAACCATCAATCCAGGTTAGACACGCATTTCTGCTGACTGCAGTCAGCTCCCAAGGCCTTTTCACCCTGGATTCAGAACCTACAATGAGGCTGCATCTGCTTTGGGTACACGATTCCCATGAATTTAATCCTTGACCAATGAGAAGTGCACTCCAGGCATATGGCATTCACATTGTTTAACTCTCCAAGGGTTATCCTCAGTTTAGGGCCCCTTGTAAAACATCAAAGAGCAAATGTGTATGAGGCTGACTCTTGGAAGGCCTAGCCATGTACCCAAAGCAGACAAACAAGATGCTCTCTCCTGGCCCTGGCAAACAAGAGCATTCCCAACACCTATTCTATTGCTTTTCCTATCTCAACAGGGGAGAAAAAGGCCCTCTTAAGTAGACCCACCTCTTCTTCTCCTCCATCTCTATCCTCCTCCATCTAGTGACTTATTATTTATAATTTCATATAAGAAAAAAACATTGTAATAATTGTAGGGAACTTAAGGATTTGGGGGCTTGACAAAGATATGACTGTAAGAGGAGGTAACACATGCACAGGGAGCTGCACAATGTCCCTTACAGTATGAGACCATCCAGAGGCTTGTGTGAGCAAGTCATCATCCAGCAGTGGATGTGGAGGATGGGGAACTCTGAGGAGGGGATCACTTGTCTAGGTGATGTCATTCAGCAGCCCCTTGGGGAGTCTCTGGGTTGGAGGCTTCCAAAGCGTTGGCTCAACTTGGAGCCTTGTAACTACAAAGACCTATTTCACCAAATGGTAAGGCTGGTGAGGCACTGTGAAATATGGAAAGCAGGCTGGTTGTAGATGGTTAAAAATCTGCTTGTTTGGGCTATTTTTAAAAAATAATTGGATGTATTAAAAAATTGAATTGGCGCCAGGCACGGTGACTCATGCCTGTAATCCTACCATTTTGGAAGGCCAAGGCGGGCAGATCACTTGAGGTCAGGAGTTTGAGACCAGCCTGGCCAACATGGTGAAACCCCGTCTCTACTGAAAATACAAACAAACAAACAAAAAACAACAACAACAACTAGCCGGGCATGCTGGTGCATGCCTGTAATCCTCACTACTCGGAAGGCTGAAGTGGGAGGATTGCTTGAACCTGGGAGGTGGAGGTTTAAATGAGCCGAGATTATGCCACTGCACCCCAGTCTGGGCAACAGAGGGAGACTGTCTCAAAAAAAAGAAAAAATTGAGTTAGGCAACAATGGGCTTTCCAGCTACCAGGTCCCAGTCTGGAGTGAAGAAATAACCCAGGGGTCAATCCCTAGGGGTCATCTTAGGCTCATTTACATTACAATAATCAAATCCTACAATACAAAGGCAATGACTCCAATAGCAGAGGGTCAGCTCTGAGACAGAGTGAAAACTTTCACGCTGGGGCTATAACTGCAAGCTTCTGTAGGGCCCAGGTGCCCATGGAGACTGAAGACTCTCTTTAGAGGGAGCTGGGTAGCAAAGGAGAATGTGGACCCAGCATGGACAAACCATCCAACATAAAAGGGAATCCAGTTTCAGTTTTTGATGCCAAATACCTCTTAGTGAAATGCTGACAAATAATACAAACTGTGTGGTGCAAACAAAACACCCAGAAGGGTGAGTTCCAGCCCACGAGTTACCAGTCTCCAGCCTATGTCTCACACTCGAGGGCAGCTAGAAACCAATGAGCCCCCCATGAAGGGAATGAACCTTTGTGGCCAAGCAAGACTTCATTTTTTTAAGCGGTATATGCTTTTCTCCTTGTATTTTTTTCTTGTGATATAATATGCCTAACATAAAATTTACCTTTTAGCTATTCTTTTTTTGAGGGAGTCTCGCTCTGTTGCCCAGGCAGTGGTACATTCTCAGCTCACTGCAACCTCCACTTCCCAGGGTCAAGACATCCCTGGACCTCAGCCTCCTGAGGAGCTGGGATTACAGGCATGTGCCAACATGCCGGGCTAATTTTTGTATATTTTGTAAAGACGGGATTTTGCCATGTTGCCCAGGCTGGTCTTGGACTTCTGAGCTGAAATGATCCACCCACCTCAGCCTCCCAAAGTGCTGAAATTACTTTTAACTATTTTTAAGTGAATAGTTCAGTGGCATTGAGTACATTCACAATGTTATACAACCATCGCTGCTACCCTTTTCCATAATTTTATCATCTTCCCATACTGAGACTCTGAATTCACTAAACAATAACTCCTTATTCCTCACATTTCAGCCCCTGGTAACCTCTATTCTACTTTCAGTTTCTAAGTATTTGACTACTTTAGTATCCCTAGAAGTAGAACCATATAGTATTTGTCCCTTTATATCTGGTTTCTTTCACTTAGCATAATGTTTGCAAGGTTCATCCATATTATAGCACATGTCAGAATTTTATTATGTTATAATGGACAAATGATTTTCCACTGTATATATGTACCACATCTTATTTATTCATTCATCCATGGATGGACATTTGGGTTGTTTCCACCTTTTGGCTATTGCAAATAATTCTACAATAAACACTGGTATACAAGTATCTGTGCAAGATTCTATTTTCAGTTCCTTTGTGTGTATTCATAGGAATGGAAATGCTGCATCATAAGGCAATTTTAGGTGTAGCCTTTTGAGGGATCTCCTAAAATTTTGCAATGTTCCTAAGTACCTCCCTAAGTTATGCAAAGATTTTCTTCTGATAGCCATGTGTGTTAAAATGCTAATATTCTCCAGAGAACAGCAGTTTACATATTTCCAATAGTTTTTTTTTTTATGGTTTGCTGAAAAATTGTTTTATTTTTCTACTGGTGGTATTTCAGTCTTTTAAACTAATATCTTTTCTACTTATCCTGAAGCTTATTGGCAGTAACTTTGGTGCTTTAATCAGAGAGTATATTTTATACACACACACACACACACACACACACACATACACACACATAGCCACACAGATCATATTCCGCAACCCAGCAGAATGGATGACAAAGGTCCCGTGGCTTTTTTTTCCCATTAACTGAAAAGATAAAGTTACTCCTTTCCCCTTCAATAAGGGAAGAGCCAGTGAGCCCCAGGGTGCTGACTCAGCACATTGGCCACCCACTGTCAGTCAATCATTAATGGGGAGCGGGTGTCACACGGAAGGCCTAGTCAGCACAATATAAGCCTGGATGTGACAAATAGCCCATGCAGGGATGAGGCTCCATGGCAGGGTATTATGTCTTCAGAGATTAACTCGAATGAGAAAGTGGTGAAAATAGCAAAGAAAAGGATTAGGGAATTCATAAAGTGCATTTGTTCATTCAAGAATTCCCAGCAGGTTGAAAGCTCCTTTAAAAATGTGTGTGTGTGTGTGTGTGTGTGTGTGTGTGTGTGTGTTTATCTTTTAGACACAAGGTTCTGTTATAAATAACAGAAATACACAAATTATTGAGGACTGTTCCCCACTGTCAAGAGGCTCACAGACTAGCAGATGAGACAATCAGGACGTTAATTAAAAGAAAATAAAAACATTAAAAAATAACAAAAAGGGCCAGGCACAGTGGCTCACGCCTGTAATCCCAGCACTTTAGAAGACCAAGGTGGGCGGATCATCTGAGGCCAGGAGTTCGAGACCAGCCTTGCCAACACGGTGAAACCCCATCTCTACTAAAAACACTAAAATTAGCTGGACATGGTGGTGCATGCCTGTAGTCCCAGCTACGCAGGAGGCTGAGGCAGGAGAATTGCTTGAACCCCGGAGGCAGGGGTTGCAGTGAGCAGAGATCATGCCACTGCACTCCAGCCTGGGTGAGACAGTGAATGAGACTCTGTCTCAAAAATAAAATAAAATAACAAAAAGAGTCATTGACTACTAACTCTGTCTTAGGCATTTTACAGGTATTGCCTCACTTAATCCCACAGTCATCCTTTAAAGATAGGTACCATTAGTTATTCCTTCTTTTACAGAGGAGGAAACAGTCTGAGAGAGATCAATGAACTTGTTCACCTTCACCCAGCTGGTAAATGTAGAAAGCAGACTAGCCCTGACACCCTTGACCTTAAGAGCTCCCCACCTGTTAACCACCATGCTACACTAAGCTCCCAGAGGAACAGATGTCCCCACTGAGTTGAGCCTCAGAAGGATGAGCAGGAATGCTCCCTTAGACAAGGCAGGCACAGTGTACAAGCAAATGGAGTGACACAGTCAGACACAGCAAAAACAAAAAGGTTAATGTGGCTGGATCATTCCTGGAGGCTAGAATTTGGGGGTACTGGGTACGGGCAGTGGCCTGAGATGAAGAGAAGCAGGTAGGATCAAGGATTTCAAGCATCATCACTTTCCCTGGTGTTTCTCCAAAGGTGGTCCACAGCACACTCAGCACACTACAGGTGGCCCACCATGTAGACAGGCCAGCTTGTATCACACCCACTGGGGCACCTTGTAAAGAATACAGACTCCTGAGGCCCTCACAGACACATTAAGTCTGTGTCTCAAAGCAGAGTCTAGAGTCTCATGTTTTGACCAGCTCTTCAGGCGTGTCTTGTACACACTGAAGTTCCCATAAACCTGCAGTGCATGTATTTTGATGGGTTGGCAGGGCTGTGCCTGGACATACAGGACACACCAGGTGCACACTCCCAACAGGCCAGTTGGACAGGAAGATTTGTTATCAAGATATGGTTGATTGTAATATTAGGACACACATGAATAAATCATAAAGTAGAATGTAAAATTACAAAATGCATTCATGTAAGATCAAGTGTGAAAACTCTAGGAAATAATAGAAATAAATCTGCAGGAAGAACAAGCTGTTTCACACAACAGCCCCAGACTTCGTTCTCCTCTCTTCTCTTCACCAGCCCCCACCATAAATCCAGAAGCATGTGTTCTGTACACCAGAAATGTTTGGATAAAAAAGAGAGTGAGGGGCTGCAGTGAATGTTAGCAGCACCAGAACTGACGTCTTACAAAGAGGAGAAACGCAGGGACAGATCTGAGTTGCTAAAAGGTTACTCAGACATCTGAATTCAGAGCCACAAGCAAGAACATAAAAGAGCCTGAGAAGGAAAGGGAAAATTAATATTAATAATTAATAACAATAATTATTATAAGCAGCTAATATATTCACTGAGCCAAGATGATTTCTTTATATAATCCTCATATAACAAACACGGGGTAGGTATTACCAGTGTACCTATAAAACCCATGTGGAAACTGAGACTGAGACAAATTATACGACCCACCCAAGATCCCATGACAAGCAAGATGGTGGAGAGGATGCCATTCACTCCAGTGCCCCCTTAGGAAAGCACAACATAGGAAATTTGTTTACAAAGAGAATGGAATCCTCCAACATTGCTGATGGAAATGTAAAATGGGGTGGCTGCTGTGGGAAACAGCTTGCTGATGCCTCAGTAAGTTGAACATAGAGCTACTGCATGATCCAGCAATTCCACTCCTAGGTATGTGCCCAAAAGAACTGAAAACATGTACTCAAACAAATACTTCTCCATAAATATTCATAGCAGCTATTTACGTCAAGGAAATAATGAAAACAACGCAAATGCTAATCAACGGATAAATACATAGTCTATCCATACAGTGGAACGTTATTCAGCCATAAAAGGGAATGAAGCACTGATGTGTGCTACCACATGGCTCAACTTCAAAAAAACTCTATACTAAATGTAAGAAGTTGGACACAAACAGCCACATACTGTATGATTCTGTTTACACAAAATATCCAGAAAAGGAAAATCTATACATAGAGAAAGCAGATTAGTGATTGCTAAGGGCTGGGGCAGAGGAGAAGGAATAAGAGTGACTGCTTACTGGATACAGGGTCTCCTTCTAGGGTGATAAAAATGTCTTAGAACTGGATAGAGGTAGCGGTTGCATAACATTACGAATGTGCTAAATTCCACTGAAATGTGCACTCTAAAAAGGTTAATGGGGCCAGACATGGAGACTTGTGCCTCTACTCCTAGTGTTTCAGGAGGCTGAGGGAGGATTGCTTAGGGTCACGAGTCTGAAACCAGCCTGTGGATACCCTGTGGAATGATTTGAGCCACAAAAATAAATAATGACAGTTTTAGATTATAGCTCACCTTCAAAATAAATGTTGAGTCAATAATGATATAAATACTGAATAAATGGAGGAGAATGAAAAATGCTTCCTTACACAAGTGTTCCAATGAATACATGTACAGGGCATGAGAGGAAATTGAAAATCACCATTGGGCCATCAAAGTAATAAATTAGTGTACTTTTAAGTTCAAAGGTTAAAAACAATCTTACCATGAAGAAACTTGGCAAATGCCTTCTCAACTAAGTGATCAAGGCTAATATCACTAGTAATAAGATATAAAGACATCGTTGACCCTCCATTGTGATCTGCTAAGGACACATCACTTTTGTGGCATCCCTTCCAAGAACACATAAATTCATTCTACTCAGGGTCAAACAGCAGATAATCTGAGCTGAGAAATATCCCCTTAAAAATTCTAAAATTAATATTAATAATTAATAACAATAATTATTATAAACAGCTCATATTCATTGAGCCAAAATGATTTCTTTATATAATCCCCATCTAAGAAACATGGTGTAGGTAATGCCATTATATCTGTAAAACCTATGTGGAAACTGACACTCGGACATATTATATGACCCACCCAAGATCCCATGGCAAGCAAGATCAAACGTATCAAAGTCATGAAAGATCAAAAAAAAAAAAAACCTGAGGAATTGTCACAGATTCACAGACTGGAGGGAACTAAGGTAAAATGGTCTGAATGTTAGTGCCCTCCCCATATTCACATGTTGAAACCTAATCACTAATGTGATGGTATTGGGAGATGATTAGGTCATGGGACAAGAGCCCTCATGTGCAGGATTAGTGAAGAAGATGGGGAAAGAGAGAAAGAGGAAGGAGGGAAGGAAGGAAGGAAGGAAGGAGAGAGAGAAAGAGAGGGAGAAAGAGAGGGAGAAAGAGAGAAGGAAGGAAGGAAGGACAGAGAGAGAGAGAGAAAGAGGGAGAAACAAAGAAGGAAGGAAGGAAGAAAGGAAGGAAGGAAGAAGGAAGGAAGGAAGGAGAGGGAAAGAGAAAGAAAGAGAGGGAGAGAGGGAGGGAGGAGAGCAAGAGAGACAGAGAAAGAGAGGGAGAGAAGGAGAGAGAGAAAGAGAAAGAGAAAGGAAGAGAACAAGGAGGAGGCGGAGGCGGCGGCAGCAGCAGCCACTGCCGCCATCCAAGACAGCTACCTTGACCCTTACACCGTGTGATGACATGGCAACAAGATGCCATCTATGATTCTGGAAACCAGCACTCACCAAACATTGAATCTGCTGGTGCTTTGATTTTGGACTTTCCATCCTCCATAACTATAAGAAATAAATTTCTTTTTAAAAAATCTACCCAATGTAAGGTATTTTGTAATAGCATAATAGGAGCCTGAGTGGACTGAGACATAAGGTGATATGGCAACTAAAAACAATGTGGAATAATGGATTGGATCCTGGAAGAGAAAAAGAGTAAAAGAACTGGAGTAAAATCTTGTAAACTCAATGAAGTATATATTTCAGTTAACAGCATGGTCTTAATGCTAACTTATTAGTTTCTATTATTGTATTATGGTGATATAAAATGTTAATACTCAGAGAAGATGGGTGAAGACTATACAGAAATTCTCTGGACTACTTTTGCAACTCTTATGAAAGTGCAAAATTATCTCAAAAAATTTTTAAATTATTTACAGCTGCTACTTCAAAAGTTACAGATGTCCATCTTGTGTTCTTACTAGAAATATTTCGCTTTATCACCAACAAAATTACTGCTTTCACTGTGTTTAGAAGAAAATATTTAATCATGGTGGTGGGAAGGAAACTAGATCATTAGGGGAAGTAGAATACATAAAAAATCTTAAAGAAAACTTGACTATGTCTTTTTTCCAAATATTTTAAAGATAACTCATCTTAGATAGCGTCTTACTCCATTTTGTGCAGCTATAACAAAATAACTGAGAATGGGCAATTTATAAAGAACAGAAACGTATTTCTCACAGTTCTGGAGGCTGGGAAGTTCAAGACCTAGGTGCCAGCAGGCTCAGTTGTTGAGTGAAAGCTACATCCTCCAGAGGAGAGGAATGCTGTGTCTTCACACGGCAAAAGGCAGAAGGCCAAGAGAGCCAAATGCTACCAGAAGCCTCTTTGTACAATGGGCTTAATCTCATTTATGAGGGAGGAGCCATTCTGGCCTAATGGCATCTGAATGGCCACACCTCTTAATCCTATCACATCGGCAACACCAGAATTTTGGAGCGGAACCATTCAAACCATGAAAGGTGATCTAATATTGTATGGTGAACATAATTGTTATTAGTTCTGATCATTTGAAATGCATAATGAACTTGGAAACGAAGGTGAAGCTGTCTTCTGAGTTTTAAAGGTAATTGTCATGCATATTTTTTTTTGTACGTTTAGCATACTTCCAAACATGTCCACAAATTCCTAGGAATTTACACACTCATAGTAATTTGTGGCTTTAATTCTTTACCCCCTGAACTCTCACCCTTTTCACAGGGAATCCCGTTCATTTGGGTCTGGCTTACCCAAGAATGGAACTCAGCATCTCAGCCTTTATTTATCTACAACTACTCCAAGAAGGCTTTGGTGAGGGCATCAGACTTTAATGAAGTTTGGAGTTGCAGAGGAATTTTAAATCTTGGACACACACCCTATTCAGAACTAGATGTTTAATACTCTAGCTCTTGAAAGGACTTCTAGTATCTGCCAACGGAGATTATCCCAATACCTTTACTGTAGAGCCTCCAGCATCTCTCTCCCTCTGTCTCCCAATTTCATCTTATCTCTTCTCAATACCTTTACTGTACAGCCACCAGCCTCTCTCTCCCTCTGTCTCCCAATTTCATCTCATCTCTTCTCTGCTGTCCCATGTCTCTAAATTCCTAGTAATATCTTATTCACGGGAGTTCTGTTTTCTCCCCTATCAGCTGAGGTATGTGTACTTGCAAATAACAAGAAGCCCAACTCAGACTTGATTAAACGGCAATGAAAGATGCTGTCGCACATAACAGGAAACCCTGGGCACTCTAGCATTTATACAAGCTAGCAGATATTTTTAGCTTCAGAAGTTCCTCTTCACTCTGCTCCTCTCCTCACCTGCACTGGCTTCATCTCCAAGCAGGTGGGTAAGTGGCTGCAGCAGTTGTGGTTATCATATTCATGTAAGAAAATCTCCACTGCAATGCATGGTAGTATCTTCCTACAGCCTTCTTGGTAATAAGAAAACTTTGATTAACAGCTTTTTAAAAATTATTATTATACTTTAAGTTATGGGATACATGTGCAGAATGTGCAGGTTTGTCAGAAAGGTATACACATGCCATGGTGGTTTGCTGCACCCATCAACCTGTCATCTACATTAGGGATCTCTTCTAATGCTATGCCTCCCCTGCCCCCCACCCCCTGACAGGCCCTGGTGTGTGATGTTCCCCTCCCTGTGTCCATGTGTTCTCATTGTTCAACTCCCCTTTATGAGTGAGGACATACGGTGTTCGGTTTTCTGTTCCTGTGTTAGTTTGCTGAGAATGATGGTTTCCAGCTTCACCCATGTCCCTAAAAAGACATGAACTCATCCTTTTTTATGGCTGCATAGCATTCTATGGTGTATATGTGCCACATTTTCTTTATCAAGTCTATCACTGATGGGCATTTGGGTTGGTTCCAAGTTTCTGCTATTGTGAACAGTGCTACAACAAATATACATGTGCATGTGTCTTTATAGTAGAGTGATTTATAATCCTTTGGGTACTAGAGATATTTATACCTCACTAGTGCACATAGTATTACTTTCCTATTCCTTAACAAATCTGTGTGGGTCAGGAGAATACCACAGCTCAGGAGAGCAGAGGCCTGAGTCCCTGGAGATTATCATATGTAATGTAGACCAGGGATTGGGGAATTATGACCACAAGGCAAACCTAGCCCACTGTGTAGCTTGGTAAATAAACTTCACAAATAAACAATAAGTAGTTGCAAGAAAGACTGTTCGGCCCACAACACAAAAATCCTGGGTCTTTCTAGAAAAAGTTTGCTGACCACTAGCTTAGAGTAAAGATATGCTATACTTGGAATTTATCTCAGCAATCTTATACCACCTGGCTGCCATGCAAGGACAGAGGGGAAAAAAAACAGACGTTATGCAGACAAGTACAGATCTCACTATAGCCCACCCCTTGGGCCAGCCAATATGCACAAATCTATTAAAGGGCTACTCTGTTAAGACATCCTCACTACTGCATATGGCTTCAATTCACTTTATTTTATAAAATTATCATAATAATAAAGACCTCTTTTTGCCTTTTCTCTGGAAAAATTTAAAGCATGCAATCCTATGCAAGCCCTTTAATTTGTACTTGTTACATTCTAAGGGGCAGTGAAATCCTAAAACTTAAAGTTTATACTCCACATTATGCCAACTATTTCTTACAAGAATCCTAGTTAGGTAGGAGACTGGCAGGACATATTTCTGGGTCCTGACAGGATGAAGTAAAAATAAAATGGCAGGAACTAGTAAATGGTGATAAAAGCAATACCCAGATACCCTCACGGCTCGTTAGCAGAAGACACTAGTGTTATGATAGTTTACAAATGCCATGGCAATCACCTGGAAGTTACTACCCCTTTCCATGACAACAACCTGGAAGCTACTGTTCCTTTCCTGGAAAGTTCTAAATAACCCACCCCTCAGTTTGCATTAACTTGTCCCTTAATTTGCATGTAACTGAAAATGGTCTAAGTCAGTGTAAATATAGTTGTGAATAGCCCGTATGTTGCCAACTCTGGGCTCAGTGCCTATGAGTTAGCCCTCCTCTGCAAGGAGCCATATCATTCAATAGAAGACTGCTGTCTAACACCATCTGCTTGCACATGAATTCTTTTGCAGGTGAAGCCAATAATCCTCCCAGGCTAAGCCCCAACTTTTGGACTTGCCCGTCCTGCATCACTAGCCATTAGTCATCCTAAACCTTAATACATTCTAACATACATTTCAAAGGGGTTTGGTGCCAACAGACAAGGCAAGCATATCATTGTTTGTCTCATAAAAACAGTATCAGAAAGACTGAACTAAAGGCAGTGTTAGTAGTCCATAAGTTACGCCCCCTCCAAGAAAACTTTTATGCCATTGATTCTAATTGACAAGTTCCATTAGAAAAATGAGGAATAAACAACTATAAATATAACTGCAGCAACTATTGCCTTTTTATACTGTAAGTAATGAGATCCAAAAAGCTACGTACACACAAAAAGGTGATGCTCATGCTAGAATTTTCTCATTGTCTTCAATTTCAAAGACAGTCCAACAATTTAATGCCGCATGAGATATTATTCTTAATTGCATAAGATGGAAATAAAATTCCTCAAAGACTGTAACCGTAAAATGGTCAACGACAGAAGAATTTCCTCACTGAAATCAGATGAGAGATCACTCTTAATTGCATAAGATGGAAATAATATTCATCCAAGAATCTAACTGTAAAATAACCAACAAGAGAAGAAGTTCATTGCTAAAATCAGATCATTCTGTAATAACACAAAACTTTTTTCTTTGTGAATATGAGAGAAGATGAAGGGAGAAAAAAAATAATGAGAACATACCTATCTAGAGATTGACAACTAGGAAGAACGGTAAATAATTTCTCCCCAGGTGGCAGTAGTTTGAATAGTCATGCTTAGTCCTAAGTGAAACCTCTTTGACAGAAACCTGCTCTATTTAGAACAGCTGGATACCAGCCCTAGAGTATCAGATCGTAATAATGAAATGTCATTATTATGCCGGTGGTGATACAGGTTTCTCTGGGATGGGAGCAAAGGAGAACGGCCTGGCAGTGGAATAACAGATGTAAAAAGACACAGAGACCACGGCCTGTCTGACGCCTTCAAATCAATTCAAGACAACAAACATTTCTAGAGTGTATGTTACATGCTAGGCATTCTGCCACTCCCATAACTCCAAATGTGGGTGAAGCCCAAGGTCCAGTTTCAGCTTCTTCTTTTCTCCCTCCTCATACCCCTCTGGTGTCCTTAGTCTTGCCCTTCACTGTGAGGAACAGAGAGCATGACTTCACGGCTTCAATATCAACAAATGCGGAGACAGGCAATTTCTGCCTTTGCTTCAAGAGCTGTGTCTCTGTGATGCTCCTGGCCATCTCATCATGCCCACAGGATGGCTGCCACAGTACCATCAACAAGTCCACACAAAATCTTGCACTTTTCATCACCCAGAAAAATTTCCTTTTATGTCGCTGTGGTTCTTCTGGCTCTTTACTTCCCTGAAGTAGTATTAAAAAACACATCAGTATCATAGCCTAATGGTGGCTATGTTGATGCTTAACCTTGGATTTGGCCACATAACTTGCTTTGGCCAATGAGAGGTGAGAGGAAGTGATGTGAGCAGAAGCTTAAAATGCCCTTTTGCAATCGGCCTCACCCTCTTGTCCATCTGTAATTCACCAAGAGAAGAAAATGTCCAAAGAAGTCTCTGGTCTAAGGAGGATGAAAGACACCAGGGCAGATGTGAACTCAACTTGCATCTTGGAGTCTACAATCCAGTCCGGACTAGCCACATAGCACTCACATGCCTGCTTATCCACAGACTCAGGAGTAAGCAAAGTTATCTGAGGAACTATGCTTTAGGATGGTTTGTTACACAGAACCATGGTGGCAATAGCTGTCTGATACATTTTTCTTGGCTTCAATGGTGCTTCCTTGCCATTTCTAGGCCCAAATGAAGTTAAAAATGCAAACAATAAACAGGAGATACTTAAAAGCTGATGTAGCAAATTACTTTCCAACACTTTCCAACTCCCCTCTACAAAGATTTCCAAACCAGTCAATCCTACTCTGATCTCTCAGATACAAAATCCTCCAAATGCCCGCTAAGTATTTCACTCAGACATGTCCCTTCTTTATATCAAACTCTGGGCATGTGAAAACGATTCCACTCCATCTCTCACCTCAGAACTTGCTCCAGGTGTTTTTTTGAGACGGAGTTTTGCTCTTGTTGCCCAGGCTGGAGTGCAATGGCACGATCTCAGCTCACCGCAACCTCCGGCTCCTGGGTTCAAACGATTATCCTGCCTCAGCCTCTCAGGTAGCTGGGATTACAGGCATGCACCACCATGCACAGCTAACTTTTGTATTTTTAGTAGAGACGGGGTTTCTCCATGTTGGCCAGGCTGGTCTTAAACTCCCAACCTCAGGTGATCCGCCCATCTTGGCCTCCCAAAGTGCTGGGATTACAGGCGTGAGTCACCGTGCCCAGCCTCGGACTTCTTTAACGAACCTTTATTACTCAAGTGACTACTACTCAACATGTCAAGGTAAACTTTGATTTCTCTATTAGAATGCACATATCGGATAAACATTTGAAGGACCATTTACTATATTCATTTATTTAACACTGACAAGATTCCAGACACTGTTCTCAATTCCTACCTGCATTTCATCCTATAACCCTTATAGCAGAAGTTCTTAAAGTCCACAGAATGTATTACCTTCTTCATAACAATGAAGAACTTAATGGTTAATTGGCTCCAGCTAGCTAATTGGTCTGGAATATACCAGTTATTGGCTTCCAAACCACTCTTACACTGGGCCAAGTGTTTCATGTGAAATACTTCATTCAATCTATAACATCACCTACTTTTTTTTTATCAGATCACTAAATGGAAAATGAGACAGATTAAGTTTTAGCGATCCTTTAATAATCACACCTTTAGCATATGTTTCTTAAGTCCAAAACCACTTATCCTCTGAGCCAAGTATTGTATATGGATTATTTATATCAATCCATACACTTACCCCTTTTTGTCAAATCACTTAAAAGAAGATGAGAGAGTTTAGATGGTACTGATTCTTTAGTAATCATACCACTAATGTATGTCTGAATTTCTGACCCCACTACCTATACCCAAACAATTTTCAAAAGTCTTCCTTGGTTTCTTCTCATTCCAAATCATGCTGCATTTTGCCCCAGAATTAAACTCCTTGAAATACTGCCTTCATCATCACAGTCTTCTCCTATCCTGTTACCGCCAATGACTCACATTAGAAATACCCAGTTTATTTTGATGACACATTTGTCAAAAGCCATAGTCCTGGGGCTTTGCTCTGTAACTCCAATGGGACATGCCTATAAGATTCCATCACACACTTAATATCCTTTTAAGAAATTCACTGACAAAGTGGGTGGAAGTAGAATGACAAACTTTCTTGGAAACTCCTTAACTCAAAAGGTGTTGGTGGTTTCACAGCCCACTCTGTGTATCAGGAAAGTCCAATTTTCTTATTGAAGGGCTTCAAGAAAATAAGCCCATCCCAGTTCACCATAAAACTAGTTCTAACAAGATAGCTGATTGAGTCTTGAGACAGAGTGGTTGTCACAAGGCTGATATGAGACCTGTATGTCCAACAATGGGGTGACATTGCATTTCTGTTCTGACTGATGAGACGTCTGTTCCAGCAAGTCAGTGTATGTGGCGTACTTTTCATTAAGAATTATGAATATCATTCTTGTATTGCCATTTTTCTTTATGAAATGCCCTCATGATCTCCCTCTCTCGCCCATCCTTCAAGGCAAATCACACTTCCTAAGTCTAGCATGAGGTCTGACCTCCCCATTCCACCCCTGTATAACCCATGAGAATCTCTTCCTTCCACTGAACCCTCATAAATATGCTGGTACCTATCATGACTTCCTTGAAATACTGTTTTCTGCACATGCTTTTCCCTTTACTCCACACTAGCATTTTGCAATCTCAACACTATTGACATTTTGAGCCAGGTAATTCTTTGTGGTGGGGGCTGGTGCTGTGCACTGGAGAATTATTAGCACCGTCTCTGGCCTCTACCCACTAATGCCAGCAGCACTGCCTCCCTGGTTGCAGCAGTGAAATAGGTCTCAAGGCATGGCCTAGTGTCCTCTGGCGGGGGGCAAAACTGTCCCCCATTGAGAACCACTGCTCTGGATTATACAGTTCTTGAGGACTGAGATGATATTCAACTCCTCCGTTCCTATTTCATGCCACTCGTGGAGTGTCCTTCACACAGAAAGTGCTCAATGTTAGGGCAGATTGATTTCACATTCTCATGGATCCATCTTAATTGGAGGGTTTTGTTTTTTGAAACAGCCCAGCGGGTAGTTGTTTTAATCTGCCATTAAGTCCACATCATTTCACAAATGACTGCTTAAAAATGCACACTACTTAGGTATCAATTGTGTTTGTGCAGGATACAGAATTCTGCTTCTCCTAATAGGATCATCTTCTGAAAAGGCAATCTTTTATTTTATTTTATAATTTTTTCAGTGCCTACCTAGAATTCTGTGCTATTCTCTAGCAATCATCAATTTCCAGAGAGGTTATTTATCAAGCTATAGAGAATTGTGATGATGCTGCAAAGAAGTCACAATGACCTACAAAGAAGAAGCCAGGGTACCAGAGAGCTAAAAGAATAATGAACTAAAAAAAAAAAAAAAAGAAGAAGAAAATACAGAAAACCAAAAATTAGAGTGAAAAACCTGTTGTGATCATCCACAAAATAGATGTACTTATCCATAGACAGTAGATGTGCTGATGGATTAAATATATTAATTGTTTAAATCCTTGGTTTTACAATAAATCACATGAGGTTATTTATTCCATGTGTGGTATTAACATTATTTTGATAAAGTAATAATGGTAATTATTAGAGACCCAAGATACATAAAAAAGTGATTTCCAAACATAAAAAGTAAAACCACAGGGCTACAACTGGAGAAAAGCTCTGCATTTGATTCAGTTCAACAAGATTTCTGCTCTGTTTTAAGAAATTTATATAATATCCTATTTGATGTAAAATTGAAGAAAAGAATGTAACTTATCCTTAAGCCAACTTTTTAAACCAAAATGTTGTACAAGGATTCCTGTGGCATTTCAGCTGCCCTTAAATTTTAATAATACTGATAAAATATTCTACTATCCCCAGTCAAGTAATTTTTTATCTTTAATTGGTAAGCCCTCATTTATTATTTCTAAAGCATAAAAATTCTAATATCTAGGATTTATAACTTACCCAGGCAATCGTGACTGCAAATGTATTTTTAAGTGCACTAGAAAATAGAGAAAGCAAATGAACACTAGGGAAATTTAAGTTTGGACTACAATGGAAAAAGAGTTTTTTACAACAAATATATCATCGACTAACTATATTATGCCTCATGAGTGAAAAAATTTATCTCCACAATTCCTGGGGTGATAAGAAAGGCTTTTCAGGGAATAAGAAGAAAATAAGTCAGTAGAGGAGACCCATGTCTTTCCAATATGGAATTTACCACAGATCATTTCAAAATTGACACAGAAGCTAAACCTGAAACACGGCATGAAGATTCAGTGAAATATAAATATTACATATTGATCCAAAGATGATCAAGAAATGCTTTTCACTGCAGGCATTTTTCTTTGTAAAATAAGCTTTACTAGAATATTAAAGGGGAAAGGGGGCAATGAGCTCACAGAAAACAAAAGCCACGATTCAGAAAACGCCCCCACTGATACTGACAGTGGTTATGTACATGGCATGATAAAACCATTAAGACTAAACCCCCATTCTTGTACAATGGAAAATCAAGTTTTATTTCTAACCCACTGTATTAAGCTGAATAATCGCCACCCGAAGATATCAGGTCCTAATCCCTGTAGTCTGTACATGTTAACTTGTGAGAGAAAAGGGTCTTTGTAGATGAGATTCAATTAATGATCTTCAGATGGGGTGATTATTCTGGATTATCTAGGTGGGTCCGAAATATTAATACAATCACAAGCGTCCCTATAAGAGAGAGCAGAGGGAGATCAGACGTGTACAGAAGAGGAAAAGGTGATGTGAAGATGGGGACATAGATTGGAAGGAGTCAGGGATGTGGCCACAAGCCAGTCAAGGGCAGCACCCACCAGAAGCTAGAAGAGGAAGGAGGAGACACTCCCCCAGGACCTTGAGAAGGAGATAGGCCCAGTAGCACCTCTATGTGACTTCAGAGTTCTGTCATCTAGAACTGTGAAAGAATAAATGTCGTGCTAAGCCACCAACTGTGTGACAATTTATTGCACCAAAGAACATTTATAAGCTCACCATATTTTCTGAGTGTCTGCTTCCTAATCCATCCCAACTTCTGCTATTTAATAATAAAGGAAATGATGATAATGCCACATAATAGCACAGCACCACCTACCCTGTAGCAGCATTTACTGTGTGACAGGCACTCCATTAAACACATAGCTATGTTGCATTCTTTCACCCTCATATCACAACCACCTTACAAGTGTTAGTATCTCTATTTCACAGAATAGGAAACAGAGATCCATTGTCACACGAGTACCAAATGACAGAGCTGTCAGAACTCAGAAAGCTGATTCCGGGGCCCTCTTCTATAACCACTCTGCTACACTACCCTGAGCATCATTCTTTATCTCAAGGAGAAAAAGCTTGGGTCTAAAAAACAACAGAGACATGTATATTGCATTAAATTTAGGTATCACCAATATTAAAATACATTCCTAGTCATTAAAGATTTTTTTAAGAAGTAATACATGTATGTTGGTCTCTTCATTTGATATTTGATTCTTATGATCCATTAAGTATTGATATTAATAGTGAGCCTAATATTTTCACCAGAATTAACAGCAAAAGGTAGCTGTGTGTGACATCACAGGTGGGATTTTTTTCAAGACTAATCTTAATTGATAAGGCAAGAAAGGCAATGATTTTTTTGGAGGAAACATGGCTAAAACTCTGAAATTCAATTTCCAGGAAACTGGTGGAAGCATAAATTAATAGAATCAACTATTAATTATTTCCTTCTCAGTGCTCAAAGTAAGGTATAGACAGTAAGATCTAGAAATTGCTATTCATCCACCCATCCATCCATCCACCCACCCATCCAAACACCCATCCATCCATCCACCCACCCACCCACCCACAAATCCATCCATCCATCCACTCACCCACCCACCCACCTATCCATCCACCCATGCATCTAGTCATCCTTTCATCCGTCCACCAATTCATTCACCCATTCATCTATGTATCCATCCATCCGTGCATCCATACATGTATTAATCCTGTACTGAAAGCATCTTGAACTAATGTTGTCTGAAAAGCAATATCTAACTTCATTTTAATTAATACATAGAGGATATATTATGACACTACAGTAGGGGACAAATTTATCATCCGACATCTCCGCAGATTAAGTTTAGCTTCAGAGGAGTGTGTCTTACTAAACAAAAACACAAAGATATGTACCCTGAGCATGTGGATAAGAAAGAGGTTATCTCAAAGAAGCAACACCTATTAATGCTGTGTTAGGAAAGTGACTTGCCTGGAGGGTCATTTCATGGGTAGTGAAAGGAAGACTCCAAGCCTTTCCTAGCAGACCTACTATAGATATCATCAGGTACTAGGGGGTCACCAGGCCATGATAAGCAAAGAGGCCACAGATGGGGACCCAGAAGAAACCAATGGCAAGGCCCATAACTAAAAAAACAAAAAAACAAAAAAGCAAAGGCACAACCACCACTTTCCAAGGACTGTGTTCATCTCAGCAGCAACATAAGAGGAGGCAGGTAAAAGAGGTCTTCTCTGGGCTGCTGATTATGTTTGGTTCACTCGAATGTTCTAAATGGCATTCTTCAGAGTGACTGCAGGAATTTTTTAAAAGAAGGAGGGGTGGCCAGGCATGGTGGCTCACGCCTGTAATCCCAGCCCTTTGGGAGGCCAAGGAGGGCAGATCACGAGGTCAGGAGATTGAGACCATCCTGGCTAACACAGTGAAACCCCGTCTCTACTAGAAATCCGAAAAAAAAATTAGCCAGGCATGGTGATGGGCATCTGTGGTCCCAGCTACTTGGGAGGCTGAGGCAGAAGGATGGCATGAACCCGGGAGGCAGAGCTTGCAGTGAGCTGAGATCAGGCCACTGCACTCCACCCTGGGCAACAGAGCGACACTCCGTCTCAAAAAAAGGAAAAGAAGGAGAGTCATTTTAATTCCTTATGATATGCATACTTCCATAAGAGATGGACCATACCCCTTGGCAATGAAGAGACTTTCCTAAAGTCTTTCTGAACGAAAGTCCATGACCGTCTCATTGAAGGTCAACCCATTTTTATGTGCTAACGCAGTACTATTCTTTATTTATAAGAGCATGGAACTACCTTTTTTTTTTTTTATTTTTGAGACAGATACTCACTCTTTTTGCCCAGGCTGGAGTACAGTGGCACGATCTTGGCTTACTACAACCTCCCACTCCAGGGGTCAAGCAATTCTCCTGCCTCAGCCTCCCTAGTGGAGTAGCTGATATTACAGACACCTGTCATCAAGCCTGACTAATTTTTTTTGTATTTTTACTAGAGATGGGGTTTTGCCATGTTGGCCAGGGTAGTCTGGAATGCCTGACCTCAGGTGATTCAGCCTGCCTAGACCTCCCAAAGTGCTGGAATTACAGGCAGGAGCTACTGGGCCCGGCCAAAACTACCTGATTCTTGATAAAGAAGTCAATACAGACAATTTCAATCCTTAATATTGTCTATACCTGGAGCCAATTATTTTACTTTTAAGAGCCATTGAAGGAAAATGGAGAAGTGCTCAGCCATCTCTACTTACAAATTTTCATCTCAGCTTTTAACTAGGATGGAAAAAAAAAAGACTAAAGCAATATTAGTGTAAAGAGCTGGGGGGTGGCAAGTGGGATGGTGTATCCAAAAATGTTGGGTTACTATGACCATTAAGTTTATCTTTTTGAAGAATATTTAATGACATGGAGGAAAATATCCATAATAAAATGTCAAGCAACAATAGCAGGGTATGGAACATATACAGCTTAAGCCCAATTAAGTGCCTGAGTTCTCACATACATACAGGAAAACATAAATAAAAGGTAAATCCATCAGAATGATGTTATTAACTATTCTAGACACAGGAATGACAAGGGAATTAATTTATATATATATATATATTTTTTTTCTACTTTCCAAGTTTTTCTCAATTAGTACATAGTATTTTATAAGCAGAAAAACAAAAAAATAAAATAAAATAAAAGGTAGTGTCCATGAAAATAACCATAGAAGTTTAGGAGACATTTGGCTGCTCATTTCTAAAACAGGTTAATTTTTGGGATTGTCTTTGCTTTGCTTGCATCAGCATGCCTCTTTCTAGAATGCCAGTCTTAAATAGGCTAAGATGGCATTATCTTCAATTCCAAAAATGTGGAATTTGTGATAATTCTGATGAACAAAACTCTGATTTTTTTTTTTACCTTCTGAGCTATAAACATTGTCACAGTTTGAGTCACGGTATATGCAAAGGATGCCAAGTACCTTCTAGCAATAGATGAATCATGCGTTACAAATGGATTACGTTTAAAACAAATGATCAGCTTAAACATTCCTGCCTGCCACCAGGTGCCAGTAGACACTGTACATATTCTCCAAAACAGTAACTTAAAAATGGAGGGTGGTCCCACATGGGCTTTGAGAAATCAAACAAGATTCAGGTGAGAGAGGAATGATGAGCTGTAAGATGGTTTCCTTTTTAATATGGCTCTGGCAAAGTCACCATCTCCTTCTTGGCTTCTGAATTTCTTCCCTTGGTAGACAAAATGACAAAGCAAATCTAAGAAGCAACAAATTAGCCATTCTTATGTTAAAGAGAATTAGCCCCAAAGGCCCAAGGCATGTGAGTAGTTCAGGCTCCTAGAAAAGAAAGTTCTAGGTATTTGCCTAATGGAAAATTGCAATCAAAATCAACGTTAGGTTTGCCTTTTCTGGACATTTCATAAACAGGAATCTCATAATAAGTAGTCTTTTGCAGCTCACTTCCTTCACTTTGCATAATATGTGCATAATGTTTTCCGAGGTTCATCTATGTGGTGTAGCTTCTATTTGTATTCTGTTTTTTTGTTTTATCTCTTTGTTTGTTTTGGCTAAAGTGTATTACAGTATTTGAATATAGCAAGTTTTGTTGACTCACCAGTTGATGGACATTTTGACTGCTTACACTTCTGGGCTATTTTGAATTATGCTGCTAGGAACACGATAGATTAGTGGTTGCCTGGGGCTGAGGGTGGGAACAGAGATTGACTGCAAGATGGGCTTGGAGGCGAGCTCTCTTTAAGGAGAGGACAGTGTTCTAAAATTAGACTGTAAATTTTCTAAAGATAATTGAATTGTAAAATTGAAAAAGGTGGATTTTATGTTATATAAATTATACCTCTATAAAACCATTTTAAAAACCTACTTTGAATATTACCTTATTTCCAAGATAGTGTCACTTGACTCTTGGAAGAAGGTATTTATTCTTTAAGTTCTAAAGGTTTCCCTTAATATTGCAATATAAAGAGTACTGATGAAGGATATTCTCCTTATACTTAAGAAGCGTATTTTAAATGGAACCATTAATCACTGCCCATTGCATACAGATAGCAAAACATCACATTGTATCCTACAAACATATACAATTATTGTCTGTCAATTAAAAATAATATTGTGTGTGTGTGTGTGTGTGTGTGTGTTTCAACTGGGAGAAACCTATGATGTCCCTAATTAGAAGGCTATGACTGTTGCTATTCAGGATAGAGTGGACAATCCTGCTAGGCTGAGGACCAGAGTGTTGAAATTCTCTAGGGTCAAGGCAAGAACTGGGAACAGAGGAAGAGGACAATAAGCTGAGACCACAGAGGCTGAGCCCCAATGGCTAGGGCGAAGTAATAGCCCAGAGTCAAAAGAAAAGTTTCTTCCAAATTGGAACAGAGCAAAAAAGGGGAATTTCAGGTACCAAAAAGTAACCCTGTGGCGGGTGGACCTCACCAATCCTGTTTCATCTTTCTAGGGCCCCAGGGAGACTCTTTCCCATGCTACTCTGTGGTGAAATGGAGGTCACATGACTGGTTCTGGCCAATGGCATGCAGGTGGAAGTGAGGAATGTCCACTCCAGACTTGACCTCCACATTTCCCACCCCCAGATCCTTAGCTCAGTGGCTCTTGCTTCTGTCTCTTGGTTGGATGATTCAAGGGTGACTGAAGCCAGGAAACAGCAGAGTCACAAGATGGAAGGAGCCTGAATCTGCTTGTTATCACTTGATCTAGAAAACTTGTTCATGGCTTTGTATGAATAAGGCATCAACTTTGATGCTGTTAAGTACCTGAAAAGTTGGGGGATGTTTGTTACAGCATCAACCTAGCCTGACTGACAACAACAGTAATAATAAATTTAATAAGTTATAATATTATTGTGTGACCGTGATACATCAGACATATGTTAGATATCTTACATATGTCATCTAATTTAACTTTCACAAAAATACTTATGAAGGGAATACCATTATCACTTCTCCCATCTTTTGTCATATGAGTACTGCAGAATGAAAGTAATAGCTCACAGTCACAAAACTGGTAACTGTCAGAGACAGAATTAAACCCACAGGGTTCAGACCCCAAGCCTCCTCTTCATTCTTAGGCTGCATGACTTGGATGGAACTGGCTTATCCCACTACCCACTGAGCAAATATTGCATGTTCTCAGATATCTGACACACAGTGCTACTGTTCATCTCCTAAATCACCAACAAGTGTCCAACTTCGATCTATATTTTAAATCCCTTAATTGTCCAAAAGAGGGGAAGACACTGTGGTTGCTCACAATTATGAAAGTCTTGCAAGACTGAACCAAGGGAAAGCATTAGAATGGCCCTGAACACTCTAAGAAGCCTGCAGAGAAATTCCCAGACTCCATCACTTTCTTCTAAAAAAAACCCCAAATGACCCCAAGTTACTTCCAACCCCAACCCTGTCCTACAAGCCAGGACACAAGGCTTAGAAAAGATGAGCATATTCTATAATAAAAACCAGGACCTACTCTAAAATGAAAATCACGAGACACAGTTTAACAGCTGTGATTCACCAAGTCAAGGTAAAGGTAACACACTTGGAAATCGAGGCGAAAATGATTCAATAACCGTTCTATAAAATTCACAAGGGAACAATATTATCTGAAAGACAATGCTTTACATAAAAATGAGAGGTAGATAAAAGGAGAGGGAGAGGGAAGACGTGGCGTGAGCTGCTGGAAGGGGTGGGAGGGTGGAGAGAGAGAGAGAATTATCCTGAAACTAACATCCAGATCAACCTGCCTGAAAGGAAACTTTTCCTGTGCAGAGAAAGATGTCCTCAGCCGTTGACGTGCAATTCAATGATTGATGTTGTTGCAAATGACACCGTTGTAAGACTTAGAGACTGAAGCACCAACTTAAATCTGATCATATGAAATAAAAACTGGGTTTATACAGTGTTAAAGATAATTTCTTAGAAAAATTAACAAACTCTTACTACAGACCTAATGATGTCACAACATTCTTTCTAAGAAGGAAAGATAGTGAGAGGGAAGAAAGGAGAAAGGAAGAAAGAATATTGCTTGTCACTAGAGGTTTCCACTAAATGCATTTCTGGGTGCATTTTTTTTTTTTTTTTTTGGCTGAAAGAGGGAAGATTACCCTAATAAATTCCTTCAGGCCGAAACTCATACTGCTGTTCAGAATACTTGAATTATAAGGAAGGAAATCAGACCACCCTGCTACACACATAGGAAACAAAATGCAGCCAATGCAACAGTCACACCATTTTGGGTTTTAATTATTAGAATGTGAAACTCTCAAGAAATGTGATCAAGCCAAAGCAATCAGCTCCCACCCTGGGCCTCCGAGAGCCAGGCCTACTGCAGTGCACTATTCGTGGACTGGCCAAATAATCACCTCCCAGGAACGGACAATCTGGCCCCACAGATTCCCACTACAGCTGCCCCGGCAGATGAGGGCAAGGGCAGCTGTGGATATGTGCAGGATTTGGGCAGGGGTAGGAGTGTTCCAGGACAATAAAAATAATTTATATTTTTAGTACAGACAGGTTTCACCACGTTGGCCAGGCTGGTCTCAAATTCCTGACCTCAGGTGATCCACCCACCTCAGCTTCCCAAATTGCTGGGATTACAGGTATGAGCCACGCTGGGCCTGGTGGCCAGTGCCTGTAATCCCAGCTACTCCGGAGGGTGAGGCAGGAGTATCACTTGAACCTGGGAGGTGGAGGTTGCAGTGTGCCAAGATCACATCATTGCACTCCAGCCTAGGCAACAAGAGCGAAACTCTGTCTCAAAAAAATAAAAATAATAAAATAATAATAATAATTTAAAAAGTAGAAGATACAAAACCATCACACCCAAATAAATTTGTTCTTTCCAGGCTGCCTTGTGAGAAAAAATAAAGCCACACATGGATGCTAACGACTTGGTTCAGTATGAGGACATCGTGTACAGGAAAATGCTCTGTGGTTTTTACAACTGTCTGCATGTGATTATTTGGTGGGGAAAGGATGGAGACCCAGAGGCCTACACCCACTGAAGGTGCATGCTGTTTTGAGGACAGAGAAGGGGAAAGTGAGAGAGTGGGTCCGGAGACTCCAGCCTTTAGATGTTCTCATAAATACCATTTCTTTGAAAGCTTGTAACAGCCTTTCTCAGAAGTCAGTATTATACCCATTTTACAGAGGAAGAAAATGGACACAGATGGTTTTTGGAGCTTGGCAAAGGTCAAACTGCTAGCTAGTGGTGGACTTGGGGTAAAACTGACATCTGACCCTAAAACTCTATAGGAGGAACCTGTACCTTTAGAATAGGAGGCTGACAATTTCGAGACGGAAAAAAATCCCTTTGTGCCTGTAGGGAAGATTGGCCACACAGTCATCCCTCTGAAACTCTTCATCTCAGACTCTTCTTACACATAAGAACACTTAAGGAACATTCCTATAAGAGGGTGATGGTAACAGTACAGGCTTTGGTGTTCAGGCCACCCAGGGTTCAAATCCCAACTTTGCTATTTTGACAAACACTGTTAACCTGGGCAAGTTAATTAAGATTGATGGACCGGGATTCTTCTTTTAAAACACAGAAACAATAATAGTCTCTATATTAAGGTGTTGCTGTAATGTTAGATAGATCAATGTATGGAAAGTATGGACCCTACTATAGCAACTCAATAAATATTCGTTATTATGTGACAAAAAAAGAGAATCCAAACTGATCATCTTGAACTTTGAATGCACCTTCAATCAAAGTCTATTAAGTGCAAGGTTTGTGTTTAGTGTGTGGAGGAAGCTCAGGTCTACCAAAGCATCACATTAGAATAAAGCAATAAGCCGGCCGGGCGCGGTGGCTCATGCCTGTAATCCCAGCACTTTGGGAGGCCGCGGCGGGCGGATCACGCGGTCAGGAAATCGAGACCATCCTGGCTAACATGGTGAAACCCCGTCTCTACTAAAAATACAAAACATTAGCCAGGCGTAATGGCGGGCGCCTGTAGTCCCAGCTCCTCGGGAGGCTGAGGCAGGAGAATGGCGTGAACCCAGAAGGCGGAGCTTGCAGTGAGCCGAGATCGGGCCACTGCACTCCAGCCTGGGTGACAGAGCAAGACTCCGTCTCAAAAAACAACAACAACAAAAAAAAACAACAACAAAAAAAACAATAATGCAATAAGCCTGCATCACATTTCAATTAAGCTGAAGTTGACTACTTTAGAGCATCCCCAACATTCAACTCTGCTATTTTATAAAAAGAATAATATGTGCTCAACATTCCTAAGTCACATCTTCCATGCATCTTGTTTTATCTAGAGATGGCTCCTGGATTCAGAATGAGGCTGTTACACCACCTTCTTGTAAAGATGATGATTCATACCCATTTTATTGTTTGCTATGATAAATGACATACAGAGAAAAGAACTCCTTTAATATGGAAGTAAAATATTTGTTATTCATGTTCTCTTAAATTAGGGTGAGGTCTTTGAGAAAAGGGAAGGATGCCCGGAGTTGGGTTAGGGTTTATTTTATTTGTCTTATTTCGTAAAAGTCACAGAGCACTTTCCTGTATACAGTCTCCTCTCAAAATCAAGGACAGTCATGAATTTTGTTTGTGACTCTGTTTGTGAAGTGACAGTCACAAAATGTACTATGCTAAAGTGAATACTTCAGTGACAGCTTGTTGTACAGCCACTACCTCTATCAAGTTCCAAAATATTTTCATCACACCAAAAGAAAACCCCACAACCATTAGGCAATTGCTCTCACTTCCCCATCCCCTCAGACCCTGGCAATCAGCAATCAGCATTCTGCCTCTATGGATTTAATTCCTCTGGATATTTTATAAAAATAGAATCACATAATCAATTGACTGAATTCTTCTTTAACCATGAAGACACTCAGAACTAACCTCCTGTGGCTACATAGACAACAGGACCCTATCAGATGTCAATTTCGGTGTAGTTTGTGTTCTCATAGACCCTTTACTGACGTCATCATGAAATCATCTATACACCAATGAACCACAAGCTAAAAAGCAGGCCAATGTTTATGGCTCAACTCACACAAATGGCAGGCCCTCTTAACACTTTCTTTGGCCAATTTTCATTTTGACTGAACCAAATGGAGTTATCCATTCCCCCAGGTGAGTGCTGCCTAATAAAGAAAGCAAATCGGGTTCGACCTATTTTCAAATTCTAAAATGTGTCGCCCCCTGGACTCATACAACATGACAGACTCTCAACCAGATGGAGAAACATTCTCTGCCTAATAAAGAACCAGGAACTCGACTACCCAGCCCATCCTCTGTTGATATGAATCATGAATTAATAGTATCAGAACTACAGAAGGTGGCTTACGAAGTGCAGTCCAGGCCGTCCTTCAACGAAGCCACATCCCTCAACCCAAGCCACATCCCTCCCAATTATTTACCAGCCAATCAGGGTTGGACACTTAGTGCTCCTGGAAACTGATGCACCTGGCTCCACTTAGGAATTTTCCGGGATGGGTGTGTCTCAGAGTCCCCTGAGGAACTTGTTAGTAAAACAGTGATTGATTCTGGATTTTTAGCTGGATGTGGTGTCTGGACATCTGTACCCGTAGTAAGGGTCTCAGATGATGAGCTTTTTGGTGGAAATGAATGTATAAACTCTGAAGGCATGCAGAGAAAGATAATACAGAGAATGTGCATGGCCCTTGGCAGCAGCCAGAAACAAAAGACTGAAGCAGGGTTTCTGCAGGACTAATGCTTCTATAATTAATTGCTCTTGACTTAGAATTATTCCAGCGTCCAACTTACAAGGAACTCAAAAGGTGCTTAGTGCTAACCTTGAACCTGGGCCTCCCGAGGCTGGGGTTAAAGACACAAAGCTAATTTAGGAGGCAGTGCAAGTGGGCATTGATAGAGAGGACAGGAAGAGGCTTAACAGGCTTGGGGGCTCAAAGGTTCACAGGAGCCAGAGGAGAGGGGTTTGTGGCAGGCGGTGGCGTTTCTATTCTGGGTCCATGCAAGGGACTTGCCAGGTGACCTTGGGCCTGTCACAGCCCCTTGGCACTGCTGCCTCTCCATCTGTGAAATAAAGGTACCAGTGCCTGTCACACAGGCCCTCCCAGGGTGGGGAAGATTAATGAGGTAAAGTTTGCAAAGTGTGTAGAACTCCAGGCAACGAAGGGTAGCAAGAGGCACAAAGTAAATGGTGACCGACCCCTTCTCCTCTCAAGTACATGCACACTTCTCTTGCCTTTGAAAAATAGCATAACCCCTTGCTATGCCAAGTGAGCACCAGCATCCGTGGGAGCTTGTCACAAATGCAAAATTGCAGGCTCCATCCTAGACCAAGCAGGGGCCCTGATCATCTATGGTTTAAAAGCCCTCCAGGACTCATTGATGCTTGCTAAATATTCCAGCAATGGCAAATCGCAAAATAGCCATGCACAAATCAGACACGTCCCCCACTTCCAAGGGACTTCCACTCCACCAGTAAGTACGGTGATAGAAAATAAATAAATAAGAATTTTGGAGGGTGGTAAGAAAAAAAAAAAAAGAAGAGAACACAGACCAAAGACACAGAGGCAGTATAGCACAGGAGTTGAGTCTATGGGCTCCAGATTCACAAGCCCTAGGGTCAAATCCTAGCTTAGACACTTATTAAGCACTTGAGTCAATCACTTTTCCTCCTACTGACTCATTTTTCTCATCTGTGAAATGAGAATAATGAAAGTGAGGTCTCCCTGTGCAGCAGAGGTTCTTATACTTTAACATTCAGAAGAAGCACTCAGAGAGCTTGTTGAAAGCACAGATTGCTGGTTCCTGCCACCAGAGATTCTGCTTCTGTAGGTTTGGATGGGCACCAAGAATCTGCATCTCTCACAAACTCCCAGGCCTTGCTAATGCTGGTAGTCTGCAGACCATGGTTTGAGTGGTACTTCTCTAGAGTGGCGGCTTGCAAAATTTTAATATCCACCCAAATCACAGGGGTAGGAAGAAAGGGGGGTTATGTTAGTCTGTTTTTATGCTGCTGATAAAGACATACATGAGACTGAGTAATTTATAAACAAAAAGAAGTTTAATGGACTCACAGTTCCACATGGCTACGGAGGCCTCACAATCATGGCAGAAAGCGAAAGTCACGTCTTACAAGGCAGCAGACAGGAAAGAATATAAGAACGAAGTGAAAGCGATTTCCCCTTATCAAACCATCAGATCTAGTAAGACTTACTCACCACCATGACAACAGTATGGGGGAAACCACCCCCATGATTCAGTTATCTCCCACGAAGTCCCTCACACAACACATGGGAATTATGGGAGCTACAATTCAAGATAAGATTTGGGTGGGACACAGCCAAACCATACCAGGAGTGCAGAGGGGTGAGCCGTCATTAAAATGCAACAGGTGGTTCAGTAGGTCTGAGGAAGGGTCTGGGACTTGGCAGTGCCAACTCCTTCCCAGCGGAGGCTGATGACCTGGCCAATGAATGACAGTTTGAGCAGTTGGGTTCATGTATTTGACACAGGGTAGATAATCAAGGGTATTATCTATTTTAGTATTTTTATAGCTCTAATCCTTTATTTCGTAGTGACAATGATGGTAACCAGATAACCAATGGTTAGAGTTTTAAACATCGGTACATGATAAACTGTAAGATTGATGCCACTGTATCAAACCCAATGAAAAGAAAGTGTTGGTTCACAGAATCCCAAAACTTCCAAACCAAAGATCCAGAATTTCCTCAAAGGCCATCATAGGAGTAGAGAATTCACAAAGCCTCTTATTTCAGCCAGGAATTCCAAAATCATTGCTAAAATATGAACTATCCGCAAAGTTCTACAGGGGATATGCAGGGCATCAGCAGTCCTAAAGAGATGTGAGGAAATGCTGTCACGGCTACACAAAACCCCCCAAAATAAATGTCGAGAGCAAACATAGTGGGGTGCACATGGTCCTAAATAATGCAATAATGCATCTGGGGAACGATTTTCCTGAAGGACTTATTTATATTTGAAAATTTCATCTTCGTTTCCTTTCCTTTTCTCCTCTTTTCTTTGGGACAGAACTTTTCTCCTTCCCACTATGGAATAATTCAGCAGGACAATGCTCTTCTCCTGGGATTTCCTTCCCCATCAGGTTATAAATAACTATGCCACAATAATTAAGAGCATATACAAAAATCAATGACAAGGTCGTTTACCATGAACAAGCCATGTTCTGTTTCCATGGCAACACGGAGTCAAAGGCAAAGTGACACATGATGAGACTTCCATTGTATCTCCATCGTCTTAAACTCTGAAAGGGCCACCTTTGGGGCAGGCCAGGCTCTTCCCCATCGTGGCCTGGGTGGCTGAGATCTGGGCCCAAGCTCCAAAGGGAGAAGACTGATGACCAGACTCCACTGGGAGCCTGTGGGAAGGCACGCCAGGAGATAGACAAGGCAACTCTCTCACTAACTGTGGGCCTACCTTCATATTTGTCACAGTGAAAACCAGGCACTGTTGGTAACGATCCCAGACTCAGGTGGGTCATTAGCCTGCCCCTCTGAATTACCCAGTTTTGGACTTTCTCTGCTGTCTCAACTCCATGTCTTTTTTTTTTTTTCTTTTTCTTTCCATCGCAGAAGAGAGAATGGAAGAAGAACTAATCAGAGGTAAAAAAGCACGGTGCTGGCTGCTTCCCAAGTTCTTTGCACAGGCAGAGGCTTTATCAGGTTCAAACTTGTTAGAGGCGTCTGCCTTCCTAGATGAATGGCAGACCGAGCATTTCCACTTGCTTCCAGTTCTGCCTACCTTTCCCTTGGCTGTGAAAACCCAGAAACTGAAAGAGAAAGAGTGAAAAGAAGATGCTGGGACTGTCTGACCTGCAAGGCCATCCCCCAAGGGTCCAATCAGCTCCACAGAAAGTGCACAGACACAGGCCGTAAAAAGAGTGAGGTGTTGGAGTTTCATGAGCTCCTACTCTTAGAAATAAGGGAGATGTCCTAAATATCCCCTGGTCACTTACAAACCCATGAAGGATTTAGCATCTTGACTTCACTTATTTGTATATTCACCCTCAAAGTTACTTTAAATGTTTTACTTGGAAAGGAATTCCAAATCCACCTGTTTATTTAAACTTTATTAACACCAATTTCTGTTAATAACCTCCAGTAATGCTGAGGATGATGATATATGTATGGGCCCATACTTATTAGGTGCTAAGGAATCCACTGGGTTTCATGTGTGTTTCATTTTATTTGTTTTGTTTTTCTTGAGATGGAGTATCACTCTGTTGCCCAGGCTGGAGTGCAGTGGTGCCATCTCAAGTCACTGCAAACTTTGCCTCCCGGGTTCCAGCGATTCTCCTGCCTCAGCCTCTCGAGTAGCTGGGACTACAGGCATGCACCACCATCCCTTAGTAACTTTTGCATTTTTAGTAGAGACAGGGTTTCATCATGTTGGCCAGGCTGGTCTCAAACTTATGACCTCAGGTGATCCGCCTCAGCCTCCCAAGGTGTTGGGATTACAGGCGTGAGCCACCATGGCCAGCCCCTCCTATAGGTATAATTTAATTTAATCCTCACAACAACACTATGAGGTTGATACTGTCATTATTTCCAATGTGCAGATGAGGAAACTGAGTCATAGGATAAGATGCAATGCCTGTGATCTTAAACTCCCAGCACTGGAGAACTTGGAATAAAAACTAGAAGGAGCTGAATTCCAGAGCTCTTATCTATGACCTACCTGCTTCAAAACTAGCCCTTTCTTTTATTTCTCCTAAAATAACTCCTTTCAAGCTTCCAGTGGAATGCTTGCTACTGTTGGTATTCTAATGTCTAGTGAGCATGTCAGTTTCTCTCTTGGTGACTTTAGAGAGTGATTAATTCTGCCTTTCTCTGTGAGTCCAAGCGTTTTAGGTTTTACATAGAAACTGTTCCCTCTTTGCCTAAATGCCTCCTTGTTGCTGAGAAGTGCCACCTGGGGTTCAAAAGAAATGGAATAGTTGATAGACCTCTTCTCAAAATCATTTCCCCAATGGTCTCTCTTCCTTTGGAACGGTGGCTCAGGGAATGATAAAATGCAAGGAGGCCGTCAAAGGGAAATGGCTGGTCTTCCTCATCCATGGAAAGCACATTTTGGGAGGATCTCCTCCTCTGACACAGATGAGTCCTTGGGACAAAGCTCAGGTCAAAACTGGAAATCTATTTCACAGTAGGTTTCTCATGCACATTTGGGGTCTTTTCAATGGCAAAACTGGGACAAGTCATGTCGAGGACCACTAACTTTAAAAGTAAATTAGAAACCCTCCACAGAACACAGATTACCTAAAAAAGCGGCATGATTTCTCTTTTGCGAAAGCCAGCAGGGGCGGGCAGAAGAGGAAGAATATGACTTCTCAAACAATATACAGGCAGGGCACAGGGGCTCCAGTCTGTAATCTCAGAACTTTGGGAGGCGGAGGAGGGAGAATTGCTTGAGCCTAGGAGTTTGAGATCAGCCTGGGCAACACAGTGAGACCCCCATCTTTACAAAAAAAAAAATGAGTGGGGCATGCTGGAATGCACCTGTGGTCCCAGCTATTTAGGAGGCTGAGGAGAAAGGATCGCTTGAGCCTAGGAGGTTAAGGCTGCAGGGAGCTACACTTGAGCCACTGCACTCTAGCCTGGGTGACAGAGTGAGACTGTGCTGCAAGAAAAGAAAAGGAAAAGATTACAGAATTCACAGACCGTCCCATGCCCTTAATTACACAATACATAAATACCTTTTGTTAGAAAAATTGTAGACAAGATTAAAGTTGCATGTGATCACTATCCTTAACCCCCATTGCCCCTCTAACCTGGAAATCCTAGTATATTGAGTATCCTTCCAGATCTTTACTCTAAGCATGATTATATACTATGATTTTATTATTATTAATTTTTTAAGAGATGGCGTCTCACTATACCTAGGCTGACCTTGAATTCTTGGTCTCAACAGATCTTCCCACCTCAACCTTCCAAGTAGATGTGCCTACAGGTGCGAGCCACTGCACCTGGCTATGATTTAAAATCAATTGCTTCTATTCTTTATTGAATAATAACATGTTGCTCGTTTTAATTAGTATATATTAAAATCCTAAACCATGAGGACTTAAACTCATCTCCAGATGCTTGTTTACCTACAGACCACTCAGTGAAGATGACAGTAATTGCATCTTTTTGGGGATAGCCAACCAGTTTTCTTGCAAAATGAAGCAAACAAAAGGGTAATATTTTTAAACTTTTATTTTAGGGTCAGTGGTACATGTGCAGGTTTGTCATACAGGTAAATTGCATCTCACATGGTTTTGGTGTATAGATTATTCTGTCACCCAGGTGATAAACATAGCATCTGATAGGCAGTTTTTTATCCACACTTTCTTCCCACCATAGGAATTAAAAAACACTATTTTTAAATTCATATAGAACCAAAAAAGAGCCTGAATAGTCAAGGCAATCCTAAGCAAATAGAACATTCTAACCATCAAGTTACCCAACTTCAAACTATACTACAAGGCTACAGTAACCAAAACAGCATGGCACTACTGATACAAAAACAGACACAAAGACCAATGGAACAGAACAGAGGGCCCAGAAATAATGCCACACACCAATAACCATCTGATCTTCGACAAAGTTGACAAAAATAAGCAATGGGGAAAGGATTCCCTATTCAATAAATGGTACTGGGATAACTGACTAGCCATATGCAGAAGACTGTAACTGGACCTCTTCCTTACACCATATACAAAAATAAACTCATGATGGTAATTTGTATTATGGTGAAGTTATAACATGTTGAACACGAAGCACGTGAAGATGTCTAGTCCACAGAGTTAACATTTTCAATTTATTAGAACTTTCCTTCCTTTAAGCTGGACTTGCAGCAGGCTAGGGAAAACAAGAAGGTAGGAGACATAGAATTAACAGTTCGCTTGCCAGGGATTCATCCCAGCCTTACTCCCTGTGTTCCCATGGTTGCTGTCTCTCAGTTTCACCATCCTCAGGGTGGGGATATTACAAATGCCTACTGCAGAGGGCTTCCTACACTTACTAACTTAATGCATGTGAAGCATTTAGAGCTTGGCTGCCATGTGACTAGCACTCAATAAATAAATCTTAGCTTTTATTATTCTCATGATAAGCATTTATTAGTTCCCTCACACCAAGCCCATGTACCAGTTGGGACTTCAGGCTGAAGAAAATAGAGAGGAGAATGTGGAACTCCAGAAGGATTGCTAGGTACTCTTAAGTATGTCTTCAAGGAGGACGGATGGATAGGTGGATGTGTGAACAGGTAGGTAGATAGATGGAGGAATGAGTGGATGAATGGACAGACACATAGATGCATGGGTAGATGGACAGATAGATGGGGAGGTAGATGGATGAATAAGGACCAGTAGCAGAAGCAAAAGTAAAAGCCATTAAAACACTAGAGGACCATTTATTCAACAATTTGTTTTGTTTTGTTTTGTTTTTTTGAGACAGAGTCTCACTGTGTCATACAGGGTGGAGTGCAGTGGCGCAATCTTGGCTCTCTGCAACCTCCAACTCCCAGGTTCAAGCAATTCTCCCAGCCTCGGTCTCCCAGGTAGCTGGGATTCCAGGCTCCTGACACCACACCTGGCTAATTTTTATATTTTTAGTAAAGATGGGGTTTCCCCATGTTGGCCAGGCTGGTCTCGAACTCATGACCTCAGGTGATCCGCCTGCCTCAGCCTTCAAAAGTCCTGGGATTACAGGCGTGAGCCATGACACTCGGCCTCAACAAATGTTTTTTTTGAATACCTACCATGTAGTCAGTTGAGGAGTGAAAGGATAAAGTGACAATAAAATAGATATAGACCGCTCACCCTATAAAAAAGTAGAAAATCCTGTAAAGGAGTTAAAAATCTGGTGACCTCTATAAAGAGAAATAAGAGTGTGTTGAGAGAGTATGACAATGTGCTGCATTTACATAGGGAAGGGGGTCAGACAAATCTTCTTCTGACGAAATAGCTTTTAAAGACTTCATGGACCAGGAGAAAGGAGTTCATAAGTGGGTATCATAGATGTAAGAGAATAGGGTTATGGTGACTAAGGCTGGGAAGGGTGTGGGGGTGGAGTGGGAAATGAAGACAAATCGGTTAATGGGTGCAAACCTACAGTTAGATAGGAGAAGTGAGTTTTAATGTTCCACAGCACAGTAAGGTGACAATAGTTAACAGTAATGTATTATATATTTAAGAATAGCTAGAAAAGAAGATTTGAAAAGTTGCCAACAGAAAGAATTGATCAATGTTCAAAGCGATGAATATCTTAAATACCCTAACTTGACCATTGCACATGCATGGGATGTACCAAAATATCACATGCTTCCCATACATATGAACAAACCATATGAATCAATACTTTTTTTAAGTTTTGCTTTTATTCTTGGAGCAGAAGCAGGATAATGTAGTGACCAACTGTGCACCCCTTCTCTTCCCCTCTGCTCTCACCCCTCCCTCCACCATAGACTACATTTGTACAGCTTAACGGATCCAACAATAAGAAAAGAGAAAGAGGACTGAGTCATTCAGCGGATTTGTTTACTGCACTAAGGGGCCCTGGAGCTAATTAGAGATGGCAGGTTGTCAAAAGAACAGTAAACCCTGCTTTCACAGGTGTGTTCAGAATCTGAAGAGTAAAGATCAATATGGTAACGTAATGCATTAGACTTGTGAAACAAAACTCATTGATCTACAAAGTCATCAGAATGTTAGATTTTTCCCACTGCCTTTGATCATTAATTGGGGACCAAGGTTTACCTTTTAGAACCTGCTGACTTTGGAGCCAAAAGCATCATGGTTCATATCTTGGTTTCAACTTTCTATAGCTGTAGCACATTAACCTAAAAGACTGCTTGCTGCTACACTCAGAAGAGTGGAGATGATGATATGTGATCTGCAGAATAGCAGCCTCTTAAAGATGTGCATGTCATGATACCTGGAACCTGTGAATATATTTTACCTTACAGGGCAACAGGGAATTAAGGGAATAGGTGGAATTAAAGTTACTAATCATCTGACCTCAAAATAGGGAGACTATTCTGGATTATCTCTGTGGGCCCAATGTAGTCACAAGTCTCCTTAAAACCTAGAAGAGGGAGGCAGAAGAATGGAGTGACATGATGTGAAAAAGGACTCAACTCACCAATGCTGGCTTTGAAGATGGAAGAAGGGGCCACGAGCCAAGGCATGCAGGAGGCCTCTAGTGGCTATAAAAGGCAAGGAAAGGGACTGTACCCAAAGCCACCAAAAGATTAGTTTCTTATTGCTGCCTACCTCGTGATGTTAGCCCAGTTAGACCCACTTAGGACTTCTGACCTCCAGAACTGTAAGATACTAAATCCATATTCTTTCAAGCCACTAAGAATGTGATCATTTATTACAGCAGCCATGGGAAACTAATACACAATATTTGAGTTTGTGTGTTCTTAAGAGGATTCAATGACATGATTTATGCAAAGCGATGGTGTCTTAGGAACTACTCAGTGGTCATTGTCATTCATTTCTATAAACACCCACCTCTAATATTGGCCAATCTTTCACCTACCTTTCCAGTGACTTACCCGTTTGTGCTTCTACATCCCCAAGGCCTCCACCAGCTAAGAACATACACCTGACCCCGTACTCAGGTAACCACCAACTAAATCATTAGCTGATAACACAAAAGACCCGCCCCAGCAATATTTGCATTCAAAAGACAAATGCATTGCATCACTCTGCTTAAAATCTTTAGGTTGTTCAAAGTCTCCCACAGATTTTAGTCTAAGATTTACAATGCCTTTCAGCATGCAGTCCCTACCAGCTTCTACAACCTCAGTTTCTTCTCCTTCCTTATAGGCCCTCTGTGTATATGCCGACCATCCTAAATGATGGGATATTTCTTTAGTGCATCTGAATCTCTTATGGCTCTGGGCCTTTGCATTTGCTGTTTCCTCTGACCAGAACTGATGTCTCCTAATGCATGTTCATCTATCCAAGTCTCATTCATTGTGTAAGACTCAGCTGAATCATTACAAGAAGCTTCCCTCAATATCCTGCTACTCAGTTAATCGGGATCTACCTCCTTTGTTCTCCTGGAATGCAGAATCCATCCCTCAACTTTAGCAATTCTCGCAGCATCTTATAAATGATCACTTGGTGGTCCTTCCCCATCATTACTCTTTAATATCAATGTCTTTTTAGGATCATATATATATATATATATTTTTTTTTTTTTTGAGACAGAGTTTCACTCTGTTGGCTCACTGCAACCTCCGCCTCCTGGGTTCAAGCTGTTGTCCTGCCTCGGCCTCTCGAGTAGCTGGGATTACAGGCATGCGCCACCACACCCAGCTAATTTTTTGTATTTTTAGTAGAGATGGGATTTCACTGTGTTAGCGAGGATGGTATTGATCTCCTGACCTCCTGATATGCCCGCCTTGGTCTCCCAAAGTGCTGGGATTACAGGCATGAGCCACCGCGCCTGGCCGGATCATAGATCTTTTTGAGGATCTGAAGAATGAAACCCCTTCTTCAGGAAATTACTCACACAAGTTTTACATGTAATACCTACAGTCTGCAAGTCATTGCAGGGGGTTCATGGCTCCCTGAAAAGCACTGAACCTCAGCATAAAATTCCCAGCATTAAAATGTGAGTGCTCAGAAGGAAAGCATTCCACCATTCTATCTAGTTTATACATTTGTCTTTGGCATGCAACATACTGCCTAACACAGAGTTGGTATTTAATAAATGCAGAAGGAAGGAAGGAAGGAGAAAAGGAAAGGGAAGGGGGAGGAAGGAAGGGAGGGAGGATGCATGGATGGTTGAATGGTGGATAGGAAAGTGAATGATTAATTTGTTTATTCATCTTTGGAAAAATTCAGCTAGAAAATTTCACCTAATAATAGACAAATGACAATTACTAAATCACATCAGAGAACATGACTAATCATACTTCTCTGGCAATAAACACTGTGTGACAAAAACGCATCTGTGAAAATACCCTTATTGACAACATGTTCCATATTGTTCATAGTTTCAGAAACATTCCTGAGGAAAAACAGATATGATCCAACTGAGGCAATACAGCTGAGAAAAAAAAAATGAAAGAAAAAAAGTAACTAAGAGGGTAAGTTTTCTGGTAGAGTAAATCAGAATAGGTTCTATGGCCACCGTTACAGATGATGAGGTTGAAATAACGAGACGGTGAACCTCTTCTCTCTAAAATTCACCTTGTAGAAAGTTTGTTGTGGCTGCTGTAGAAATTGTGAAAATATGCTTGATTAGAATAAAAGTTTTACACACACACACAAACACACACACGCAGGAGTTTTTATACAAGAAATAAGATAAGGCTGGGTGTGGTGGCTGACGCCTGTAATCCCAGCATTTTGGGAGGCCGAGGCAGGTGGATCACAAGGTCAAGAGATCGAGACCATTCTGGCCACCATGGGGAAACCCCATCTCTACTAAAAGTACAAAAATTAACTGGGTGTGGTGGTGCTCGCCTATAGCCCCAGCTTCTTGGGAGGCTGAGGCAGGAGAATTGCTTGAACCCAGGAGACACAGGGTGCAGTGAGCCGAGATCACGCCACGGCACCCAGCCTGGTGAAAGAGCAAGACTCCATCTCAAAAAAAAAAAAAAAGTAAGATAAATATCCAGCCAAGGGGAATGAGTTTCCTATGCTGCATCCATACAATGGAACAGTATATAGTTATTTAAAGTATTACACTTCGGAAGGACATTTATAGCATGAAGAAATTCTCATGCTATCTTAAGACAAAGCAGGTTACAGTGATTCCAAATTTCCAAATATGTGTATACACATAGAGAAAAAAGGCTAGAAAGTGTTAGCAATAGTTATCTATGGATATTGGAATCACAGTTGAATTCTGAACTTCTTTTTATCCTATTTCTGTAGATACATATACATATATATATATATAAACGTTAAAGAAGAACTTCTTGGTTAATTAAAAGCTTGCATGCACATGTGTGCTCGAAGGCACAAAACTCTGGACAGACAGATCATGTTTCAATTTCTGCCTAAGGAAACACCTTTTCGTTGGACCTAAATTCCCCTAAAAATGTGCCACTTTTCACCTGGCAGGCGTTCTAACGTCATAATACCTAGTGAGAATGAATCTATCCTCATAAATCTAACTTTTCATCTCATCATCTAAATTTGCTGACGGAAATTGGATTACTGTCAAATTTGTCTCTTTTCCTTTTGGGACATTGTGGATATCAATCCGTCTCACTCCACATCACCACTCAATGTATATCTACCCATTGTGAGAAGGGTTCCTCTTGAGTGATGTGTTGCTACAGCTTTGTGACTCAGTTGCCAGCTCTGTGTTTTTCTGGCTGCTATACTTGGTCTTTCTCTAAACAGCAGAAAGCCTTCAACAAGGAAAGACCCTAAACCAGAATGAACATGATGCATTGTCTCTTTCATGTTACATTCAACTGAATGGTGCTTAGGGAAGAGGAGCGTCTTTGAGCATGATTCAGTTTAGCTTAATAAATACCTGCTGAATATCTCTTTTGTACAAGGTGATGCAATAGGCTTAGCCACATGTTTCCATCCCACACAAAAGAAGGTATTCTTCAAAACTCCATCTTTTATTGAGAAACAGTAAATCATCTCCCTGATATGAGTTCAGATATAATGAACCCCAACCAAGCATGCGCCCCCAGCCCAGTCAGCAGTATAGACTTGGGCTCCATTTCACGTCAGGTACTAAAGATTCTTCGTTCACTGCTGGTTTATGTTTAAGCAGGAATCTAAAAGAACACTCAGGCCTCAATGAACGGGGATGCTGTTGTCACAGGAACTCTCAGACAGTGCTGGTGAAAGGACTTTACCACCGACTGCTCTGCAGAACTGACTCAGAGTGGATTAAACACTATACAGAGTAACTTTGGGCAGCAGAACACTCGCATGAAAAATGTGAGAGATGGAATGCACGGGGCTGGGTGAACAGCAAATAACACAGTCGGGGAAAGCACTTAGCATGCAAATGACATCTAGGGGTTCCCTTCCAACAACTCACTTGCAAAATTCAAACCCAATGCATGTGCTTGTCTATTACTAGGTAAGTGGTACCTATACACCATGGAATACTATGCAGCCATAAAAAGGAATGAAATCACGTCCTTTGCAAGGACATGGATGAAGCTGGGAGCCACCGTCCTCAGAAAACTAATACAGGAACAGAAAACCAAACACCACATGTTCTCACTCATAAGTAGTAGCTGAACAATGAGAAGACATGGACACAGGGAGGGGAACATCACACAGTGGGGTCTGTAGGGGGCTGGGGGAAGAGAGAGCATCAGGATAAATGGCTAATGCATGTGGGGCTTAATGCCTAGGTGACGGGTTAATAGGTGCAGCAAACCACCACAGCACACGTTTACCTATGTAACAAACCTGCATGTTTGGCACATGTATCCCAGAACTTAAACAAAAAAAAAGAATCAGCACTTCTATTTTACAGAGATAAGATGGAGTTCGGAAAAAATTAATGTTTGGTGAAGGGACCCAACTCTTGGGGAGGGTAGAATTTAAGCGCCACGGGCTGCATCATCCCCTTACGTGCATGTGCGTGCGCGCATGCACACACACAGACACACACACACACACACAAACACACACTGCTACTTCTCCTGCCTGCCTTCAGGTCATCAGGGGCATAGAACCAAGGGTATCCTAAAAACCTGGGTGTGAGGGTCGGGCACAGTGGCTCACGCCTGTAATCCCAACACCGGGAGGCCGAGGCGGGCAGATCACCTGAAGTCGGGAGTTCGAGACCAGCCAGATCAACATGGTGAAACCCCCTCTCTATAAAAATACAAAATTAGCTGGGCATAGCGGCGCATACCTGTACTCCCAGCTACTCGGGAGGCTGAGGCAGGAGAATCGCTTGAACCCGCTAGGCAGAGGTTGCAGTGAGCCAAGATCGTACCACTGCACTTCAGCCTGGGCAACAAGAGCGAAACCGCGTCTCAAAAACAAAACAAAACACAAACAAAGAAAGCTGGGTGTAAGCCTCAAAGTCAGGCCAATGTTTCTAACCAAAAGTCACGTGAAAGAAATGAGAAAGTCTTGCCAGGAGGAGAGGTCTGGATCTGCAAGTTGTGGAGGAAGAACATGCACAGTAGCAGAAATAAGCCCCTGAAGGAAAGACTCCCCGCCCTCACCCAGTCCCCAGCACTCTGCCTGAGACAGCTTTGGATGAGTGAATGAATGAAGCACGCACGCTGAGGACAGAAGTGAATTCTCACAAGTTGATTGGGGAAAAGGAAACCACTTCTGCAAATGAACTCTGATCACTATCAAGCTCTTTTTTTCCTTTTCCTCACAAGAAAAATAGCAGAAACTGAGATATCATCTCAGAGCACTTATCTGGCCATTAGCCACTTCAAGTCAAATAGATAGCTCAAGGTCAAAATTACTTAATCACTCAGGGTCTCAGACTCCCCATCTGTGGAGTTCTAAGACGTTTGTCCTGCAAAACATAAGAACAAGCAAGCCTGGGCTTCCCCATGAAGAGGTGGGCCCTCTGAATACCCTAGAATGCCTGACCTTATCTCCTAACCAAGGAATCCCGATAGAGCATCATAGAAAACGAGAGAGAGAGCAGGCTTACTTTTTCACCATGTCACTGTTTTTTTTTCTTTCTAAACTAGCAAACCGTTATAAAGGGTCCTTGACCTTTTGAAAGCTAAAATACTTCAAAAAGAATGAGGAAGGGGCCAGGTGCAGTGGTTTTTGTCTGCAATCTCAACATTTTGGGAGGCAGAGGCTGAGGAATTGCTTCAGCCTGGGAGTTGGAGATCAGCCTGGGCAACATGGTGAGACTCCGTCTTCACAAAAAATACAAAACATAGCTGGACGTGTTTGTTCATAGCTATGGTCCCAGCTGCCTGGGAGGCTGAGGTGAAGGGATCACCTGAGTCTGGGAGGTCGAGGCTGCCGTGAGTCACGATAATATCACTGCTCTCCAGCCTGGGCGACAGAGCAAGACACTGTCTCAAAAAAACAAAAACAAGTAATAAAAATAAATAAGGAGGAAGGACCATTAAATACTGCAAATTTCTGGGCACTGTGCAAAAACACTTTACACGTGCTCTCTCAATGACTGCTCAGAGTGCCCTAAGAGGGAGGTATTATTATTGGCCGTATTTACAGATTGAAAAGCTCAGGCCCCTAAGTGCAAGTTGCTCAGGGTCAAAAAGTGTTGAGTAGCAAAGTTGAGACTCTTTAACCGTTATACTCTACTAAATTTTCTCTCATTTTCTAAAATTTGACATCATTTTTGAATAACAAAATCAAAAGGAGAATTCCCCCAAGCTCCTTTGGGAGACTTCTTCTTGACCCATCCTCCAAATAAATCTACAGGCTTTCAGGCAGCCAATTCTTCTGCTTAAAGATTGCCAGTGTCCCCCGGGGTTAGAGAAGATGGGAAGGTGGGTGAAAAGGGCTATATTGGAGTTGAGGGATTGAGACCAAAGAAGGGGGGCCAGGTCTGGTGGCTCACACTTATAATCTCAGCACTTTGGGAGGCCAAGGTAGGAGGATCGCATGAGCCTGGGAGTTTGAGTCCAGCCTGGGCAACACAGTGAGACCCCGTGTCTACAAATAATTAAAAAATTAGCTGGGCGTGGTGGCGCACGTCTGTGGTCCAAGCTACTTGGGAGGCTGAGGCTGGAGGATCATCTGAGCCCAAGAGGTTGAGGCTGCAGTGAGCTGTGACTGTGCCACTGCCCTCCAGCCTGGGCAAGAAAGCAAGACCCTATCTCAAAAACCAAAACCAAAACCAAAAATGGACCAAAGAGAGCATGAAAGCAAGTAATGATATGCAGTTGAAAGAAATAAACTTCAACAGCATATCTAGGAACACATGTTTTAAATATGAGGGATCTTCTGAGTCTCCATAAATGTCTGTGACTACAGCTAATAAAGCATGTTCCACCTTAGTATAAAAACATTTGGGCTGGGAGCAATAGCTCACGCCTGTAATCCTAGAACTTTGGGAGGCCGAGGCGGGCAGATCACTTCAGGTCAGGAGTTCAAAACCAGCTTGGCCATCATGGTGAAACCCCATCTCCACTAAAAATACAAAAACTTAGCTGGGCAAGGTAGTGCATGCCTCTGGTCCCAGCTACTCAGGACGCTGAGGCAGGAGAATCGCTTGAACCTGGGAGGAGGAGGTTGCAGTGAGCCGAGATCATGCCACTGCACTCCAGCCTGGGTGACAGAGCAAGACTCCATCTAAAAAACAAACAAACAAACAAACACACAAACAAAAATTTGCTGATGGATCAGTCTTCCCCATTACAGCACGACCCTCTTGAGAGCAGTGATTGGGTGAGTCTGTAGAGCAGGGGTGCTATGGGCTAGGCTCCGTGATAAGCACTTCCTATGACACCCGTGGGATCTGGGCTATTGGGTCCAAGTGCATCATCTTGCAGCTATGTAAGGTAGGCCCTGCTAGTTACAAGCCAAACTGATATCCTCAGGGTATTCTCTCTTCCTGCCTCAGCCCTAGTTCTATTTGAGTGATCATTCTCTGTGTGCTCAGAGAACATTGTCCCTTCCTTGGGAATCATTCTAACTAATCAAAGCAAAGCTTATCATTCCGTCCCTATTGCCAGCATTTGGTTTAGGCACAGGCATGTGATACAAACCTGGTCAAGGGGATAAAGAGAAGGTCTGCTAAGGGCTGTTAGCCCTTAGCCCTATTTGAAAGGGAAAAGACAAGCATCTTTGCTGTCCTACTGAGGATTAAAAAGCTAATAAAAGCATAGTGCCTAAAATGCACTGGAGGCTGGGCACGGTGGCTCAAACCTGTAATCCCAGCACTCTGAGGTCAGGAGTTCAAGATCAGCCTGGTGAGACCCCATGACTACTAAAAATCCAAAAAAAAAAAAAAAAAAAAAAAAAAAATTAGCCAGGTGTGGTGACAGGCACATGTAATCCCAGCTACTTGGGAGGCTGAGGCAGGAGAATCGCTTGAATCTGGGAGGCAGAGGTTGCAATGAGCCGAGATTGCACCACTACACTCCAGCCTGGGTGACAGAGTAAGGATCCATCTCAAAAAAAAAAAAAAAAAAAAAAGCACTGGTATTGGTAAGTGACCAACAAATCATAAGTTGTTTAAATTTCTCATTGGTTCCCACAACAACCTCTGAATCAGGTACCACCAAAATCCTCATTATACAGACACAGACACCAAGGCTCAGAGCCATACGGTTGAAAACAGTTGAAGCTCATATTCAAAACTATGCTTTGACTCCACACTCAAAATATTAACCACACACCATGTGACTATAATCCCTCCTTCCTGAAAATCCCAGCCACTCATGCAGGACCTGGAATAAATTGGGACTAGGAGGATGTTTGTTCAAATGGACTTAACTCCAGGGCTCAATTACAAGGACTAGGACTCTCAAGAAACCAAGCGTAGCTGCAGGTAGCTGGAATCTACCAACAATGGAAAGAGAGGCACACGGCTGTTCACTTTGTTCTTTGGGTATTCCATTAACCTTGGGACTTCTGCTATTGCTAGATACCTTCTTCCCCATTTAGCTCAACTTTCATTTAAAAGTCAGTTTCAAAAATAAATAAATAAATAAAATCAGCCAACCTCACATGAAGCTAGGAACCCCAGGTTCAACCTCACGGGAAGCTCTTTGTAATGGTTAAGAATCACCTTCAGTGGAAAACCAGCTGTTCCCATTCATGAGCAACAGGGGGCAGCAGAGAGCAACAAACCACTTGGTCCCTACAATATTGAAAAGGGGAAGAGGAGGAAGAAAACCAACCACCTTCATCTTCAGCTCAGAAGCATCCTAGTGTAAAAATGTCTCAAAATGTGTAGGCAAATTCACATTCCCAGGCATCCGACAGAGAAACAAGATAACAGAGACCTGAACTCCGGAATGTTATACTAATCATTTCAGCACCCAGGGGACGAGCCCAGCCAGTCTTGGGGGAACCTTGTCCAATGAGAGATGATCTTGGCTGAGCTGAAAGGGGTAGGCGCTTTTAACCTGAACCAACACACCTTGTTAAACTCTCATTTTGTTTCAGATTTAAATGTGTCCCGGGAACAGCCTTCATCAGTCTGCTAAAGTGTATCTGAAAGACGCCCTATGAGAAATCATTGGTCTATTTTTAAATACCCAGGGCAAAGGGACACCATGCTCCACATTCATTTAAAATCCAGTTTTATTAGACCAATCAACCTCACATGACTCCGTCAAGTAAATAAAATTCCCCTCTCAGGAGGCTTCAAGCCATGACAAACAGTCTTCAAATTGGTGGTACTAGGATTTAGATTTGTGGTTCTGGGTGTTTCCAAATGCAGACTATGTCTTTGATTTTCTCTTCAAATACTTTAAAATTAATAGATTGATATTAAACAGGAAAACAAGCAGCTTTTTCACGTACACACATCAAAGGGCACTGAAAATGTGGCACCAGCCTGTGGAATTGGCCGGTTACCAAAAGTCTGTTTCGAACCCTCAACAACACTTTCCCTAAAAATGTGGCATTCTTTTAATAGTATTTCTCTTGCTTTTCATATTTAATAAATTATTCATTCAGAGAAGAGTACATCTTTTAAAAATATATACCCCTGTTCATAAACGAGTCACTTCCAACTCAGCCCAAGTTGGTGCTATGTGTCATTTGATGTAAAGAATCTTTTTATTTTTCCTTTGCAGTAAATATCCCTATCTTAATTATGCATTCATTGTAAGTTTCTTCAATCAATGTTTGCCTCCCCCTCCAGACTTGAGGCTCCCTGAGGATCACACCTGTTTTGCTGGCAAGAGCACACAGGCCAATGCTTGGTGCATAACAGGAGCTGTGGTCAATCTACCAAGTGGTCCCAGTAGGTCAATAGAGGATTCACACACTGGCTGAACTTAGGTGAGAGCTGGAACCCTGAAGGTCAGAGATACCCAGGTTCTCTGATTCATGTGAAGCAGAAAATGGTGGTATTAACCACCTTTACATAACAGATGATCCACACGAGATCAACATTGCTTATTCTGTGGGATCAGGAAGGAAACCACGGATCAGCGCCAAGGGAAGATTGGGATGGCAAACCCTGAACCTGCCACGCTCTCTCCTTGCCTCTCCCCATCAAGTACACACCAAGGTGGAAATATGCCTGCATGGCTCCCTTCAAGATATCCACTGTACATTAGAAAACATACTCTTCTCTCTTTCCTTAATAGCATTACCAGACTTAAATTCACTCCCAGAACTTAGGAGGATTGTTACATGGTTGTAAGCCTCAATCACAAATGGTTTAAGAATCAGGGTTTTGAAAGTCAATCCAAGACACATGAGCATTCTAAATTAATTCTCAATGGACTAGACACTTATTATTTTGTATTGGAAGGAATTATTTAAAAATTACAAGAAAAAGGCTTTTTCTTTTTTGCTTGAGACAGGGTCTTGCTTTGTTGCCCAGGCTGGAGTGCAGTAACACAATCACAGCTCCAACGAGCCTGCAACTGCTCAGCCCAGGCCATCCTCCCATCTCAGCCTTCTGAGTAGCTAGGATCACAAGTGTGTGCCATCACACCTGGCTAACTTATTTATTTTTTTGTAGAAACGGGGTCTCCCTGTGTTGTCCAGGCTGGTCTTGAACTCCTGTACCATTTCAAAAGGACTTTTACAGCCAGGAGTGGTAGCTTATTTTGGGAGGCTGGTGGATCAGTTGAGCCCAGGAGTTTGAGACCAGCCTGGACAACACAGCAAGACCTCATCTCTACAAAAAGTAAAAAACAAATAAAAATAAATAGCCAGGCATGGTGGCACACACATGTGGTCCCAGCTACTCAGGAGGCTGAAGTAGGAAGATCACTTGAGGCCAGGAGGTCAAGGCTGCAGTGAGCCATATTCATACTGCCACACTCCAACCTGGCAAACAGAGCAAGACCCTATCTCCCTATTTATTTTATTTTTTATTTTGAGACAGAGTCTCGCTTTGTTGTCCAGGCTGCAGTGCAGTGGCACAATCTTGGCTCACTACAACCTCCACCTCCCCAGTTCAAGCAATTATCCTGCCTCAGCCTCCCGAATAGCTGGGATTACAGGCATGTAATGCGGCTGGTAATTTTCTTTATTTTCAGTAGAGATGAGGTTTCACCATGTTGGTCAGGTTAGTCTTGAACTCCTGACCTCAAGTGATCTGCCTGCCTCAGCCTCCCAAAGTGCTGGGATTACAACTGTAAGCCACTGCACCCAGCCAGAGAAAAATGACTTTTACACTAGTTCATTAAATATACACTACAAGCTAATATAATAAAGGCTATCTGTGGAAGGATAAATTAAATCATGAACTGGGATGCTGTGACAGATGACATTTTTACCACATTAACAAGATCCACCATGCACAGTTTTCAGATAGAGTCTTAGAACCATGAAAATCTACTAATTCTAAGACAGCAACAAACTTAAAGACATGGAAAATCCAGAATGATGAAAGACTAGGGAAAGGATGACAAAAGCAATACATATTCTGGATCATCAAATAACAACATTGATAGCTACCATTTGTGGTACCCTTGCTACGTGCAGGGTGTTGCTGCAAGCACGATGCCCTGCCTTGTCTCAGCCTCCTCACAGCAATCTTATGAGAGAGGTAAAAATGCAGCAGCATCTAAAGGAGAAGCCAATGATCAGAGAGGTTAACTAACTTGCCCAAGGTCACACAGCTAGGTAGAAATGAGTAGAGTTAGGACTGGCTCTAGAACAGGGGTGTCCAGTCTTTTGGCTTCCCTGAGCCACGGCGGAAGAAGAAGTGTCTCAGGTCATACATAAAATACATTAATACTAATGACAGCTGATGAGCTAAAAAAAAAAATCCCCCAAAAACGTCTCATAAGGTTGTAAGAAAATTTATGAATTATTGTTGGACAACATTCAAAGCCGTCCCGGGCCACATGCACCCTGTGGGGGACATGGGCTGGAGAAGCTTGCTCTAGAGGCTTGCTCTTAACCAACATAATATACTAGAAACCCTGTGTAATAATATTAATAGCAATGGCAAAAATGACGACAATCCTTTACTTTCACATGATTTGTTATGTACAAAGCATTTCCTCATACATGTTACCACATGTTCAAGTGGTGGGACTGAGAAAGGACACAGCAACTCTTAACCTCCCCGGAAAGATGAGAAATCTAAAGATTAGACAAAGATGAGCATGATCAAGACACTCCTGATAACTGGTGTGTTACCAACAAAATGTTCAGTCTCAGATTCAGATACATCTACCCGGGAATTAAAGTTCTCTCCATTTTACTGAGACTTCACTCATTTCCTGGGGGCAACAGCTCATGGTGGCATGAGAGGAGTCCTTCCAATGTCTACTCCTTGGATGTTCCTAACATTAGTCACAACCGTCATATCATGCAAGCTCCCAAAAGCTCTAAGAGGCAGAGGTGGGAGGTCACTTGAGGCCAGGAGGTCGAGGCTGCAGTGAGCTATGACTGCACCACTGTACTCCAGCCTGGGTGACAGAGCAAGACCCAAACTCAAAAAATAAATAAATACATAAATGAATAAATAAATAAATAAATAAGTAAAAATAAAAGAAGGCAAGGTTGACGCAAGAGCGCAGGGGAAAAGTGCATGGGCACTTTTTGACCTACCGAAGACCATGTAGTTGCAAAGTATATATAACTTAAGGAGGTTTGTTTTAAGAGCAATTTTCCATAGAAACCATCATCTTAAAGGAAGGAGGCTAGAGAGCACGACACAATTCCAAGAGGGATGGTGGTGGTCATGGGTGATTTTCTTTCTCATTCTCCCTTCCTGGTTCGCAGCAGTGACGCAATATCACTTCTCTAATTTGAAAAATAATAAACAGGCTTGCCCCAAACTGTGCCTTTCAATAGTCATATAGTTAGTACAAACCACGGTGACCTTTTAAAGATATGACTTGTTTTTTAACACCTAAAGCAAGAAATGCTCCATATGTGAGCTCCTACCTGGCCAAGCTGCCATGTCAACTGCAATGCCATGGTGTCTGCCCATCTCTGAAATGTCAGCAGAGAACCGTGGCAGGGGCTGAAATGCAATATGTTGCAAGAGGCTGAACTTTGGTGTCTAAAAGCCATCTAACTCTGGAAGGTATTTAAAGTCGTCATCCCCATTTTACGTTTCCCTCTAAAGGACACCACAGAGGATTACCCATCTAGGCTTACGAAGCTGTAAATAAAACTACATTTGCCGAGCGCTTCATCTGCACTCTCAAGCAGGCTAGATATTGGCTGTCAAGCTCCAGGGATGATGATCCTCCAGATTCTAGCACTGCTGTTCATCTTATTAAGTGCACTGTGCAACAAACTTGACCATTGGCTTCCATGTTCCCACCTTGAGCCAGAGCTTTGGAGCCTACTCACTGAGTGCCAACTGTTTCTGCTCCCGTTTTTGGCCTCATGGTTTTGCTTTTTGTACCTTTACCAAGAACCCTTTAGATGAATGACCCCATCTGTCCCATTTCATCTATGTAACAAGTTTGACAGCGAGCTTGTCTATCCACCTGCCTATGTACATTGGACTCTGTGTCTTTGAAGCAGTACTCACAGAAGAAAAGTTGTGTTCTTCCTTATACATAACAAAAAATTTTATAGATTTCCCAGGTTAAGAGTCCTAAGGCTCTTAAAAGGCAAGACTGGGAGGCAGAGGTGGGAGGATCACTTGAGGCCAGGAGATCGAGGCTGCAGTGAGCTATGATCGCACCACTGTCCTCCAGCCTGGGTGACAGAGCAAGACCCTAACTCAAAAAACAAAAAAACAGGCAAGGCTGATGCAAAAGCTCAGGCAAACACTGCATGGGCACTCGCTAACCTACTGACCTACCGAAGGTCAAACAGTTAAAAAGCATATGTAACCCAAAGAGGTGGGGTGTGTGTGTGTGTATGTGTGTGTGTGCGCGTGTGTTTGTGCGTTTGTTGTTTTTTTTTTTTGAGACAGAGTTTTGCTCTTGTTGCCCAGGCTGGAGTGGAATGGCACAATCTCGGCTCACTGCAACTTCCGCCTCCCGGGTTCAAGCAATTCTCCTGCCTCAGCCTCCCGAGTAGCTGGGATGATAGAGCATGCACCACCACACCTGGCTAATTTTGTATTTTTATTAGAGATGGGATTTCTCCATGTTGGTCAGGCTGGTTTTGAACCCCCAAACTCAGGTGATTAGCCCTCCTCAGCCTCCCAAAGTGCTGACATTACAGGCGTGAGCCACCACGCCCGGCCAAGAGCTGTGTTTTAAGAGCAATTTTCTTTACAGAAGATAAGCCTCTGTTTCATCTACTGTAAAATGGGACTAATAATCAAATGTACCTGCCTCATTAGGTTGCCACAAGCATTAAATGAGACAGTGCACAATAAATTATCTGCACAGTGACTGGCAGGCACAGAATAAACAGTGGTTATTATTGTGTGTCTTGATTTGAGATAGTTACAGTTAATTCAGTTAATTTTTGTCCACGACATGGAGACCGATTAGAAGTTCCCCAAGTTCCTTCTGGGACTTTGATTTAATCATTTTAAGGAGGGAGGAACTACATTTGAAATAGCAACAGATTATCCAACTCTGTATTGAATGCACTGGATTAATATCACAAAAATCTTGATTTATGCCCTGATTAAATGTGTGTCTTTGTGTGTGTGTATGTGTAACAAGAATTACATCTTTGTTCTATGGCGTAAATCTTACAATTGACTTTTCACATCTCAGAAACAACAGATTGTGTTCTATTATTATAAGGTACACAGTATATTTTCTAAAGCAGTATTTTATTCTGATGGTGTATAAGAATGTAAGATTCATAAGACATGGCTTTTTCTCTGTATTGTTCTCTGCTATTTCTGTAGTGTTTATCACAGCACCTAGCACATAAAGAATATCAATGGATGTTTGTTAAACAGATGAATAAATGAGTATTTCTCTATTTATTTTCCACCTCCCTGGAAAAGTAGATGAAAATGTGGTGATCTTATTTCTCAAAGCTCATCAAAGTTTATGCATCGGTAATGGCATTGCAAAGTACTCATTTTAACTTCAACCTTTTGGTTAATTTCACCTCCATGCTTCGTGTCTGACGTTGTTCAAGTCATGTCACTTCTGCAAATTTCATTCCCTGCATGTGATAAATGGGAGCACCAGAAGCAGGGATATTCTTTATTATTGACCATCCAGCTTCTCTAGTGAAAGAACCCCCTCTCTGTTCTGGAGGTTCGTGTTCCAGATATTCAGGGTGGGCACTGACAAAGATTTTCTCCTTAACCAGACTCCAATCAGACCCTTCTTTTATTTTTTTTAATTATCTTTTTTAGAGATGGTGTCTTGCTATGTTGCCTAGGCTGGTCTCAAAGTCCTGGCCTCAAGCAGTCCTACCACCTCAGCCTTCTGAGTCACTGAAATTACAGACGTAAGCCACCAAACTCAGCATATTTCAGACTCATCTGAATCCTTTTCCCCGTGAGGCCTGACGCTTGAGCTTCTGTGCTGCCTCTGCATTGTCCAGTGTTAGCAAGAACCTTGTTAGTTCATTTACTCAGAATCCTCCCTTACCTCTGCTGTCTCCATCCACTGACCCTCACTTGACTTCCTGGCTATAAATCACCACTTTTGGTTGTTGCGTTCAGAATTGAGCCCAATCTTTCTCCCCCACTGCAAGACCCCATTTCACCTATCACGATAGTCCCTCTTGAGTAAAGTCTTTCATTCTGTCTTTAACAAGCATCATAGATATTTGGTTCCTTCACAGGACCCCCATGCTCTAGCAGAAATTAATGCATGTGGTAGAACCAACCAAAGAGATTTTATCATGATTGGTTCAGGGATGGATCATGACTGAAGACAGGCCATCTCCAGTCATTCCAGAAAATATCTGCAGAGCTATAAGGGGGTGAAATGTTTGTGCTGGAATTACTAGTCACAGGTAAACATGCTTACTACATACAAAAAGTCTGTACAGCTGTGCAAGAAACAGAGAGGGGGAGAGAGAAAGAAGCTTGATGGCCGGGCGCTGTGGCTCATGCCTGTAATCCCAGCACTTTGGTAGGCTGAGGCGGGCGGATCACAAGGTCAGAAGGTCAAGACCATGATGGCTAACATGGTGAAATCCTGTCTCTACTAAAACTACAAAAAATTAGCCAGGCGTGGTGGCGGGCGCCTATAGTCCCAGCTACTCGGGAGGCTGAGGCAGGAGAATGGCAGGGACCCAGGAGGTGGAGCTTGCAGTGAGCTGAGATTGCACCCCTGCACTCCACTCTGGGCGACAGAGTGAGACTCTGTCTCAGAAAAAGAAAAGAACCTTCACTACACTGATGTGAGCTCCTGGATCATGCTGTGCCTTAAGCCAGTACCCATAGTGTAACACCTCCAGGCCCTCCACCAATTTCTATTTCATTTAACCTTGCTGAATTGCTTTTCTATCACCTGCAGTTGAAAGAGCCCTATCAAATAAAAAAAATATATACCTTTTATGGTTCTGCTTCAAAACATTCCAGCAATTTAAAAATAATTAGTTGGGAGGAACAACTAATATAAAAACTCTATTAAAATTTATACACTTACAATAAAATAGGAATCCAGGAAGATTATGCATTCTAAATATTTTCTGTAATAGCCTTTAACATGTTTGTGCACCAAAAATTTGTCATTTTACTTCCAAAACGGAAGTGTATTACGTTCTAAAGCAAACACGGGGGAAATGCTTCAGCTAATTCAACATGCTACACGTATTTTGGGCTAAGCAGTTTTTCCTATTAGCATACACTTGGAAAAAATAATAATAGCAGTAATGAACTTCCTTGGTTTTTCAGTTCCCAAATGCCACATTAGATTGAACTAATTCAAAGTTAAGAGATAGAAGTACCTACAGTGTCTCTGGGGCCCATGACCCATCCCAGATACAAGAGAGAATTTTATTAGGTTGGTGCAAAAATATTTGGCAAAAACCTCAATTCCTTTTACACCAACCTAATACCTGCTCATCAGAGTCATTTTTGTCTTAAATATGCATGCTGTGAGTAGTTCATCTCAGCCCTGGAAGTCAGTGGAGTAGATGATATTAAGGGATGAAGGCTTAGTTATCAACTTGTGGCCAACCCCCATTAGATATTAGGGTATGTAACTAATTCTGAGAATTTACAACACTGGTAAAGAAATTCATTAGATGCAAATTCTGACTCATCATAACTAGTCACAAAATGTGTCTGAGATATGTCCATAAATACACTAGCCTTTCACATAAGAATATTATAGATTTTTATGGTTTTATGGAGGTATAATTGACACACAAAATACTGCACATATTTAACGTATACAATTTGATGAGCTTGGGCATAAGCATAGGCCTGTGAAACCATCCCCACAATCATAGGAACAGACCTATCTTTCACATCCAAAAATTTCCCTTTATTTGGACATGTGGAGTGGGGTAGAGGGTGTTTAAGAACATTTACTATGAGATCTTAACATGGAGGTGGTTAAGAACACTTAACAAAGGGAAATCTTAGCAAATTTTAAGCCCATAATACAGCTCACTAAACATAGGGAAATGCAAATCAAAACCAAAATGAAATACCACCCCATACCTGTTACAATGCCTATTATCAAAAAAATGAAAAATTAAAAAAAAAAAACAATTGTTGGCCTGGAAGTGGAAAAACTGGAACCCTTTTGCCATTGCTGAATAGAATGTAGATATGTAGCCACTATGGAAAAAGAGTATAAATGTTTCTCAAAAAAAAATTTAAAAATGTGATTACCAGGTGATCCAGCAATCCGACTTCTGGGTACATATACAAAGAAATGAAGTCATGATAGCAAAGAAATATCTGCACTCCTATGTTTTTTTGCAGCATTAAGCACAATAGCCAAAATATGGAAGCCACCTAAGTGTCCAATGACAGATGAACAGTGATATGGTTTGGCTGTGTCCCCACCTAAATTTCACCTTAAATTGGAGCTCCCATTATGCCCACATGTATTGGGAGGGACGCAGTGGGAGGTAATTGGATCATGGGGGGGTGGGTTTTACCCCATGCTGTTCTCTGATAGTGAATAAGACTCATGAGATGATGATGTTATAAAGGGCAGTTCCCCTGAACAAGCTCTCTTGCCTGCAGCCATGTAAGATGTGCCTGTGCTCCTCCTTCACCTTCAGCCATGATTGTGAGGTCTCCCCAGCCCTGTGGAGCTGTGAGTCTATAAACCTCTTTTCCTTTGTAAGTTACCCAGTCTTGGGTATGTCTTTATTAGCAATGTGAGAACTGACTAAAACAAATGAATGAAGAAAATGTCGTGTATACATACAATGGAATATTATTCAGCCTTAAAGAAGAAGGAAATCCTGACATTTGTACATTTATGAACCTGGAGGACATTATTCTAGTGAAATAAGCCAGTCACAGAAGGATAAACATTGCATGATTCTACTTATACAAAGTGTCTGCAATAGACAAGCTCATAGAAGCTGAGGGGAGAATGGTGGTAACCAGGAGCCACGGGGAGGGGACAATCGGTGGTTGTTCAATTAGCTTGAAGTTACACTGTGTGAAATGAATTAGTTCTAGAGATCTACTGTACAACGTAGTGCTTATAGTCAACAATATCATATTATGCCCTTAAAATGTGTTAATCGATTTTTAAGTTTATCAATTTTTCACTCTAGACTAATTTGCAGCTATCTTGGTTGATTTACCAAATGAAGCATTAATTTTTAAAACAGTTTTTTTAAGTTCAGGACTACACATGCAGGTTTGTTATATCGGTAAACTCATGTTATTGGGGTTTGTTGTACAGATTATCTTGTCACCCAAGTATTCGACCTAGTACCCATTTTTATTTAAAATAAAATATCTTTTGTAAAAATTCTTTTCTGCCCTTTACATGTCAAGGTTACATTACCGTTTCTTTGTTTGTTTCCTGTTGGTTTTGGAGACAGGGTCTCACTCTGTCATCCAGGCTGGAGTGCAATGGTGCAATCTCAGCTCAGTACAGCCTCAACCTCCTGGGCTCAAACGATCCTCCCATCTCAGCCTCCCAAGCAGCTGGTCCTACAGGCATGTGCCACACGTCCCGCTAATTTTTGTATTTTTGTAGAGATGAGGTTTCACCATGTTACCCAGGCTGGTAGAAAACTCCTGTGCTCAGGCAATCTGCCAGCCTCAGCCTCCCAAAGTGCTGGGGTTACAGGCATGAACCACCGCACCCAGCCAATTTCCATTTAGCATGTATAAAATTTGGTGATCCCTTTCAATTTAGTGACTAGGGTATAGAAAATGCTCACTAATCAAAATCAGAGGAACAAGATGAAAACCTCAAAAATAATTTGATATTGTGCTTCATTCTGAGCATTAGATGAAAAACATTAAATTATACGGCTACTGTCAAATGATTCTTTGTAAAGAAGTTTAGTGCAAATGTGTGTGTGGGGGGGGCGAGCGTGTGTGTGTATAATTTTATTACCTAGGAGCTAACTTCTTGGGGAAACTAGAGGACAAAAAATACATTTATTATGAATTGCAATGATAAAGGGTCAAAATTGTGTTATACAGCATATGAGCAAATGTTTCCAGGAATTTTTTTTTTAGAAAAGCTAAACTTTGATTACTCAGTTTAACAAGGAAAAAAAGGCACCTATGAATTTGCCTCTCCATAGCCAGCTGCTTCTTCGGGCTGTTTTGTATCATTCTGTGTTACTTTCTGTGACCAGAGCTAATCTAAAAACAAGAGTGACTTCTTGTCAGACTTCATTGAAATGGGATATTTGAGTGTGCCCTAGCAACCACGAAAGTTTGGGCTATGCTTATCTTTATAAATACCCAAATTTGATGAACTACATTCAGCTGTGTTTGCAAAAGGCAGATAATCTGAAGTGTATGAAATAATGCAGGCACTCACTGGATTTTTAAAATGCTCAACGCTAAGAGCTAATAACAACCCTAATTATTAACTCCCATGACGTCTTCCCTGAAATTATTTTTAGGATGAATTTAGATACTTTGGGGGAGCCACATACAGAATATTTACTCAAAATCTCCCCAGGGATGATGGCATATCTTTGTACAACAGCTTTGTTTCTGAAAAGTTTAGTTGTACAAAGTTCTCATATTATTACTAGTCAAATCACACTTTAAAAAATGTATAGTTTTCTAAAACAATAGAATTTAAAGAAAAACAAAACCATTCTATGGAATTTGAATTATGAAAGTAGATTTTACTCTACTTAGTTACTTTTTGTTTGGTTTTGGGGGGATTGTTTATTTGTTGAGACAGAATCTCCCTCTGTCACCCAGGCTGGAGTGCAGCGGTTGGATCTCGGCTCACTGCAATTTCTGCCTCCTGGGTTCAAGTGATTCTCCTGCCTCAGCCTCCCGAATAGCTGGGATTACAGGCATGCACCACTACACTCGCCTAATTATTGCATTTTTAGTAGAGATGGGGTTTCACCATGTTGGCCAGGCTGGTCTCAAACTCCTGAACTCAAGTGATCTGCCCACCTCAGCCTCCCAAAGTGTTGGGATTACAGGTGCGAGCCACCTCACCCAGCCAATTTTCTTCTACTTAGTTACTTAATGTAAGATTATAACCACTTCATTATTGCAGTGAAATGTTCTGTTACTTCCTAAAATAACTAAGTTTGCGGAAGGTTTATATGACCTTGAAATTCTCCAGAAAGAAGAGTCTAAAGGTCCTTTTGAATAAAGAATGCCAAAATTAATCTTGTTTATCTCTTTTAAGAGACACAATCTGTTGGCATGACATGGGGAAGGCAGGACTCAGCTTTCTTCAACTTAGTAGGGTGGTTCTTCTCTCCCTCTCCCCCTTTATCCCCTCCCTTTTTTTTTTTTTTTTTTGAGGCAGAGTTTCGCTCTTGTTGCCCAGGCTGGAGTGCACTGGCACAATCTCGGCTCACTGCAACCTCCGCCTTCCAGGTTCAAGTGATTCTCCTGCCTCAGCCTCCCGAGTAGTTGGAATTACAGGTATGTGCCCCTACGCCCAGCTAATTTTGTATTTTTGGTAGAAACGGGGTTTCTCCATATTGGTCAGGCTGGTCTCCAACTCCCGACCTCAGGTGATCCATCCGCCTCGGCCTCCCAAAGTGCTGGGATTACATGCGTCAGCCGCCGTGCCCGGCCTCTCCCTTCTTTTTCTCTTCCCTCGCTCCTTCCTTCCTCTCTTTCTGCTTCCTTTCTTCCTTCTCTCCTTCCCTTCCTTTCTCCCTTCCTTCATTCTTTTTTTTATAAATATGTTTATTAAACGCCTACTTTGTAGCAGGCAACAAAGCAATAAACAAAAGAAAAGCTGTCTTGCCCTCCTGTTCCCGGGCCAAACTGAGTGTCGGAATGCTTATTCTCACTGCCCCAAAATAAGATGCAGGTGAACTGGGAGACAAGGGAGTTTATTCCTGTAACCGGGTACAGGGAGAAGGCCTGGGAAATATCACCAGACCAACTTAAAATTAGAAAGTTTTCCAGAGCTTATACAGCTTCTAAGCTATATGTCTACCTGTAAGTGTGCATTCCTCTAAAGACGTAAGTGATTAACTTCTCATCTATAAGATCTGAGTCCTGAAGACCTTCCTCTGCAGCCTCAGTAAATTTACTTAATCTAAATGGGTCCAGGTGCTGGGATGATTATCCTTATCTTGTCTCCTGCTAAATCATGGAGGTTTGGGGAGTCCCTTCAAACCCCGAATAAACTTGTTTGTGGATACCTGGGGAGTATCTTCACAACCCCAATAAAACTTGTTTAACCCCAAACGGTTCCTATTAAGAATTCCTTCATTATTTTGTCATGCTTCAAGGCCCAGGAAAGGCCTAGGCACAACTCTAGGTAGGCTTTTGATACACTCCAGCCTTTGTATAAAGGCACTGGCTCTCTCAGCTTTTAATATTTACCTTAACTACTCAGTCAGCACTGAGACAGTTGTTACAGAAGGCTGTGTTAGTGCGACCTGGCCTGCCACATTCCTGAAAACAAAGTAAGGCTGAAGTCTGCTGAAGACGCATTTCCCAAGCTGCCAGGGAGCTTGCACTGGACCACAAGCCAGGTATGTATGATCTCAGACCCAAAGGGGAGCAGACGTATAAGAAACACAGCCTCGCATCCCTACAGAACCATGTTTCCTTAGTGAAACTACTAATGGACAAAAAAATGAATGAAGAGCCTAATATCAAAAAGATTGCAGGCAATTAAACAGAACTCTGAGAATAAAAGAAAATCGAGGAAATCTTGGTCATATTGATAGAAAGACTGTGTTTTCCCTGTAAAATGAACACAATAAACCTATTCACACAAAGGCTAGTTGGATACTGTTCAAGTTATTGGCATTTATGATCATAAATTTACCCCAATTGCTACAATAACAAATGCACATATGCTTAAGTGTCTAGAAAGCTTAGTCTGTGAGTTTTCAGTGGGCTGGTATAATTAAACAGTAACTGTCAATTTCTTAATCCTAAAGCAATCATTTTGCTCTAGGTAATGAGCTTTTTATATATTTTTTTCCCATCCTCAGCAAGTAACAGCTCTTCCTCAAATTGGTTTTAATGGATTTAGCCCTCAGCAACCCACCCTTTGCAGATAATTCCTTCTATGGAGAAAGATTTCTCTAGGGAAGCTGAGGCTGTACCTTCATGGAAAAGCAAAACTTCTCTCTGATGAAACAAAAAATCTCTCTCTCCCAACATATTTCATCAAAATAGTTTGGATATTCTACCTAATATTAAGTTATGTAATATCCACATCACACAGGTAAGACAAGTACGGTTAGTGATTTATTTCTATCTTATTTTCAATGAAACTTTGAATTCCTATCCAGGCATTCGCTTGTATTTTCAGGGTGTTTGTTTGTTTGTTTGTTTGTTTGGTTGGTTTGTTTTTGCCTCTATTCACTTCTGCTATTAACAAAATGAAGCTATATCGGGCACAGAATGTCTCTGAAAAAGTGTTTGGCTTTTAAGAGTACAGCCCCAGAACGAAAAACAGGATTAAAAACCAGCTTAACTTCTGTGTGTAGACTTTTGGCCTGCATGCCCTGTAGGTAAGAATCGAGGACGTAAGGAGTTCTATTTTTAATGTCTTCTTACAGAAGCACCATGAACTTAGCAATGCACAAAATTTATGACACACTCAATCTTATAACATGAGGGAGAGGGACTCGGCAGTGACTTTTCCATTGCATTTCCCATGAATCTCAGATCACTTGTAAATTGCAGAGCCTGACATTTAAACTGTGCCGTGTTGATAGTTCAGGCACCACCCTTTCTCCCTGCCGCCCTCCCCCGCCCCCTACTCTGGGAGACCAAGGCTGAGGCTTCATTTCATAATACACCATAATGGTGAGTCAACGGTCAAATGCAGCCTGTTAAGTCTAAAGCAATTACCTTCTGCTGCAAATAAAGAAAAGCCCATGTCTCTACCTCTGAGTGGAGGGCAGAATGAGCAGAGAGACTCTGAGAACCATATGGCCAGCTTCAGCTTGCATCCTTGACATCGTACCCGGCACCTGGGCAAAGGCCAATGCTTGGCACAGTATACCTGCTGCCATTTTTGTCCAAACACTCATCTATTTCGGGAGACTTCCACCTGCCCTTTCTGCTCAGCTATCCTGAGAATCCAAATTCTGGCATAATGAGTTCCTGCTGTCAAAAATCGTAAGTTCTATGTACATTTTTCCAGATAATGTATTTAAATGGCATCCATGCTCAACCGTGGACTACTGTTGAAAAATACTGCATAACCACCTTACTGCATGTATTCCCATTTCTCAGCTGCATCTAACTTAGCAGCACTGTATCTGAACAAAGGGTTTTTCCCTTCTGATGTCTACATTTTCAATAATAGCTGATGCTCTGCAGTCTTAGAAATTGGATTTTTTTTTAATTAGTGCTTTCTATTTACCCTCTCAACTGCCACGTCTGAATTATGCCTTTTTTTTTTTTTTTTTTTTTTTTTTTGAGACAGAGTCTTGCTCTGTAGTCAGGCTGGAGTGCAGTGGCACAATCTTGGATCACTGCAACCTCCAACCCCCCCAGTTCAAGCAATTCTCCTGCCACAGCCTCCCAAGTAGCTGGGACTACAGGCACATGCCACCACACCCAGCTAATTTTTGTGTTTTTAGTAGAGAGGGGGTTTCACCGTGTTGGCCAGCAGGGTCTCAATCTCCTAACCTCATGATCCACCCTCCTCGGCCTCCCAAAGTGCTGGGATTACAGGCATGAGCAATTATACCTCTTAATACTACCATTAAAGTGTTGAAGTCGGAAATATATCTCAAGATCTCATGCTTAGCGCACTTTCCAAATTATCAAGACTAGGAATCCTTCTGTTGACACTGGCAGGCAATCACTTCATATGAGGACAACCCTAGTCCTCGGAGGCAAAATCCAGACCCCAAGGACTACTGAGGCTTTAAGTGATTTTAGCTAAGTGAGCCTCTGTTTTCTCATCTATAAAATGGGGATATTCATCCCATGAGGCTGTTATAAGCATTACATGAGATGATACAGAGACACTGTCTGGAACTTAGTAGGTCTACAGAGGAAGGGGCAGAATTCAAAGCCAGGTCTTCTAACCACATTATATCACATCTCAAAGACGAGGAGAAATGAAACTTTGGAGGTTCGTGAAATCCAGTTTGAAGGATGAAGATTTGTTTCTGTATCTGCTAAGAAACCCCCAGTGATTTCTGAGCAGGTTACGGGCATGTCAAAGTAATTAATTAGGAATGAAACAGACAGAGGACTGAGTGGAAACCGCAATGATATATCAGAGGCTTTGAAATGATCTATGACCATGAAGAAAGCCAGCAAGAAAAGCAAACCACCTAAGAACACACAATAGCACTGAAACTGTGACCACCAGCTGTATGAAAACAGACATCCCCAGTGTTCCTAGGCATCCATAAGAATCATAGGGCCGCGTGCGGTGGTTCACACCTGTAATCCCAGCACTTTGGGAGGCCAAGATGGGAGGATTGCTTGAGACCAGGAGTTTGAGACCAGCCGTGGCAACACAGCAAGATCCTGTCTCTACAGAAAAAAAAAAAAAAAAAAATTAGCCGGTGATGGTGGCACACACCTGTAGTCTCAGCCACTCTGGGGGATGAGGTGGGAGGATCACTTGAGCCCGGGAGGTCAAGGCTGCAGTAAGCCAGGATCACACCATTATACTCTAGCCTGGGTGACAGAACAAGACCCTGTCTCAAGAAAAAGAAAAAAAAAGAAAGAAAGAAAGAAAAGAAATATATAGAAAAACAGTCACGTAGGGAGGTTTTTTTTTTAATTTTTAATTACAGATACTGGGTCTTACTCAAGACCTGTTGATTCGGATTCTCCATGTCTTGAGATCTGAAATGTTTCTACATCCAAGTTAGTGTGTGTGTGCAATTCAAATACAATGTCAGGTTTGGAAATCATTGATGGAGGGGCAAGATCCAGGGGCATATTATTCAAAAGCATACACACAAAAGACCTTCTGAAAATTGTGTGTATACATCCTGGCTAATATGGTGAAACCCCGTCTCTACTAAAGATACAAAAAATTAGCTGGGTGTGGTGGCATGCACCTGTAGTCTCAGCTACTTGGGAGGCTGAGGCAGGAGAATCACTGGAACCCGGGAGGCGGAGGTTGCAGTGAGCCGAGATCGCACCACTGCACTCCAGCCTGGTGACAGAGCGACACTCCGTCTAAAAAAATAATAATAATAAAAAAAAGAAAATTGTATGTATTCTGCCTATGTGAAAAGAAAATGTGGGAATGGATTTGCTTACTACATTGCCCACTTGGAGTACTACTTAATCAAGTATCCCCCCAAAGATAAATTTAATGAAATTATTCACAAATTCTAAGTAATTTTGTGGAGGTAGGAAGGATGTTATAGAAAACTACAAGCAGACATTTTGCACTCATGCTTGCATTTGGAATGCTCCAGATGTCTTCATTTAGAGAGATCCACTGTAGCTAAAATTATATTCATGGAGGACAGTTATAGATATGGAATAAACCTAGGGCTTCAGATTTTTAAAGAACGTATAGGTCATCTCTTTCAACCCCTTTCATAATGCAAGAATAGGCTCTATAATATCCTAGACAGATGATCATGTAGCTGAAATACCTTCAGTAGTAAGGAGCTTGTTATTAATTGGTAGTACTGACCAAAAGGGGAATGTATCATACTCGCATACAATATGTACAATATATAGGGAAATGCACCAAGATATGTAATATAAAATAATACATTAGAGGGTTAGAGGTTATAGGAATTGTAAAGATATAATCATGTGGTTAAATATGCTTGGAAATATTATATGTGTTATGCTTACAGAAATAAAAGGTAATAAATTAATGAATTCTGGAGAGAGAAATCTTGGCCAGTAAAGGATATAAAGACAGACAACTTAAGGACAAGGAGGCTGTCAAGCATCTACATCCCAGTGACCACCTAATGGAATGAATCAAAGACACAGTTGGAGTCCACCCAAGAGGGAACAAGACATCAGCTAAGGAGGGAATGTGCACTCTGTGCTCCTGGTTGCCCTGGTGACAGGACCCCACTTCTCATGCTAATGGCATTATAATGAATACAACCGCCTGAAAATAAAATAAATGGTAAGCTTGATAATAGAGTAAACGATCGTCTTGAGAGCTGCAGTGTGGAGAGGACCCAGGATGTAGTTTTGGTGGTGGGTGTTAACAGAACAATATGATCAGTGAGGAAGGTACTAGGGGAAAAATATAAGGGGGTGTGTGTGTGTGTGTGTGTGTGTGTGTGTGTGTGTGTGTGTCGGAGAAAGAGAACAGACGCTAATGATGGATAATGCTTGAGACAAGTAATATGTCTGCCATTTCTCTTCCTGATATGCTCCACACTGGAAAACCTAAATTAAGTGTTAATGAACCCATATTGATTTCCCTGTTCCCCTCATCATGAGGAAGGTAGCCTGGCCTGGGAGACTCAATTGAAACTCAATGTCTTAGCAAGTTGGCATATCATGTGGTGATCATGGCAGCCTCTGCCTTGATAGTTTTCTTTCCCTCTTGCTGCTCCAAAGTGATCAAGCTCATCAAGATGATAAAGGATGCTGGGATGGTCAGCGTATGTGTTAACTAGTCTAGGTGGTGGTGTCCCGTTGTTTGCTCAAACATTCATCTACGTGTTTCTGTGAAAGTATTTTACAGATGTGAATGACATCTATCATCACAGCTGACTGTATGTCAGGGAGATTACCTTGAAAAATATGGGTGGGCTTCACTGAATCCATTGAAGTTCTTCAGGGCAAAGATGGGTTTTCTGGAGAAGGAATTGTGCCTTAAGACTGTAACACAGAAATTCTGCCTGAGTTTCCAGCCAGCTGGCCTACAGATTTCAGACTCAAGACTACAACATCAACTCTCATCTGAATTTCCAGCCTGCTAATCTGCCCTACAAATTTCATATTTGCCGCCCCTAGAAGCACATGAGACAATTCCTAAGAGTAAATATCTCCACACAGTGATAGTCAAAGAGATACATGTCTTGAGATAGTGATATAAATGTAACTATATATGCATAGATACATATATACATATATAGATATATATCTATGTATAGATACATATAGATATGTATATATGTATATGTTATATATATTTATATATTATGTAACATATATACATATATACAATCTCTATAGATATATATGTTATATATACATATATAGATACAAATATATAATTTGATATTGTGATTTATAAGAAATATGTATGTGGTTGCTGAACCTGGTTCTTGGAGCACAGCTTCTAAAACCATTGGGATCTCCAAAGTGATAAGGGTATCTTTTGTATGTTAATGAGATGACTGATGGCTGGGACCCTTGGATAGCCTCAGGATGGGGGATGGTTGCCAGGGGGACCTACCTTCTAGTTAGAGGGTAGGAATTTTCTGTCCTACCTCTTGACCTCTTGAGAGGGCAGGGGGGCTAAAGATGGAGTTGATCACCAATGGCCAATGATGGAATCAATCAAACCTATTTAATGAAGCCTCCATAAAAACCTGAAAGGACAGTTCAGAGAGCTTCTTAACTAGTGGGGCTACCTAGAAGGTGATGCACCCAGAGACGGCAAGGAAGCTCTGCACGCCTATCCACATGCTCAGCCCCATGCATCTCGTTTGGCTGTTCATCTCTATCCATTGTAATATCCTTTATAATAAACCAGTAAACGCACGTCAGTGTTTTCCTGAGTTCTATAAGCCACTCGATCAACTTAAACCCAGGGAAGGGACATGGGAATCCTAACCAGTCCTTCAGAAGCACAGGTCACAACCTGAGGCTTCCAACTGGAGTCCAAAGTGGGGGCAGTCTTGGCGGCAGAATCCTTAATCTGTGGGATCTGATGCTATCTCCAGGTAGATAATGTCAGAATGGCACTGAATTATAGGACACCCCATTGGTATCTGCTGGAGAACTGGTTGTTGATGGGGAAAACCCTGCACATCTGGTCACAGAAGTATTCTGTGCTATATGAGTGTGAGTGTAAAGTGAAAACACTGTTTTTTTCTATGTATGATAGTATATCTTAAATCTATGTACATAGATTTATCCATAGAGATTTATTTATATTGTTAAGAATAAATTTCTGAAAATAATTTTCATTTTCTATACTTAATTTTATTATAGTAAATATAGCACATATACTATAGTGTATAGTATAATCATATAATTTAATAATTACATTATATATTTTCAGATATTTGTAACAATATACTATATTACCATTATATGTTATACAATGAAAATAGATGTATACATATATGATGACTATACATATACAATATAGATATATAACAAAACATTATATAGACATATAATGAAAATTATCTATTTTCAGATATTTATTCTTTGAGACTTGAAATCTGACCACTTGTCGCTTACACCCATTGGTTGTAGTTGTGTCTTCTGAAGTGATGAACATGCTTATTATAGCTTAGTTATTTGGGCATATATGTTTGGTAACTTCGCACACTACTTTCTAGATCTATTAATCAATTGCTATAGTGGGTCCCTGTCCTTCTCATAGAATCCACCCCTGTATCTGCTGCCGGGTGGGTTAGCAACCATGACCCTCCTCTGGTCCAGCAGATTGGACTAGGGGTGACTTCTGAAAAGACCTGGGCCAATCAGGTTCTGTTGTCAGTAAGTGTAAATGAATGCATGGGTCGTAATCAGTGTGGTGGGCAGGGCTGGACCAACCAGGTTCTGTCCTCAGTAACTGTAAATGAATGCATGGATTGTAATCACTGCAGTAGGCAGGGCTGGGTTCAGGGCAGCCCCGTGTGTCCATGTGCCATATGTGGGAAAGAAATCTACAGAGAGAAAAGGAAGGTAATGGCACAGACAGAAGGAGACACCAACCCCAGGCAGCCCTGGAAAAACAGTGTAATCTCTGCTCCTGTAGATGTTCCCTTCCTGGTTTCAGTTCTTCTGGGGTAACTGTGTGAACTTCCTCCTCTTGGGTTCTATGACTGAACTCTCTGCCCCTGAATCCTGGGAAACAGCTCTGAGTCCTTCTAGGATATTTTGTTGTCTTAAGGTAGTACGAGTGGTTTGAAGTTACTTGCAGCCAAAGGATTCTGTGTTGCTTAGCAACACATGCATGTGGAGAACTCCTGTTTACAACACCATAGGCAAAGCATGAAGCAAGCATCAAAGTATATGGAACTGCTGACGTAGAGGTCGAACCTGAAAATACACTCTGTGAAAGGTCAACCAAAAGCATGACAAGGAGAGCAGGTCTCATAAGGTTATTGTAGGAAGCTTCTCCTAAGAGTATAATAACCAAAAATTACAGCTAACCCTTCTAGAACATTTACTGTGTGCTAGGCATTGCTGTAAGTGTTTTATATCTATTAACTCATTTAAATCTCACTGTAAGACTTAGACAGTATCTGCTATTATTATCACCATTTTACAGATGAACAAATGGTGCAAATCCTCTGAGCCAAATTGTGGCTAAGAAGAGGAGAATTTGAGAGCCAAAACTCAGTACGTTGTAGCAACAAACTTATTCCTTCCAATTAGTAAGCAAGATGTTTCTCCATTCTTGTTATACGTAAAAAAAAAAAAAAAAAAAAAAAAAAAAAAAAAAAACCCTAATCCTAATTTTAGGGCCAAATGATGCCAGTTACCTATTTTTTTAAACAATGTATCCTATATTTGTTTCCAAGACAACAAACAGAGTGGGAAAGAACAGCATCCAATCATTTATGTCAGAAAGTTGGAGAATCCTCCCCACTTCCTGAGCCAGAATGTCCTTCATCTGTAAACATAGGGGGATGTTGTTATAATTTTATACTTGCTGCATAACAAATGATCCTTTATTCTCTCATCAAGTCATTATGGGTCTCAGGATACATTTTCTATTCCTGGAATCATGGCTAAATGCTCTTTAAGTGGTGAAAATTGATCTCTGAGTGGGCTTCAGTTGTGAAATGTACATTATCTGAATGGTGAATTTGGCTGAAATAGATAAACAGATGGTAGAGGCCCTGTTTCAGCTTCTAAAAGTAAAACAAAGTATATAGAAGAAGGAAGAAACTTAAGACCTAAAACTGAGAGATGCTCAGTTTGAATAACCTCAAGTGTCAAAAATATATTTACTCAGAGAACCCATTTAAACACATGCATTCCTCCCTATAGACGAAAATGAACTTTGAATAGTTCCCTTTAAAACACTAATTTTCACTTAAAAATACATTTAAATATACAGAGTAAATAGAAGGTTAAAGTGAAACAAAATATGAGATACATGTTATATGTATTTTCTTTAGTATAAATTATTATATAAATGTTTATATTGCGTGCAATAATATTAAAGAGATTTTGATTAGGTCATCTCTATATAAATCACCCTATTCTAGTCTCTTGCACAAGAGATACCACGCACTCCTGTTCAGTTCTCCAGGTTTAATTTATTTTTATAATGGCCACTGCTTAGGGAAGAAATCAGAATTGCTCACCTTTTGTTTTGATCTTCCTTCAGAGCCACCTTCATTTCCAAAAGACATCTTGAATTCAAGAGAAAATTAAAACCTTTACTCCAAGTCCAGATGAATTATTCACCTCTTCTACCTTCCTTTCTGCCAAACCTAACCCTATATATGCAAATTATGACTGTCACAGGAAGAATATGAAAAGAGAAAGCAGTCTATTAATAGTAGTGCATGTGGTGGTGTTTGCTTTTGCAAAGATGTGGCATTCTTTCACATTCATTTTTCTTGGTTTTCCAGCTACAGAGTCTGAGTTAGTTGTTCCAGATTCACAGAAAAGAAAGCTAGAGTGAAGCAACTCTGCAAAATGGTGCTGTTTTAATTACTGTATACATGATAGCTGGATGGATGGATGGATGGATGGATGGATGGATGGATGGATGGATGGATAAATAAATGAGTGGGTAAGTGGGTGGATGGATGGGTAAATAATTAGTTGGTGGGTGGGTGGGTGAATGAATGGATGAGTGAATGGATAGGTGGATGGATTGGTGGATGGGTGGGTGGATGGGTGGGTGAATGTATGGATGAGTGAATGGATTGGTGGATGGTGGGTGGATGGATGGATGGGTGGATGGATGGGTGGATGGGTGGGTAGATGGATGGGTGGATGGATGGGTGGATGGGTGGGTAGATAGATGGATGAATACATGGATGGTGGATGCATGGATGAATAAACAGATATATAAGACGGATCTCGATATTTTCTGGAAATGCTTCGATGTCATCAAGAATGTTATAACTTTTTATAAAGATGTATCTTTAAAGATCTAAACCAGCATAAACAATGACACGGTCTAAAAGATGGTTCTAGGCCAGTGCAAGAAGTTAGCAAAGGTTGGATCTTTAACACATTCACATCTGAGAAGGAGAGGGAGGAAGGAGAGGAGGGAGGAAGGAGAGGAGGGAGGAAGAAGAGGAGGGAGGAAGGCAGGGAAAGAAGGAGGAAAGGAAGGCTAGAAAGAGAATAGGGGCAGGGATTAATGAAAACCAATAAACACTCATATTTCTGATAGGAAATGACTTTGATGAGAATTTCTGTGATAAAGAAGCATGTTACTTGCATTTCTCCATTCCACCCCCGACCCCATCACGTGCTCAAAAACTCTACTTCAAATAAAAACCCTTTTCACAAGCCTTCCCGTGTGTCTGCGTTTGCTCCTTTGGCACTGCCTCCTTTGAACTCTGCCATCCTTTCAAGTGTGAAGAACCCGGGTCAGGCCTTTGTCTGAAGTGCAGCCTTCAGGCTTGCTTTCTCTCTGAAGATTTCCCCTCATCTTTGACCTCACCATCAGCAAGACATCTTGTCCTGAATCTGGAATTCAACTGAGCGGTTGCCTACTTCTGGTAACCTGAACAAAGTTATGTTTGCCTCAAAAAAAAAAAAAAAAAAAAAAACCCATAGCAAACCCTCATAAAATTTCAACAGTGCCAGGGGTGGGGGCTTGGCAAAATGAGAAAATTGCAAGAAATTTCCCCTCCATTATCCCAGGAGATAATCCTTGCACTCCAAGGACACCAACATCTTCAAGCATTCTAAACTCTCATCTCTCCCAAAAATCTCGAAGTCATTACATTAGAGAAACAATATACATCCTTAAACGCCTGGCGGCATTCTTGGCTCAGTGTCTTTGGTCTTTTTTTTTCTTTTTCCCTTTTGGTCTGTCCCCATTTGTTGGCAGAGACCAAGCCTGTCGTGTTTCAACATTGTATTCCCAAAGCCTAACCCAGGCCTGTCACTTTGGGAAGCCCTCAATAAATATTGGTTGAATAAATGAATGAATGAGGCATAAGCAGTGGGGAGAAGAATGCATCTTATTAAATTTAGTCTGATATTAGAATAGGATTAGAAGGATCCTTTGGGGTTTGGAGCTTATTAATAAACAGTTGCATGATATTAAACTATAAAGACAGAAAAAAAAAACCCAGGTCATTATTCTGATATTTCCTCCACAACATAAAGCCAATGAATGAGCTGCATTTAGAGGAGGCAGACAATATATTTAAGCACTGTAAATATCAACATTAGTACTTAGCCTCCATGCAATCTAATTTACTCTCTAACACAATCCATCATAACTGAAGTATGTTTTTGCTTATAGGGATCACAAAAACTCACTTGATTTATTGCAATATTCCCCCCCCTCCTGTGTTCTCCGGGAAATTTCAGCCATACGTGAATCTCTTTCTTCGGGGAAAAAGAGACTCTTGTCACCAGGGCATTCACGAACACAAACTCACTTTTCACTCTAGAGGAAAGGTATCATAAAAAGAGAGTTTAATCAATTGCCACATCAGGACTTTGGTTATTAATCTGCACTCCGTCTTTGTTCTTTCTGTATGCAGCTCACTTCCAGAGTAAAAAAGAAAAAAAAAAAAAAGTCTTAAGTCTTCATCACATGTCCAGTCAACCAGTGTCTCAAATATTTATCACTGTTGATCCATATTAACACTCAAAAGGGAGTGTGATTTCATAATGTACCTCTCCTAGACAATTTCATTTAGATTTTCATAATGCTTATCACAACTAAGAACTGTAAACTTTGTCTCTAAAGGAGTATCTTCATTGATTTGGTCAGCGACCACGCCAGTCTCCTCTCCTGGTAACAGCTATAGACCCACCAGGAATTAGGAAGTAAGCAGAGGAGAAATAAAAAAGGAATGAGGCCAGGCAATTACATGCATAAATAAATTACAAGGTTTTTATTTTCCCTTGCTTGAGATATATGAATGTGACCTTGATAAAGATCCAGTATTCAAACACAAATGGGTAAAGCAGAAAGAGAAAAGGGGTAGGGGAAGAAAGGGAGGAGACAGAATGAGAGATCGAGGAAAAGAGAAAGGAAAACAGGTATTACACTCATCAGTTCATTCAAACTCATTAGAATCTTTTGCTTACCAGATTCCAAAACCTCACTTGAAAGACAATATCGTTGACAGCTAAATGTCAAATTTCCTTGCTTTATCCCTACACTCCCCCACATTCACTTTGTCCATAATATGCAAATCCTCAGGCGAGACCACAGTGTAAGGAGATTAGAGACACTGACAAACACCTTGGGGAGCTGACACAAAAATGACAAGCAGCTATGGACAGATATTTTCCCGCCGTTTATACTGGCATCACTTAGATTTGTTTAGCTCCACCCAAACTACCCACTTTGCCCCTCTATCCCACCCCAAGAACCCTCATTGAGTGCAAAGAAATGAAACAAATTCTATCACATAGTAGACAGAGGAAACATTTTCAAAATTAGGAGATATTTCATATATTAGGAAAGAAATAACCTAAGTGCTCATCAAGAGGGGATTAGTAAAATCAAACATCCAGTAAAATGCTCAAGGTGACTGTAACCATGGGATTCTGAGGAATTTGCATCCTTGTACTTTTCTGTGTTTGCCAAGTGTTCTATAATAAACTAAAATTAGATTTATTTTACTGTACTCATCTTACTTTGGTCATTCCCTTGCTCCAGCTTTGTGCTGGGTGATCGCTCCTTCTGAAGTCTTCACACTTCCTTATCGCAATGATTTCACTTTTTTTTGTCTCGCTTCTCAGACTGCAAACTTCCATGAGAGTAGGAACTGTGCCTGTCCAATTCGTCGTCCTTTTTTTTTTTTTTTTTTTTTTTTGACGGAGTCTCACTCTGTTGCCCAAGCTGGAGTGCAGTGGTGCGATCTTGGCTCACTGCAACCAATGCCTCCTGGGTTCATGCCATTCTCCTGCCTCAGCCTCCCGAATAGCTGGGATTAAAGGCACGCACCACAACACCTCGCTAATTTTTGTATTTTTAGTAGAGATGGGGTCTCACCATATTGGCCAGGCGGGTCTAGAACTCCTGACCTCAAGTGATCTTCCCTCCTCAGCCTTGAAAACTGCTGGGATTATAAGTGTGAGCCACCGCGCCCAGCAATGCCTGTTCACTTCTGTATCTCCAAATCCTTGCATGTCATACTCACTTGACACAAGTGCATTGAAAGAAGAACAGATGACTCGTTTAATGAGAAAGATAATAAGTGCTTTTTAATAATTCCGTTGGACAGCAAAAAGCCTTTACTCATTCCAAAATACTATAAATGACCTGTAGGATAAGTTTTGCATCCCAAAAAAGATGCCACAAGAAACACTCTACCCTCACATGAAGTCCCCTGCAAAGGAACAGCCTCACATGACATGATTCTGCATTGGACACCTGACAATATTTACTAAAAATTAAATCAAGACAATCCTGGCCAACATGGTGAAACCCCGTCTCTACTAAAAATACAAAAAATTAGCCAAGCATAGTGGCACACACCTGCAGTCCCAGCTACTTGGGAGGCTGAGGCAGGAGAATCACTTGAACCCAAGAGGCAGAGGTTGCAGTGAACCAAGATTGTGTCACTGCACTCCAGCCCAGGTAACAGAGTGAGACTCTGTCTCAAAAATAATAATAATAATAAAAAAAGTAGCCAATATAGCATAACATCCACCGATGAATCTTATGTGAAGATGTGTGCAAATCTGTGAGTTTCCCTTCAACAGCATACAGAAACACAAAATTTGAAGAAGGATTTTCATTACAGTGACTTATTCTAAACCAACGACAACAAGAAGAAACTCATGATTTTTTTCTCCAGTTTGCACCTCCATAGACCCAATATGAATCATGGTCAGGGTGTCAACCCAGTGTTTATCTTTCAGGAGACAGATCTCACCTGAGACTTAATTTGACCTGATATACTTCGCATTTACTCTCAAAGCCGGAGTTAGTCTGTCAAGTGGGAAAGACAGGAAACCTGACGCTGGAGATCTTAGGGGATTCAACAAAATGTGTTTAAATCAATGGTTGATACTTAATAAAACCTCAAAACATACCACCCACTGCTGTAATTACAGAATTAGAATATTACTTATATATTATTTATGTTGAACTATTATTTACATAAATTGAAATATTATCCATAATTATTATAATTCTTCCCTGCCTCCCCAAAAAAACATATTATATTATGTTTCCTAATAAGCAGAGCAGGATGAAATAAAATATGAAACAAAAATTTACCCTATTAGGAAAGATACTATAACTTTAGCTTCCTCCACTGCTTCAAACTGACAGTTTCCTCAATTACAGCCATCACTCAAGGGGTGCCATTTATTTCTTTCTTTAAATTTAATTTCTTTTTTTCTTTTTTGAAACAGGGTCTCATTCTGTTGCGCAGGCTGGAGTACAGTGGCACCAACACTGTAACCTCAACCTCCTGGGCTCAAGCGATCCTCCCACCTGAGCCTCCTGAGTAGCTGGAACTACAGGTACATGCCACCATGCTTAATTTTTGTGCACTTTTTGCAGAGACAGGGTTTCACCATGTTGGCCAGGCTGGTCTTGAACTCCTGTGCTCAAGCGATCCTCCTGCCTCAGCCTCCCAAAGTGCTAGAATTATAGGTATGGGGCAGGCCACTGTGCCCAGCCTAAGGGGGTCCCATTAAGATTGTACAAGTGAGGCACAGACTAAGACACTGGAAATGCCATTTAAGACCTGAAGATCTCTTATGTACGTAGGGAAAGATTACAAGCAGAAAAATGTTTTATTTATTTAACTTTATCTGGAATAGTGGTGATTATGACTATTTACGCAACACAGTATTTTTCCCCATTAGATAAAACTGTGACTAATAGTCATTTCCTAAAACTTGTTATATTACATGGGAATTTTCTTGATTTGACTCACTAATATTCAACTAAATGATTTTCTTTGTTTACATTCAGCCACTGCAGTGACAGCTGCCTCTTACTTCTATACTTACCTTATCACTCTCTCTCCTCCTAGAACAATCCCCTTTCTCCCCTCTGTCCAATACAATCCATTCTTCAGGGCCAGACACTCACTAATTGTGTTAGCCACTCTTCCTTCTTTCTGCTTCATCAAGCTCTCTGCGCAATTCCTGCTCTGGGACACCCTTTGGTACCAGACAATATTATTCCGTTATTTATTGTTTCCAGCTAAGATGCAAGATTGGGGGCAGGAGTTACATCAGGAGCCCTCGGATAATTTCTGCTACATCCATGGCACAAAAATTTGCAAATAATAGCGGAGGCCTCACTGTGTGTAAGGTACCGCTCAGCCCCAAGTGTTAAAAGGAAGAATTGCTAAGATGAGACCCTTCCCCTGAAAAACTTCCCAATTTAAAGAAAATGCAAGATCCAGGTAAAATTACTGAGATGTGGTGATATTAATAGAGATGTAAAGAAATGTTACCACTGCAAACATTATTACTGCTAACAACAGTAAGATGATGAACTAATATTTATGAAGAGCTCACAAAGGAGCCCAACCCTACTCCTAGGGATTTTACTTGAGCGATCTCATCTAATACCTGCACAACCCCAGGCCATAGGCATTAATATTATTATTATTATTATTATTATTATTATTATATTTTATTTTATTTATTTTTTGAGACGGAGTCTCGCTCTGTCTCCCAGGCTGGAGTGCAGTGGCGCGATCTCGGCTCACTGCAAGCTCCGCCTCCCGGGTTCACGCCATTCTCCTGCCTCAGCCTCCCGAGTAGCTGGGACTACAGGCGCCCGCCACCGCGCCAGTCTAATTTTTTGTATTTTTAGTAGAGACAGAGTTTCACCAAGTTAGCCAGGATGGTGTCGATCTCCTGACCTCGTGATCCGCCCGCCTCGGCCTCCCAAAGTGCTGGGATTACAGGTGTGAGCCACCGCGCCCGGCCTAGGCATTATTATAATTATGTTCCCCACTTTACAGATTAGGATACCAAGGCGTATAGAGGTTGACTAAGCAAACTGTGCGTTAAAGAAATAAAATCAAGGGAATAAGCAGTTCTGGCCAAGGTCAGTGGAAGTCATCACAAAAAAGAATCATCTGAAGAGAGCCTTGGCATAAATTTCTGCGTGACCTTGGGCAAAATGGGGGAAGAGGAATACAGGGACATCAGGCATGGGAGCAGCAGGAACGAAGTAAGAAGAGTTAGGGATAAATCCCTACTATGAAGGAAATGGAAGGAAGAAGCAGGTTATGGGACTGGAAACGGAGGGACACCAAGAACCGGAGCAGCGTTGAATTGTTCTCTAGGGAGCAGAAAGCCACAGAACATTTCTGAACAAGGGCATGGCAGGACCAGTTTTGGTTTTATTTTGCTTTCCTGTTCTGTTTTGTTTTTCATAAAACAGGCTTGTTTGGCATGATGGGGACTGGACTAGAGAGAGCAAGACTAGAAGTCCATTTTATTAGGCGTCAAACTTGTCGGTCCAGGTGAGGGAGTGTAGGGCTCTGACTCTGGCAGTGGAACTGGAAAGAAAAATCAAAGGATGGACTGGAAGGAAGAAAGATAAATAAAAGAAAACTTGCTGGTTAGGTATGGTGGCTCATGCCTGTAATCCCAGCAGTTTGGGAGGCCAGGGTGGGTGGATCACCTGAGGTCAGGGGTTCAAGATCAGCCTGACTAATATGATGAAACCCTGTCTCTACTAAAAGTACAAAAATTAGCTGGGCATGGTGGCAGGAGCCTGTAATCTCAGCTACTTGGGAGGCTGAGGCAGGAACATTGCTTGAACCTGAGAGGCAGAGGTTGCCATGAGCCAAGATTGTGCCATTGCACCCCAGCAGTCTGGGTGACAGAGACTCAGCACTTTGGGAGACCTAGATCACTTGAGGTCAGGAGTTCAAGACCAACCTGGCCAACATGGCGAAACCCCGCCTCTACTAAAAAATACAAAAATTACCTGGGTGTGGTGGAAGGCACCTGTAATTCCAGCTACTTGTAAGGTGGAGGCATGAGAATCGCTTGAACCCAGGAGGCAGAGGTTGCAGTAAGCCAATATCATGCTGCTGTACTCCAGCCTGGGCAACAGAGCAAGACTCTGTCTCAAAAAAAAGGAAAGAAAGAAAACTCTGAACTCTCTTGCCTGAGTACCAGGATGGATGGAGAGGCCGATTATCAAGATGATGGTAACTGGAGGAGGTGGTTTTTGGGGGAACAGATGATAAGACTCTTTTAAGATTCATGGGACACCTCTAGTACCCAGGTTATGATCCTGAAATACCCTTAGGAACTATTAGATTACTGCAAAAGTAATTGCAGTTTTGTCACCACTTTTAATGGGAAAAAACTGCAATTACTTTTGTACCAACCTAACAGATCTCCTCGGGGAAATGGATTATTTCAGGTGTGGGGTAGCAAATATACAAGATGAATCTAGAATATCAAGTCATACTAGATAGTAAGAAAGCCACCAAAGACAAGCAGAGTCATGTCAAAATGACTTCTGCAGAAACTTGAGGAAGGAGGAAGCTCTCACCGGTTGATGATTGAATAATCTGAGCATCAACAAAGATAATAACTTCCATCCCTGCATTTGTAGTAAAACCAAAAATTCCAGTCACTAGAGTATGCAAATAAACAAGCTCATATATTTGAAATCACAAAGAGAAAATCAAGCATTTTTCCTGTATTTCCTGTATAAACTATACCCCCTGACTATCCTAATAGTAGACTGGGAAATTTCTCTTTAAGAAGTACTCCGGTAACTCCATGAAGAAGGAAGGGTAAAATTACAGTGTCACTAAATTGCAACCCCTGAAAAATGCATTGAGCATCCATGGTCAATGGATGCTTCATCACATGTAGAATAAAGCTAATAATACCTAGCCCATGGAGATTAAATAGCACCACAAAAAGGGAGACAATCGATCAATGTACCTCTTCTTGGAAGAAGAAATGACCAAAGAAATGGAACTTGCATCTGACCTAGACTAATTTAAAAGAATACAAAGGACACAGGAACATGTGAAATCACACCACAGGGATGCAATCAGCAAACACCAGACTGTGAGAAATACTGCAGGACAAACAATCTGTTTTCTTCAACAAGGTCAACAATCACCACAAAGAAAAATGTTAAAACAAACACACAAAAATATGGGAGAAAGACTGATTAAAAGATGCTTAATACAGGCTGGGTACGGTGGCTCACAGCTGTAATCCCAGCACTTTGGAAGGCCAAGGTGGGCAGATCACTTGAGGTCAGGAGTTTGAAACCAGCCTGGCCATTATGGTGAAACCCCATCTCTATTAAAAAGTACAAAAATTAGTCAGGCGTCGTGGCATACACCTGCAGTTCCAGCTACTCAGGAAGCTGAGGGAGGAGAATTGCTTGAATCCAGGAGTCAGAGGCTGCAGTGAGCCTTTGAGATCACGCCGCTGTACCCCAGCCTGAACGACAGAGCAAGACTTCCACTCTCAAAAAAAAAAAAAAACGTTTTAAGCTTTTTTTTAACAGAGTAAAATGGCCTTTTAAAGATATATCAATCAATCACAGTGTACTGCCTTTATTTGGATCCTGTTTCAAATAAACAAACTATCATAAAATCAATCATAGGAAGTGTACCACTGGGAAGGGTGTTCCTAAAGGAGGAAGCTATGCAAATGTGGGGCAAGGGGAAATGCAAATTCTCAGTGCCTTCTGCTCAATTTTGCTCTGAACCTGAAACTGCTGTAAAAAAATAAAGACTATTTTTAGAATTGGAAATAAGAAAACAATGACATTTTTGAAAAAATTGGAAAATTAAACCACTATTTAATAGTGGTGAGATTCATAAAATCACTGTTAATTGTTAGTAGATATTACAGGTGTTAGGAAAAAAACCTTCTTATCCTTTAGAGATGCAACCTGAAATATTTAAGAAAACAATGATATGATATCTGGTATTTGCTTAAGACTAGTAGCATGAGACTAGAGAGGGAGAGTGGCCAGGGCATATGTAAAGTAAGATTAGCAATACCTTGATAATTATTTAATCTGGGTGATTCAAAGAAGGTGATTCTTCAGGCTATTCTCTCTACTTTTAAATATGCTTTAAGTTTTATTTAATAAAGAATTTTTTTTTTAAAGGAGACTGAGGTGGGTGGATCACCCGAAGTCAGGAGTTTGAGACCAGCCTGACCAATATGGTGAAACCCCATCTCTACTAAAAATACAAAAATTAGCCAGGCATGGTGGTGGGCACCTGTAATCCCAGCTACTTGGGAGGCTGAGGCAGGAGAATCACTTGAACCCCAGAAAGCCGAGGTTGCAGTGAGCTGAGATCATGCCATTGCACTCCAGCCTGGGCGACAGAGTGAGACTGTCTCAAAAAAGGAAAAAAAAAAAAAAAAAAAAAGCTGTTAGAAGATGTAAGGGGTCGATCGTCAAAATGGCACAAGGATGATCATCAAAATGATGATCAAGTCTCCAACAGCTTGACATTGCTCCTTCCAAGGGAAACCCCAGTCTGAGTCATGCTATAGCTAGAACTCAGCATCTAAAAAGGACAGAAACCCACTTTAGCCAAGATAACCATTTATATTCCATGCCCTTATGAAACCATCACCACCTGTGTCATAAAAGGAATAACGCTATGTCTTTAAAGTACATGAATTAATTATCAGTAGGAATGAACGAAAACCATACCTACCTCTTATAGGTTTTAATATCCAAAAGCTGTTGCAACTATCCTTCTCAACTTTGGAAAGGTCACTCGTATATAATGAATGATAAGGGCCACTGAAGGTCACAGTATATTAAAAGCGAGCTAAATTTTAAGGGTTTGCTGGAAATAAAATTTTCTGCAGGGAATTTATTGAGCCCAAGCAAGGTTACAGAGTTATTTGTGGTGTTTTAATGCTACCTTTATTAATAATAACCTTTCCACGATGCATCATTTGAAAAGGCACGTACTTTAATCCAGAAATGGGTGTCCATTATTATTACCGGGAACATTAAATAATGAAGTTTCAGGGGCAGAACAGGAGAAATCACAATTTGGAAGGTTTCTGGTATCCAGTCTTTATGAGAGATTCTTGAAGTAAAAATAAACATCCCAGATTATAGATAATGCAGAAGCACTGATAATTGGAAAGAAATCTGACTAGAATACTATTTGAAGGGCATGTGTAATAGACAAAGGTCTGAACTCAAATCCTATCGCTCAGCCAAGCTGAACTGCCTGACCCTGGCCAAGGATCCTTCCTGAGCCAGCTTCAACAAATGTACAATGAGGATCATAATACCTACCCCATGGAGCTGTTATATAGATTAAATCAAATCAGATATGGCAATTTTACCGTAAAATGCTGCGCACATATTAAACATAACACAAATGGCTGTATTTATTTTAAATTAAAACCATTTTAGATCCTGGCCTTTGTTCCCATGAGGCATTTCCTTCTCTCTTTTTAATAACTGAGTATTTCCTTGATAACGTAGCAAAATGTGCCTCCAACATGCAGACATGTCACTGCCTGAGTTCCAATCCTAGAGTCCAAGCTTTACGGTCTGTGAAACCGTAAGAAAATCACTTTATCTCTCTAAACACTTATTTTTTTCATGCATAAAATAGGCACAGCCATGGTATACCCTCCATGCTGCTCTGATTGGTGTGGAATTAGTCAATGAGTGAAAAACCTTTAAAACAAGTCTGAACGTAGTAAGTAGTCAATACAGGAAGAGTGGCTATGGCACTGTCATGGTAGCTAAATCAGCATCCCCTGCTCCGTATCAGGGTGATTTCATTCACTCTGAACCATTCCATTTGGGGATGAAATAATCTGGTCTGTGAGCAAGTCATCCCTCACCCCCTGCTTCCTTTTCTTCTCTGTATTGTTGTCCATTCCCTGCTGGCTCTGCCCTTGCTGCAGATGGAAGACAGCCAGGCATTGCATGCTCATCACCCAAAATCCTGGAGTTTTCTAAAGCTTTGGTCACATAGCATCTGGCCTCTTTCCTCGGGAACACAATTCAAAGGGATGAGCTTTTCAGAGAAATCTCATCTTTCATCCTCTACCAAGAACAACCACAGGGAAAGGATCTCTCTAAAAGCCAAATCACCTTCCTCATGCACGGCATCCTGCCCAGGAATCAGACTTGGGGAATGGGGAGATGGTCAGCCTAATTCTGAGTATTTGTGTGGGGTTGGCTAACCTCATGGGCTGGCAGGAGGAAACACACGCACATACACACACACTGACATCATCATGTGTTTACAAAGAACATTAGGATGTCAGGTACTGGTTTAATTTGTTTTATAGTCCATTTTTTCCTGCCCCTCAAGGCTCATTAGCCAACTAATCATTCCATATGATAATGCATCCTCTGTGTTTCTTCCTTGGGTCCGAGAATATATCTTCAGCTCCATGGCAGCAGCAGGCGTCCTTCATCAGCAACCTTGCCTGGCTTGGCTGAAAGGATGCCAACTCTGCACATGTCTTTCTTCCCCAACATCCATTAACTCCGTTACCATATACTTAGACATCTGGCCAAGGAACCAACAAGCTTATTTCCCCACCCTCCATAATCACCCAATGTAATATCTGTTTCCTCACAATGTGTCCCTCTGGGAGAGACATCTAGATAAAGCCGACTTCATTTCAAATCACACTGACTTTGGCCAGATGTTCCATGTCTGGGAAATAATGTTTACTGAAAGTTTACATACTAATTATTATTGAAATCTCTGCAAGGTTACCTTGAGTCTAAGATCTGAGAATCCAAAGCCAAGATGGATTTCAAGAAGGATCCAAAGTTGCCTCCCTAACCTTGGGCCAATTTTTCTTCAAACCCCAATATTCCCTTGGTATCTACTTTTCTCTGTCCTTGAGAACTCATTTAATACGGTAATGTTTAATATGAATATAGGAATAGCCCCTCAAATCCTACTTTTAGACCTGAATTCTTCCCTAAGCTCTAGACTCGAGTATACATTGTATTCTTAAATCCGCACTTGAAAGTTTAACAGGCATCTCAAACTTGTCTAAAATGGAGCCCTGGGGTCTTGTCAAACCCTACAAATTAGATCTTCAGCTATCCTCCCCATGTGAGTAAATCATTACTATTTCTGCATTTGCTAGAAGTCATTCATGCTTCCTCCCTTTTCCTCATCCCCCTATCTGTCAGTGTTATCACAAAAAGTATATCCATTCCTACTGCCACTTTTCTAGGACCAGGCATCATCATCATTCAGTTGGGTTACTCTGTGAGTTTACTAAGCAGTTTCCCTGTGTCCACTTTTGACATCTTCATCTCTAATATATCTGCCACATAGCAGCCAAAGTAATCATTTTAACACAAAAATCAGAATGTTCCTCTTCCTTGTGTAAAACCATCAGACGCCTTCCTATGGTGCTTAGAAAAGCACTCAAAGTCCTTATCCTCTGCATGAGACGTTCCCTTCCTACCTCTCCACACAACTCATCTCCTCACTCATGACACCAAGGCTACACTGATCCCTTCTCTGTTCCCCAATAAATCAATCTTTTTCCTACTTCAGGGCCTTTGCCCTGCTTTTCTGTTTTCCTGGAATGGTCTTTCCCTGGGGTTTTGTGTATGTGTGTGTGTCTTAACTAAAACATCATTTCTTCCAAGAAACTTCCATTGGCCGCTCCATTGACATAGCAAATTAAACTCTGTAGCCACACCTTCCACCTAAGGAAACACAGTGTACTTGATTTCATTGATGGTACATATCACCATCGGTATGGCTCTTGTTGACTCATATTTATTTAGTTGAGTTAATCTATTTCTACTCCATTCACTGGAATAGCCAAGGTCAAGAACCTCATTTATCTTTGTCATTGATTTATTCTCAGCACCGAAAAGATGCCTGGTGTCTGACAGGTATTCAATACATATTCACTGAATGAATGAATGAACAAATGAATGAATGAATGCATGAATGAATAAACAGACTCATCATTAATGTGGCAATGATGGCATATGAAGAGGTCTGGCTGTGTTTTGCTACTCAAGACCCCACTGAGTCTGTAATTCGATCATCCAAATTAGACTACAAATTTCCTACTTCCTAGAGAACTCTCAACTCTCGGAGTCATGATTCAAATCACCAAACACCCAAGCATTAACATTCACCCATCCTTAAAAGGTATCTGTACCCACCCAAATGTTCTATCTCCTTACTACTCAATGTGTGTTCCACAGGTCAGCAGCAGTAGCATCGCTCGGGAGTTTATCATAAATTCAGAATCTCAGGTCCCACCCTAGACTTACTGAATCAGCATCTGCATTTTAACAAGAGTCTTGGGTGATTTGCACGCTCATTAAAATTTGAGAAGCCCTGCTTTAGTTCCGTTGGTCTGAACCCTGGATGCTTAAGAACAGCCCCATCCAAGACCAATCAAATCAGAGTCCCTAGGGCCACAGCCCAGGCATCATGGCTATTTTTAAAACTTCTTCCTGTATTCTAATGAGCAGTCAATAGTGAGAGCCACTGACATAGCACAAATAGCTCAAAATTTTACAAAGTTGGTCTACATGTATGCAGAGGGAACTCTCATTCTAAAGGTAAAACAGCGAACAGTACAGAAACATGAGGGAACAATGAGAAAGCCCTAGCTCTGCAGACAATGGACCAGGCTGTGTCCCAGACAGGCAGTTCAGAGTTCACGCCTCATGCCACTGTAGGATCTTGGTATGTGTTATTTGGTTTTCCTGGTTCTCACAGGAGAATGCACAGAAGGCCATTATATAATAGTTTCCGCACAATCAAAAAATAAAAAATATAAAGGAAGCCACCTGAAGATACTAGCCATCTTTCCATACCTTTTTAAAATTTCACACCTTAATCAAAGGCAGATGCTGTTTACTTGTGGAATGCCAATGTTTTGAAACCACTCTCTGTAATTAGCTCATTAGCTCACCTGTGGAATTGTTTGAATTTTTTTTTTTTTTTTTAACCTAAAACAGGTCTTCTAAGACAAGGGCAATAGCCTGTCACATCTTGCGAATATGGAAGGGGCAGTGTTCTTGAATTCCTCATCTGTTGTAACAGACACCAGGAGGAACTCAAAGAGAGAACACTGTATACATCCTAAGGACCTTCTTGGTTAAGAACGCACAAAGCTTTGCTTTCATGTGGAAATTTCACTTGGCTTCTGAAAACAACACAGCACCTTAGGATTCGGGGTTCACATCAACATCTCTGGCAAGGGGTTAAGTCCCACGCTTTGAAAGATTTAGCCTAGCCTAATTCAAGACATACCTGTTTTGTTTTGTTTTTTTCTGTTTTAACTTCAAATATGACTACCCTCAGTCACTGTATCAGTCAAGGTCTAGATAAGAAACAGATGGCATACTCAAATTAGGATTAGTTAAGGAGATCTTACTTACAGAATACTGTTTTCAAAGGTGTAGGCAGAGCACCGGGAAACCACACAGGCTATGCAGCAACCTAGAATTAGTAGCAGCAAAATTATTTTCCCTGGGCCAAAATGGCTGAGGTGAAGGAAAAGTTAGAGGGTCCCAGAAGGAAAGGAGGCTGGCTGCTTAGTGACAGCAAGCAGAGGCCGGTCCTCTCTGCTACTCAGGAAGGACACAGGACAATAGAAGCCTTGGTATCATTTAACCACCTCCCTCCAATCTCCCACCAAAACTCCCCATAAGCAGAACTCAGCTGACAATCAAAGGGCAGAAGAGCCCCTGGAGTTCTCCTTCCATACTGGCTTCCTGGGAAAAGAGCAGGAAAGGCAGGAGACCTAAAATAAAATCCTATGTCTCTTCAACTGACTGAACAGACTCCCCCTGGGCCAAGGGAAACCTGAAACATGAAATTTCTGGCCATCGCCAAAAGGGAGGTCAGACACACCTCCTTATGCCCTTTCCCTTTTTGAGTTTAGGCACAACTGACTTCAGCATTAGCATTCAAATAGAAATCATTAGACTGACAAAACAGACTCTTTGGGAATAAGATACCCAATTCCAACCTGACTCTGATATAGCATCGCATGACAGATAGCAGACTCTGAAGGAAATCAAAATATTGTATCCCAAAATGTTTCTTTGACATATTTTGAAATGACCCTGCAAAGCTGTCTTTTCTGAATCTATGAAGAACCTCCATGAATGCAGCCAGGACTTCCCTGGATCTAGCACAGATTCGGTGGGAGACGGACACCTTTTAAGATCTGAAAACAAGACATCTACCATCTATTCCCTCTGAAGCCTGCTATCTGAAAGCTTAACCTACGTAACAAGATGTTGGTTTCCACAACGCCCCTTATCTTTTTTTTTTTTTTTTTTTTTTTTTTTTTTTTTTTTTTTTTTCTGGAAACACAATCTTGCTCTGTCGCCCAGGCTGCAGTATAATGATGTGATCTCGGCTCAACACAACCTCTGCCTCCCAGGTTCAAGCGATTCTTGGTGCCTTAGCCTCCCAAGTACCTGGGACTACAGGTGCATGCCACCAAGCCTGGCTAAGCATTTTATTTTTCACAACCCCCCTTATCTTAAATCAAGCATTTCTTTCTACCAGCTTCAAGTCTTTAGATAAAGCTTAACTCTTTCAATCAACTGTCAATCAGAAAATCTTTGAATCCAACTATGATCTGTAAGCCGCAGGCTACTTACCCCCATTTCAAGATGTCCTGCCTTTCTTTGCTGAACCAATGTATACCTTTCATGTACTGATTTGTCTTTGCCTATAACTTCTGTCTCCCTAAAACGTACAAAACCAAACTATAACCCAGTCATCTTAGACACGCTTTCTTAGGACCACCAGAGACTGTTTCCCAGGCCATGGTCACTCATATCGGCACAGAACAAACCTCTTTAAATATCTTCCAGAGTTTCTTTTTTTAATCAACATTCCCAAAGATCTCTACCTCCTATTCCCAAAAACCTGTAAATATCTGTAAATTAAATGTGTAAATTAAGTTTGCAGATGGATTGCGGTTGCTAAGCAGCTGACCTAAAGATAGGGAGATGATTCCGAACTATCTGGATAGGTCCAGTATAATCACGGAGAACCTTAGAAATGGAAGAGAAAGGGCCAGGCACGGTGGCTCATGCCTGTAATCCCAGCACTTTGGGAGACCGAGGTGGACAAATCCCAATGTTAAGAGATCGAGACCATCCTGGCCAACACGGTGAAACCCTGTCTCTACTAAAAATACAAAAATTAACTGGGCATGGTGGTGTGTGCCTGTAGTCCCAGCTACTCGGGAGGCTGAGGCAGGAGAACCACTTGAACTTGGGAGGCAGAAGTTGCAGTCAGCCGAGATGGCACCACTGCACTCCAGCTCTGGCGACAGTGGGAGACTCTGTCTCAAAAAAAAAAAAAAAAGTAGGAGAGAGTCCAGGAGATGAGACTGTGGAGATGACCAGAAATGCCCGTATTGCTGGCTTTGAAGATGGAGGAGGGGCCACAAGCCAAGGAATGCCGACAGTCTCAGGAAGTTGGAACAAGTAAGGAAAGGGATTCTTTCCTAGGGCCTCCAGAAGGTAAGAAGCTCTGCTGACACCCTGATGATTGCAAGTGAGAACACACTGGGTTCCTGAGCTATAGAACTTTAAAACAGGAAATCAATATTAAGTTTGTGATGATTTGTTCCAGCAGCAATGGAAACTACACACTGAGGAAGGACAAAGAATGTCTTTGGAGAGGCAACTGGAAGATGTTTAGCATCATCGCCCATTGATGTCTTCTGATGTATTTGGTCAGACCTTGTCCCCTGAATCTAAGCCTTAGACTAAGACTTCCCCTTACACTAAAAGGGAACAGCGTGATATAATTTCAAGACTTAGGCTTTGGTTTCAGGCTGACCTGAGTTTGCATCCTGGCTCTGCCACTTATGAGGTATGTGGCTTCAGGGAGTCACATACGGATGAGGAGTTTCCTCATCCGTAAAATGTGGATGATAAATATGAGAGTGACCTCATGGCATTAGTGTAAGGGTTGAATGAATAGTACATATAAAACACTAAGAAAGAACAGTGCCCAACACAGAATAGATGCCCAGTGAATGCTTGGACTTCTAGTCTTGTCATCTTAACTATGGTTGTTTAAAACATGTCTGAAAATTCTTTGATATCTCCTCTCCCCACCACCCCAGCTTTTTAAGTAGTGAAGCACAATTACCCTCCCCCTGAAAGAAGGATGAAATTGCTTCTAACAAACAGAATAAGGCAGAAATAATACTGTTTGACTCTGAGACTAGGTCATAAAACCTACTGGGGCTGCATATCATGTGATTCTAACTATATAACATTCTGGAAAAGGCAAAACAGGAAAAAGATGAGTGGTTGCCAGGAACCTGCAGGGGGAGAGCAGGGAGGGAAGAATAAGTGAAGTACAGGAGACTTTTACAGCAGGGAAACTATTCTCTATGATATTGTAATGGTGGATGGGTAACATTATGTATTTGTCCAAACCCATAAAACTGTCATAATAGCTAAAACACGGAAGCAACCCAACAAGGGCCCATCAAAAGATGAATGGATATGCCAACTGTGGTATATACATACAATGGAATAGCATTCAGCCTTAAAAAGGGGTGGGGTGTGGTGGCTCAAGCCTGTAATCCCAGCACTTTGGGAGGCCAAGGCACGCAGATCAATTGAGGTCAGGAGTTTGAGACCAGACTGCCACATAAGGAAACCCAGTCTCTACTGAAAATACAAAAAATTTGCCAGGCATGGTGGTGGGTGCCTGTAATCCCAGCTACTCAGGAGTCTAAGGCAGGAGAATCACTTGAACTCAGGAGGCAGAGTTTGCAATGAGTCAAGACTGCACCACAGCACTCCAGCTAGGCAACAGAGTAAGACTGTCTCAAAATAAATAAATAAATAAATAAGAAAGAAAGAGAGAGAGAGAGAAAGAAAGAAAGAAAGAAAGAATGATTAATTCACACCCTCACACTTGCTTCCACGCAGATAAACCCTGAGGACAAGATGCTAAGCAAAAGAAACCAGCCACAAAAGGACATATGCTGCATGATTCCACTTATTTGAGATACTTAAGAGTAGTTAAAATCATAAACACAGAAAGTAGAATGTTGGTTGCCAGGGACTAGGGAAGGAAGGAATGAGGAGTTACTTTTTAATGGGTACAGAGTTTCAGTTTTGCAAGATGAAAGGAGTTCTGGAGACGGGTGATAGTGTTGCTTGCGCAACAATATGAATGTATTCAATGTTACTGAACCATACACTTCAAAATGGTTAAGACGGTAACATTTATTTTATGTGTATTTTACAATAAAACATTAAAAATATAGAATCATGCAACAGAGTGAATTAATATGTAAACTATGGGCTTTAATAAAAATGTAATGTAATAACGTGTGTTCATGAATTGTAACAAATACACCACACTGAGATCAGATGTTAATAGGAGAAGCTATCTCAAAAAAGTCATGGACTCTCTCTCTCTCCCTACCTCTTGCTCTAAAGGACAAAAGCTGCCATGCTGTAAGCACCTCTCTATCATGGCACATGTGGCAGGGAATTGAAGCTTCTGATCAGTAACCACTGAAGGGCTCAGGCCTCTCAACACACACAGGTGAGCCTGGAGACATCCTCCAGCCCCGGCTGAGCCTTCAGGTGACACAGCGCCAGCCAACATCTCAGCTGCAACATCAGGAGAGACCTCAAAAGATAGCTGTTTTCATTGGTATGTTTTGCATTAATTTGTTATGCAGCTATAGATAACTAATATGTTAACCCAGAAAAAGGCACCATAAAAGGCAGATTTTAAACCTTTATTAGAGGTGAGAGAATTTGAAACGTTTGTAACTTTCCTCAAAATAACTGAACACACTCAGTGTCAAACTGGGGCCTAGGAATCACTGTTGCAGAAGCTGGCAGTCTAAGAAATGCATAATTATTCAGTGGCAATGAAAGGTTTTGCTTTAAATGAGAGGGGAAAAAAATCCTGCCTTTAGGATTCAAAACTACCCAAATCATGTGCCCTCCTCATAGAACTTCGGTCTCCAAGCTGGTGCTAACGCAGGGAAATATGGTTCTTTCCTGTTCATCAGCATTTTACCCTCCAACCTTCTGTCAAGCTGGCATGTTTTGTTCTGTTTTTTTTTTTTTTTTTTCCAGAAAGCAGAAAACTAACAGCTTATCCTCAGATTTTTGTGCCAAATTCCAATCCAACTGCAATTCATCTAAGGATCCAGAAAGCCAGACAGAGGCCATGACATTGACACCTCTTGTCCTGCTCAGACCTCCAGGACTTGCCCCGACCAGGCTTCCAGGGAAGTGGAAGAGGAAATGCCCTCTCATGCATCCCAGCTGGTTTTCCACTGATTTCAACCCACTGGCCATCTGGTCCCTTCTCCCCGCTATGCACACAGTTTGGTCTGGGGAGTGGAAACTTTCTGCGGGATTCAGCATTTTTAATTTTTCTACTTTTTTTTTTTTTTTTTTTTTTTTTGCAAACCAGCATACATGAAGAGAGCAGAGGACATTGGCTGGTATGTAATATGTCAGTGCTAATCCACACATAGACACTGATGCACAGAAAATCCAGGATGCTGCTTGGCATGAGTCCAATAGAATCACTGCGTATTTAAAAACACAGCCATTCAACTCTATTAGGATTGCTGGGTGTGGCCTTAAATAGGAAGGATAACCAAAAATCCAACCCAAGTGGTAAATAATTCCACTTAGCTTTTCTGCAGAATTTGTTCAAGAAAAAAAAAAAAAATCAAAGCTCTAAAGCAATCAAATACAGTTTCATTTTAATGAACTTTATTCATTTTGCTTAATAATGGGTCACAAAAGCTCCTACTAAGTGCTTCATTCATACACATATATATATATATCTCCATGGAGATATATATATATATATGGATTTTATATATATATATGGATGATATATATATATGGATGATATATATATATATATATATCTCCACGGATATATATATGGATATTGAGGTACAGTGTACATATAGCTTGGGGCAGGGTGCAGTGGCTCACACCTGTAATTCCAGCACTTTGGCAGGCTGAGGTGGGCAGATCCCTTGAGGTCAGGAGTTCGAGACCAGCTTGACCAACATGGTAAAACCCTGTCTCTACCAAAAATACAAAAATTAGCTGGGTGTGATGGTGCACGCCTGTAATCCCACCTACTCAGGAGGCTCAGGCAGGAGAATCATTTGAGTCCAGGAGGCGGAGGCTGCAGTGGGCCAAGATTGCACCACTGCACTCCAGCCTGGATGACAGGGTGAGTTAGATGCCATCTCAAAAAAAAAAAACTAATAAAATAAAATAATAAATAAATATAGGCTTGCTTCCAATATATTCATAAGCAAGTATATATGAAAAAGTTTAGAAAATATGGTTTGCGGAGTCAATCCCCCGCCAAAAAATATAGGGATATCTGTAGAATGGAAGCCCTGTGCTTCCCATCTTCTCTAACTTCCTACAGCAATAATGTATCATGCCTAAGTATACAGACCTAAAGAGTCCTCACAATGGGCCATTAACTGAACCAAAACTGCAAGTCTTTTCATTAGCGTTATGCACATTGAAATGCATTCTACAGGCCAGGTGTGGTGGCTCACACCTGTAATCCTAGCACTTTGGGAGGCCGAGGTGGGCAGATTGTCTGAGTTCAGGAGTTTGAGACCAGCCTGGGCAACACGGTGAAACCCTGTCTCTACTAAAATATAAAAAATTAGCCTGGCGTGGTGGCGGGCACCTGTAGTCCCAGCTACACAGGAGGCTGAGGCAGGAGAATCGATTGAATCCAGGAGGCGGAGGTTGCAGTGAGCCGAGATTGCACCACTGCACTCCAGCTTGGGCGACAGAGCGAGATTCCGTCTCCAAAAACAAAAAATAAAACAAAACAAAACAAAAAAAAGAAAAAAAAGAAAGAAAATGCATTCAACGGACTGTTTTTTTTTTTTTTGTAAGTGACCAATAGATACCAACAGTAGTATTCCACTGAGTTAGTAAAATTGAAAACTTGAAAGTATTATTGAAAAATCAACATAAATTATTACAAAAGTTTACTAAGGACTACAATTAAATGTTGTACCAGGAAGTCTAGCTATCAAGAACTTCACAGAAATGTTGCAAATATTCTCCCGCAAAAACTCATGCACACGGCTTTCATTCTTGGAATTTTCAGGAAGGACTTTCTGATCTCATGCTATTATCAAAGTTGTTAAGCGGGACTCAATTCAATGTTTTAAGAAAACATTACTGTTGTGGTTTTATGGGGTTTGGTTAATGCTAACACTTTAGCATTAACTGCACTTTTTTCTGATAATTTCTAAATAATTGGACTTTAAGACATACAGAGATTGTGACTCAAATAAATGCATATTCCTACTGCTAAGTAAGAGGTAAGTATCTCTCCCACCAAATACAGTTGCACCCCAATCCTTCATCACTACTGAGCTTTCTGTGACCTCCCTGTCTCCCCCCACCTCCAACACACACAGTCCCACCAGAAGGTTAAAACAGGTGAAGTGGTTGGGCTGTAGTATCCTTTTTCCTTGCCTACTAGGGTCATGGTAAAAGAGTCTGAAAGTTATTGTTCTGAAAAAGATGGGCTCTTACTTTTTTGTGTGTCCCATATAGCACTTTGAGAATGTGATTTTTAAAAAGCTATGAGCCTTCTGCCCAGATAAAAATGTTTATTCTTTAAATTTTAAATGCAATTTCAAGCCCTTGAAGTTCACTGGTGCCTCCCATCTAAGTTAAAAATTCCTTTCTCAGAAGAGGAAATAGGAGACGTGTTGTATTTGTCCCTATCTCTCACAGACTAAAACATCTAAAAGTGGAGAAAGGAAAACATTCCCACCAGTCTGAAAAATAAAAAGAGACAGACACTGTCTGACCCAGGGCCTTTTCTTTCCAAGATTATTTTTCTCTATTTTCTTAGAATCAGAAACAGGAGATGACTTAAAAACTATCTAAGTGATAGGTATTTGCATATAGGTTCATCAAGTTACTAAACCAAATTACCAAGTTACCACACAATTCCATGGGAGTTTTTCCACCCCTCCCCAAAAAAGCAATGGCAAAAAAAAAACACAAAACATTATGCTAGAATGGATGGTTCTATGATGCCACCTAAAAGCATTTTCAACTCTGAAACCTGTGTTGCCTTCCCAGAGCAGCCTGGCCTCCATGCCTTTATACATCAGAAGTTACTTCTGGAAATCTTGGATGGTTCAGTTCCCCATCTCTTTAAAGCTCCCTCACATGCCCTGTGCTGAGAAGTGACACAGTTCCAGTAACGTCCTGCAGCTTCTCAATGTTCTTTGCTGAGGGAATTGTCTCAGTTCCCATTGTACACAAAGCGTTTTGTGTCACCCTCAGGTGGCTGCCTCCACCAGGCTTTGAAGGGAGGGGACTGATTTTTGGTGGTGGAGGGGAGAGAGATGTTACTACAGAAAAACAATAATACATAGGATGATAGTATATGTAAAGCACCTCAGGAAAGAGGAGTATTCTTCAGGCACCCAATTACTGTTACAAAATAAGATCGTAATTCCAAATGCTTTAAGAATAGACATTTCTTCCCATCTATCAAGCACTTTTCTCAGAGTAACTGAAAAATAAGCTAATACCTCATGATAAGCTTGCCTCTTTGGAAAGCGTAATCCTTCTTCTCAGCCAAAAAGGCACCATGTAACAGGGGTGGCAAATACATTTCATTTCACATAGTAATTCCAATTGGTTGACAGTCTATGCCTAGAGAGATGCACTGAGGATTCTAAGAAGGTGACGCTGATGAGGGGGGAAAAGAATTGATTATCAATGTCTGCCACGTGCAGGGAGCTGGGAGGGCTGATGCCTCCCGCTTGCCATTTTGATGTAGAGCATTACTGAACACCAAAGGAAAATGCAGGAATAGAAAAGCTGTATAATATATAAGCTGGACTATAGTTGGGAACATAATTTTTTATAAGTCTACTTTACCAGGCAATTTTTCAAGGACGTTTCTAAACTACATTTTAAAAGACAAAGTCTTGTTGGGCAGTGCTACTGTGATCGAATGGAGGATGAAATGGTTTGAGTAATACCGTCTTGTTTCTTCCTAGACTGGCATCTGCCACAAGGGGCAGCCCATCTGCTCCATCCTTGGGGAAGAACTAAATGAGTGTCCCTTGGCTGAGACGGCTGAATGGAAGATGCCCTGACATCAGCCACCATGTGTGTCCTCAAATACATGTCTCTGGTGTTATGCTACAGATGCCCACGGCATATTTTGCTCTTTGTCTGAGTTAGTGGGGCAAGGTTCTACCCCAGGGACGTTTGGCAAAATCTGGAGACGTCTTTGGTTGTCATGGATGGGTGAAGGGGGTGCTACTAACATCTAGCAGGTAGAGGCCAGGGATGCTATTAAACATCCTACAGTGTACAGGACAGCCTGCACAACAGATAATTATGCAATCCAAAAGGTCAACAGCACAATCGGGTTGACATTAAACTCATTGTAACTCAATAGTATGCTCTCTGCTGCTTAAAACCCACCACAGCTTCCCAGCTCAATGGTTAAGCCTAGAGGCCCTGAGTGTGACTCCTGAGCTGACCATCCACCCTGTAACCCTAAGCAAAGCACCTGAGGTCTCTCAGCCCCCACATCCCCATCCTGAAACAGGATGAGAGCAGGGTCTACTCCACAGGGTTGTTATGAGGACAAAGATGTGAACGTGGAATTAAAGATCTTAACAAACTACTTGGCAGATGGAAAGTGTTAGCAAAAAAACAGCAATGACAAGAACTGCAAAACATTCTGTTACGGTATGAAGGTTTGTGTCCCCGCCAAAATTCACGTTCAAACTTATTCTCCAATGCAACACTATTAAGGACTGTTTAGACCATGAAGACTCTGCCTTCATGCTTAGATGGGAACCTTACCCAAAGGTTGGAGAGAACTAGTCAGACTCTTCAGCACTTCTACCTTCCACCATATGAAGATGCAGCCAGGAAGCACCATCTTGGATGCAGAGCGGGCATCCCTCACTAGACATTGAACTTGCCACACCTTGATCATGGACTTCCCAGCCTCCAAAACTATGAGAAAACAACTTCTCTTCTATTCCTTTCTTTTCTTTTCTTTTCTTTTTTTTTTTTTTTTTTTTTTTTTTGCGCAACAGTCTCGCTCTGTCACCCAGGCTGGAGTGCAGTGGCGCAATCTCAGCTCACTGCAACCTCCGACTCCATTCAAGCAATTCTTCTGCCTCAGCCTCCCAAGTAGCTGGGATTACAGGCACCCACCACCACCCCCAGCTAATTTTTGTATTTTTAGTAGAGACATGGTTTCACTAAGTTGGCCAGGCAGGTCTTGAACTCCCGACCTCAGGTGATCCGCCCACCTCGGCCTCCCAAAGGGCTGGGATTACGGGCATGAGCCACCGCGCCTGGCCAACGATTCCTATTCTTTCTAAATCACCCTGGATAAGCATTTTGTTATAGCAGCAGAACTAGACTAAGACACTTCCAATAGGGACATAATTCATGACAGTCATCACGGTAGCCAAGTCAGACCAGAATCACCACATGGCTTCATTTGGTTCTAAACCCCATTCATCCACCAACATGTAAGGGTGCAGCTCAGCCAGAGCATCAGGTTTGGCAGTGTCTGTCAAAATGAAAGGCATGTTTCCTTTGACCTAACAATTTCACCTCTAAGAATGTATCCTACAGACATGTGTGGGAAGTGGTGGCGGTTGAAGATATTCCATGTAGCGCTTCAAAAATGGAAACAACATAAATATCCATCAAAAGGAGGCCAATTAAATAATGTAAGCATGTGCAATGGAATACTATATATCCATTAACAAAGGTGGAGCAGAAAAAATACACGTGCGTGTGCACACACACACACACAATGAGAGGGAATAATCCTTAAAAGGTATTCTTAATTTTTTTAAAAAGAGCAAACAGTGGAACTATGCATTTCATATGCTATCTTTTGTTGGTATAAATATCTGTGTAAATGTTTGTATTCGCATAAAATATATATGAAAGGGTGCATGAGAAACTATAAAAATAGTTGTCTCTAATAAACTGCAAGGCAAGTGCAAGAGAGATTTATTTTTCTCTGCATACTCCTGCATTTTTGAATATTGTACCATTTAATCAAAACTATTAAATAAATAAAGCAAAGCATCAAATATGCCCTGTAACATACATCATTCCCTGCCTAGAAACGACCCTACCTCTCTTGCACTACATGCTGGCAAATTATCCCTTGCTTAAAATGAATAGTTTTTAATTATTTGAGTGAATCTTTTTCCTGTATAGAGGCCCTCATTTTTGATCCAAACAATGTCTGCGGAGGAACTAACTATTAGCACGCAATTTGCTGTGCTCACGGTAACAACGTAAACTGCAAGAGTTTCTCATCACAACTCAGATGACAAACGACAAGGCCATACCCAACCCTACACTACCTTCCTTTGCAAACTCCAGCTTTGAAATAAGGAGCTGTTATCAATTAGCAGAGCCAGTAGCTTCTCAGAAGCTAAGCTGGATCCTAAGCTATTATTGGCACCTGAACAATGGCTGGGAGAGAGGGAAAAAAAAAAAAAAAACTTACACTAGGTTTTGCATTTTGAAACCACTTTTCTGGGAAAAGACAAATTATATTACACAGATAATTTAGAGGATTTTACCTTATGACATAAATTCTGCTGGTCCTTCTCCAAACCTAAAAAACGTTGCCTCATGATCTTTTCATTTATAACTGTAGCAGAATATACTTGTGTTGTTTTTACTACCGAAAATAATTAATGTTGCTTTAAAAAAAAAATCAAATGGCAAGGGCACACTGACATCTGCTGGCATTTCATAAACTTTTTTTAAGACAAGCATTTGTTCCAGACACTGCTCTCTACTTATTCTTCTGCAATGAGGCACATCCATAGTCTCCCAAAATGATGATTCCCCAGTAGGCTCCACCAAATTACGTAAAGACAGGATCATCAAGGAACAAAAAGCTCAAGAGCCTCTTTCTCCCTGGAGTGGATCCCTTTCTTTCTTTCTTTCAGTGAAGCAATCTGGAGTGCTACGGAATGAATAATTGTATATTTTTTTAATAAGTAGAAGAGTTGGGTTAGAGGCAAATTAAATTCTCTGAGCTGCTTTCCCTGGTTTTATTTTTTTAAGTGGCAATTCCACCAATCTTTGTCTCAAAATGTTGAACAAATGAGGACACAGGGGGACCACACCCTACCTAGGCGAGAACGAGGAAAATACAGCTAAATGTTTCTTGTTCCAAGACCAGCAAGGAAGAAGGAATCTCAGAAGGAAGGAAGCAGCAGAATTGAAAGCACGGATAAAAGAGGAGGATGTCTAAAAACAGAACCTTTAAGAAAGAGGCTAAGGGTCTCTGTGGTGCTAATACAATCCTTGAAAACACACTCCAAAATGCCGAAGTCCCCAAAGCATTTCCCAGAATTTAAAAAAATCTCTGAAAGTGACACAGAGCCAGTGAGGGAACAATTCAGGGGTGGACTACAGTGAACAAATGACCTCCCCTTTCTCGTGAGACTGTATGGTGTTATGAAGATATGTTCATAAGGCTGGGGTCTGCCTCCTGTGATGCTGTCACTCACTGAATGTACCATACAAACAGAAAGGGATCAGTCCAGGAGGGATGTGAGGCAAAACAGAGCTATGCTCTGCACATGCTGTAAGCAGCGTGCCCAGCAACACTGACCCTCATTCTGCTGGGCTCTGAAGTCAGCAATCTCCCCACTGTCATACTGTTCGTGGCTCCTTCTCTTCCTGCTGCAATACATGCACGTATGCGCATGCCACATACATGCATGTACATACATACACACACGTGCAGAAATGTACACAAAAATGCACGTTTGCACACATACAGAGATGTGTGTGCACATCCACTCATGTGCACATACAAGTGTACACATCTACACATGCACACACAGAGGCACACACATTGCTTTTCTGGCATGGTGCTCCTTGTACCTTATTCTCGCACCTATCTTGAATATGCTTATAAAGGATGGTACTAGTTAAGATCTTCCCCATCTCAAAAATAACACAGGGCACAGGCTCCTGAGAGCAAGGCTGCCTGTTCTGGCCTCTGCAGGCTTTGCCAGCCACATCCCTTCCCTTGCTCTCACCACCCCAGGCACGCTGGCCACCTTGCTGTTCTCAGGATGTGCAGAGCCCTCTCCTTCCTCCCCCGGGCTTCTGAACACACTGCCACCTCTGCTCACCATGGTCTCCTCTCTTCTCTTCTCCCCACTGGTCACAGCTTGGCCCTTCTCAGTCTTCAGGCCGTAGCTTAAATGTGGCCCAATACCTCTCCTTGGAGACATTTCCCTGATGTTCCTACCGAACAGGGTCACTCACTCTTTTATTACATGAATGCTCCATTCTGTTGCCGTTTTAATACTTATGATAACGGGTAATTCTATTGTCTTTTTACCTGCATTCATGTTTCGTGTCAGTCTCTCTCACTACAGCATAAGTTTCACTAGGCAGAGATGATGTCAATATTGGTCAATATACCCACCCCATACAGTATCCCCAGTGCCTAACAGTGCCTGGCCCAGAGCATGGGCTCAAAAATGTTTGCTGAATGCATGAAAAAGGCAATAAATGGCCCAATAAAAGTGAATTTATATAGCATAAATAGTGCTCCAGGAAAATGTTTTTTAAAAGGAGAAAATAAGAAAGAGTAACCATTTGCACTGTTGGGACTCAAAATTGCATTTCTCTAACTTCAGGTCTAGCTCAAGATACCAAGCACTGCACTATATGGTCCTATTTTCCAGGGTTCCTGGTGTTTTAAAGGGCTGTAATTTATGTATACCTTTCAATGTTCACCTACCTTATATACCTTTATATTGCTTTCTTATTCAATATTTGAATATGTTCACATTAGGTACCTTGCAAAGGTATTCTTTTGATACAGTAACATACATCACAATAAAAAGAGAAAATTAAAATGGAAGGGTAGAGAAATAAAACTGAGTCAAAAGTGAGGTTAATACGCAAAATCCATGCTATCAAATTCTATTTACTACTGTGACTGAACTATAAAATCAGCTCTGAGATTCCTGGCAGGCTTTGTGAAAAGGGAACATGGACAGGTATTCCACTTAGAAGTGTCTGGTACATAAATACCAATCAGAACCTGAAGAAAGGACAAACTCTTTCTGATCCTGAAACCAAAGCTAACACAGTAATAGCCAACAGAGTCCTCAAAAATATCATCATAGGGCTGGGCATAGTGGCTCATGCCTGTAATCCCAGCACTTTGTAAGGGAAGATTGCTTGACCCCAGGAGTTCAAGACCAGCCTGGGCAACATGGTGAAATCACAACTCTACAAAAAAATACAAAAATTTAAAAACACGAAAATTAGCCAGGCTTGGTGGCACATGCCTGTGGTCCTGGCTACTCAAGAGGCTGAGGTGGGATCACTTGAGTCCAGGAGGCAGAGGTTGAAGTGAGACATGATTGCATCACTGCACTCCAGCCTGGGCAACAAATGAGACTCTCTGTCTCAAAAAAATAACAATAATAATCATAGCAAATAACATTAGAGAGTTGAATTCTTCATAGCTCGCTTGTCCTGCTGGGTTCTTACCAGAAGTTCTTGGTTCTTATCCCTCACCTACATTCAATAACATGTTTTTCTTTCCCCTTTTTTTTTTTTTTTTTTTGAGACGGAGTCTCGATCTGTCGCCCAGGCTGGAGTACAGTGGCGCGATCTCGGCTCACTGCAAACTCCGCTCCCCATGTTCACGCCGTTCTCCTGCCTCAGCCTTCCGAGTAGCTGGGACTACAGGCACCCGCCACCACGCCCGGCTAATTTTTTGTATTTTTAGTAGAGACGGGGTTTCACCATGTTAGCCAGGATGGTCTCGATCTCCTGACCTCGTGATCCACCCGCCTCAGCCTCCCAAAGTGCTGGGATTACAGGCGTGAGCCACCACGCCCGGCCATGTTTTTCTTTCAAATGCTAGATTCAACTGTAAAAATTCTCAAACTTTAAATAGTCTATCCTCTTTCAGTGTGCATATATAATGTCAAGTTTTTAAAATTTGTGGCTAATCGGCTTTCTTATACTATTTCTCATTATAAACTGACACCAGCGAAGCACAATTCAGTAGAAATAAGTTTATAGAATGGGGTGGATGGTTCCTTGTTCTTGTTATGAACTTTTGAAGATTATTTTAGGTTTACACAGACAAAACCAATAAAGTTTCCTGAGCAAAATGAATGAAATTCACTAGGAAACAAAATATCTTTCCACAAATCACAGCACACTAACTAGGGAACCTTTTGTATCAAAGAGTCATGGGGTGAGAGGCTATTGTCTGAATACCACAAGGTAAAAAAAAATAAGAAGTGACTAGCTCGGAAGTCTGTGTGATTGCTGCTTGACTTAACTCACTCCCAGGTAGCCATCCTTGGAGACAGAATCATTTGCCTTTTAATAGACAAGTAAATGGAGGCTCAGAGAGGTGCAGTAACTGGCCCAAGCTCACACAGCCAGGAAGTGGCAGAATCTGGATCCACAAGTTAAGTGTACCTGGCTGCCATGACTTTGTCCTTTCGCACCTTGGCGCTCAGGGAATTCAGTCTTCTCAAAGCTTTTCTGACTCCAACATAGCCCCATTCAGTGCCTTATCACCTTGAAGGCAAGACACTTCTTTAACCAGCATCCTACCTGCTGTAATTCAGACTGAACAATCTCTCCAAATCAGAAATGAGAAATCTTTCTACAAAGAGCTTCATGTTCTTTTTTTTTACAGATAGGGTCTTGCTCTGTTGCCAAGGATGGAGTGCAGTGGCACAATTACAGCTCATAGCAGCCTTAAACTCCCAGAGCCAAGCAATCCTGTCCCAGCCTCCTGAGTAGCTAGGACTACAGGCATGAGCTACCACACCCAGCTAATTTTTTTTTTTTTTTTTTTTTTTTTAACAGAGACAGGGTCTCATTATGTTGCCTAGGCTGGTCTCCAACTCCTGGCTCAAGCAATCTTCCTGCCTCAGCCTCCCAAAGTGTTGGGATTGCAGGCAGGAGCCACCATGCCCGGTCATCATGTTCTTAAAGAGAGGTATCAACCATGCCCTTTATTCTCCCTCAAGGAAACTACTGCACTTTCTCTAACCTGTGAAAAGGACTATTTTCCCTCCACTGGGGAATTTCTGCATGCACACACTCCCTCCCTCCTCTTATCAGCCTTTGCAATCAACAGCAACCTGAACTGGACTCAGCTTTCTAAGGATACTGAAGAAATAGGTATGACATTTACAACGTGGTAAAAGTGAGCCATGCCATGGACATCTTCAGGAGACTCACTTGAGAACACAGGCAGTGACCCAGAATCAAGACAGGGGGCTGGTCCCAAGGGAAACAGACACCAAGCCAATACCCCTGGGATCTAGCCAGGGCTACTGTTGCTGAATCAGCCCTCTCAATCCCCTGCTCCGTCACTTTTCATAACGAGTCTAATAAATTAGTGTTTCTCTCTGCCAATCAATCAGAGCCCATGCATATGGCTGCTGTCAGCATCCTCTGCAGGCGGAACTCCACACAGGGCCTCAAGTCTGTCAACGATCTCAACCGTACATTTGCAGCTACGCTGGGTTCTTCCCCCTTCACTCTCAATTTGTCACCTCAGTTACAGTCAAGAGGAAAATATACGAAGCACATTCTGGGACCAATTTGCTGCCCAAAGGGATTGTGAAATTCTAGCAACAAAAACAAGGTTAATAATGATATCATTATTATCAATGGATAATAGTAATCGTCATGATTATCATAGTCAGCCCTATGACTCCTACTTGCACTAAACACACACTAGGTGCCAGGCACTTTGCTAAAATAATTTACCAGGCTGATTAATCCTCAGACGGACTGTACAATGTAGTGATAATCTCCATTTGTAGGGATGGACTGAGGTTCAGAGAAATTGAAGAAAGTGAAAGGTTATGGACTTAGAAAGTGATGGAGCTGGGATCTCAAGCCAGACACACTGATTCTGGAATCTCAGTGAAATACCTGCACTGCCTCCTTCCTAGTACCTTATCATGGTGCCTCTGCTATTCCCTGCATCCCAAGCATGCCCTCTCCACACACAGCAGGGGAAGAGAACTGCTTGAGTCTGCAATCTCGGTTTGCCATTTAGTCACTGGGCCTCAGTTCCTTCATCTGTCAAGTGGTATAATAAAGGGTTTGCCATGAAGAGTTAATGAAATGACACACAGGAAGCCCTAGCACAGAAGGAGCTTCCAGTGAGTGTCATAGCTATTAGGGTCCCAACCATGGTACAAAGAAGACAATTTTGAAAACCTCAAGTCCTCACCCTCATCTCTGACACTCTATATTCTAAAATTCACAGAAAAGAGACATCAACATCTTGGGGAAATGCAGAACTAGCAATGAACAAGGTGATTGCACAAGTTCATCCATTATGCTGGCAAAGATCTAATTTTGTTCTCAGAAGAAATGAAGAGGGAAGCTGATTCAGATGACGGTGATTAGATGGAGTGAGCAGTGGTTTGCACACCACATTTTGAGTGGCTATCAGAGCAGCTCCAGCTGTGACTGCATGATGCCCAAGGACTGCCTGTAACCAGGCAGGTGGTCCAACCGCTCCCTCAAAATCATACTCAGAGCGTGAGCCTAGATAAAGAGGCCAGAGATGCCCTGGGCAACCCAGGGCCTTGAGACTCCAAGGAGACAAACAACAAAACAAGAGCCAGATTGCACCAGTGCAGAAATCTAGCGAGGCTCTTACACAACGATAAAGTAATACTGCAATAAATAGAAACAAGTGCCTTGTTTTCCTTTTGTGGCTCTAATGGGCTCAGCATCACTTCTCAGAGCAACTCAAGCTATGCAGCAAGAGCTCCCTAACCACTGCACACATTGCCTCCCACCCTCCCTTGTATCTTGCAAAGGCAGCAAAAGAGGCCATGTGCACAGTGATGAGCATCAGGGGCTGTGGACTCAGACTGTCAGGTTCAAAATCTTGGAAGTGCCTCTTACCTGCTGTTGTGTCCTTGGACAAATTGCTTAACGCCTGCCTACACCCCACTCTCTATCTGCAAAATGGGGATCTGAAAAGCACTAACCTCAAAGTGTGTGAGAAGCATCAAATGGAATAATTCATTATTTCCATATGGGGCTTCTGCTGTGTGCCTTGCACCACGCTAGATGCTAAGGAGACAGTGATGTCCAAACAGGTGTATGCATGGTCCACCTGCAGTTGACCATGGAGTGGAGTAAGAGAAAAAGGATAAAACAGAGTCACTCAATAAAATATAAGATGCCCCTGGGATGGCTGTAAAAAACGAGAATCGACACAGGCAAACAGGGACAGTTTCTCTAAGCCTGGGGCTTTTGAGTTGTAACCTGAAGGATGAGCAGGAATCGAATAAGGTGAACTGCTGGGTGGGTGGGGGAGGCGATCACATGCCTGAAACACATAGCACAACACACAGCCATGAAGGTACAGTGCTTGGCTCAGCTTGTGCTACATAGGAAGAGTTCAATCCATGTACACTTATTCTGATGTTCATGTCACATATAATAGGCAATAATGCAGTTCCAGTATTGTGGATAAAGAGACAGTCAATGTGGGAGGAAAACTGAATTGTCCAGGTGTCCAAACCCTCCAACAAATTGCACCTCAACCTTCTAAGGGCAGGGTAGCCTCTGAAGATGGACAACGTCGGCTGCACTCAGAGCTCTCCATAAGCAACCCACTTTGCACTGTCAATATCTGTTATTACCCTGGCCCACACCTACCAATGGGAGAATCTGTGGCCATACTCTGAAAGGGAACCTACCCGGACAGACGATCAATAAAGGGCATCTGAGTGCAACTGTTCTCAGGGTACTCCCAGGAGACTTGTCAGTCAAGCCATCAAAAGGATGTGGTGGTGGGAGGGTGCGGCTGCTCATGCAGGCACACAAGAACACATGATGTTGCCTCTTTGAAGGGAGGCCCCAGAGAAAGAAAATCTAAGTAGGCTAATGTATACAGATGTATCCTCCCAGGGTCTTCCACCCTCACACAAAGAACATTACTGGAAAATGAGGTTCTTTTTCCCTATAAAGTAATCCCTCTTCTTGAATGAAAGATTTTAGTGTAAGCCCTACGAAGTAGGTGGTGGTGGGGAATCGAGTTTAATTTCTCAGACGTTGCAAGGCTTACCTTTTCAGATGTCACTACGTCCACAGACCAAATCTGGTCATAGAAATGAATTGAAACTTTGAAAAAATAGAGCCGGCCGGCCAGGAAGGCATGCTTGTTTATTCACTCATCTCAAAAACACCTAACAATTTTCCCATAATGTTTAAGACATAAATATATCCTGGTATCTCTCTGCATAAAATCCCCCAATGGTTTCCCATTAGAATAACAGCCAGGGTCCCTTCCCAGGCCACAAGGGCCTATAGGACCAACCTTCAACTGTATGATTTTGTCACTATTCCAGCCTCTGGATCGTTGTGCTTGTTGGTCCCCTTCTCTGAAACGCCCTCCATGCAGACAACTATCCTAGAACGGAAGTCTTTTAGGACAAGGTATCTGCATGTATTGATCACTCTGCACTTGAAGTGCTTTCAATAGTGCTTGGCACACAGTGGGTGCCTGATGAACACTCAGGAATTCATAGAAAGTAGGGGTGAATGAGGCTGGGCGTGGTGGCTCACGCCTGTAATCCTAGCACTTTGAGAGGCCGAGGAGGCGGGTGGATCACTTGAGGTCAGGCGTTTAAGACCAGTCATGGGGAAACTCCATCCCTACTAAAAATACAAACACTAGCCAGGCGTGGCAGAGCACACCTGTAATCCCAGCTACTCAGGAGGCTGAAGCATAATAATCACTTGTACCCAGGAGGTGGAGGTGGCAGTGAGATGAGATCACACCACTGTACTACAGCCTGGGATACAACGTGAGGCTCTGTTTCAAAAAAAAGAAAGCGGAGATGAGTAGAATACTCATTGGATAAATGTATGGATCCATACAGATCAGCTACTTCTTTTCATGTACTTCTCAGGTCAAATCTCTCCTCTCTGGAATGTCCCCCCAAGTCACTATCACACTATAATTTTTGGAACCCTTTTCATTATCCTTATGAAAATATATTTCAACGTCTTGCTTATGACGCGGCTTCCCCCACGACAATATAAGCTACAAGAAAGGAAAGTTCTCGTCTGCCTTATTCACCAAGCACAGGGTCTAACATGTGGTACATTCCAAATAAATATTTCTTGCATTAGCCACTCCTTCCCCTAAGACAACACACTCTTCTGTAGCAGCAGGCCACAGTCACCCATGTCTCTTTGACTAGCGAACAATGACAAACCAGTGGTAATGAGTGACAGTGCTCACAATGACTACAGATTCAAAAAATGAGGACAGTTGCCTGTGTATATAACTCCACGCGTCATTTTTCATAAAAACTCCTAGCCCTACGACCGAGTCTAACTGTGTTCACAGTTGACATCATCTGAAAGTGCTAGATCCCCTTGTTTTGAAGCTCCATCACTGATTGATTCTTTAATTAAAGTTTTAATATTTATACCTGTGCCTCGAGGCAGTATTTTAAATAATGGAGGTAGACATTGGGAAGAGCCTCGTGGCTTCTTTAAAAACGTCGCCTCGGTGTTTGAGGTCTCCGGCACGACACTGTGGGTAAATGTGAAAGCGACAGATTAAAGGATGATTTTAGGAAAGTCAGCCAGTATTAATTTGTGGATGATGCTTACTGTGTAACTCCCATGCTGGGTGGCAAAGGCAGGACGAGCTGCCCTCTGTCCTTCAGAGCAAACGTGCTAGGATTTCAATAGTCTCCTTACACGCCACTGGGAAATCGCTGCGTCTCCAAAGTATTTTCTGTGTCAAATACGATTTCCCTCTTGGAATGTGTTCATTACTCCACACATCAGCTTAAAGGATGCAAACGAAATGGTCTAATTTTTGGAAAGGTGAAATGTCAGATTCCTATACAGGGCAGACCCAATTTTCTGGATACAAAAAATATGTACTATCAGAAAGGACTTTGATAAAATATAATAGCTTGGGATGGTTCGAGCTAAAAGGACTAAGCTTAATTTTTTTCTAAAATCATCAGAGACATGAGGATGTCTAGAAGACCTGTGCTCAAACCTTACAGGAGCAGGTTCTATATATATATATATATATAGCTTCAATTATAATGAGAAGAAAAATAGGGCAGAGTGGGTCAATTCCAGGAGGAGAAACCCGCTCAGACCCATGTTTCAGCTTCATTTCTGAGTGGAAAACTCTGTAGCTTCAGGGTGATGTAAAAAACTGTACGTTCTACGGACAGCAAGATTTATTACAACATTACTGAAACTTTATACCTGTTGATTAGATCAGCAAATCCTCATTTCCCTGGCCCCTGAGACCCTGGCCACAACCTTCTACTCTCTGCTTCTATGAGTTTGACGATTTTAGATCCCCGAATCCCTCATGCAGTAAAGGTAAATAACTCCTTGACATCTCCTATACAATACTATCCTTAAAACAGTCATGTATGATATACTTAGAAATCTTTTCACAGGGTACAGCCCATGTTGTGTTCTTGCCACAACAAAACTAAAATTCTTTCTAAAAACTGGATCAAGGTATTTGTGCATTCAGTTCATTTATGGGCAAATGTGTGCCACAGATGTTTATATGTTTATACAATTAAATACTATCACAAATTGTTTAGATACTATCACAAATTGTTTTTTGTTTGTTTGTTTGTTTTGTTTTGTTTTTGAGGCAGGGTCTCATTCTGGTCACCCAGGCTGGAGTGCAGTGGCGTGATATCGGCTCACTGCAGCCTCAACCTTCTCAGGCTCAGGTGATTCTCCCACTTCAGCCTCCAGGGTAGCTGGGATTACATGTGTGCACCACCACACCCATCTAATTGTTTGTATTTTTAGTACAGACAGGGTTTTGCTAAGTTGTCCAGGCTGGTCTTGAACTCCTGGACTCAAGCAATACGCCCACCTCAGCCTCCCAGAGTGATGGGATTACAGGCATGAGCCACTGCACCTGGCCACAAAATTTTATATCTAAACATACTAATTGCAATGTGTGAATCCCAGGAGGAATGATAAAGCCACTTCTAATATTCTTCGATTCTTGTGTTTTCAAAATATTCTATGTATTAAATAAATGATGTTCTAATTAAAAAAAAAAAAACAGATTTGCTAAGGTAATACTTTCATCCCAGGGGGCCAAGGAGATCAAGTCCTTTCAGTGGGTCAGAAGAAATGTACAACTGCTGCAAAAACTTAATTTCAGGTGCTTGTCAAGACAGCAAGTCAAATGCCACCAACCTATATCTTGGCCAGTGGGTGGGCAGCTTGTCCGTGATCCTCCTTGGAACATGCAGAGAGCAGAATGGGAGAGCTTGAGGCTTCTGTTCCTTACTTAAAAGAAAACGTGTGTGTATAAGGCAAGCCACCTGCCTTTCCTGTACCACTCGGTGCTACAAGGCTCAAAAATTAGAGGAATCTACTTGAAAGAATAAAGAAACAAAACTCATAGAATTCAGGCACTTACCATGTGCCAAACTGTTCTAAATGTTTAGTGCTTTAAGTAATTTACCCCCAAACCCTCTGAGGACAGAACTACGACTGAAACTCTGATTTTACAGGTGACAACCCGAAGCTCAGAGAGGTAAAGCAACTTGCCCAAGGTCACACAGCTGGCAGATAACGGATCCAGAAGCCCTGTGCTCTTCTGAGCCATAAAGCTCCACTCTCTGGACCCCTAAGGTGTCACTTCCACTACCGCGAGGAATGATGACTTTTCTTCCTAACCCGAGGCAACCATAAGCTAACTTAAGGAAAGCCCAGGGGATTCTTCCAAACGGAGGGCCTCCCTGACGAGCTCAAAGAGGACACAGGTTTTGAGTCAGCCCCACTTTTTACCAGCACAGCCACTGCCAGCACCACCTTTACCCTTCACAGGCCCCAGGTCCTTTGCTTCTGAACATAAAAGATCTTAGCTAAAAATAAATCTGCCAGTAGCTCCAGCCGGGGCCTCTGTGGTCACTTAAAAATTGAAAGAATCCAGGCCCTCTCATCTTTTTTTTCTCTCTTTTGTAACAAAGATAAAATGATAAATGGAGGGGAGATGAACTAGGACAGGGGGCAGGGAAGGGATGGCAGGCTGGGGCATGTCCTAAACTTGGGCTGTCAAGGCCAGGCCTCTCTGCACAACGGAGTTTAAAAATAAAAATAAACAATCATTATTCTAATAAAGGAAAACCCAAGTTAGGAGACATGATGTTTCAACTCAACAAAGCTATTTCACCACACTCCCCCACTTCTTTTCAAGTTCAACTGAAAAGATCCGCCTTTGGGGTGCCAATTGCCCGGACTGCCTGACCAGGATTTCCAAGCTCTTCAGTAGCCGCACCCCAGATGTTCCAGTGCCAGCAGGTGCACCCCAGCTCTGGCCCACACAGGAGCGATGAGCTCTCCCAGCCCCCTGACCATTCCCTGGCAGCAAGGAATGGAGCTGGGGGCTCCAGGACAAGGTTAGATCGGGGTCTTCCCCTCCCTTGCTGAGTGGACAGCTTCCGGGCTCCGCGTGACACCTGGTCCCCGCAGCTGGCGCCAGGGAGGCTCCAGGAGCTCACAGCCAAGTGGCCTCCTGGGCGGTGGGGAGATGGGAGCGGCGCCCCACTAGCCCCGCCCTCGCTTCCATAGCTGGACAATTGGTTGATTGGAGCTGACAAGCCCCCCCCTGGCCTGCACAACAACACAGGGCTAAGATCTGCTACCCCTGTGTTTCCTTCTCTGGGGTGAAGGTTCTCTAAGGCTCCCAGGAACCAGGGGCACAGTAGGAGTTTCCCATTCGCAGGTTTCCCGGCTGGCCCCCTCCCCTGGGGTCGAGGTGGCACCGCGGGGCATCGATTCCAGTGCCAGTAAACACAGCGGCGCTTTCTCCACATAAGTGAGCCTTCTCTTCCCCTCCTCCCACAAGGGGTTCGGGGCACCTAAACACCCTCCCGGGTCACTAAGATGCCTCCTCCTGCACACCCTGCGGGCGGAGGCAGCGGTCCGGGGGCGCGCTGAGTGCACGCTTGCAGCCGGCCAGGGAGACTAATCAAAGTGCGCAGGCAGGCTCCCGCTGCTCCTGGCACCTAGGACTCGCTCCCAGGAGGACGGACGAGGTAGCCTGGATGCTTCGGAGGGGCGCTCTGGGGCAAGGAAGGACGTGCTTCTGGAAGCGACGCACAAGGGGGCTCAGGGTCTCGGCCTCCTGGGGGTAGGGGGGGACACGCCTCGAGATCTTTCCACACACCCTGAAAAAGTTCCCGTCCAGAGCGCCCAGACTGGCGCTAGGAGGAGGCCAGTTCTCGGGGACCTAGCGCTTCCCTCCATGAGACCTTCTGGACCTGACCCACCAGGTCAGGGTGGGTGCAGAGGCAATGACTCCGCCTGGACTTACCTAGAACTCCCGGCGAGCCCGGCTGCGGTCACGTTCTCGGCCCCAGACCCCCGAATTCCCGTGCGCTCTCTGCACCCCCAGCCACACTCACCATAAGCTGGAGGCGGCGGAAGGGGGTGCTGGTTTCTCACGCACTGTCCGCAACTTCGCGGGCAGGTCAGCCCCGCCCTGGCGCGCCTGCCTGGGCGCGGCGAGGGTCCGGACAGGCGGGGACCCTGGCGGCCACTGGGTGGGGGTCTGGAGCGCAAGGACTCTCAATCCCGGGCGCGCGGTCCGCTCCTGCTCTCTCTGCCTGGGCAAGAAGCTCGGAGTTCTCCTGCTCCGGACGCCGGGGCGGGGCCCACGGCTGGCTGTCCCCTCCAGATGTGGGGTGCTCGGCTCGGCTCACTCCTTCCTTCTTCAGCCCCGGAGGCGCGCGCGTGGGTCCAGCCAGTGCCGCCGCCTCTGCTGTTCCCGGGGCTGGCAGAGCGCCCCCGCCCCACCGCGGGTGCTGCTGGGGGGCTGGGGCGGAGGGGGAGGGATTCCCCTCCGCGAGTTCGGGTTTCCCCACCCGACGCGGCCCCTGGGCTCCGTCCGCCGTCCGCCACCCTCCGCGCTGCTTGGAGAACCACTTCAGGGCAGCGCAGCCAGTCCCACCGACTCTGGCTGGAGGAGGCGGCGGCAGCGCGGCTCGCACGGGGACTGGAAAGGAGGTGACCTTCAAACCCCGCGCTCGGGAGACCAGGAAGGGGGCTGGGGTGATCGAGGGAGCGGTGTGTGCACCCAGACGGCCAGCAAGAGCGCTTGTAGGAGGGCGGGAGAGAATAAAGAGGAAATCTTCCAGTAAAAATATAGATTAGAAAATAAACAAAGGAGAGCCGGAGAGAGCGCGAGAAAATGTGTGCATGTGTGTGTGTGCGTGTGTGTCTGTGTGTGTGTGAGCGCGCGACAAGCAGCGAGCAGCCCCGGCTGCGGAGCCAAAAATAATCTGGTGCGCGAGGGAGCGCCCCCTCCCCCTTCCCCTCGCCAGCGCCGCCGCCGCCGCGGTCACGCGTGCAGCCCTGGATTCCAGCGGGCGGCGGCGGCGGACACGCGACCCGGTACCCTGGTCTCCTGGCCTAAAGGGGACAGAGGGTGAAAGTTGGATGCTGGGGCAATGAGCCCAGGACTTTCACCTGCGCCCGTCCTCGTCCTGGTAGTCCCCAGGTGGGCTCACTCATTGAGCACCAGCGCCCTCCTCCCAACCCCAATCAAAGTAGACAAATCCCCCACTAGAGACGCCAAGTGGAGGCAGCTTCTTGCCCCAGTCCATTTCTTCTCTGAGGAAGTTTTCTGGCAAGTCTTCAAATCTTCCGGCCAGGCAGAGATCGAGCCCTATCCAAGATTCAAAAAGTTCTCCAGGCTGGATGGGATGCAGGGCTGGGGTGGGTGCGGCTGGCCTGGGACGCCCCCACCCCGCACAGCTGGGCCTCTCCTGTCCTGCCCCCTTCCTGGCCACCTACTCCCGCAATGGACGCTGAAGGGGTCTAGGGATTGTCCTCCTAGCAGATGTCTTACAGCCAGAAGCCCCATGACGCCTTAATACACACTAGCACTTAATAAGCATTTACTTTCCACCAGATGCTGTTTTAAGCACTTTACATGGAGTCTTTTCAACAACTGGAAGTAGATACTGGAGGTTTATCCATTTCACAGATGCTTAGAGAGATTAAAGCAATATTTCTCCCTTCCTGGGTCCCACTCTGGACTGGAGTGAGAAACTCTGCTCTTCCCCTACCTTTTCCTTTCCCTCCCTCCCTTCCTTCCTCCCTCCCTTTCTTCCTTCCTCCTTTCCTCCCTTCCTTCCTTTCTCCCTTCCTCTTTTTTCCACAAATATTCCAGGGGGTTTTGTTGTACAATAAAGTCAGTCTGAGGTTCAGTGAGTTGTAATTTGTTCAAGGTCACATAGCTGGCAAGGAACCAGGACTCCCCAGGCAGTCTACCTCATTTTATGTGGCACCACCCTGCCTTCTGAAGGGCAGGTGGCATTGGACAAGGCCAGATTCCAGCCTTGAGCACTTGATCTGAGGCGCCTGTTCATTTTCCCATCCTGTGATGTGACTGTGTTTGCACTTATACCATGGATCCTCTTATAAGAAATGCTGTAAGCTTTCCAAAACAGGGGGCCATGTGATGTGCATTCCTTTGTACTAGATGTACGTGTATTTCCTAGCGCCCATCAAGGAGCAGATTCCTTAAGGGTTCCTCTTGCAATCCTATCGGGCTGCGGTTTCTTTCAACCTCAGAATAAAAGAAAGGGAACTTCTGCCTATAACTATATTACTTTTTAAAGCACGCAATATTTAATCATCATTTGAAAAAGTAAGTTTGCAAAATCCAGAAAGATATCTTTATCATTGGTCCCAGCGATTTTGCAATTTGGGTTGATTTTTACCATATGTTTCCTTAGGATTCTCTTTGATAATAATATATTTGTATGTAAGCAATTTTTTTTTCTTTATACTAGTCTCATCCTTCAGTGATAGCAAAATGAAACCATAAATCTGGGTTGGTAACATCATAATCATTTCCCCCAGAAACTGTTCACAATGGGAAAACCGCCGAATTTAAATGTAATTGTCTAGCCATGCAGGGAGATGAGATGGGTTGTAAAAGAGGTATTCTCAATTTAAAAGCAAATTATCAATAATGATAGAAGAAATAAATGGCAGTTAACGGGAAATTCTGTTGGAATATACTGTTTTGTGCAAATTCACCAACAGGAATTGTTTGTCTATTCTCCTTCATTTTTTATTCCAGAAAGGAACAAATGAATGCAATCATTCAAGGCAGTAACATCAGCTGTTGTTACATTAAAATGGGTAATTGCTGGGCCCTTTGATTATTTTTAATACATATATATATTTACCATTGGAAATAAAACATATTCATCTATCTGAAAATCAAGTTCAGCTTGAGTCTGCTCTGATTTATTTATTGTAGAGTAGAAATAGGCTTAGATAGATTAGTGATGAGTGTCAGGCATGACTCACTGGTACCTGTATTGCTACATGGCTTAAGAATATGAGTGTGAGAGGCATCCATTACAATTTAAAACAAAATTAGAGTAAAGATCAATATGGCATGCCATTATGCTATTCATTTGGAAAGTATTAGTTTCTTTCTCACAATGACCTTTCGCATTCCAAGTAGAGTTTTTCCTGTCATTTCTCCATGTTGAGCCACTGGAAGATAAATGAGAGGTGCTGAAGTTGACAGCTCCCAGGACAACCTAGGGCCAAGAATCGCCCTGCTATGGTTAGAAAGAACCTGGAGACTTTGGCTCCTCCTACTGGACATGAAAAATACTTTCCAATTTGTGATCTAAGCAAATGTCAAAAATGGTACCTTTCATAAAGCTGGTTTAAAAAGAACAAGGACTTTGTAGCCTTGTGCTTGGCTGAGAGCTCTCTAAAGTGTAAATTTCATCATCTTACTTTAAAACTTAGGATCTTCCTATAGCTCTTCATTATTCCCCAGGATAAGGTCTAAAGTTGTCCATGTGGTTTACCAGCTCCTGGCTCTTTTTAAGTTCACTCTGTGACCCAGGAGGGCTTTTCTCTTGTTGTATCCAATCTTTTGTATATGTTGTTCCTCCAACCAGGAATACCCTTACATACTCTCTTTTCCTGGATAGCTTCTGTTTAGTTTTTAGATCTCCATTTCAATATCACTTTCTCCCTGCCAATCCCTCAACTCCCTACCCAGCCCCCCATAGGCACAGATAAGGTGTTCTTGCGAACTCCTCTAACACCTCCATTTACCTTTACCCTGTCATTTGTCTCAGCTTACTGTAAATGTTGTTCTCTTCTATTAAACTAAAAGGTCTTTACATCAAAGATTTGTTCCCTGATGCACAGCACCAGCCACATAATAAGCTCAATAAATGATAGGTGAACCTTCCTTCTTTCCTGCAGTAGATTGCTGTCTAAATGGGCTAACCACTTTGGAATGAAATGAGAAGTCAACCTGCTCATCCATTTATGTAGTCCTTTGTTCTTTCAGTCATCAAACATGCATCCTTCTTGAGGCTAGTCCCCCATGTAAACCATTTAGTATATAAACTAGACTCAATTTCTGCACTCGAGAAGCGTACAGTCCAATAGCATATGCAGACACATAAATGAGTGATTGCAACTGTCTTGAAACATTTGGCCAATACGGAGCAGGAGCCTATAGCCAGATATGGCAGAAGGGCAGAAGGTCAGGCAAAGCATTCTAGAGAAGATCGTGTCTAAATAGAGAAGATAAATAGGAATTCCACAGAGAGTTGGGTGATGGATATTCCCGAAGGAGAATACAGCTTATGAAAGTGCCTGAAGCAAAACAGCATAGCTCCTTCTAGGAACAGCAAATCTGTTCAATATAAATAGAGTCCTGTTGAAGTTAAGGGGCTGGACAATGGTGAAAGAGCCAAGAGAGTAGAAGCTGGAACTAAAGATATGGGCTAGGGAAGGCCCAAGGCAGGCTCTGAAATGATTTGTAAGGCGTATTTGCTTTACCACAGGCAGTGGAGAGTGACTGGTTAGCTTTTCAAGATGCACCATTACCATAATGATTTCCACTGCCAGTGCTCTGGGCTTCACTCTGCCTTCACTGATGTTTCAATGACCATTTTCTCCATTATTATCTTATATTTGTTTAATAACTTTTCCAGAAGGTCAGTGTAAACATCCAGTGAATTCCAGGGATTTGTAGATTACTCCAGAGTACTCTAGGATTTTTAAGAGATTATCAGTGATATATTAAACAGAATAGGAAAAGGATGAAAAAAGCAAGCTAAAAAAATCTAAGATCTAAAAATCTAAGAAGGCCAGAGGGTGGTGGCTCTTGCTCATACCTGTAATCCCATCAGTCTGGGAGGCTGAAGTGGGCAGACTGCTTGAGCCTAGGAGTTTGAGACCAGCCTGGGAAACACTGTGAAACCCCATCTCTACAAGAAATTTAAAATATTAGCCAGGCGTAGTGGTGTGCACCTGTAGTCTCAGCTACTTGGGAGGCTGAGGTGGGGGGATTGCTTAAGCCTGGGAGCTTGAGGCTACAGAAAGCTGCAACCACACCACTGTACTCCAGCCTGGGCAAAAGAGTGAGACTTGGTCTCAGAAAAAAAAAAAAAAATCAAGTAGCCAAGCATCCTTTTATTCCTCCTCCCAAGGATACCTTTCAATAGCAGTCACAGAAGAGTTGATACAATACTCAAATGTATCCATAAATGACTCTGGGTTCAATAACATGATTTGCACAATTTAAATATTATATAAGACCTACTTTGCCCACAAGTTCTCAGTCTTCAGACTTACCTGAAGGCTTTCTCACAAACGGAGTCAACTAATGAACTAATTAAAACAGTCAGTCTGAGGACCACAGGGGAATGGATTGCACCTTATATTCTCTGTTCCCCCCTCAGTCCTTGGGCACATGGCAGATACTCAATATATAGTTATTGATTGCTTGAACTCACTCACCATCTATCGTGTAGGTCAGGGTTTTGATATTAACCAAGGCATTTAATACTGAGAATGAGCTATCTGGTGTCCACAGATGAGGTCTCTTTTTTGTGAAAAGACAGCAACTTTTGCACTCTGTTTCAATGTGTCTTTGAAATAGTAAACATGATAGTTTTTCCTCTTCTACTTGGGCTCATTCCTTTTCCTCTCCTGCCTTCATCCCCTTAATAAGATGGAGAAAATACTAATGGTAGCAAAGACAGCACCTTAAGCAATGGTCATGATGATAACAAAAACAGCTACAAAAGCAACAAGCATGTGGTATTTACTATATAAGCTCTTTGATTGTATCATCTCATTTAGTCCTCACAGTGTAAGTACCATTATGATTTCCTTTTTATTTTTTAATTTTTTTATTATACTTTAAGTTTTAGGGTACATGTGCACAACGTGCAGGTTTGTTACGTATGCATACATGTACCATGTTGGTGTGCTGCACCCATTAACTCGTCATTTAACATTAGGTGTATCTCCTAATGCTAACCCTCCCCCCTCCCCCCATCCCACAACAGGCCCCGGTGTGTGATGTTCCCCTTGCTGTGTCCAAGTGTTCTCATTGTTCAATTCCCACCTGTGAGTGAAAACATGCGGTGTTTGTTTTTTTTTCCTTGCCATAGTTTGCTGAGAATGATGGTTTCCAGCTTCATCCATGCGGCACTATTCACAATAGCAAAGACTTGGAACCAACCCAAATGTCCAACAATGATAGACTGGATTAAGAAAATGTGGCACACATACACCGTGGAATACTATGCAGCCATAAAAAATTATTTCCTTTTTAAATAGATGAGCAAACCAAAGCTTGAAAGGAGGAAATTCAGTGTCTTGCCCAACCTCACAGAGCTGGCTAGTGGTTAGAGTGGGACTCAAAACTTAGTCAGTTTTGTGTCAGAGCCAGGTTCATGAGACATAAATCATGATACAGCTTGTCTTTTTGTTTACTAGGACTCATCTCCATGTAGCCAGGCTTAGAATCATGTCAATGATTCATGATCATGAGGGTGGAGATTCCTAACCAATTGGTCTTAGAGTAAAAAAATACAAAGGGAGGTTCAGTAATCTGCAGCACCAAATGGGAGCCTGCCTATATAAAGAACACTTTGGAAACAAATATTTTGAGCTTCATCAGATTCAAGTAAAAATTCTTAATTTCTTGGCTAATAATAAGTAGAAACTAAGCTGTGTCTTTGATTTAGGGCAGGCTTGTTTATATGCTATTTAGTATAACTTTATGAAACATACTATCATTCATCTTTTAGAAATAACAGAACGGAGCTCATGAGTAGGACAGCCTGCGTTCATATTCCATATCTACTACTTAATAACTATGTGAGCTAAACAAGATTTTTAAAAAACATCACTATTCACTTCCCTGTACATAAAATGGGGACAATGACAACAATGATGATGATGATGATATAATTAACATATTAATAGTTACTATTAATACAATGGACAGTGCAGTTGATTCCCATCTCCAAATATGTGAACTATTCTCCTTGTAAATGACTGCTTCAGGAACTGTCATAGGTTCCCAGTCACGTGATCTAGAAGATTGTTATCACATTTTAGGAAACATTTCCTTTATCCAAGTGAAAGCCACAGGAAAATACATTTTTTTCTTTACTTCCAGATGTTTTCTCATGGGATTTTGACCTCTGGACCCCCCTACAGGTACCTTGCAATGAGCCTGAGGACAAATTAATACTGAAGATGGCAGGGCAGGGAAGAATAAAGGACCAGTAACATCCAGGAAATTGTGAAGCTGCTAAATCAACGGGCTTCCAAAACTACCATACTGCTGCATTCCCTGTTCCATGAGATGACACATCCCCTTTTTGCATTAGCTTGTTGAAGATGACATATTGCCTATAGCAGGGTTTCTTAAACTTAGCACTACTGACATTTTGAGCCAAATAACCCTTTGCTGTGGAGGGACTCCCTGGGCACTGTGGGATATTCAGCAGTATTCTTGGCTTCTACCCATTAAGTGCCAGTACTCCTCCCAAATGTGTACAGATATTTCCAAGTGCTCCCCAAGGGGCAAAATCTTCCCAGGTAGGAACCACTGTTCTAAAGCATCCTCACCAACATGGCGATAGTGGTGGTGGTAACAGAACTACTAATAGTAACATATGAATAGCAATTAGCATACATTTAGCCTTACTATGCACTAGGCACTAGGTCTATACCTCCATTCAGATTCTCATTGAGTCCTCATAACAACACTGTAAACCAGATTACCATCCTCATTCTACAGATGAGGTCTAGAGAAATGAAGACATTTGCTCACAGTCGCCAAGGTAGTAAGCAATTAATTTAGGATCCAAATCCAGCTCAGTGATGATTCTTCTCAACCAGCATTGTCGGGAGAATTAAATGACAGAATCCACGAGAAATTTCTCACCGTTGTGCCTGGCACAGGGTAACAGCTCTGTGGAAGTGAGTGGTGACTTCCTCAGAACAGCCATACAACAGGGTCATCGTGAAGAAATGCAAGATGGTGTGGGCGATGCCACCTTACAAATATTGTAGTTCACTCCTCTCATGCTTCATATTGGGCTGAGTGTTCCAGCCAACACCATTTTACCTCAAACTAACAAAGATGACAAGATCACCACTGTCCATGATAACCCAGACCTGATCACAACCTCCTCGTCTCCAACTTGGAGAGTAAGCGCAAGTCCTCAGCGTGCGTGGTCATTAGCAAAAAGTGGTCACCAGCTTTGCTCACTCACTGATGGATGGTAAATTGGGAGACACATGCAAGCTTCATACTGCTGCTGCTTGGAGCAGCAAGAGGTCATTACATGCCCGTTTAGGACTTGTGCAGAAGAGTAAAAATAAAAATATTTTTGAGAACATACTCTATGCCAAGCCTGAGACATGACCTTTAACTACAGAGAAGCCTACACGGCAGTTGTAGTACTATTCCCATTTTACAGATAAGGAAAACTGAGGCTCAGAGGAAAATAAGTAAATTTTCAAAGCTTACAAACTTAAGCTCAAGACTTCGTTTTTAAATCTTTAACAGTCTGATATACCCAAAACCTCTGTTTATGTATAGGGGATCCAAAGGCCAATAAAAAAAAAACACTCTGTAAATTTTCTAAAGTTCCACTAGAAATCATTTTGTAAAAACAAAGGCTGTTTTAAATAGCTCCATCTAAAGTCAACCATGAAGGTTAAAAATGAGACTTATCAAGAGGCAAAAAAAGTTGCGAGTCAATGAGGTGTAAATAGTTAATGAATTTATAATCAGAACATACATAGCTTTGCCTTAATGTACTAACACCTCAGGGGCGAAAATGTTCCCTCTATTAGCAGCACAGAGTATTGACAATCGATTTCTTTCAAATGCACTTAACTTTAAGTCCTAGTCTTTTTATTACAAATGGATAAGTAAAGATATTTAAGCCATTTAGGATGAAATATGCAACCTTACAAAGAAGAGTATGCATTTGCAGTGGTTACTGGTGGGATATAGATGCTCCAAGAAGTAAAATACCTGTAAATTATAGTCACATAATTTACATTTCTGTGCTTCCACTTGTACATTTATTATTTCTATTTATTCCTTATACTTCGATTAAGACACATGAACCACTAAAGAAAAAAAATCACAATCCCTGGGAATGTCTTTTAGGACTATAAAGTAGATAATATGAGGGCAATATAAATAAATGGATAAAATGTTGGATTCTGGAACCTGAACATAAACATCTAACGGATACCGTTTGGGAATTTAGTCAAAACTGAACTCCCTTCCATGAAGCATGTTTACATCCACTTCAGCCTTCTCTGATAGGGTTCTTCTACACCATTGCTTTAGGGGTGGCTCAACAAGCTCTGCTCATTAATCAGCGGACACTCCGTTTGCTTCCTCCAGAAGTCGACCATGAGATAAGTATTTGAATGTCAGTAGTGAACTGGGGAGGTGAAGCCAGGAAACAATGGCCCAATGGCCAGGAGTGGGGAAGTAAATGGAGAAGAGACAGAAGCCAACAAAAAGAATGTCCTCAAGCAAGTTACCACTGTGGGTACCTGGAAATTATTCCAAATAAAGACTTCTTGGAGCTAGTATAAAACATACTCCCCAGAGTTTTCACCCAACCCCACCCCGGGGCAAGGGAGCTGGAATGTACATTCACCAGTTTCCATCACTTATTGGTGACGGTTGGTTATCCTGGGGAGGGGAGGTGTTAATCCTATACCACTTACAGCCTTCCTTGGACATGGGTTGAGCAGAATTCAGCGACCAAAGAGAGTTGTCAGGTGCTGAGATTTGGAAGTCCAGCCTGCATGCATGTTAGCAGAAAACACCTGGGGATACGAGGTGTGGGGCAACACAGCACCCTCAGTATTCTTAATGTCCCCAGGAAGAAAGAAGGGAAACTGTTAGCTTTCCTGCAGCAGCCACGTGCCTGATAAGAAAGAAAAACCCCAGTATCTCTCCTCATCCATGGAGCTCCACTGACGGAATGTCAAAATGTGCTGTGGCTGTCCAACTGCAGTGTATGTAAGACTCATCTGTAATGCTTATCAAAATCCAGATGCTGGGCTCCATGCTGGAGATTCTGATTCAGGAAGTATAGGATGAGAATGGGAATCTGAATTTTCAAATCCCCCTATACACACACACACACACACAGACACACACACACATACACACACTGCCCCATGTCACAGATGTTCCAAATGCCTGATAAGGAATATCAGTGCATTTTGTCCAACAACAGAATAACTTGTGGATAGGCTTGGAGGTGGGGGGAGGAGGGATTTAACGTGATTTTAAGATCTGAGGGCTTTGTGCATGGATATTTCCCTTCTCTGAAAACATGATTGCTTGCTGTGCTCTCAAGCTCTCAGAAAGGAGGTAATTGTTAGCAGGGCTGTCTCTGAAGCACTGATTATGCACCATAAATATATTAAAATCTACAGGTATTTTGCAGGGAACCCATGGGAACACTCAGGAAGTGCCATTTCTAAGTCCCTGGAGCCATAACTAGGACTAAGAAACAGTGATGTAATGTATTAGGAAAAATAAACAAATTAGGCATCAGAAATTCTTGTCCCAGACTGGCAACTGGAGGCAGTCAAGCCCTGTGGAACGTGCTTCTTTGTATCAAAGCCCTACTTGACTCACAGGTGTGAGAGCAAAGTGCAACCACGTGAAAATGAGTTGGCAGTTTTAAGGTGGTAGAAAAATGGAATGAGGTACCATCGTGGCTTTTTGGTAGGTCTTTTTTAGAGACCACGAAGTGGCAGTCATCCTGGACCTGGAATCACTGTTGAAGAATGTTGTGAACCCGTGTGCACAAGAGGCTCTTTTACAATGGACAAGATGGAGAAGAAAAAAAAAAAAAAAGTAAAAGACAAACCATATGCCTTATGATAGCACGTAGAATTTTCTTGCATCCCTCTCCATTTTTAGTCGAAAAGGCATTTCACAGATGTCAGCAGCCATTAATAGACCAATAAAAGAAGGGGTAGCCAACTTGAGAGGCTGTCAATGAGAAAGCCATCCGTCTATTTGATTTCTCTACCTCTTCCTGCTTTGATTCGTCTCTGTGTTCAAAAGCTCTAAGACGAGCTTGCTTGCCATTATTCCGTAAGGCAATTAAGCAACTTGGCAATAAAAGCAACCACATTTTTCCTGGAGCAGTTCACGGAGAACACAGAACAGCACAGGACAGATGTTGAACCAAAACGTAGGTACTTATCTGAACACACTTCTTTGTGCCAAGGCTAAACGCTCTGCCAGGGTGCTGTGTCCATCTTTCCTCTGGGTTCTTTTTTCCAACAGTTAACCCTTCCCTCTGCTCCATCTTCAAACTCCCCTGGTTGTCAGGATATACACATGCTGAAGCTCTGGGATATGACTCCAGCTCCTTCAACTCTTCCTCAACCTTAACCGCAATCTTGATTTGGATGTGCCTCTAACCAGCAAGCTTTTAGAAAATGGTAATCCACATTTATCACCTCCAGTTTCTCCACCTTCTGGTGACCCCCTGCCATTTCCCATTCACACCACTCCACTAAAGCTACTGTCTTAGTATCTTCTTCATGCCGTGCCCATGTGCATTCCTGGATCCCAGCTGCTATTTCTTCATCATAGGATGTATTAACAATCTCCTGGCAGCTCTCTGTGGCTTCAGGAACACCACACTCCTGGCCACCTTCCTGCTTCTGAACTGCTCCATCCCTCTTGTCTCTTTATTCACTCTGCCTACACACTACCTTTTTTTGGGGGGTGGGTGGGGGGGATACAGTTTCACTATGCCACCCAGGCTGGAGTACAGTGGCACCAGCTCGACTCACTGCAACCTCTGCCTGCCAGGTTCAAGTGACCCTCCTGCTTCAGCCTCCTGAGTAGCTGGGACTACAGGTGCATGCCACCATGCCTGGCTAATGTTTTGTGTTTTCAGTAGAGATGAGGTTTCAACATGTTGGTGAAAAACTCCTGACCTCAAGTGATCTGCCCAAGTCAACCTCCTAAGGTGTTGGGATTACAGATGTGAGCCACTGCACCTGGCCCATATCACCTTTCTTAAATGATACTCCTCTCCACTGCGTTCTCCACGAGTTCCCCTAAATCACTTCCTACAGATGTCATCAATGTCCCCACGGCTGCTAGATATCAAAGTTCTGTGCATCCCTCACCTCTTGGCTAAGTTCCCATACCCATATCTCCAGCTCAAAACACATCGTCATCGCCTGGCTATCTTCCAGGCTTCTGGGGCTGCTGTTTATAATCAATCTGTTCATTCATCCCACAAGTATGTATTGAGTGCCTACTATTTACGCAAACTAAAGTGGAAACAAAATATCCACTGTATTAGTTATCTCTTGCTAGTGTTGTTTACTCCAAAAATTAGCAGCTTGAAACAAGAAACATTAACTCACAGTGCCTATGGGTCAGTAAGTAGCATGGCTCTACTGGGTACCTCTCGTTCAAGGTCTCTGGCAAGGCTGGAATCAACATGTCAACTGTGGCTGCAGTTTCATCTCAAGACCTGACTGAAGAAGGATCCAGCTGCCTGCTCAGTCATGTGACTACTGGCAGGATTCAGTTCCTTGGGGGCTTCAGGCTACTGGTCACCCTCAGTGCCTTGTCATGTTAGTATCTCCAGTGGGCAGCTCAGGATGTGGTAGCTGGATCCCCTTAGAGCAGGAGAGCAAGCATCCAAGCGGGAAACTGACTTCTTCTTATGACTCAGTCTTGGAAGTGATATCTCATCATTTCTGTCCTATTCCACTTATGGGAAGTGAATCAATTCATTCACGCCAAGCTGAAAGGGAGATTACACAGACTGCAGATACCAGGAGAGAGGGATCATTTAGTGCCATCTTAGAGGGTGACTGTCATATCCTCATTCCCAGAAAGCTTGGTTCCAGTGAGAAATAATCCTACATGGATGGCAGAGATACGGAAGAAAAGGATGGGGAGAGAGGGTAAATCCATATTGTCACATCCCCATTCCCAGAAAGCTTGGTTCCAGTGAGATATAATCCTACATGGATGGCAGAGATATGGGAGAAAAAATATGGGGAGAGAAGGCGGACCCATGTGACAAAAGAGCTTGTGTGCTGAGCATGCAATTCAACATATGCCCAATTAAACTCTCATTCCCTCCTACAATCCTCTTAGGTTCCCCTCATTTCCACTCATTGTATCTTATCGCCTCTTGTCTGGCCTTGAACAACAGCTTTAGCTGGTATTATGAAAACCCACTCTCCACATATCCAAGACCAATATTTTAAAACACTCCATTTGTCAGGTCTCTCTCTTCCCCTTCTGAGTGACAGAAACTCAACTCAAACTAGTTGAAGCTGAAAATGGGATTTATGGACACACAGGTGTAATAATTATAAGGAAAACTGGCTTTAGGCAATGCTGGAGCCAAATGCTTCATCAGTGAGGACCCTTCTGTCTCCATCTCTTCTTTCTTTCTTCTGTGTCATGGTCCACGTTGGCAGGTTCTCTGGTTACTGCATCAAAATGCCCTCCAATAGGCACAGACTGGCATGTAATATTCTACTGACTACTAACTCCAGCAGAAGGAGAACATTTTTTTCCTTTTTTTTTTTTCCCTACAGTAGGGCTCAAACAAATCCTTGTGTGTGCACTCACTGGTCCAGATGGGATCACATACCCGGGGCTGAACCATCACTGTGACTTGGTGGATGCAGCCCTCTGACCAGCCACATCTGTGGAACCAGAGTACAGATTCAACCCCACCTGAACTATCTGGTCTGAGAAGGGAGGAGAGGTGATTTCCCCGTAGGAAACCGGGTGCTATTACCAGCAAAGTTATACAGATGCTAAACAGCCAAGTAATTAGGCAATACAACACAAATGTTAACACACCACTTATCTAATGAATAACCTCATTGCCTCTCAACCTCTGCACCACCTATAGGATCCAGTTCTAACATCTTTGCTTACCATACAAGACTCTCCATGAATTGGCCCAAGCCTGCCTTCCTAGCCTTGTCTGCTATACAGTCTGATTTCACCCACAAAGAATGACACATTCGTCTCTAAATAGTCTCTTCTGTCATCCCACTGCACCCATTTGCCTGGCATGCTAAACTTCTACTTCATCACCTATTGAGCCATATACCTGACTCAAGACCCAGCTCAAATGCCATTAGCCTTTTTTTAAAATCCACCCAACTCCTCCTGGCTGAATCAGCTGCTCTTTTCCTAACAAATTGTGTAAATATCTCTACTGAACAGACTTTCTCAACAGGGGCAATGTTTTTCCCCCAGGGGCATTTGGCAATGTCTAGAGACATTTTTGGTTGTCATGACTGGAGAAGGGATGCTTGTGGTATCCAGTGGGTAGAGGCCAGGGAGGCTGTTTAATATCCTGCAACACAGAGGCAGTGCCCCACAACAAAGAATGACCCAGCTCAGAACGTCAACACTGCCAAAGTTGAAAACCCTTGTATCACCTAACACTTCATGCCTTGTATTACACCAATCATTTCTGTATCTTCCCAGCTAGACCATGAGCTCCTTGGGGGCAGGGACACTGTTGCATTTCTCAATGTGCTCCCAGCTCTAGCAGGTGCCTGGCCCATAGCAGATGCTCAACAAACATTGGCAGAATGACTGCATAAGGGAATGAGTGTCCAGATGGGCTTATGAAACATTATCCAAGAAATGGAGTTCCTGGAAGGTGTGATCATTCCTTAAATGGCTATTGTATTAGAAAATTTCAGCTGCAGGGTGTTTTTCCCCTCTTTCCACGAATACATTTGAACGAAATATAAACTTCCGCATTTGAAGTCATGTGACTTTCTCAGCAAATCTATTACTGTCTGTGTGTCTCATGCTCCTGGTATTAAGAAATGGACTCTTGGCTTTTTATAATTTCTAAAGACAGAGGAAATATTTACACTCCCATTAAAACACACTCTCTTCTTAAAGTTCCCCCAAGTTTTGTTTTGTTTTGTTTTGTTTTTTAGCAACAAAACAAATTTCATGACCCTTTCCCTCATCCGATTTTGGTTTAAGACAAGACTGTGCATGTGACATCTTCATCTAACACACTGCACGCTTGACTAAGAAATGCACACATCACCAGCAGCTCAGGATTCCACCTAAGGTCTAATACGTTTCTCAGAAAGGACATTCAAATGTCAGATGGAATGATTTACACTGCATGTCAATAAAAAGTACTCCGAGGTTCACCAAGTCAATAAAGCTTATTAGAACAATCTTAGGGCCGAGTATCAATATACCCTGATGAGGACCTCTAAAGTCAGACACTATCTCAAGGCAAGGGGCATTAAATAGACCATTCTGGAGAGAGAAATAAAATGAAAGGCTTCCATTATTTTGAGAGTGCATGTTAAATGAATAGCATATAAGAAGCTGCAGAAATCTGTGTTTATATTCCCATCATTAAAACCTTCTGGACATTCATTGAGTGGCCATAGACTAAAAGTCTCTGATATGCCAAGTATTGCATCAGGCATATCACACTGACCCATTTTTTAAGTTCACAAATGCTTCAGTAATGCTTCCTATGTACACTTTCCTAAATCTTTACAAATATTAACTATGTAAACCCTCATTATGACTCTATGCAATGGATAAAATATTATCTCCATTTTGCAGATAAGAAAACTGAGGCTTAGAGAAGCTAAGTGAAATGTCCAAGGTCACCCAGGTAATAAGCAGCAGAGCCTGCAGGCAAAGCCAGGTAGTCAGGCTGTAGAGCAGGTATTCTTTTTTATTTTCTTTAAAAAAAATTTTATTTTATCTTAAGTTTCAGGATACATGTGTAAGACGTGCAGGTTTGTTACACAGGCAAACGTGTGCTATGGTGGTTTGCTGCACCTATCAACCCATCACCTTGGTATTAAGCCCCACATGCATTAGCTATTTATCCTAGAGTACATATTCTTAATCACCGTGCAACATGACCTTGTATGCATTGCCTTCTAGTCCTCTCAATAAACTCTCAATAAACCCAAAGTTTGGCCTGCTGAATATTTCTAAAATTAGCATTTCAAAGTCAGGAGACTTCATAGAAAAGCCAGATTTGTGGACTCTCTTAATAAATCAAAACATCTGGCCACCTAGGCCTGCTCTCTTGAAGGCCTTTGACAAGAGGCCTCAGTTGGGGGGCACAGACCCTCCTCACTCATTTGACCACTTGTGTGGTTCCTGAGGCATTTGAGATTGAGACCCTGGCTTAGCTGTTTTGCAGACAAAGATGCTGAACCCAAGAGATGTTAAAGAACTTGGCCAAGGCCCCAGGCCTAGGGAATAGCAGAGGCTAGCTTTGCAGTTGGCAGGATCCCAATAGGAAAGAAAAGACCTGGCACACTCCAATGTAGGTGATCAGGAAGCTGTCGCTGTATTTAAAAAGGCACTAGCTACAAAGGTACCGCAGGGGTGGAGCAATGACCCTAGACTCCTGTCAATGAAGTCATCCTTGTGCCTAGGTCTCAAACAATGGGCCGGGTGGGAGGGGTGGTGGTGGGCGGTGGCGAGAAGTAGTCACCAAAATGCAGGAGGAGAAACTGTTTGGAGCAGGTGCATTGAGAGGAGGAAGAGCTACCTTCAGGCAAGGAGCACAGGAGATCTCACAAGGAGGGAACCAGGGAAACAAACGTCTTGATCTCATTTTTCTCTTTCCCTCTCATTGCTTTTTTTTTTTTTTTTTGGAGACAGAGTCTTGCTCTCTGTCGCCCAGGCTGGAGTGCAGTGGCGCGATCTCGGCTCACCGGAAGCTCCGCCTCCCAGTTTCATGCCATTCTCCTGCGTCAGCTTCCGGAGTACCTGGGACTACAACCGCCCGCCACCACGCCCAGCTAATTTTTTGTATTTTTAGTAGAGACGGGGTTTCACCATGTTAGCCAGGATGATCTCGATCTCCTGACCTCGTGATCCACCCGCCTCAGCCTCCCAAAGTGTTGGGATTACAGGCATGAGCCACCACGCCCAGTCTTCCCTCCCATTTCTTGTGTCCCCCAACGAGGAAAATTGAAATGGCTGTCAGAGGATCTACAACCTTGTTGATGAAGGGCAGAGAACAGGATGGAAGTATGTGTAGAGTGCATATCTCAGATACCACAGAGGATATTTAACACACAACCCTATGGGAGTCCACAAACCACGCTCTTCCCACTTTATTTGCTCTAACTCAATCAATTTACTATTGTAATCATATTGAAGAAATTAGCAAACATAAATATGGTACTTAAAATGTGTCAGCCACTATTTTAAGAACTTTATATTGCTTTATTCACTTTTCCAAGTGCCTATCATGTGCTAGAAGCTGTGTCCTTTCTGGAAACACAGAACGGTAGGAGAAGAAAGAGTGACAGAGATCTTAGTGATTCTCTTCTCTCAATTATGGAGTTCTCTTCTCTCAATTATGGATTCACTTCTCTCAATTATCTCCACCTACTTCAACCTTTCATTCAAACTCATGGGCAAAGAAGATTTCCTGTTTTAAACAACAGGGCACCAAAATCAGTTCAAAATGCAAAGGTGCATGCCATGTGGAAAGTGAGTCTTGTTAACTAGTACGCACAGCCAGAGCTGCTACTTCCTCTGGGTCTCCATGTCAAAACTCTATTTCCTCTGTACCACTCCCTCAGTTCTTGAGAGCAAATTAGCCTGTTAATCTAGGACAAAAGAGACACAATCGTAAGTTGAAAATGGTAGCCACGAGCGGTCGCTCATGCCTATAAAATGAGAACTTTGGCAGGCTGGGGCGGGAGGATCATTTGAGTCCAGGAATTTGAGACCAGCCTGGGCAACATATCAAGACCTAGTCTCTATAAAAAAAATTATCTTTTAATTAGCCGGGCATGGTGGTGCATGCTTGTAGTCCCAGCTACTGGGGAGGCTGAAGAGGGACAATCGCTTGAGCCCAAGAGTTTGAAGATTTCAGCCCAGGGGCTGAAATCATGCCACGGCACTCCAGCCTGAGTGACAGAGCAAGACCCAGTCTCAAAAAAAAAAAAAAAAGGTTTAAGAGCTATAGATTATTCATGTTTGAAGGGAAAATTTCTAGCCCTACAGTAATCATGGGAGTAAAGAATAGGGGAAGAAGAGGGAATGAGGAGGGCCTCAGAGGGTTCTGAGTCCCATTGGATATTCCAGTTTGGCTTATTGCAGTGTTTCCCAGGCTTTAGTCATCTGTGCACCACCCTCATGGCTTCTGTCATATATTTGTACCAGCTGCACTCTTATAGAGTTGATATTTTTCTTGAAACTATTTCCTTATTTAAATTAATGTATTTTGAAATGAAAACATTAACATCCTAATTAAAAACTAGCATTGTTACCATGTATTTAAGCAAATACATAAGCACTAAGGTTAATAATCTTGTCTCTGTAGTATCTAAAATCCATCTTGTATATATTTAATTACGCACTTATCTCGGGAAAACATTGTTAAAAGCATGGACTCTGGAGTTAGACATGATGGGGTTCAACCTCCCAATTCTGCTGCTCCAGAGGAATTGCTTTCTGTAATTCGAGCAAAGTCCTTCACAGTATGTGTGGCCCATGGAAGGCACTTGTAAAATATTACATTGCAGAGCTCCACAAGCCACACACCATTGGTGGTTTCTTTACTGGCAATAAAGACACTTGATCCTAGTGTCTTTATGCCAGTAACTCTTACATAAATCCTACAAGTGAAAATCTAGAGAAAATCACCTCATTGGAAATTATCAGAATTCCAGGACCAACTCAGCCACTGGAGAGCTCCAGGCTAATATGTGGCAAAGCATGCTGTGCAAAGATGATTCTCCAGTTGGTCAAATATTGTTGCCTCTAGCTCACAACAGCTTACCAGTAATTCTGAAGAAGTGGGCAGAGGCTAAGATATTTTAATTAATTTTAATTTAAATATCTACCCATCTGTCCATCAACCCACCTACCCATCCATCGATCCACCAATCCACTCACCCACTCATCTACTCATCCGTCAATCCACCCAGCTATCCATCCACCCATCCACTCATCTACCCACTCATTCATCTACCCATCCAACCACCCATCCATCTAAATACCTACCCGCCCACCCACCCACCTACCTACCTATCCACCCACCCATTCATCCACCCACCTACCTGTCCACCCACCTACCCACCCATCCATCCACCCACCAACTCATCCACCCACCTAACCATCTACCTATTCACCTATCCATCTACCTGTCCACCTACCCACTCATCCATCCATCTACCCATGCACTCATCCACCCATCTACCCATCCACCAACCCACTCATCCACCCATCCACCTAGTCACCCATTCATCTACCCATCCACCTACCCTTTCATCCATCCACCTATCCATCCATTCAACAAATATTTAAGTAATTCTATTTCCTGGCACTGTTCTAGAGGCTGGCTAGTTATACAATATTCAGCAAAGGAAAACATAGAGTTTTCGCCCTTATTTTGCGTACAAGAGAGTGGCAGACACAAGACAGGCATGCACGGGATCCAATTTTATACTCTCCAGATGTGTTCAGCACCACCTGCCCCTTTCCTCAAAGGAAATTCTGGCAAAGGAAACGCCCCCACAGTGCCTCCTATCTTAACATAACCCAGCTGTTACTGCCTCTCCCTGGTCAGGGCTGAGCTTTGGCATGATCTTCATCATGTCTGCTGTGACTTCATAACCCAAGTCCAAACCAACCAGACTCAGGAAGTCTACGGTTTGTCCCACTACTTCCAGCTTCAGAGGAAGCATCGCACCAGGGGGGCATGGGATCTTGTCCAGGTACTGCCCTAAGAGGCCAGAAAACACATCCTGTAAATGTAGATGAGTTAATTCTCTCACTGAGTGAACGTGTCCTATGAGATAATAGGAGGAGGTAAGGCCTTGGCAGACACACCCTTCTCTCTTCCGACAAATCACTGCAAGGTACAGTCATCCCACACAGCCTGCCTAAAAAACATCCCCTATAATGGAGCAACTTACCATTGTTCCTTATAAAGCTGTGGTCCGCTCAGTAACATACCACCTTATATATGCTTGCTTTCTTTCCTTGTCTGATTTCCCTTCTTCACTCTTTTTTTTTTTTTTTTTTTTTTTTTTTTTTTTTTTTTTTTGAGGTGGAGTCTCGCTCTGTCGCCCAGGCTGGAGCGCAGTGGTGCGATCTGCGATCTCTGCTCACCACAAGCTCCGCCTCCCAGGTTCACGCCATTCTCCTGCCTCAGCCTCCCAAGTAGCTGGGACTACAGGCGCCCGCCACCAAGCCCGGCTAATTTTTTGTATTTTTAGTAGAGACACGGTTTCACCGTGTTAGCCAGAATGGTCTCGATCTCCTGACCTCGTGATCCGCCCACCTCAGCCTCCCAAAGTGCCGGGATTACAGGCGTGAGCCACCAAGCCCAGCCGCACCCAGCGGCGCCCGGCCAACCCTTCTTCCTTCACTCTTGCTGCCCTGGCGTTACACCTCTTTATAAAGCCTTAGCATGTAAGTTTTGTTTCATTATCTGTTTTTAAGGAAATTTGAGGTTAAAAAAAATGAATCAAATGATCCTGCAAATAAGTATTTACAAGATGCTATGAAAGGTTTCAATGGGGGAAGAGTTTGACCCGGTCTGAAGACTTAAGGAAGGATTTATTTGTGGAAGTGATGTCTGAGCTGAGAGAAAAAGCCAAAGTTAGTTTGGGGAAGAAGCATGAGGGGGAATTCTAGGCAGTCAGAAAAGTATGTTCAAAGGCCCTGTGGTAGAGATAAGGTGGGAGAAGGGAAGAGGTGAGTAAATAATGGAAAGGCAGTGTTGGCAGGAGGCTGGGCATGCATTCTAAGGAGTGAAGACAGAGAGGACTGTTCAGAAAGTTTCCACTAATGAATTGCTAATGACTCCTGAGCCTCCTTCTTCACTCAACAACTCTGTCATGCTCCTTGAACAGAGGTCTCAGGCAGTCTGTGATTAATGGAGTGTTCAGATGATTCAGGATAAATGTTTCCCATAACAGTTCATCCACATAGATTTTTTTGGACTGGGAAATGCAGATAGTCCAGTATGTTCCATAGGGAGATGTTCCATAGATTAAAAAATTAGAAAAAATCCAGATGAACACAAGGAGATGCCATTTGGAATTAAATGGATTAAAATCTGACTGCAATATGACACGTGAATTTATATACGTAGTAACATCTGATGTGGGTGCCAAGAAGATGCCGACAGACCAGAAGGAGTATGCGAAAAAATGCCATTTGCACTTTAATTATGGACAATCAGAGACTGGGTAAAGTTCTCATATTCTGTAAGCAGAAAGGACATTCGGATGGGACGACAACACACCAGTGCACTCAGGATTTGGAAAAGGGTGAGGGAGGTGGCTCTGCACCCTCACACAACCTTGCTTCAGTGAAAGCCCCTCAGCTTTGATCCATTTTATATGCTGGGCATCCACATACATTTCACTCAAAGAAAAACAACTACATCATCTTGTTGAAAACACCCTAGCCCTAGAAATGTCCGAAGCCTCTTCTAGTTCTAAACACTCAAGATAGAAGTTCGCTTGCCCGCCTTCCCCCAATATCTGATTTAAACTACTGATTATTTTTTGATAATTCCTCACTCTATTTCTTTTGTTATAGACAATGCAAATGTAAATGTCAGTGTAATCTATTTTAGTTTTCCTCAAATTTAATGAATTGCAATAGATCCAGCTGTTGAGAATATCAGAGACTATCAAAGAGATCTAAGGGAGAGATCCAGGATAAACCTTCCACATCAGAGGAATCTAGTGTATGTTCATGAATTTTCCCCAGAACAAAACAAATGAAACCAGAATGAACAGGGACTTCGTACAGGGACTTGGTAGGTTTATACAGACTTGAAACTCTGCTGTACAGGGACTTGGTAGGTTTATACAGTCTTGAAACTCAAATGTCTTCTCACACAGGCACATTAACAATGACCAAGAGGAACTGGTGAGGCACCAACTGAAGTGGTAAATCCTTAACTCCAATGTTACGGCTTTTCCTATGTGGGAATAACAGCCACATTTTTATATTGTTCAAGAGATGTCGGAACTCAAATTTCATGTTATGTACTCTAACATCTTGAAAATCAGCAAATGATTGACTATCAGCAAATAAAAAAAAAGTAAAGTAAACTAAATGTACAGGCATTAAACTACATGAGAACCAAGCAAACAGGTTCATTTATTGGATTTGATGATCTCCTAGTTGAGTGAGATTTAACAGAAACTTTTACGGGAATGAGGCTTATTTTGCTCTTGGACGGTTTGCCTTGGGAAAATGTGAAAACCATTCCTCTTCCAACTTTAAAGCTGAAATCAATATTTTGTTTTCCTTGGCATAATTCATTTATCACCTGCAACCCAGGAGGCACAATGTGAGTGCCTAATCGCTCTAGAGATTTGGTGATTCTTCATGGAGTTCTTGAAGCTACCAAGAAGTACTATGTCAGATAAAGTACAGGTGTGTGCCACATTATCTGCCACATAGTCACAAAAACCCCACCTTCATATCACAGAGCTAGCATGTGGTTAAGCTCTGGATTTTCTTTTTAATTATACCATCAATCCTATCATGTAGCTACAAATTCATGATGCTTTCAGACTCAAGTCTAAACCAAAGTACCTTGCCCTAGACAACAGAATACAATTAAATAATCCATGCAGCCACACTGGGCTGTTTACCTTCTCCTTAACTGTAGAGGTCCAGGCTCCAACATCTTCATTCTGTTCTGTGCCCCAGGCAGGAGGCTGACCTGGACCAACAACAGCTATGGGCTTCCTGGTAGGTTTGGACAATGGAGAGCACCAGCAGAGACGGAGGTGCTTCCTGGTGGGTTTGGACAATGGAGAGCACCAGCAGAGACGGAGGTGCTTCCTGGTGGGTTTGGACAATGGAGAGCACCAGCAGAGACGGAGGTGCTTCCTGGTGAGTTTGGACAATGGAGAGCACCAGCAGAGACGGAGGTGCTTCCTGGTGGGTTTGGACAATGGAGAGCACCAGCAGAGATGGAGGTGCTTGCTCGTCAGTTTGGACGAACTATTAGGTTGATGCAAAAGTAACTGTGGTTTTTGCTCTTACTTTCAATGGCAAAAATGGGTTTCTTTACAACAGTGGGTTTCTTTTCCTCTGGCTTCCTGGAGGGTTTGGCTGATGGAGAGCACTAGCAGAGATGGAGAAAGGAAAGAGGGTGACATTGGAATATTTATTCCCCAGATTTCCTGCAGGGGAGCTGTGAGCTGTCTGTGACCGTCAGTTAAATCCCACAGTTCTCTCTACCTGAAGGTCCTTTAACTGCTCTCTCTCTTACCCCTTCAAGCCCCAAGGTGGTAAATGCCTATGCTGCAATTAGCCCTAGGGTACAGAATTAGCCCTTGTGATTTCCCCATTCCCTGTCCATGTTTTGCAAATAGCCCCCTCACTTACAAGTTACCTAATTTGAGTATGCTGCCTGTGCCCTCCTAGGACCTCCACTAATCTACACACAAAACCTCTCACTGCTTATTGGGAGAAAAAAAAAAAAATCACCCTCACACCTCCGTGAACTCCTCCAACCAGATTGCAAAGCCAGTTCTGAATATGTAATTAAGGGGAACCCAATGCTTGTCCCAAATCATTGTCATGACCTGGGTTCTCATGGGTTTCAAATCAGAGGCATGCCTTCTGTGGAGTCTACATCGTCTGGTGAAATGAATGCCATGGTGCGGATGTAGAGAAAGTTCTCCCTGCTGCAGAGCTTAAGAAGAGCTCGTGGAAAATGACCACTGTTTGCAGTTCAGTATCCCTTTCTGTTATGGTCTGAATGTTTATGTGCCCCCAAAATTAATATGGTGAAATCCCAACACCAAAGTTGATGGTGTTAGGAGGTGAGATCCTTCAGAGATGATTATGTCACAGGGATGGAACCCTCATGCTTGGAATTAGTACTCTTATAAAAGAGGTCCCAGAGAGCTCCTTTTCTCCTTCCACCATGTGAAAACAAAGAAAAAGATGCCATCTATGAACCACAACATGGGCCCTCACCACATACCGAATCAATCTTGGAGACTGCCTCAGTCTTGGACTTCCCAGCCCTCAGAACTGTGAGAAATAAATCTCTGTTGTTTATAAACTACACATTGATGCTATTTTGTTACAGTAGCCCAAATGGGTTAAGACACTTTCCTCTTAATGAAATGGTGAGAATGCCCAAGCTCCCTCCCTACCCTATTTATGGTACTGTGTACATCAGTTTGATCTAAGAGCCCCAGGAACTCTTCTTCTGTTTATATCAAAGATTTTCCACCAAGCTTGAACATAATCTGGACTTGCAATGAAGCAAAGGGTTGACTTGTAGCATCCAGGATTTCTGTCTGTCCATTCTATTTTAGAAAATTGAATTCTACAGCTAAGTCCTCACAGCAACAGTTAGATGCACAAAGATTTCTTTGTCCCCTCTCACATTTCTGTATCCTTATTCCACTTGGCATAATAATCATCCTTAAAAAGATTTATTTTTTTTCTCCCTCTCTCTCTAAATTCCTCTTCAAAAACCTTTGATAAAAGCACTTACCATCATGCTCTTCTGGTAGGACTCTAAAATTCATGGCGGGCAATCTATCTTAATGAGCTTGCCTTTCTACACAGAAGTTGCCCTATTCAGGTATTTATTTCAAGACAATATGTGGATTTGGGCTCTAAGATATATGTGCAACTATGTTTAGCAGTTTGCAAAAAGAAAGCAACGCAAATGCTTTCCCACAGAATATTGCTTAAAATGTGAAATACTGAGCAGTCAATAAATAAAAATAATGGTAAGGAATATTTAATTATGTGGAAAGTTGTTTTTAAAACACTTAACATTTCGAAGCAGGTTATAGTGTAAGGTACAGAAATGTACTTCAAGAAGACTTGGCAGAACTCATCTATTTGGAACTCATTTAAGATCAATGCATGGTTGTAGGAAAGGGGAAAAAAATATCTCCCAACCTTTCCTCCTGTCTCACAGCTAGTGAGAGGAGCCTGAAGCTGGGGCTTTTGGTTCCTGCATCGATGGATGTCACTTTTGCTGTGGGCAAGTTGATCTGTTCATGACACTGAAGAAGAGTGGAAACTCATCACTCAATTCGTAGATATGTATGCATTTCTCATTGGGCACTTGGCCCTTTGCTAGGCCCTGAAATATAGTGGAGAAGAAAAGAGACTTGCCCAGGAGGAATTTGTGGTGTGGAGTAGGGCTCATCAAACTACTGCCCATGGGCCAAATCCAGCGTGCCACCTGATTTCTCAAATAAAGTTTTATTGGAACACAGCCACACACACTCATTGCCATATTATCTGTGACTGTTTTCCCACTGCAGAGCAGAGTTGAGTAGCTGCAATGGAGACTGTAGGACCTACACAGCCAGAAATATCTATTCTCTGAACCTTGCCAAGCTCGTGTAGAAATATACCTGGTATAGAAATCTGCTGCTAAAATTGTGGTACCAGGACCACTTGGAAAAATCTGAAACTTTCAGTTTGCTCAAGACCTAATGCCCAGGAGTGGTGGCTCATGCTTGTAATCCCAGCACTTTGGGAAGCCAAAGCAGGGAGATCACCCAAGGCCAGGAGTTCGAGACCAGCCTGGCCAATATGGCGAAACCCAGTCTCTACTAAAAATACAAATATTAGCCAGGCATGTTGGCACATGCCTATAATCCCAGCTACTAAGGAGGCTGAAGCATGAGAATTGCTTAAACCCAGGAGGCAGAGGTTGCAGTGAGCCAAGATTGCACCACTGTACTTCAACCTGGGTGACAGAGCAAGACTCTGTCTCAAAAACATAAACAAAAAACCCAATGAATTGGCATCTGCGTTAGCAATACACCCATTACAGCTGGAAAAACAGGAACAGAGAGAGTCGAACGAGCCCCCATAGCTCCATTCCCATCCTGCATCATTTAACTCTTTGTGCAGACATGATCTCTGAGTTAGGAAAGGACTCCTCAAGTCATGCTTTCAGAGGAACCGTCCCATACGTGCCAACATCCCCAGCAGCAAAGTGCTTCCAATAAGGCATCCAAATCAAGTGCTGAATCTCCCACCCAGCGGGACCTGCTTCACTAAATAAGAATTAATATACATCATCTTCCCAGACTTACCTATCCTATATTAATTACAAGCACAGTATTTAACTTAAACGAACCATTCGGCCATATGAGCGGCAATATTCAAGCCATCAATTTTACGGCACTGCTCAGGAAAATGCAGCGATACATCATCCCACCCAAAATACAAAGGTCAAATGATATTAATTAATGCAGCGACACAACTCACTGCAGCTAAATGGGTAATCTTGATTATGGCTCCTTGATGGAGAACTAATGCCTCATTAATCTTAAACATATCAACCTGAGAACATCAGAGAAGTCAAATAGAATAATGGCCAACATTTCAATGAACACAGACTCATGCTTGCTGGGTAAGAAGGTGAATTCTACAGACTTGGCTGTATTTTCTGCCTCCTTCACCAGATGTGTTTACTGAGAGCTTCATACAAAACAGGCTTGAAAGTCTCTGTCTCTCTCTGTCTCCTTCTCTCTCTCTCTCTCTCTCTGTCTCTCTCTCTCTCACACACACACACACACACACACACACACACACACACACACACACGTACAGCATTATCAAATAGGCAGGCAAACAGGCACATTCTCTCTTGTGGTTTTCACATACATGCTACAAAAAGAAAGAGAAATTAATGGGTTTATATGGCTCAGAGCCCAGCCAGTAACAGTTACTCTGAGGTACCTGCATCCATGTGTTGCTACTTATTTATCATGTGTAAGTGGACAGAAGACAAAAGGTCACTGGTTCAACCTTGAGGACATGGCTTGTTCCGTATCTCTTTCAGTTTTAGACAGGATGGTACTTGTGGATTTGAGAGGGCCTGTGGGTAAGCATAGAGAAAGATCAGGCTCAAGCCCAGGGTCCCCCAGCCTGGAGCTGCCATGTCCTACTACTGACTCAAGTCGGCAGATGTCTGCCACTGTCATGCAAATCTTTTTTTTCTTTCTTTTGAGACAGAGTCTTACTCTGACACCCAGGCTGGAGTGCAATGGCATGATCTTGGCTCACTGCAACCTCTTCCACCTCCCAGGTTCAAGCAATTCTCCTGTATCAGCCTCCCGAATAGCTGGGATTACAGGCACCTGCCACCATGCCCAGCTAATTTTTGTATTTTCAGCAGAGACAAGGTTTCACCATGTTGGCCAGGCCGGTCTTGAACTACTGACCTCAGGTGATCCACCCACCTTGGCCTCCCAAAGTGCTGGGATTACAGATGTGAGCCACCACGCCTGACCACAAATCTTAATAGTGTCTCCTGTCAGAAAATATTAGTTTCTCATCGGATTCCTAGAGAAGCAACCACAAACTCCCCAACACACACATAAGCACACACACAAGCACACACACATACATGCACACGAAGGCTTGGTGACTCATACCAGTTGCAGGAAAAACCTGCAAGATCTAAGTTGGGGGATCCTGTCAAAAGGAATTCAGTCTTACGCATTTTCATTCTACACAGTACTGAGTGATGGCTAAGAAAGGGTTACCCATTGGTCTCGCTTTAATGAATAGATAAAATTTGAGTCAATTACTGAAGTAGCTTTTGCTGAACAGAGTTGCCTAAGCAATGTTAACCTTTTTTTCCCTATCTATTGCAATCCCACTGCAGCTGTATCATTCTGACATAAACAATCTTCTAAAGAACTTGAAAACTCTTTGTTCTTTGAAGAAGGAAGTTATTTTCCTCATTTTTTATTTTACTTCTTTTCTCTTTTTTTTTCTTCAGAATTTTTGATATTTTATGTCAAGGTAAATGTAGTCTAATTCAATTCCCAAAGATCACAGTTTGGTGAAGGATTTTTACAGTTCATCTCTCCTTACATTAAAGCTCAGCCCATAACTTTGTGTAAAATGTATATGCATTTTTACAAATCTCTGTATTTTTTTCTCACTACCTGATTCTCTCTAGCCTGTGTGTGCATAGCAATTCCAGTTAACAAGTGTTCAAATTTTTTTAAAACTGTGATGGTAAGAATGGTTGCTTTTAAATGCCTTCCATTGCTCAGGTGCTAGAGCATCAGATACACCATATCTAATTTCCCAGCCCTGCAACCAGGTACATGCTAAGGTTGAAGGAGGTTAGAAGTCTTATCAATCCCAGGCAACATTGTTGATTATTGGCAGGGCTGGGATTTTCCCGGGTCTGTTTAGCTCCTAAGGCAGGCTCAACTCACAGAGCAAACTTCCCCACAGAAGTTATAGAACTTCCAAAAAAAGAAAAAAAAAAAAAAAAAAAAACTATCTAATAATTTCCCAAACCAAATGGCATCTTTTCGATGAGGAGTTTCTCCTTGTGCAATTGCTCCACTGCGATCATTGAGTACAGATCTCCCAGCTCCTATCCAGCCACGATGCATGGTCCTTATCAATAAATAATACTTCCGTAAAGGTCTCCAGAGATATTAATCCAAACAAACTAGAGGCTAATTGCCATTCCCCAGCACAAAGCTGCAGTGACGATGATTCTTTAATTCCTTCTACGTGCTCACAGCCCACGGCGCTCTACTCTGCTCACTAACTGTGAGCTGTAGCTACCCGTTTGCAAGGGAAAGGAAGGGAAGGGGTGCAATCAGACCTGGGAGACGTATATTAAAATCATGGGCTTCCACTTCCTGCCTGTGTGGTCTTGTGCTAGAACTTTGCTGCTCCTCTGCAAATGGGGAATATGAAAATCAACCTAGTGGGATTGCCATGAGGGTCAACTGAATACAACGCATTGTATGTAACCCTACAGTCACCCCCCAAATGGTCCAACTTTAATAAGAGGGGCAAGGGGAGCCAAGCACACAAAGAATGCTTTCAAAATAAACTCAGTTTCCTTGTTTCACAAGAATTTTCCATTAAAACATTTTTTTTATTTCATGAGAACCTTGATGGGAGGCATAACCAAATGTATTTTTTTTCTCTCTCTGACAGAGTCTTGCTCTTGTGGCCCAGGCTGGAGTTCAGTGGTGTGTGCTCATCTCACTGCAACCTCTGCCTTCCAGGTTCAAGCGAGTCTCCTGCCTCAGCCTCCCGAGTAGATGGGACTACAGGCGTGCACCACCACACCCAGCTAATTTTTGTATTTTTAGTAGAGATGGATTTTCCTCATGTTGGCCAGGCTGGGGCTGGTCTTGAACTCCTGACCTCCAGCGATCTGCCCGCCTCAGCCTTCTGAAGTGTTGCGATTACAGGCGTGAGCCACTGTGCCTGGCCCAAATTCACTTCCTCTTTACAAGCCTCCCTCCCACCCACCTTCCCCATACACCGCAACTATTTTTCCAGGCCTCTCTCTGAAAAAGCTATAGTCCATGGGCTTGTCCTTCTCCTTGTCCTCCTATTTTTATAACCCACAGAACAAGTCAGGCTGTAGCAGAAATCCCTTGGGAGGGCAGAAAAAAGAAAGAAATGGAATAGGTCAAGCCAGAATCTAGGTATTAAGTATAGAGGCTGGGGATCCTCGAATGTGAATAAGTTTGGTCATAACACGTACTTGAAATGCTTTGTCCAGTGCTCAGCCTATGGTATATAATGTTGTTATAGTTCATTGCCCAAGGCCAGCTGATTCTTTCCATTACGGCCAGTGGAAATCTTCACATATGCCTTTATGGGCTGGGTACAGTGGGCTCATGCCTGTAACCCCAGCAATTTGGGAGGCCAAAGTGGGAGGATCACTTGAAGAGCCCAGGAGTTCCAAACCAGCCTGAGCCACAAAGTGAGACCCTATCTCCACAAAAAAAGGTAAAAAATTACCCAGGTACGGTGGCACATGCCTACAGTCCCAGCTACTCCAGAGGCTGAGGAGCAAGGATTGCTTGAACCCAGGAGTTTGAGGCTGCAGTGAACCATGATAGCGCCACTCCAGCCTGGGCAACAGAGGGAGACCCAGTCTCTAACCAACAAACAAAAAGGCTGGTGTGAGGAGATTCTCCAAGGAAGGAAACACAAAATCTCACTGGCTTCCTCTGGATTTAGCCTCAGACCAACCTGGGTGGTTACTCCTATTATAAAACAGGGGTGGTGTGTGTGTGTGTGTGTGTGTGTGTGTGTGTGTGTGTTAGGGGGTGTTACTAGTCTCTCATTTCTTATAAAGAGTTCGGTGGGTGTCAACCTCTACCTGGATGACTTAGCCCAGGATCATTCTCATGACCAAGATAAGCTACAGAGCCCAGAAGCGAGACAAATGAGTGAGATCATCTTCCCCACCCCCAGAGAAATTTAAGGTCCACTATGGAAGCCACCGCCCTTTATTGATTGGAGGTGAAGGGCAGAAAAGCATGGCAGAGGTCTTCTGCCCCCACCCACATCGCCAGCACCCATTCTAGGTCGGCGAGCCCTTGCTGAATCCACAGCCCAGAGTCTCAGGTTCTTGCCCCTAAATCCTATCTCTTGTAGCAACTAACTTTGAACACAACATTAAAAATTGCCTCCATTTCCTGTGACAGTACACATTCAACATTGTTGAGCATCTTTCCATGCTAAGTTCTTCCTGCATATTTTCTCATTTTATAGGGAAACCCCCTGTAATTAAGTTTTTTGGGGTTTTTTTGTTTGTTTTGTTCTGTTTTTTTCAGACAGAGTCTTGCTCTGTCACCCAGGCTGCAGTGCAGTGGCGCCATCTCGGCTCACTGTAAACTCCGCCTCCCGGGTTCACACCATTCTCCTGCCTCAGCCTCCCGAGCAGCTGGGACTACAGGCTCCTGCCACCACGCCCAGCTAATTTTTTGTATTTTTTTTTTTTTTTTAGTAGAGACAGGGTTTCACTGTGTTAGTCAGGATGGTCTCGATCCCTTGACCTCGTGATCCACCCGCCTCGGCCTCCCAAAGTGCTGGGATTACAGGCGTGAGCCACCGCGCCTGGCTTGTAATTAAGTTTTTATCTTACCATTTAAAGAAAAGCAATTTGGAATCCAGAGAGGGTAAGCAACTCACCCAAGGTCACACAGCAGATGCAGGACAGAGGGAGGGTTTGGAGCATGCCCATCTAAAGCCAGAGCGATATTCTCTATATTGCACTGCATATACTTTCCTACCTGCCAAAGAGCTGTGTTTCATACTCTCTGAGTCTTGGTTAACTATCACTATGCATTTAAGCTGAATTTTATATTTAAAAAAAAATTGAGAAAGGGCAGGGAAAGAAAATCTCTCTGAATCACTCAGATTACTGATCCACAAAGATGTCACCCTGACAGGCACTTCCTGGGATGCAACCCCTGGCCTTTCATTCCTCCAGCTCACTCATGATCAGGCAGGTCTTGGACGTGCTCACAGGATACGAGGCTGTCCGTGTCACGGCACTCAGTCGTCCCAGTGGAGGCTCATGCCGCCAAGCAGGGTGGCAGGAAGGGGGTAACAGCAGATGGTTCTGATCAAAATCTCACCCTCCTTCCTCTGGGAACTTAGACGAAGTAGTGGTAACCAGACCTAAGACAGGAATTCATCCCAATCAGAGAGCACCTGCCTCCCAAAAGTAAATAAAATTATATTAAAGACAGAAATATTAGAGGCTTGATAACGTAATCCTAAAGTAATCACTTTGAATTAGGATAATGGCTGTGTCCAACTCCTTATTGCATTTATTTTGAATATCACATTCTTTCAACTCTCATTATTTTAATTATGTTCAATTACAGACATTTGCATATGCTTTATCATGGATATTAGTGAGGGGGAAAAGACTTCCCTGAGTTAAATGATGAACAGATATTTCATATTATATTACATTTGCACCTCCTGAAAATCTGATTTAGTTACAGCCCAAAGAGAAGTCCCAAGATAGAATGCGAATTGAATCGGGTCTGAATTTTCTGCCATGATGTCGGGAGCACATGTATGTAGAGACAGCCACTCAAAAATCAAACTAGAGCTGGTGAAGTACTGTGGGCTAGAGCCAGGCAGAGATTTGCAGCTTGTCTCTGGCTGTGGGGCCTCAGGAAAATCAAGCGACCTCTCTGATCTTCACTCTCTGCATCTAGAAATCTTGGAATACAGTTCCCATGTCACAGTGTAACTTCAGGGATTATATAAAATGCTATTGAAAAGTGCTTAGCTGGGTGTCAGGGATAGAGTAAGAGTTAAAAAATTAGCTATAGTTTTCAGTAAATGGTGCTGTTGCAATTGGACATTCATAAGCCAAAAACAAAAAAGATAAACCTCAAACTAAACATAACTTTTAAAAAAGAGAGCTGGAGATGGGGCCTTGCTATGTTGCCTGGGCTGCAGTACGGTGGCTACTCATAGGAATGATGATAGTGCCCTACAGCCTCGAACTCCTGGCCTCAAGTGATTCTCCTGCCTCTGCCTCCCGAGTACCTAGAAAAACAGGCACATGCCCACATGCCCCTGTGCCCCGCTTATGACTTTTATAACAGAATAGATCACAACCTTAAGTGTAAAATGTAAAACTATAAAAAGCTTTGAAAAATATAAAAGAAAATGATGGATCTAGGGCTAGGCAAAGAGCTTTCAGGCCAAAACATGATCCATTTTTAAAAATTCATAAATTGGACTTCATCAAGACTAAAAACCTTTGCTGTGCAGAAGATCCTGGAAAGAGGATGAGGAGACAAGCTACAGCTGGGGGAAAATATTTGTAAACCACATACCCCACAATAACGAATGAATAATATCCAGAATATAAAAATAACTTTCAAAACTCAGTAATAAACAAAGAAAAAAACCAATCCAATTAGACAGGAGGCAAAATATGTGAACAAACAATTCAATAAAAAGTAGATGCAGTTGGTAAATGAGAACATAAGAACGTATTCGACATCATTAGCCATCAGGGAATGAACTATAAATTCAAAAGGCAATATCACTACAACCTGTAAGAATAGCAAAAAAATTAAAAATAATGACAATCCCAAAAGCTGGTGAGGATGCAAATAAACTGGATTGTTCATACAATGCCACTAGGAATGTAAAACCGCTTAGCCACTCTAGGAAACAGTGTATCAGTGACACATAAACTAAACATCCAATTACCACACGATCCGGCAGTTGTACGCTTCGGCATCTGTCCTAAAGAAATTACAACTTTATATTCACACAACACCCTGTACACCAATGTTTACAGCAACTTCACTCACAGTACCCCCAAACAACCCACATGTCCTTCAACAAGTGAACAGTGCAACTGTGTATATTCATACCATGGGACACTATTCAGCAATGAAAGGGAGTGAAATATTGATACACACAACTTGGGGGAATCTTCAGGGAATTATGCTAAGTGAAAAAAAGCCCATCCTAAAAGACTGCCTACTATGTGATTCTATGTATATAACATTTTAGGAATGACAACATTTTAGATACAGACAACGAATCAGTGGTAACACGTGACAGGAGGCAGGGGTGAGAGGGAGGTGAATGTGGGTATGAAAGGGACACTTACAGTAATGGAATGATTCGATATCTTAAGATATTGTACCATAGTTTTGCAAAATGTTGACACTGGGAGAAACTGGGTAAAGTGTACATAGTTTCTGATCAGAACTGCCTGTGAATGTACAATTGACTCAATAAAAATTTCAACAGTCTGGACGCGATGGCTCACGCCTGTAATCCCAGCACTATGGGAGGCCGGGGCGGGTAGATGGCCTGAGGTCAGGAGTTTGAGACCAGCCTGAGCAACTTGGTGAAACCCCATCTCTACTAACAATACAAAAATTAGCCAGCTGGGGTGGTGCATGCCTGTAAACCCAGCTACCTGGGAGGCTGAGGCAGGAGAATGGCTTGAACCTGGGAGGCAGAGGTTGCAAGATCTGCCAAGATTACACCACTGCACCCAGCCTGGGTAACAAGAGCGAGACCCTGTCTGGAAAACAAAAAAAAAAAAAAGTAAAGAAAAAAATCAATAGAAAATAAAGAGGAATTTTGGGTACCCAAAAAAGTGCTATTGTTTCTATAAAATAAATGTCTCTCTAGATGGTATACGGGTGGATACTAATGGATTCCTAAGTCCATATGAAAAGATGAAAAGTAGCACCGGTTTGCCTTGGCCTCATTCTTCTCAAACGTAAGTGTGATGGCCAAGCCATTATTGCTTGGGTTGTAGAGCACCTGGCCTTTCTGTGCGCCCCCAGAGGCAGCCAGATGTTTCATTTTCTCCATCACACTGCTGCAGGTCACTGAGGACACACTGGATTCTTGTCTTTGGGGGCAGCCTGCCTCCAGGTACCATGCGTGTGCAACTGCCTAAAAGTCACAAACACCTTCCCAAATGGCAAGATGGAGGAAGAGTACTACTAGGAATGTCCCAGAAAAGGCAGGTGCTCCCCCTCCCCTGGGGGCTGCTGGGGCAGTCCTGGCTTCTAGCCTTGGAGCTGGCTGCCTGGGTTTGAACCTTCCCTCTGCTATTAGATGGGTGCAAAAGTAATTACTTTTACACCAACCTAATACCAGCTTCTGTGGCTTTGGGCCCATCACTTAACTCCTCTGTGCCTCATTTCTTCATCCGTAAAATGGGAATCATAATAGCAACTATTATACCTTACAGGACTGTGGAGAGAAGGGACTGAATTAATACAGTCCTGAACTGCAGAATGAGTTTCTCACCAAGGATGGATGGCATCCATGACAATGGCCCCATAAGATTATGATGGAGTTGGCCGGACATGATGACTCATGCCTGTAATCCCACCACTTTGGGAGGCCGAGGGGGATGGATCAGGAGGTCAGGAGATCGAGACCATCCTGGCTAACACGGTGAAACCCCGCCTCTACTAAAAATAAAAATATATATATATGAGCCGGGTATGGTGGCGGGTGCCTGTAGTCCTGGCTACTCAGGAGGCTGAGACAGGAGAATGGTGTGAACCCGGGAAGCGGAGGTGGAAGTGAGCCAAGATCGCACTACTACTGCACTCCAGCCTGGGCGACAGAGTGAAACTCTGTCTCAAAGAAAAAAAAAAAAAAAAAAAATATATATATATATATATATATATATATATAATGGAGTTGCCCTATACAGGTGTACCATTTTTATTCTGTCTTTTTACTGTACCTTTTCTATGTTTAGGTGTGTTTTGATTCACAAATGTGACCACTGTGTTCCAACTGCCTACAGTATTCAGTACAGAAAAACGCCATATAAGTTTGTAGCCTAGGAGCAAAAGGCCAGAACATACCGCCTAGGTGGGCAGGAGGCTATACCATCTAGGTTTGCGTTAAGTGCCTTCTGTGATGTTCCCATAATGACAACATTCCCTAACGATGCACTTCTCAGAATGTGTCCCCATTGTTAAGAGAGCTATGCCTGTACAGGTAAAGCACTTAGCCCTGTGCAGACCCATGGTAAGATAATACCAGAATGTGCAGTTACTATTCTCTCATAAGATTGTTCCAAGGGTTAGGTAAGTAATTCCTGTCAATGAAACCTTTTGCATAGCAGCTGCCACACAGACAATGCTCAGGACTTGACAGTTCACTGGGATAACTATGGCTGGATAATAATTTGGTAAATTAATTGATGCGTTCCTCTTCTCCCTGCAGTTTTCCTTCTTTGCTTCCTCTATTCAAGTAGTTCATTGCTTTAGAAAAGTCGGTTACTGCAAAGACTTTCTTACCTGTCCTTTGTCTCTAAAAGCATAAGCCCCAATATGGAGAGAGGTAACGTGTATTTAGGCAGCAGAAAAGAAATAGGGACTTTTATTGCTCCTGGTTCCATGAGGAGGAAGAGGAAGAGAAGAAGAAGGGGGAGGGGAAGGAGAGGAGGAGGGGGAGGGGAAGGGGAGGAGGAGGAGGGGGAGGGGAAGGAGAGGAGGAGGAGGGGGAGGGGAAGGAGAGGAGGAGGAGGGGGAGTGGGAGGGAGGAGGAGGAGGGGGAGTGGGAGGGAGAAGGAGGGGGAGGAAGAAGAGGAGGAAGAAGAAGGAAGAAGGAAGAAAAGGAGGAAGGAGAAGAAGAAGAATGTGGGAGGAAGAAGAAGAGGAAGAAGGAAGAAGAAGAAGAGGAGGAAGAGGAGGAGGAGGAGGGGGAGGAGGAGGAAGAGGAGGAGGAGGAGAACGAGGAGGGGTAGGGAAGGAGGAGGAGGAGGAAAGAAGGAAGGCAGGGAGGGAGGGAGGGAGGGAAGAACGCCTGAACAGCCAGACCTGACACCCCCCGACAGCCTGGCCCTGTTAAAAATCACTGTTCAGAATACTCATGACTCCAGGAGTGGAAGAAACAATCAAATCCAATCTAATTCCAACTCGATGCTCTCTTGGGTGTGGGGAAGCCCCAAGCAGGATGGAGGTTGAGTTACAGAATAACAACGAGAGTCAGAAATGAAGTTGGTTTCAAAAAACAAGGACCACGCTTCCTGAGCACCTGAGCCATCCTCCTGCCCAGGGTGCTAGCGTTTCCTGCACCACAGAGTGGTGATCCCCGAACTGGGCTGTGCGGTTTTTCCCCGCCTACCCCACCGTACCCCTCTCTTCACTGGAAGGTTCCATGAGTCAGTGCCAGGGCCCCAGCCCTTATCTCCTTTCCTTCACACACTCCTTGGGAGACCGATAAAGCACTATTCAGTGACAAAACTAGATTTGTCCGCGGAGAAGCTCCACGTCTAAGTGGATGTGCAGGAGCTGTCAGGGAATATTTTCTCCTCCCCACCCACTAAGCTTTTAAAACGACTCAAGTGCCACCCTCCCTAATTACCCAATTCAGTGGCGCACACAATGGATCTGCCACTTTCTGAGGATTTCTGACATCCCTAATTCCCCGTGGCCTCTCAGCTCTGACAGGAGGCATCTGGGGTAATGGGGGGCAGGGACGCAGAGCTGGGAGAATGCAGGGAGTTAATTGGAGAGACGGAGATGCAGGTGAGAAGTGAAGTCGCACTCACTCTTGAGTCAGAGCTGCAGACATCAGCGCTGGGATGACTTAGAGGCGGTCTGTGTGACCCTCTTACCTGACAGAGGAGGAAACTGAGGCAGAGAGGGAGTGGTAACTGGACAATGGTACATCTGGGACTATAATTCAGGTATTCATGTACTCACCCATTCATTCACTCATGATTCATTAAAGCATTCATCTGCCAGACACTGCTACATCTTGAGACATAACAGATATAATAGTGAACACAGCAAAGGCTCCACATTCCAGGTATTTACGTTCTAGTAGAGAGAAATGGGAAGTAACCATCTATTTCTAGTAAGTTCTGTAAGGAAAACACAGCACAGTAAGGAGAAAGAGAGATGACAAGGGGGCTGCTTATTAGTCAAGATGGTCAGGAACGTCCTCAGTGGTGAGATGAGATTTCAGCAGGAGCCCACTTGAAGAAAATGGATAGAGCCATATGGATGAGCATTCTAGGTATGAGAGGGCTTTTAAAAAATCATGTGCAGGCTGGGCACAGTGGCTCACGCCTGTAATCCCAGCACTTTGGGAGGCTGGGGAAGGCGGATCACCTGAGGTCAGGAGTTCAAGACCAGCCTGACCAACATGGCGAAACCCCTTCTCTACTAAAAAATACAAAAATTAGCTGGGTGTGGTGGTGGGTGCCTGTAATCCCAGCTACTTGGGAGGCTGAGGAAGGGAAAACTGCTTGAACCCAGAAGGCGGAGGTTGCAGTGAGCCCAGATCAAACCACTGCACTCCAGCCTGTGCAACAGAGCGAGACTCCATCTCAAAAAAAAGAAAAAAAAAAATTCATGTGCAAAGGCCCTATGGTGGGAACATCCCTGGACTATTCCAGAAACAACTTGGCGGCAATGTAGCTGGTTCTCAGCATGCTTGGGTAAAGGTAGTAGGGTGAGATGCAGTCAGAGGGTCAATGGGACCACATGCCACAGAAGCTGACAGGCCATTATAAGGCTTCTGGCCCTGTGCCCCATGAGATGGCAACTGCTGGATCTGGAGCAGAGATGTGTCCTGGCCTTTTGACAGACTCCTCAATCTGCATAGACTCCTTGGATAACAGAAACACCCTTTAGATAAGCGTTTTTCATTCTTGGCACCACTGACCTTTGGGACTGCATAGTTCTTTGTGGTGAGGGGGTGCACTATGGGATGTTTACCGGCCTGCCTGGCCTCCGCCCGCTAAACACAAGTAGCAGCTCCCCTATTCTGACAGCCAAAAATATCCCATGCACATTGTCAAACGTCCGTTCAGGGGCATCTAGTTGAGGACCACCGTTTTAAAACATCACACGGCCGGGCACAGCGGCTCACACCTACAATCCCAGTAATTTGGGAGGGTGAGGCAGGTGGACCACTCGAGGTCAGGAGTTCAAGACCAGACTGACCAATATGGTGAAACCCCATCTCTACTAAAAATATAAAAATTGGCCCAGCCTGATAGTGGGCACCTATAATCCCAGCTACTCATGAGGCTGAAGCAGGAGAATCACCTGAGCCTGGGAGGCGGAGGCTGCAGTGAGCTGAGATGGTGCCACTTCAGTCCAGCCTGGGTGACAGAATGAGACTCCATCTCAAAAATAAAATAATAAAATAAAACATCACACAACTTCAGAAGGAAAGAAATAATCTAATCCAATAGTTTCCATGCCTCATTAAACATTAGCATTATCTGGGAAGTTTGTTTTTCCAAATACAGATTCCAGAGCATCACCCCAGACCCACAGAACCTGTGTCCCCAGGGGCTAGGGCTCCAGAACATTTGTAGATGCCAGCTCTCCATAATACCCCAAAGATCCAGCCCAGCCCTCCTCCAATCCCTGTCTTTCCTGTTGACCCTTCACATTGCTGCTGCCAAGGCGCAGAGCCTGTACTATTATTTAATCATATGTTTCCCTAAGTCACCCAATGTCTTTTACTTAATTATTGATGCTAAAAAGGGAAATCTGTATCGGTAGCTCCCAAACTGATATCAAAGGTGTAGGACCCACTGAGCATCCTGTCAAGAGGAACGTAGCCTGGGGTGGAGTCTGATGCGCATTTTCCGTGAGCTCCCAGGGAGGCAGGCTGTGGGTCTGCAGATCGCACTCTGACTTCTGAAACTCCACATCACTTCCAGAAATGGAAACCCTACTTGTGGCACATAGAAGGTAGTTATAAAAAGCAAGCCCAGTGTAAACAAAACCATGTGAAATGGCAGGACGACAGCGTTGCCCGACAAAGTGTCTGAGCCTGAGGTCTGCTCCCTCTGGTGCTAAAAGGGGACATTAGAAGGATTTAAGAGGCATTAAACACACCCATTCACAGACGCACACACACCTACCTGCTATTTGCTCTTTCAGGCCACCAGAAGCACTAAGAGGGAATGAAACCTCCTCATGATATTAATTAATGTTGTCTAATGCCTGCTCAGTGTCTTACCTAAAATTATCACAAATCCCCTCCAAAGTCACCAAGCAGACCCCTCAACTCTGGGAAATACTCAAGAAGTCCAATTTTCTCTACTTAACTTCTGAGAATGCGGAGGATCACTGCTCATTGCCCCACAGGTAGCCAATAAAAACTGTGAACAGCTCTCAGGTCTGCTGTCTGCCCAGGGCCAGAGCGAGAATTCGGCCTCCTGCAGGATCCTGAGACACCCTGAAGCTCCCCATCCCACTGACGCTATCTGCACTTTCCCCCGGAACTCACCACAACCAGTCCCACCTGCCTGGGAGGTCATTACCATCTATACCGTTCTGCCGCCCCCTGCTCTCTCTGCAAGCTGTGGCCTAGTCACAAGATCCTGCTGGAGGGAAGGAGTCGATTTGGAGATGGCAATCACTTAGCCAAGGGAGATGCAAACAGTGGTAGGAGACATTAAAGCATTTTAACACTTGACCTTTATGCCCGAAGCTAAATAAACAGAATTGTTTATGATAGCTAAGATTGCAGTTTCCTGCCTTCCAGAGAAAGGCTGCTGGCAGAAAGGAGCCTAAGTTCCTAGAGAGAGGGAGGAGGGTGGAGCTGATTGGAAGACTTTTCAGGAACCCTTGGATCAAATTCCCTAGCACAGCAGTTTCTGCAGGCAAGAGTCTGGACTCTGGTGTCAGACTGTCTGGGTTCAAATCCCAGCTCTGCCACGTCCTACCTGTGTGAGTGACCATGGGGAAGCAATTTAACCTCTTGCACCTTAAATACACTTTAATTTCTTTCTTTCTTTGAGTCAGAGTCTCACTCTGTTGCCAGGCTGGAGCGCAGTGGTACGATCTCGGCGCACTGCAACCTCTGCCTCCCGGGTTCAAGCGATTCTCCTAACTCAGCCTCCGGAGCAGCTGGGACTACAGGTGCACACCACCACACCTAGCTAATTTTTGTATTTTTAGTAGAGATGGGGTTTCACCATGTTGACCAGGATGGTCTTGATCTCTTGACTTCGTGATCCATCTGCGTCGTACTCCCAAAGTGCTGAGATTAGAGGCGTGAGCCACCATGCCCAGCCAGCTGCATTTTAATTTCTACGTGGTGAAACTTAACTGAGAGAATGTAAGGATTACATGAGGGCAATACATATAAACTATCCTCATATCACATAGTAAATGCTCAGTGAATTAGTTATTATGGTGTTAAGCCCCTCAACAGTCACTAATCACATTGAATGAATGTTTCCTCTCTTGAGATAAAAAGAAGGAAATAACAAAATAACAAATTTTGACTGCTGGCTATGGTTGTCAAGAGGGCTACATTACAATCCGAGTCTCCCATTCATTCCCAGAAACATACATTTCACATCACTGCAACAAATGATACCTCTCACGCTCATCAGATCAAGAAAAAATCCTCCATTCCAGAAACGTGCTGGGGTTTACTTTTACTGCAAGAACCAGGTGAGCAGGGGCATCCTTGGAGCTCACCTCAGACAGGTAAGGGAGTTTTAACTGGAAGCTTTCATGCCAATCATTTCTGCCCCAAAAGAAAGCAGCTGTCTCATTTAAGGAACACTCATTCCCAGTTTCAGTTAAACCATTGTCCATGGTTCTGCAAAAATGGAGGAGAAGGCGAGAGGGGCCTAGGCCTAGTAACTTTCTTAGCACCATAACTCATTAATTTAGTAACAAAGAATACAGCATGGAACGGGAAACACAGTGACTTCACAATGGAGAAGCTGGCAGCCACCCCCTCAGCCCACCAAAGTGGGCACCGTGATGAACAGTATTGGGGGTGTAGCTCTCGCTATATGATGAGAAGAGCATTTCACTTCTGCAGTGTTGTTCCCCACAACTCCAAACCCCAGGCTAATCATGAGAAACACATCAGCCAAACCCAGACTGGATGTACAGGACGCCGGACTGGTACCCCTCAACACTGTCATCATTTAAAAAAACAACAACAACAAAAAAAAAAACAAACAAAAAAACAAAAAAAACACTTTGAGACTCTGAGTCTTTTTCACATAACAGAGGAGATTAGTGAAAAGGGATAACCAAATGCAATGTGGTACCTGGACTTGGATTTGGAATAGAAACAGGTGATTAATGGAAACACCAGTGAGATCTGAATAGAATGTGGCCTTAATAGTAATATAGCAACGCTGGTCGCTTCATTACAACAAACCTACCCTGTTGATGGATGACGTTATCAGTCGGGAAAACCATATGTAGGGTATACAGGAACTCTCTGTGCTAACTTGGAAACATTTCTGCAAATCCAAAATTATCCCCAAATACAAAGCTTATTTTTTTTATTTTTTATTTTTATTTTATCTCTTAAGAAATGGGGCCTCACTCTGTCACCCAGGCTGGAGTGCAGTGGTGTGATCATAGCTCACTGCAGCCTCCAATTCCAGGGTGCAAGTGATCCTCCCACCTCAGCCTCCTGAGTATTTGGGAATACAGGAATGCACTACCACACCTGGCTCTTGCTTTTTTTTTTTTTTTTTTTTTTTTTTTTTTTTTGGAAGAGACAGGATTCTCCCTAGGATGCCCAGCCTGGTCTTAAACTCCTGCCCTGCAAGTGATCCTTCCACTTTGGAAAGCTTACTTTACAAAACTGGGGGCGCGGTGCTATCCACAGCTGCTCACATATGAGAAAGAGGAAGAACACACACAAAGTGGGAATTGAAGCCAGCATGGCAATGTCTGGATATCATGGAATATCGATTTTAGCAGGGAATAAAGGAACAGTCAAAAAAACTGTCTAAGCCTGTGATGTTCATAAATTTCGACTCAAAAAGCCAAAAAAGGCTTTTTGAGTAGAAAACCTAGAGAAGGGAGCCACCTTGATGGTGGTGTCTCTTAATACAGATCGGGACAGTGGGCTAGTTGCCTGCCCCACATCTGACCTTCTGTATCTTTGGATTGGAGCACTCTTCTAACTTTTCTTGCAGTTCAAAACAGACAACTGAGCCTGTTTTCCAATCAGCAGTTGGTTTTCTCTTCTCTGTGGCTGCTCTCCCCTCTCATAGTAAGCAGCAGCCTTGCAGTTGTTCCCAGAAGCTGGAGGCTGTTTCAAGGGCCAAAGGTGAGCTTACAGTCACCTGGTTTCCATGGAAACCGAAGCATCGCCATGCTCTCTCCAGAGCGACTTGGCAAGGCCCCAAGTACGTGTCTCTCCATTTCGAACTAATCTCCCCTGCACCGCACACACAGGTTTCCCTGGGGGAGCATTACCAGGGATCGTAGGGACACATAGCTCCCACAGTGACCATGGAGGGCAGGGAGCGGTCTCTGGAGAGACTCTGCATGACGGGCTGGCCTGTGAAAGCCCAGGAAGGCCTCCAGCATTCTCCCAAGATACACACCTCCTCCAGGGTCATGGGGCAGGCAGAGAGGTGGTGAGGAGCCATCATCAACCATTTTTCCAAAGTCACCAGAGTTTTTGGAAGGAGCAGCAACCTCAGTTCTGCCCACACAATATAGCTACAGAGATGGGTGGTCCAGTCCAGTGGTTTCCGGAATTTAGCTTACTAGAAAATTACCCAGAAGACTTGCCACCATGCAGATTCCTGGGCTCTGAGACAGGAGATTCTGATGCCCTGTGTCTGTGATCTGTGTTCCTACCCATCCCCTCCCCAGGTGATGCTGGCAGAGGTGTATCAAAGATCAGACTTTGAGAAGTGCACGTGCAGGAGGAAGCAGAGAGGAACCTGCACTTCTAACGTTGTTCCACATCTAATTTGCTTTATCATCTTTAGCAAGACCTTATTGATACATTGATTGACAGAGTCTTGCTCTGCTGCCCAGGCTGAAGTGCAGTGGCATGATTTTGGCTCACTGCAACCTCCACCTCCCAAGTTCAAGCAACTCTCCTGGCTAAGCCCCCCAAGTAGCTGGGATTACAGACATGTGCCACCGCACCCAGAGAATTTTTGTATTTTTAGTAGAAACAAGGTTTCACCATATTGGCCAGGCTGGTCTCGAACTCCTGACCTCAAGTAATCTGTCTACCTCGGCCTCCCAAAGTCCTGGGACTGCAGGTATGAGCCACTGTGCCTGGCCTCAAATACTGTTTTCAAGGATGGCAGGATAGAGACCGTGATGTTCCTCAGAATACCTTAGAATTCCTAAGGGAAGTGGACCACCCTGGAATTTCTTTCCTAATGGGATTCTAAGGAACATCACTCTCTCTACCATGCCACCCTAAAACAAAAGGGGTTCTAAGGCCAAATAGTTTGGTAATTAGCGTTTATTCCGCTCTTCTCTACAAAACACATTATGTAACATTTTAGAGACTAAGTCCTGCCATAAAGGAGTCTATGTGAGCTTTTCATCCTGATGTTTTCCTAACTCGTGTGCTCACAGAACTCTGTTGTTGCTGCTGTTGTTTTCTTGTATGCTACTTGCTACTAACAAAGTCCTGGGATACCGAACTGGGTAAGTGGCGGGCTAGAAAATACTAATTATTTTATTTTATTTTATTATTTATTTATTAATTTATTTTGAGATTGAATCTCACTCTGTTGCCCAGTCTAGAGTGCAGTCTAGAGAGTCTTGGCTCACTGCAACCTCCGCCTCCCAGGTTCAAGCAATTCTCTTGCCTCAGCCTCCTGAGTGGCTAGGACTACAGGTACACGCCACCACATCCGGCTAATTTTTGTATTATTAGCAGAGATGGGGTTTCACCGTGTTGGCCAGGCTGGTCTTGAACTTCTGACCTCAAGTGATCCACCTGCCTCAGCTCCAAAGTACTGGGATTATAGGAATGAGCCACTGCACCCTTCCAGATAATAAAAAATATTAATTATTTTGACTGAGTTATTACTATATGTCGAGCGCTAGCCATTCAATATCTCATTGAATTATACAACTGCTCTACCCAAAGCAGCACAACCAGCAAATGGCAGAACCTAGATTGCAACCCCAAGCATTTTGACATTAAGCTTAAATTATGCTAGGAGCTCCTCCAACATGGGCAAGAGCACAGACTATGACATGACATCCTTTACTCCAGAACTGATCACAGATAAAGTAACTTTCTGGACACAGGAAAGATGAATACACTGGTTCAGGAAAAACAAACAGCAGTGCCTGTGAAAACAGCTTATAAAGGGGAAAAATCTGGACCCTAAAGTTTCAAATGCCAAGCAATACTAAACCATAAGTATACAACCCAACTTTATGAGTTATAAGCACACTCGGTTTTTCCCTTCCCTATCAGATGAGCTTTTGAGTAATGTAGCAGCCAGGCACCCAGCTCTGTGATGTATTACATTAATGCATTATCAGAAGCAGCTATTGCTCTAATGATATGGACGAAGGCTGCAGAGCTTGGGTGATGTATTGCTCCAACATACTGCAATGGAGGCATGAGGCAGATCCCGTGCAGGATAGCGATGCAGTTAGAAAGTAGAGATCGATTTATCAGGGCCATCCCAAGCCGGCATCGAGAAAGAGGAGTCAGCTAGGCTGTTGGAATTTATCAACATAATTATGTGCCATGATTTATTAAGTACTAAACAACATAGGCATCAAAGGCACTTTTGTTGTTGTTGTTTCAACTTATTAAAAAAAGAGGCCAACTTTTTAAAGTGATTTTGGTTTTTTACTTTTGTTATTTTTATTTATTTATTTATTTTTGAGACGGAGTTTCGCTCTTGTTGCCCAGGCTGGAGTGCAAAGGCGTGTTCTCTGCTCACCGCAACCTCCGTCTCCTAGGTTCCAGCAATTCTCCTGCCTCAGCCTCCTGAGTAGCCAGGGTAATAGGCATGTGCCACCATGCCCGGCTAATTTTGTATTTTTAATAGAGACAGGGTTTCTCCATGTTGGTCAGGCTGGTCTGGAACTCCCGACCTCAGGTGATCCTCCCACCTCTGCCTCCCAAAGTGCTGGGATTACAGACGTGAGCCACTGCGCCTGGCTTGGTTTTTACTTTTAAATAGTAAAGTTCCTCTATACAAATAATTACAACTAATGAAATCCTTAAACTAAAGATAAAACCTGGGTTGGGGACAGATCTTATTTTATTTTATTTCTTTTGAGATGGACTTTCGCTCTGTCGCCCAGGCTCAAGTGCAATGGTGCCATCTCAGCTCACTGCAACCTCCGCCTCCCGGGTTCGAGTGATTCTCCTGCCTCAGCCTCCCGAGTAGCTGGGATTACAGGTGCACACCACCACGGCCAGCTAATTTTTTGTATTTTTAGTAGGGACGGGGTTTCACCATGTTGGCCAGGCTGGTCTCGAACTCCTGACCTCAAATGATCTACCCGCCTCGGCCTCCCAACGTGCTGGGATTACAGGTGTGAGCCACCGTGCCTGGCCCAGATCTCTTTTAATCAGGTATGTTTCTCTCTTTGATGAGAAATAAGGCTTTATCAAGTTATTCATGAAACTCTACCTCTCTTTGCAGTTCCAAATGCAACAGGAACAGCTGAAGCAGTTGAGGGCTAAACCAAATTGGATCTGGCATTGCCTGCTGTGCATCCGAGGTAGAACAACGGCCATATAGAGAACAATGGTTAAGAATGTATTCTATTCTCACTGGGCTGAGCACTCTACATTCATTATTGCATTTCATATGCATTATAATCCTTCCATGTAGATACGATGATCATCTCTATTTTACAAATGAGGAAATGAGGTTTTAAGGATGTTAAATTAATTTAACCAAGGCTTCACAGTCAGCAGGTGACCTGAAAATGAAAATGCCGGTCATCCTGATGCCAGAGTCCATTCAATATGCATTTTCTGAGCCCTACGAAGTGAAGTTTAAGGTACAGGAGATTCATCACGGCTAAGTTTGGATAAGCCCCAAGTATGTGGAACATAATTTTAGCAGAAGAGACAGATCCTTGTCCTTGCTCCAAATGAATGAATGAACAAAGAAACAATTGAATGAATGAACAAAGAATGAATAAACAAATAAATGTATTATTGTTTAGAACAAAGAAACTCAGTCTACTGATATAAATGTGAATCTCATCCAAAACTCCCTCATGGAAGCATGCAGAATAATACTTGACCAAATATCTGGGCACCCCATGGCCTAGTCAACCTGACACAAAATTAACCATCAAAGCAACCTAACAATAACAAAAGTAATAAATCGAGACTGGTCCTTCATATCCTGCGTATATGACTTTTCTGACTCTGACCTAGGGAAGGCATCATTATCCCCATTTTACTGCTAAGGGAACTCTGGCTTTGTGCATACAGGTGTGTGAACAAAATGGCAAGACATACTAACTATGATGAGTTTGAAGGAAACAATGTCAGAAAAATAGCAGGTTGGTGAAGAGTGGTCAGGGAATAGAGTTCATGTGTGATATAGATCTAATTGCTCCTAACCATCAAAGACATATGACGTTTAAATCAATGTATATATCACACCTTAGACTCTGTTCATATATTTTCCAATACCTCCTTCTTTCACGAACATCCCTAATATTTTTGACGGTAAGTCCAGTTCTCTCCACCACTCCTAAATATAGATATCACATTTACCAATATCATAAGGTAGAATAGAATATTATTTTTAGCTCTGTCTCTTTACAGCAGGTAGTCAGCTGACTCTTTAACCTTCTGCCACACACCTTTGGTACATCTCAGGGCAGCTGAAATGTTTAAGACCCTGCCAGGCAGGCATGTTTCATCCATTCTCACACTTTCTGTAGCTATACGGGACTCAACAGAAATGATGACTCATGAAAAGCCCTGTTTTTGTCTGTGGAAAAGCTGGGGAAAGCATACCTTGCAGAAAACTCCTCAAGCATTCAAAGCTGATCTTGAAGACAAGATTTACCTCCCCTGCTACTAAGGAAGCCAAACAGCCAAGGGTGCATGGTGCCCAGGAAGGTGGCAAACAGATAGGAGATTCTCTGGAGTGGAGAGGGTGAGAAACACGTGCAGCTCCCAGGGGAGACTGCCAGAGCCCCACCATGAGGCAGGCAGGTCCTGAGCCACCGTAAGGTCAAATAATGAACAGGACATGTTCCCATCTCCTGGTCCATTACGTGCCTGAACCTTCCCTGATTGCCCGCAACCAATTATTCCAGGTGCCGCATCTCATCCCTGTTTTCCCATCACAGAGGTACTCCTAGCTAAGGAATTAGCCATAAGGGCCAACTCCCCTTCCCTTTCCCAGAAACATTCTCATTTTAAGAGAGGACGCTGGAATACTTGATGGAGTGAATGATGGACTCTCAGGCACTGGACACATAATGAGAGGTTTCTTTCAAAACAGAGGGACCTGCCATCACCATGCATATCATGCACTATTGATGGTCAGTGACACTGTCTAGCTGTAAAGCTGATTCCGGAATTCTTTTTCCATGTGTAGCCTATGGAAATAACATTTTTTCTAGGAATCCACTTAGCAACTGTATTAGTCAGGGTTCTCCAGAGGATCAGAACAGATAGGGAGGGAGGGAGGGTGTGTGTGTGTGCTTATGTGTGTGTATTTACTTATCATAAGGAATTGGCTCACACAATTATGGAGACCAAGAAGTTCCAAGATCTGCAGGATGAGTCAGCATGCTGGAGGCCCAGGAGAATGAATGGTGGTGTTTCAGTCTGAAGGCAGCAGGCTGCAGACCCAGAAAGAGCCCATGCTTCAGTTTGAGTCCGAAGGCAGGAAGAAGCACACGTCCCAGTTTGAAGTCAGGCAGGCAAGAGGAATTCTCTCTGATGCAGGGGAGCTCAGTTTTTCTGCTCTGTTCAGGCCTTCAGCTGACTGGATGAGGCCCACCCACATTACATGGAGCCATCTGCTTTACTCAGTCTACTGACATAAATGTTAATCTCATCCAAAACACCCTCATAGAAGCATGCAGAATAATATTTGACCAAATATCTGGGCACCCCATGGCCTAGTCAGCTTGACACATAAAATTAACCATGAAGTCAACATAACAACTGCAAATGTAATAAATCCAGACTGGTCCTTCATATCCTTCGTATATGACTTTTCTGACTCTGACCTAGGGAAGGCATCATTATCCTCATTTTACTGCTAAGGGAACTCTGGCTTAAACCGTTGATTAAATTAGTTATCCAAGACCACAAGAGCTAGTGCATTAGCAGGATTTTAACTTATGATGCTGCCCCAATTATTTGCTTTCCTTAAACACAATGAGTCTGTATCATAAAAATAAAATTAACACTCCAAATGATAGATAATTTAGCTTTGGGGGAAAAAAACAAAAACAAATTACCTCCTTTCATCCTTGAAACCTCCTGAGATCTATGGTCCCCACACCCAGCATATCTTATTTACCACCCTCACACCTTCTATGAACTTCCTCTTCCTCTTCTTGAGGATAACGTCCACACATGATGTCATTTCCTGTCACATGACAAGGACTGTTATGGGAGCCTAAACTGATTTGGCTCAGAATCAGCTCAGAAATACATCCTCACCACTGTGATATAAATTCCTTGAGGAAAAATAATAAGTAAGTCTGGTTCACTGCTCTATCCCCAGAGCCAGCAGAGTGCCTAGCACATAGTAGATCCTCAATAAACGTGTTGACAGCTGGACACCTGGATACGGGAGGAAGAAAGATAAAGATCGAAAGGGGACAGGAACACTGTCATGTCAGCTCACACAGGGAGCATCCTCTGGTATGGACACATAGCAAGACAGGATAGAGATGTCTCCTTGTGGAATGAGATGGTTGAGGAAAAACATCTGGGTATAAAACAGTTTGGGATATGTGCTTTAGGGTGCACTGAGAACACATGCTTGACAACAGTCACTTTACTTGAATATTATGCTTAAGCCAATCCTAAGAGAGAATGAAAAATGAGTATCTTGCAATGTGCATACTGACTCAAGGCATATTTTGCTGTGCAATGAAAACATGGCCATATAGTCATAGACTTCATGATTTTGATGTCAGTGCCATTTCAGTCAATTTCGCAGGGTCCTTTCTCTAAAAGAAGGAAAAGAAAGACCTCCATATTCATGACTCAGGTCTAAGTCCTGCTTCCTCTTTCATGACAGTCTGGCAGGTGCTAATTTGACTTGGTCGGCCCACAGTCTGTCTTCTCTACAGACTGTAAAATTACTCAGGGTCAAGATTTCTATCTTATTTCTACTTGAGCAACTCATTGGTTGAAACTGGAAATGTGATTAGCGTGCATTCTGGCTTAGAACCTAGAGAATGTTCCTTATGTGTAGCAGAAATATGCCACCATAGTCAAGAGAGGAGACTGCCTTGGTTTTAATCCCAAAAAAATGACCATAAGCAAGCCACTCACCCTCTGGGGTTTCAAATCCCCACCAGAAACACGTGTTTAATATTTAGAATTCTGGAAGAATGATGGCCATATAGTCTCTAATTCTTCCAAAATCCCTACATAAAAAAAAAGAGTAACCAGAACAAAATGAGTAAATAGACAACATCTATGAGAAACAACAAAGTGCCTTCATGAATGTCAAGATATAAGTGGACAGAGACCAACCATCCATATCCCAAGACTCCTGTGCTACCCTCCTCTATGTGACAGGAAGCAGCAAGAAACCTCAGGTCATGCGGCAGACTCAACAAAAGGAGACACCCATCGTGACCAAGAGGCAGTGGCAGCAATGTGTAGAGTGCCAATCTGAAGACAGCAGCTGAACTAGGAAGAGTATTTCCCAACCCAACGGTGAGTGAACACAACGTATCCCCAGTGAGCTGCGAAGCAACAGATGTGGTCAACTCCCTGCAAACGTTCAAACTCCAAGACTCCAAACTCTGCTTGCAAACTCCCAAACTCAACTAACCAGTCAGAGTTGCTTGGAGGACCATCCACACTGAGAAGATATTGCTGGAAGTCAGCAGCAAAAGAAAAAAAAATGAAACAAAGTCCAAATAAAAGTGATGGTGGTGAGGAGGAGGGGACAGACATCGCAGACAGCAAGGGACAATTTTTTAAAACTACATGAAAAGAAGCAAAAACAACAAAAGAGGGAGCTCTGTGAAGTTAGATAAGCTACCTAAGATTTTATGAAATATAATATCACTTAAAAATGAACAACAAAGGCTGGACATGGTGGTTCACACCTGTAATCCCAGCACTGTGGGAGGTTGAGGCAGGCGGATCATGAGATCAGCAGTTCGAGACCAGCCTGGCCAACACAGTGAAACCCCGTCTCTACTAAAAATACAAAAAAAAAAAAAAAAAATAGCCAGGCGTGATGGCATGTGCCTGTAATCCCAGCTACTTGGGAGGCTGAGGCAGGAGAATCGCTTGAACCCAGAAGGCAGAGGTTGCAGTGAGCCTAGTTCATACCATTGCACTCCAGCCCGGGTGACAGTGAGAGACTCCATTTCCAAACCAAAAAAAAAAAAAAAAAAAAAAAAAGAACAACCGAAAATAATCACAGGCATACCTCATACAAATTTATTATGAAAGAGAAAAAGGAGCAGACTAAAATCTCTACAGATAACAAAAGCATGCCAGAGAGGCATTGTCAAAAATAAGATCAATGCTGCAACATTCTATTTCAAAACATGCCAACAGGCATTGAGAAAGGGATACAAGAAATGGAAAACAATATAAATCAGAATTAGAAAGGCATAAAAATGAGGTGACAGAGTCTAAGGCAAAGAAATAAAAGAAAAAACTCATTTTAATAACCAAGAATAAACTAGAAAAACCTAAGGGCAAATCAATATGAAAACTAAAAGAGAAAAGGGAGAAAATATAAATAGTCCTCTCAGCAAAGGTGAATTTTATGATGTGTAAATCAAGCTGTTAAAAAGAGAGATAAATAAAAAGAAGATTCAAGAGTACGTAGCACATTTTAAAGATGGGTAAAATAGAGATAAGAGTCCTTGAAAAAGAAAGAGAAAACAAGAGAAAAGAACAAATTCTAAAAATCCTATTTCAAAGAGACTTTCCCAAAATTAAAAATTTTTAAAAATTAATGGAATCACACATCGAAACAAAAACAAACAGTATACCTGCAAATAGTGTTCTCAAGTGTCCTTTGTCAAGGATAGGATTGCAAATTACTAGACATTAGAAAAAAAAAATCTTCAGGCATCTTGGCAAAAGAACACATGATTTATAAGGGAAAGAAAATTATTTTCAGGTAGCTTGACAGAATCACTGTAGGCCTGAAGAAAAGGAAATAATAATATTTAAGAGACTTAAATAAAGTGACCCACGTGTTCTACATCCAACACAAGTCACCTACACACAGAAAGGATATAAACTGTAAACAACATGCAGTAACTCAGAGAAGAGAATCCTCATTGATCGTCCCCTAAAAATGTACTGGAGAGGCCAGGGCAGTGGCTCACACCGGTAATCCCAGCACTTGGGGAGGCTGAGGCGGGGGGATCATGTGATGTCAGGAGTTTGAGACCAGCCGGGCCAACATGGTGAAACCCCATCTCTACTAAAAATACAAAAATTAACCGGGCATGGTGGTACATGCCCATAATCCCAGCTACTGGGGAGGCTGAAACAGCAGAATTGCTTAAACCCAGGAGGTGGAGGTTGCAGTGAGCCAAGATTGCACCGCTGCACTCCAGCCTGGGTGATAGAGCAAGACTCTATCTCAATGAAATAAAATAAAGTACTGGAGAATGAGCTTTAGACCGTCAAAATGGTCAGACAGATGTAAACATCAGGATGGTTATTTGTAGAACTAAGACTGAGGGTTTATAAAGCAAAGTAGTCATAAGTAACATATATATGATCTGACAATGGAGACACAGCACAACTACGAAAAACAGAGGAATGGTAGGGATACCACATGCAAAGCAAAACAAAACAAAACAGCCAGTCCCCAAAGCAAAATACCCCTGCTTTCAGATATCCGAATTGATGGTAGTAAAAACTGACGTAGTCTGAGTATTATAATTCTGAGCCTGTGTGTATATATTGTTGAAGCAATCACATAATTTGGGAATATCCTAATTATATAACATCCTGTGTCCTTTACAAGCAGGATTCTTAGGGGGAAGAAGAAGAGATAGATAAAACAGAGAATAGATTTGTTAAAATCCCTGAAGTGTAAAACATGGATTGGAAGTATCAGTATGAGCCCATGGTGTATTTTATCCTTTTAAAATTGTGTGTGTTTTTCTTGCTTTATCTACTATAAAGGCATAGAAACGATGAATAACTCAGTAACAATGAGCATCTCTAGCACTCAGATTATGGTCATAAAATATCACTTCTCACTAAAAGAAATCAGGGCTTCTTGGAGAAATTACTGATTCCAATACCGGGTTAAGAAATGTATAAAATGAGCCTGGAAATCTTATCAAACCAGGTAGCAAGGAAGCTATCAAGAAGAACTAAGTCTTATCAAAAGAACTCAAGAGCCACAGTAATGTTACATAATGTATACATAGTATAAAAATTATTCATAGATTGATATATGCTCATTTTTAGGGATTAGTAGATCAAAAAAGCTTTCAGACCTCTGGTCTAGTCCTGGGACTGGCAAATGTTTTTGTAAAAGGTCAAGTAGTAAATATTTGTGGCTTTGCGGGCCAGATGGTCTCTGTTGCAACTACCCAACTCTGCTGTTGTTAACTCGAAGAAGCAGCCGTCAACTATATATAAATGAGCGGTCATGGCTGTTTTCCCATCAAACTTAATTTACAAAAACAGGTGGCACCTGAGCTATCATTTATTGACCCCCCCCCCCCCGATTTAGTGCAAGAAAGACAATTAAGTAGGTCATTTCAATCAGTGTTAGACTGGAGAAAATAAATCTTCAGTGATTTGAATCAGAACAAAGGCTGTTTGGGAAGAGGACAGGATAGTGACTGGTGGAGGCATGAATTGCACTTCCATGAGGCTGCTGATATGGTTTGGATCTGCCCCCCTACCCAAATCTCATCTCAAATTGCAATTCGCCAAGGGTGGGGGCTGGTGGAGTGATGTGATCATGGAGACAGGTTTCTTGTGAATGATTTTAGCACCATCCTCTTGGTACTGTTCTCACAACAGCGAGTTGTCAAAAGATTTTGGGCGTTTAAAGGTGTGTGGCGAAACCTTGTCTACTAAAAATACAAAAATTAGCTGGCTGTGGTGGAAGGTGCTGTAATCCCAGCTACTTGGGAGGCTGAGGCAGAATTGCTTGAACCTGGGAGGCGGAGATTGCAGTGAGCCGAGAACGCGCCATTGCGCTCCAGCCTGGGGGACTGAGTAAGACTCTACCTCAAAACAAAAACAAAACCAAAAAAAAGTGTGTGGCATCTCCTCACCTCACACTTGCTCCTGCTCCGGCCATGTGAACCGTCAGCCCTCATGTTGCCTTCTGCCATGAGCAAAAGCCCCATGAGGCTTCCCTGGAAGCGGATGCCACTGCCCTTCCCGAACAGCCTGCAGAACCATGAGCCAATGAAACCTTCACTTCTACTTTACCCAGTCTCAGGTATTTCTTTACAGCAGCACAAGAATGGCCGAATATAGCCAGTCACGTTCTATTTCTATATGCATCACTCACGGTGGCTTTATGAGTGTATTCACTTGTGAAAATTCATTGAGCAATGAATTTACAATTTGTTTACTTGATGTATATTAGACTTCAATAAAATATAGTACATCTGAAAAAAGAGTTAGGAATTTTATGGCTGGAGAAAGCACAGACGAAAAATAAGGAAAACCTGCTGCATGAAGTATGAAGAGGAAACTGTTGGGGGCAGCAAGAATGCCAGCTCCTTGGCCGAAACATTTCACAGCCAGGTGGATAACATCCAGATCTTCTGGGGAGGGTATCTCAGGGATCAGCTGATTTATAATGAGAGGTGTGAGCTGGAGGAGGAAAGGAGGATTGACGTAGAAAGACAACATGGTAATCCACCCACTGAACTCTCCAAAGAAGGGCCAAGGGAAACCTGGTCCCCACACCCACCACACTCAGAACGGCTACTCTGCCCATGAAACCAGAAAAATATCCTCACTCAGAGGCAAAATTAGAGTCTGCTTAAGTCAGAGATGAGGCAGGGTTTAGGGACGCAGTGATCTGAGTATCAACCACGATACTGCTTTTCAACAGTAATTTCTTTTGAAGCTTTGTGGAGGTCATTGGTGCCAGTCATTAAAAATGTTGGGCTTTCCACCTGCTTCTTATGTGACAGAACATTTCCTGGTTCTTTTGTAGGTGAAGGTGTGGTTATGTGTTTAGTTCTGCCTGAGTTGAAGCATGCCACTTACAGCTTGATTGGTTTCCCCACCCCCTAGCTTTGTGGAGGTATGGTTGACAAATAAAAATCGTATATATTTAAGATGTACCTCATGATGTTTTGATATATGTACACATTTTGAAGTGATTACCATAATGAAGCTAATTAACATATCAATCACTTCACACAGCTACGTTTGCTTGTGGTAAGAACATTTGAGGTCTACTCTCCTAGCAAATTTCAAGTATACACCACATTATTATTAACTATAGTCACTATACTGTATTTTAGGTCTCCAGAACTTGTTCAACTTATAACTGAAAACTTATACTGTGTGGTATAAACAGAGTGGCTAGCATCTTCCTATTTTTCCCACCGTCCAGCTCTGAGTAACCAGCATTTTACCCTCTGTTTCTATGGGTTCGACATTTTTAGATTCTACGTATAAGTGATATTATAGAGTATTTGTGTCTTTCTGTATCTGGCTTACTTCACCTAGCATAATGTCCTCCAGAATCATCCATGTTGTCACAAATAGAAAAACTCCTTTTTAAGACTGAATATAATTTCATTGTGTATACGCATGCAAACACACAAACATATCTATATATATACACACACCACATTTTCTTTATCCATTCAGCCATTAATGAACTCTAAGGTCATTGTGTGTGTGTATATACGTGTATATGGTATATAAATGTATATATGCACCAATGTGTGTGTGTATATGTGTGTATATATATATATACATATACACACACATAACCTAAGAGTCATTGTGTGTATATATAAGTGTATATGTTATATGTACATATATATACACAAACACACAATGGCCTAAAAGTCACTGTATGTATATATGTGTGTGTATATGTGTATATGGTATATGTGAGATATATATATACATAGATATAGATGCATATATACACACATAGATACATATATACACATATACATATATATCTATGTATACAAGTATCTCACATTTTCCATATCCATTCATCCACCATTGGACTCTTAGGTCATTTCATATTTTGGCTATTGTGAATAATGTGAATAAAGTGCAATAAACATGGAAGTGCAGTCCTCTCTTTATTTCCTTTGGATTTATACCCAGAAGTGGGATTGTTGGGTCATATGGTAGCTCTAGTTTTAATTATTTGAGAAATCTCCATACTGTTTCCCATAATGGCTGTACCAATTTACATTCCCACCAACAAGTGCCTAAGAGTTGTCTTTTCTCCACAACGTCACCAACACTTACGTTTTGGCCTTTGGACAACAGCCATCCTAATAGGTATGAGGTGGTATCTCATTACGGTTTTGATTTTAACCTCCCTGATCATGCTGAGCACCTTTTCATGTACCTGTGGTCCATTTGTGTGTCTTCTTTGGAAAAATATCTATTTGAGTCTTATGTCTATTTTTAAAAATCTGGCTATTGGCTTTTTGCTACTGAGTTGTACTACTTTTTATATAAAACACAGATATTAATCACTTATCAGATATGTGATTTGCAAATATTTTCTCCCATTTCATAGGCTGCCTTTCCATTTTGTTGAGGGTTTCCTTTGCTATGCAAAAACTTTCTGCTCTCACGTAAAACCACTTTTTATTTTTGCTTTTGTTGCCTGTGTTTTTGTGTCATGTCCAAAAAACTGCTAAGACCAATGTCAAGGCACTTTCTCCTGTTTTGTTTCTAGGAGTCTTATGGCTTTAGGTCTTAAGTTTAAGCATTTAATCCATTTTGACTTGATTTTTATGTATAGTATAAGATAAGGATCTAATTTCACTCTTCTGCCTCTGGATATCCAGTTGTCCCATTAACATTTCTCGAAGAGACCATCCTTTCCCCATTGCAGGTTCTTGTCACCCTTGTTGAAGGTCAGTTGATTATAGATGTATGGATTTATTTCTGAGCTCTCTATTAAGCTCCACTGGTCTATGTGTCTGTTTATATGCCAGTACCATAGTGTTTTAATTACTATAACTTTGTAATATAATTTGAAACCAGGAAGTGTGATACCTCCAGCTTCATTCCCCCAGAATAATCTTGCTCAAGATTCAACATCTGTTGTTCCTTGCCAACTTTGGATTTTTTCTGTGTGTACAACCTGATGGTTTAAACCTGGCGTATAACACTCCAGAACTTTCTTTATCTTTCTGAGCCAGAGAATGGCAATGGTGGGAATGATAACTGCTCTATCACCTTGGACCAGCTCCATGACCCACCTGCAATGGTCATGTAATGGAGCAAGAACCAAACCTTTGCTGGTTTAAGCTATTCAGGTTTGGGGTTTGATACAGCAGCATTACCTAACCTATAAAGACGGATGTGGGCATCTAAAATGCACTTAGATCAACATGCAGATTTTCATGAGTCTTTTTAAAGCTACAGTTTATCTTATACACATAAAAATACATTTTCAAATATTAACTCACATATTACGATCAGGATACATAATACAACCGTAAATGAGTAAAATGCCATTCTATCTTATTAAGTTAACACTTTCTAAATTCAAGACCAGAGTGGAGGCAATTACTTCCCAAGGATTAGAAGACCATATTGAACTTGGATCTCTGTCTGGAGTCCCAAAGATAAGCCCTATCATATAAAAGGAAATTCTTTCTCTCAAGGCGACATACTCACCATTATCATTATATATTAAAAAAAAAAAAAAAAAAACCAAACCCTCACTTCTCATACCGTAGCTGCTGGATTACTGAAAAGCGAATGACCCAATTCCTAATCCAGAGCCCAAGAAACAGGCTATACACACTATTACCACTTTTACTATAATTACTCTTAATGATAATAATAGTCACCTTCTACGATCTGTTAGCCATTTCTCAGTGCTTTACATATCATCATAAACAACATTTGCTCAGTGAATGAATGACTATGAATGAGGTAGAATTTGAAATGCATATTAAAGGAGACATGAGATTTAGACCCAATGAGACAAAGGAGTAAAGACATTTTAGGCCAGAGAGGATGATGTGAAGTGAAGAAAAAAGGTGGAGAAAGGCATGCCACATAATGGGAAAGGAGGCAGGCATTTTTTAGCAGAAAATGGAATTCAGATGTAATCTTAGAGATAAAGAAGGTCCCCTGAGTGCTTCATATCTAGGGACTGGGATGACAAAGCATAGTTCAAAGAAAACTGTCCTGATAGCAGTACAGGGTCAGGATGAGAACAGGGAGAGACTGAGTCTGGGAAACAATTTAGGGAAATACTGTAATAGCTCAGGCTTGATGAGAAGTGGATCTTGCCAAGGATGTAGGTATAAAGAGTGAATGTGACTATGTTTTGACCAACTATATATGAGTGTAAGTATGATGTGAGATCTCTGGAAAATCTTAAAGACAGGAGATACAGCCTTCTTTGCTCCTTTATTCATCATACCACCTGGAACATGTAAGCGATGGCTGGATCTCCAGGGGCTATTTTGTACCACGAGAACAGGAGCCATGGATGCATAACGGATTTGGAAGGAGAGAGATGGGCTCCCAATACCTTCATCGAGCTACCACACTAATCAAAGCCTACCTGTTTCTGGATCTTTTTTACATTAGAGAAAGATAAACTTCACCTTAATTTACTGTTATTTGGAGTTTCTCCTAGAAGCAACTGAATCCAGTTATACCTGATAAAGGAGGTTAGAGAACAAGGGGAGGCGGGACATGATGACTCATGCATGCAACCCCAGTGCTTTGGAAGGCTGAGGCAGGAGGACTGCTTGAGGCCGGGAGTTTGAGACCAGCCTGGGCAACAAAGCAAAACCTCATCTCTACCAAAATTTACAAAAAAGAAACATCAGCCAGCCATGGTGGCACATGCCTGTATTCTCAGCTGCTTGGGAGGCTGAGGTGGGAGGATTGTTTGAACTGGGGAGGTTGAGGCTGCAGTGAGCCATGATTGCACCACTGCACTTACCCTGGGTGATAGAGGAAGACCCTGTCTCAAAAAAATAAAACAATAATTAAAAAATTAAACTATTGTTTTGTTTTGTTTTGTTTTTTTTAAACAAAAGAGCACAAAGGGAGACCTAATAAGCCAAACAAATATAGTGTGAAGTAAGGGTTAAGAATTTCTGTCCCACCACCCGAATTTAGGTTCTGGCTTTGCTATTGAGTAATTTTGGAAGCTCAAGCAAGTACCTTGGTTTCAACAACGGTTAAATATGGAATAATGATAAGTAGTACTTACCTAATGGATTCTTAAGATGATTAAATGCAACAACTAATGTAAAATGTTCAGCATGCTCTGTGGTGCAAATTTTATTAAGCAATGCTGAATAAAATAGAATAGAATATGCCCCAAATGAAAAAAAGGCTCAAAATTCTTGGAGAGAGGAAATGAATGAGAAGGGAATGGATATTTCTGCCAGAGGGTTGTGAGAGGTTAGAAAAGCTTCCTGGAAAACACATTTCTCAAACTTTCTTTCTCCTTTCCAGGATCACCCATGTCACCTTCATGCCGTGAAAATGAAAAGTCCGGAGAAGGTAGCTTTTTCCCCCATCTCAGCCCTGCTGTCTTCTGGCCATCTTGGGAGGGAGCCTTTGACCACAATTGCGGTTCCACCTTCTGTTTAATGGGCTTATGGTCAACACTCTGTCAACAGCCTATCAACACCATTGATCTTCATGTTCCAGGAAATCCTGTGCTGTTGGGAAGAAGAGACACTTGGCTTCAATTCTGCATAAAAGGGGCTGATTAAATCAAAGGGATGTTTGGCTTTTCACTGTGTTGGGGTTGCTCCACACTGACAGAATGATGGAGGAGGTGCGGCTGGGCTCTGTGAAGTTGAAAACTCTTTCAGGGAAACCAGGCCACTTCTTAACTCCCCAAACACTTCATGAGGAGCTAGAGGTTTCGGAGATATGACTGCTCTGTGAACGGCATGAATCTGATTAACACTAAAAAAGGCAAGAAAAAAGAAGGTGGAAATGTGCATGGTTTAATGGCAAGCAGAATGTATTTATAGCTACATCTGGGGAATGTGTTTGAAGATGACATTGTCATAGCTCCATATTTGCTGTTTTCACGTAATACTTTGGGGGAACATAAAAAATGGAATTTGGGAGGGGCATGGGGCTGGTGGTAATGTGAAATCTAATAGGTTTGGGTCACCTTCTTCCACTCCGTATCCGTGTGACTGTGAATAAATAATAACTTCTTTCAGCCTCAGTTTGTTTATTGCAAAATGAGTTATGGTAATAATTAAGTGAAATAATATAGATAAAAGGGCTTAGTAAGTGCTGACTTCCTCTTATTCTTTTTTTCTTTCTTTCTTCTTCTTGAGACAGAGTCTCACTCTGTTGCCCAGGCTGGAGTGCAATGGCACGATCTTGGCTCACTGCAGCCTCCGCCACTTGGGTTCAAGCAATTCTCCTGTCTCGGCCTCCTAAGTAGCTGGGATTACAGGCACATGTCACCATGCCCGGCTAATTTTTTTATTTATAGTAGAGACGGGGTTTCACCATGTTGGCAAGGCTGGTCTTGAACTCCGGACCTCAGGTGATCCCCCCGCCTCTGCCTCCCAAAGTACTGGGATTACAGGCGTGAGCCACCGCGCCCAGCCTAGGGTTCCTCTTATTCAAAAACACTTGTTGGTAGCTGGATGGGGAGAGAGAGGGGCAGAGAGAGAAAGCCACCAGCAATTTCTTTCTTTCTTTATTTCTTTTTCTTCAGATAGAGTCTTGCTCTGTCAGCCAGGCTGGAGTTCAGTGGTGCGATCTCGGCTCACTACAACCTCTGCCTCCTGGGATCAAGTGATTCTCCTGCCTCAGCAACAATTTCTTTAGGATCTGCACAGCATCTTTCTGTTTTCTGGTGAAAACTGTCATTCCTTACACATCCTTAAAATTCAATCCAAACTCAGTTGTATTTTTGCTTTGGGCTTACCATGTGTTTTTTTCCTTCATCAGAAACTTAAATAAAGAAATTCTGTTTTGGACTTTTATACAAATTTCCTTTTTTCTTACCCCATGCACTCAAAATGAGGAACACTACTCTTAGAAAACACCCCTGTCATTGTATGTTCCTGAGCAAGAATGGATGCTAGGTCAATGGAATGACGTGTGTAGAATCTGCATTCACCCAATTTAAAATTTTAATAACAGTTGACCTTTGGGGCCTGAGAAATCTCTCCAGACAGACAACTGAGAGATTCAGGCTGAGGAAGAAACCTGGGAATTGGAAAGTGGGCTGGGAGCATCCATGTTCTATTGGTTCTCAAGGCAAGAGGTGGCTATGCAAGAGTTCCCTCTGTGAATGGTTAAACTCAAGTGAGCAATAGAAAGCCACTGTCTGATGCTTAGCCAGCATCAGTGCTCACTGGAACAGGATGGGCAGTCTGTCCTTGACCTCCTTACACTTCAGTTAAAACCACAGGTAGCACATAACAAGCCTTTCTCTGTGCCAGGCACTGCTGCAAGTTTTACCTGGTGTGGTCAGCAGAATAATGGCCTTCCTTCCTCCAAAGATGTTCACATCCTAATCCCTGGAACTTGCAAATATGTCATTTTATATGGCAAAAGGAACTCTGCAGATGTGATTTAGGTTGTTGAGATGGGGAGGTTATCCTGGACTATCAGGGTGTGCCTAGAGTTGCAATCTCAAGGGTCCCCAGAGGAGGTAGCCAGGAGAACCAAGGTTAGTAATATGCAGAGACAATAGTATCAGAGATTAGCGTGATGTGGCTACCAGCCAAGGAATGTGGGTGGGTGCCAGAAGCTAGACAAGGCAAGGAATAGATTATCTCCTGGAGCTGCCAGTAGAAACCTTGATTTTAACCCCACAGGTCTGCATTTAGACTTTTGACGTCCAGATCTGTAAGAGAATAAGTCTGTGCTGTTTTAAGCCACTAATTCTGTGGTAATTTGTTACAACAGAAAAGGAAAGTAATACACCTGTATTATCTCATTTAAATCCTCACCTGCTCTTATCATCCCCCTTTTTCAGATGGGGAAACTGGGGCAAACTGAGGCTAAGCAATTTAATATCACGCACCTAATAATACCTAATAATTGGCAGACCCATGGAATGGACTGTGGTGGTCTGGCATCAGACTATGCACTTATAACCACTGTATGATAGGAAGGCTTTGAGGGAGCAGGCAAGAGCACAGACAACACTGCAAGGAGGCTTATCTCCACATCCTTAGCAAAACAGTCACTTTCTAAAGACTGCTCCACAAGTGTGATACAATTAGCAAATAATGCTAATTCCAAGCAAGTCTCATGTACTCATTAAAGCAGGGCCACAAGAAAGCTCTGTTTTAGTAAAACATTTATAGCACCCCTTTGATAAGTATTGAGGGTGCTAAGCCCTTTACACAAAAAAGTATCTCCCCAAATCATTCCCAAACACTACAAAGGTAGTGCCATCACTATTCTCATTACACACATGAAGAATTTGAAGTGCAGTAGATTCTTTGGTCTAAAGATGCCCATCAAATCTAGAATCAACATAATTGAACATATGGACATAGAGAGTAGAAGGATAATTACCGGAGGCTGGGAAAAGTAATGAGAGGATGGTGGGGGGAAGGTGGGGATGGTTAACGGGTACAGTAACAGAAAGAAGGAATAAGACCTTCTACTTAATAGTACAATAGGGTGACTATAGTTAATAATAAATTAATTGTACATTTCCAAATAACTAAAAGAGTATAAGTGGATTGTTTGTAACACAAAGGATCAATGCTCAAAGGGATGGAGACCCCCACACTCCATGATGTGACTGTGGTACATTGCATGCGTGTATCAAAACATCTCATGTGCCCCCCAAATATACACACCTGCTGTGTACCCACAAAATTCCAAAATTTAAAAATGTTTTAATGAAAAATAAAACGAGGCTGCCCATCATCATGCAAGTGATTGAAGATTACTTGCTGAGAGACTCCTGCTTCCACATATGAAGGATCAGCTGCTCCAGAAATTGACCTCCTGATATAACAATTAGAAATTATGGCTGGGCAAGGCGACTCATGCCTGTAATCCCAGTACTTTGGGAGGCCGAGTCAGGCAGATCACTTGAGGTGAGGGGTTCAAGACCAGGTGAGGGGTTCATGACCAACATGGTGAAACCCCATCTCTACTAAAAATACAAAAATTAGCTGGGCATGGTGGCACATGCCTATAATCCCAGCTACTCGGGAGGCTGAGGCAAGAGAATCGCTTGAACACCGGAGGTGGAGGTTGCAGTGAGCTGAGATCATGCCACTGCACTCCAGCCTGGGCAACAGACCAAGACTCTGTCTCAAAAAAAGAAAAAGAAAAAGAAAAAAAATAAATTGTTTCTCATAGTGTGATCGTAGCATATCAATCACCTAAGAACTTGTTCAGGTAGACATTTGGTCCAACAGTGTGCTGGTAAACATTTAATAAGTGGCTCTTCGGTAAAACAATTTTTAAAGCCCTGACTTAAAGTAATTCACCAATTACTGTGGTGTAAATATTTCCACTCTGTTGATTTCAAGCTACCAAGTTTCAGCCTACTTAAAACTCATTTTACAAAAATTGCAGGCTGGGCGCAGTGGCTCAGGCATGTAATCCCTAGCACTTTGGGATGCCAAGGCAGATGGATTGCTGGAGACCAGGAGACCAAGCAGCCTGGCCAAAATGGCGAAACCCCATCTCTATAAAAAAAAAAAAAAATTAGCCAGGCATGGTGGTGCATGCTTGTAATCCCATATACACAGGAAGTTGAGGTGGAAAGATCATCTGAGCCCCAGGAGGTCTAGGCTGCAGTGAGCCATGATTGTGCCAGTGCACTCCAGCCTGGGTGACAGGATGAGACTGTGCCTCAAAAAAAATATATATATATATATATATAAATATATATATATATATATTTGTTTTTTGCTAAGAATTTACCAATTGTTCCTCACTAGTTTGCTATCACAAGCACCAGCAGCCCACTGCCTGTTTTCCACCCCACATCTAACTTAATCAGAATCTCAGAGAGGAAGCCCAGTGATTTGCATTTTTAACAGGAGCTCCAGGGCATTCATGTAAATTTGACTGTACAGTAACTTGCATCTCCCCACATCTAGAGTTGCCACACTCCTACTTAAATTTAAATTCCAGAGAGACCATAATTTTTCATATAAATCTGTCAAATTTGCAACATATTTATACTAAAAATTTATTCATTGTTTATGTAAAATTCAAATTTTACTGGGCTTAATACATATTTAGTTTGTTTGTTTGTTCATTTTGAAACAGTTTCACTCCATCGCCCAGGATGCAGTGCAGTGGAGTAATCTCGGCTCATTGCAAACTCCACCTCCTGGGTTCAAGCAATCCTCGTGCCTCACCCTCTGGAGCAGCTGAGGGTACAGGTGCGCGCCACCACACCTGGCTAATTTTGGTATTACTTGTAGAGATGGGGTTTCACCATGTTGGCCAGGCTGGTCTTGAACTCCTGCTCTTGTGATCTTGGCCTCAAGTGATCCTCCTGCCTCAGGCTCCCAAAGTACTGGGATTACAGGCACGAGCCACCATGCATGGCCAATGTATTTTTATTTGTTAGATGTGCACCCCTACAAATATCCTCACCAACATTTGGTATTATCACATTTTTAAGTGTTTGCTATTTGAGCATTGGACCCGTTATCTTCCTGAATCAACCTGCATTCCGCTGGTAACTACATTAACATGTCATATATATTAGTTTTCCGGGAGTGACTTTGCTCATTTTTCTACTGGTCACTGCCTTTTTCTTATTGACTGATACTAATATTTCCATTTTGTGTATTAGAAATATCTGTAAGCTTAATTTATATCTTTTATCCAGAAGAATTTTAAAATCTCAATGTGGTGAAGTCTATCAGTTTTTCCCTCTATGATAATAACAACAGTGCTCATCACAAAAAGTCAAAAACTGCTACCAAAGAGGTGACTTATACATTTATTTCAACAATATTTACCATATTGTAGGTGTTCAATAAACCTTTGCTACTGTTACTTCTATGATGATTATTTATTTGCAGAAGGTTATGTCCTATGTCTTGCCTGGTTTCCATAACAGAAATGTCCAAAAGGGTATAGTTAGTTCTCAGGCACTGAGGAAAGACTTTTATTTTATTTTATTTTATTTTATTTTATTTTATTTTATTTTATTTTATTTTATTTTTATTTATTTTATTTTATTTTATTTTATTTTATTTTATTTTATTTTATTTTATTTTATTTTATTTTATTTTATTGGGAGACAGAGTCTCACTCTTGTCACCCAGGCTGAAGTGCAATGGCATAATCTTGGCTCACTACAGCCTCAGCTTCCTGGTTCAAGCAATTCCTGTGCCTCAGCCTCCTGAGAAGCTGGGACTACAGGTGCGCCTGGCTTTTTTTTTTTTTTTTTTTTTTTTTTTAGTAGAGATGGAGTTTCACCCTGTTGCCCAGGCTGGTCTTGAACTCCTGACCTCAAGTGATCCACCCGCTTCGGCCTCCGCAAGTGCTGGGATTACAAGGATGAGCTGCCACGTCCAGCTAGAAAGACTGACTTTCTTAGGCTGCTGCCTCATCAAGTATTTGCTCCTCCTTCAAGAGGAACCCAGGAACTGAATGGTGCTGTTCACTTAGAAACAGTGAGACCCTTGCCTAAATTTCAAGTTACTCAGTCCACCTGTCCACCCTGGGAATGCTCTCCTCCTCCATAACATCCTAGAAATATTGGCTAAGAGGTAAAGAGGCTGCAGGAAGGGGAGGAAGGAAGCATTTTAAATGTAGCCTCTGCAATTTGGCCAAGTGCCGGGTGGCAGAGATGAAATAATAGCTCACGGCGCACACGATCAGATGCTTGCCGAGAGTTAAGGGGTGATTACTGACTGCTCTGCCAACTTATGAGTCCTCATTACAGTTTCCAGAGCTGAAAAACTCTGCTTAGCACCACAAAACAATGCCCTTTCTGGCCTGCCCCCTTTGAAGGTCATAAACCACTTTAATTAAGAACACTTTTAATAATGGAAGACTCAAGATGCCACGCAAGGGCACCACGAGCATCTCTGAAATTAGGATGAAAAATCTCCCTGTTTTGTACCTTCACCGAGATCATTTTCTGCTGGGTTTAATGCTTCGTTCTCAGCAGTGTCCAGCGGTGGTGGCGAAAGAAGAGACCCGGCACCACCTGCTCCACCGTTATTGTTCCCAACCCCCACCCGGCCTGAGTTAGACAGGAGGATGCTCACCTGAGGGCCTGTCCATCTCTCCAGAGGTGGGTGGGTGGGGGTCTGTCACAAGGCCAGGAAGCCCCTCCATCCATGAGACCACGGCCAGCCTGAATATGTGATGAAGCATTCTTCAAACTGAGATGTTCCACAAACACTGAGGCAAACACAAGGGAAGAGGTTCTCAACCTCAGCACCACTGACGTTTGGACTGCGTCATTCTCGATGGCAGGGGGCTGTCCTGTGCACTGTAGCATAGTGTGCAGTGCCCCATCCTCTACCCACTAGATGCTGATGGCACTCGCCACCCAGTGGTGACAAGCCAAGGTGTCTCCAGACATTTCCAAATGTCCCCTGGGGGTATGGGTACCACGGTTGGCAACAGAAACACAGGTGGCCCAGTTAAATTTGAATTTCAGATAAACAACAACTCATTTTTAGTGTAAGTATACAGCAATCCCACTACTGGGTATCTAGAAGTCATTATACAAAAAAATACTTGCACACGCAGGTTTACAGCAGCACAATTCACAATTGCAAAAATGTGAAACCAACTCAAATGTCCATCAATCAAGTGGATGAAGAAAATGTGTTTTTTATATATATATATATATATATAAGACAGAAGACTACTTAGCCCTAAAAATGAATGAATGAATGGCATTCGCAGCAACCTGGATGAGATTAGAGACTATTATTCTAAGTGAACTAACTCAGGAATGGAAGACCAAACATCGTATGTTCTCACTCATAAGTGGGAGCTAAGCTATGAGGATGCAAAGGCATAAGAATGACCCAGTGGACTTTGGGGACTCGGGGGGAAAGGGTGGGAAGGAGGTGAGGGATAAAAGACTACAAACTGGGTGCAGCGTACAGTGCTCAGGTGATAGATGTACCAAAATCTCACAAATCACCCCTAAAGAACTTACTCATGTAACCAAACACCACCTGTCCCCAAATAACCTGTCCCCAAATAACCTATGGAAATAATTTTTTTAAAAGTATGCCCATGCAATATTTACAACACATATACTAAAAAATTGTTACACATTTCCAGTTTCATTGGGCATCCTTAACTATCTGATGGCCTTATCTGAGGGGCAAAATCATTCCCTAGCTGAGAAACATGGCCCCAGGGCACTTGGTCTTAACTGAATATTAGAATCACCCAGCAAGGTTTTAAAATATCCCTACCTCCCACCCCACCCTCCCAACCAATTGACACAGAATCTACAGAGGCAGAGCTAAATCAGTGGTACTTTCTTGATAATCTTCCGCAGGAGATTCTACCATGTAGCCAGGCTGGGAACTGCTGCCATTGTATTTCCAAAAGTTTCCTAGTGATAATATTAACATCTGAAGTGCTTGTAAAAACCAAAACCAAAGCAAATTAAATAAAAAGATTCTTGATCCTGAGCACAAACCTAATGAAACATAATTTTCAGAGGCAGAGGTCTGATAACCCTGGATTTTTACCAAGTCTCGGGTTACTCTGGTCATCAGGTCAGTATGGGAGGCCTTGTCCTGGAGAAACTCTCCCAGGTGTGCACAAGACACCCACACAAATCATTTCTGTAACAGGGAAACCCCAGAGAGATGCCCATCCGTGGAAGAATTCTGTGTCACACCACACGGCATTCTGAAGCGGGAGAATCACTAATTACAGCTACACCCATCACTATCGATACAGATGAAGAATATAATGGTAAATAACATAAGAACAAAAATATATACATAGGCTGGGCATGGTGACTTATGCCTGTAATCTTAGCACTTTGGAAGGCCAAGGTGGGCAGATCACCTGAGGTCAGTGGTTCGAGACCAGCCTGGGCAACATAGTGAAACCCCATCTCTATTAAAAATACCAAAAATTAGCTGGGCATGGTGGCACACGACTATAATCCCAGCTACTCAGGAGGCCAAGGTGGACAGATCGCTTGAGGTCAGGAATTTGAGACCAGACTGGTCAACATGGTGAAACCCCATCTCTACGAAAAATACAAAGATTAACCAGGTGTGGTGGCGCACGCCTGTAATCCCAGCTACTCAGGAGGCTGAGGCAGGAGAATCGCTTGAACCCGGGAGGTGGAGGTTGCAGTGAGCCGAGGTCACACTGCTGCACTCCAGCCAGGGAAACAGAGTGAGACTTCATCTCAAAAAAAAAAACAAAACCAAAAAACAAAACCTATATATATATGTGTGTGTGTATACATATATGTGTGTATATATATATATGCATATATACACATATATTTATATAGATGTGTGTGTATATATGTGTATGTCTATATATATGTGTGTGTGTGCATATATATATACACACACACATATATATATATGCGAGGCCCCCAAATCTCCACCTCTGATAACCAGCACAGGTGATTCTGACGTACCTGGTAATTAGTCTACACCTTGAGAGTATGTATATATATGTATATACACACACAAACACATATATACACACACACACGCGCACACACTACTTTTGGAAAATGCAAAATCCAGAAGCTTTTAACAACTTTAACTTTTAACTTTTAACAATCTATCCCTTGTGTCCTTTAAAGATACTCAAACGTGCAGTAAGTAAGGGAGAAGGATGGAAATACAAGGAAGTGGCTACCTGTGAAGATGAGTCAGGGGACGGTCATAGGGGAGACTCAGCAGTGCAGGGACTGTTTCTGCTGATAAGTGGTGTGGGGGTTTCTGGAGTACTCTTTTTAACATTACGCTCCAACATCTGCATATAACCAGCAAACTCAACAAAAATACACTCCATCAACCAGCAGCTTATATACACATGCATAATGTAATACATAGTTATATATATACACACACATATATATACACATACACATACACACACACACATATATTTTGAGATGGAGTCTTGCTGTGTTGCCCAGGCTGGAATGCAGTGGTGCCATCTCGACTCTGTGCAACCTCTGCCTCCCGGGTTCAAGCAATTCTCCTGCCTTAGCCTCTTGAATAGCTGGGACTACAGGCACACACCACCACACCCGGGTAATTTTTGTATTTTTAGTAAAGACAGGGTTTCATCATGTTCTCCAGGCTGGTCTCAAACTCCTGATCTCAAGTGATCTGCCTGCCTCGGTCTCCCAAAGTGCTGAGATTTCAGGCGTGAGCCACTGTGCCCGGCCAAATATATACTCTTTTTAAATAAAAAGTTCAGGATATCTCTCTCTATTCATTCAGATTGTATAGGTCTCTGTGAGGCCCCCAAATCGCCACCTCTGATAAGCAGCACAGGTGATTCTGAGGTACCTGGTAATTAGTCTACACCTGGAGAGACAGTGATGAAAAGTGAGTTACACTTGAGGTGAGAAGTCCTGAGCTGAACACCCAGTGTCACCACCACTGTACAACTTTGGGTAGGTCTCTTATCCTCTCTGGCCTGGGTTGGATGCCCCTCCCCCATAATGCCATCTCCCCCTAGCTCCCTCTCTCCTGGCACTTGGACCACTGCAGAACAGATATTCACCACACTGAGTTTCCCTTGAACTCAGGTATCCTACCCTCAAGGGAAAAAAAAGCATCTTACTCATCTTACTCCTGGCTCCCAGCCCTGAAATGAGTACCCAGTAGGTGCCTGATAAATGTTTGCTGGACTGGGAAGAGACATAGATGGAAGAAGAGCTTGGCCAGGTAAGTGCAAAATAATAACCGAAAGGTTTCCACTCGCTGGTTAGACTTCGGACAATTTGAGCATCAAAAAGAAGAATAGCAATGATTGTAACACATTAAATAACTTAAGAAGGATCTATGAGCCCGTAGTGATACTCAAGAATGGGGAGTGGAGGGAGAGGGCTCATTTTCACATCAGAATACCAGATAATGAAAATAGAAAGAATGACCATAAGAGTTTGAAACCCACCAATGTGGAACTGCCAATGTGACAATTAACTCAAGTAAGTATCATAAGTGGGTGCTAAAAACCACTGGGTGAAAGATTGATAGGAAATGAAATCTTCACATCGTCTCAATATCAGCCCATGGCAGGGCTGGCTTCCTGGGTGTTCAGTCTAGGCAGGTGCACAGACACCCACAGGCAGAAAAGCTTTATGCTTAGTGAATGTTCTGCTGTCTGCCTTGAAAGTCCGTGTCATTTTTTAACAAGAGGCCTCACACTTTTATTTTTCACTGGGTTTTGCAAATGATGTAGTCATTCTTACCAATTACAGGTGGAAACGTCTCTACATTGCAGAAGACTGGAGGACACTGCCTTAAATAAGTGATTAAATCTATCACTGATTGATTAGAGCAATTAAATGTATCACTCACTGCCCACTGGTGTGATGTGCTGAATGATGGCCACATCAACCTATGTAACATTCTTGTCAAAAATTATCTAACTGAATCTCATCTGGGGGGCCAGTCAGAGAGGCCCAGATTATGAGACAGACACTCTATGACCGAAGCTCTCTAGCTTGAGCTTGTCTCAGAATCCCCTGCAGGGCTTGTTAGAATGGATTTCTGGGCCCCACTTCCAGAGTTTCTGATTCAATAGGCTTGGGATGAGGCCAAAGAATATTCGGGGTGATGAATTAATAAGCTCCTAGTTGATGCTGCTGCTGCTGGTTGAGGTAGCATATTTTGAGAACTGCTGTTCTACAAAACAAATGGCTTGACCATTCAAAACTGTTAATTGTTGTAAAAGACCAACAAGAAAAGAGTGGGTGACCCATGCTACAACACAAAAGACTCGAGACATTGTAACCAAATGCAATGTATTATCTTTAATTGGATCCTGTATTCTTTTCTTTTTTTTTTTTTTTTTTTTGAGATGGACTCTCGCACTGCCACCCAGGCTAGAGTGCACTGGCGTGATCTCGACTCACTGCAAGCTCTGCCTCCCGGGTTCACGTCATTCTCCTGCCTCAGCCTCCCGAGTAGCTGGGACTACAGGCGCCCACCACCATGCCAGGCTAATTTTTTATATTTTTAGTACAGACAGGGTTTCACTGTGTTAGACAGGATGGTCTCGATCTCCTGACCTCGTGATCGGCCTGCCTCAGCCTCCAAAAGCCTGTATTCTTTTTTTAAAGATAGCTAGAAAGGACACTTCTGGGACAGCTGTGAGGATTTGGACACAGGCTGTATAGTAGATAATATCCTTGTATCATTGTTATATGTCTTAGGTCAGCTAATGGTATGCTGGTTATATGGGAGAATACCCTTGCTCTTAGTAGATACAGACTCTAGTAGTTGGGGAGGACATGTCATTCATGATGGCTCCAATTACCTTCAAAGAGTACACCCCCCATAATAGTTGTGTATATGACGCACGTAGACACACAAACACATAGAGAGAAAGAGATTGTGACAGCAAGAGAGAAGATGCCAAACAGGTAAAATAATACGAAATCATTGAAACATCTGTTGTTGTGTAATGTACCCACTAGGTGTTGGGTGAGTGAATAAAATGGCAGTGCCCCTGTCCTTGTGATAGGACCTACTAGTGTGTATTAGTGTCCCAGGGATGCCGTAAGAAAGTAACACAATCTAAGCAGCTTAAAACAACAGGAGATTATTCTCTCACCCTTCTGGAGACTGAAAGTCTGAAATCAAAGCACTGGTAGGGTTGGTTCCATCCTGCGGCTCTGAGGGAACATCAGGCGTCCCTCCCGGTTTCTTGTTGCTGCTGGAAATCTGCAGCATTCCTTGAATTTCAGCTGTGTCATTAAAATCTCTGCCTCTGCCATCGCACGGCCTTCCCTGTAGGTCTCCAAACTTCCCTCTTCTTTTAAGGAGACCAGTCAATGAATTAGCCACTCCAACCCCAAAATCCAGCATGACCTCATCTTAACTAATTATATCTTCAAAGGCCTTATTTCCAAATATGGCCACATTCTGAGGTTCCAGGTAGACATGAATTTTGGGCAGACGCTGTTCAACCCAATCTATGGTGGGCCTGAGAAATCAATGTCCCCACTGCTGGACCACAGCCACGGAGGAGAAGATGGCCAGGAGCCAAAGGCCATGTGTCTCCCACAAATGTTTTGGTCCTCTCCTCTCCTTGAACTCAATTACAAATCAGCAGCAGCAAAGCCTTCCATAGAACTAACACCCACCTGCCCAGCTCGGTCAGCGCAATTAACATGTGAGATGTCTCCTTCCTCCCCTCTATAGCAAACAGAGGCTACTATATATAGCATTAGGGAAAGAGTCACCCCTGTCCTGTTTCAACTGCACTTCCTTTCTTGCAAACATAGACTCACCATGCCCACATGCCCACCACCCTTGTGCACCTGCCTCTCCTGAGCAGCGTTGGTTCTGCTGAAGAGTTCCTGCCATGAAAATGTATGAACATATGTCCTCAGCGCCACGGTCAAAAGGGAATTCAATCAAGAATCTGGTGATGCATTTGCAAATTAAAATTCTGTACCATAATGAGCAGAGCCATTCAAACTAATAATTACATAAACTCCCGTTACGGGTGGCCCGGTAATTACAACAGGTACTTTTAGCAAATTTAAAAAGCAACTTAGGTTTCCATTATCACCATGAAGAATACCAAGGGCAGCTGTATCCTTGCACTGTTAGGTGGAGACACCCCCTTAAGAATGTTCCTGGACATAGTAAAAAGGGTGCAGAAATCCCTAACCCCACTCTCTCAAAAGGGCAGATTTACAATAGAGAAGGAAGATGGTAAGGGATGCCATAAAAATACCTAAAATCGAAGGGTCAAGACATGGTGGATCATGCATGTAATCCCAGCACTTTGGGAGGCTGATATGTGAGAATTGCTTGGGGCTAGGAGTCTGACACCAGCCTAGGCAACATACAGAGACCCCTGTCTCTAAAAATTTTAAAAACTGGCAGAGGCAGGAAAATGGCTTGAGCACAAGATTTCGAGGCTGTAGTGAGCCATGATCATACCAATGCACTCCAGTCTGAGCGAGAGCAAGACCCTGTCTGAAAACAAAACAGAACAAAAATCTGTCATTGCAATGTAGAACACATGGTTGTAAAAAGAGGTGTCCATTCGATGGCGATCTGACCTCCCCCTCTGACCTCAGCTTGGCCACCTCCTCCTTACCCACTGTGCTCTCCAGCCTTAGTAGCCTTTCTTCTGGTTTGTTTTGTTTTAGAGACAGAGTCTCACTCTGCCACCCAGGCTGGAGAGCAGTGGCAGAATCACGGCTCGCTGCAACCTCAACCTCCTGAGTTCACATGATCCTCCTACCTCAGCCTCCTGAGTATCTGGGACTACAGTATGCACAACCACATGGGATGATTTTATTTTCACTTTATTTTGTACAGATGGGGTGTCACTATATTGCTAGAGCTGGTCTCAAACTCCTGGCCTCAAGCAATCCTCCTACTTCTGCCTCCCTAAGTGCTAGGATTACGGCTGTGAGCCACTGCTCTGGCCTTTCTTCTAACAGAGAAAACTCTGTTTCTCCACTCAAGCAGCATACCTCTACACTCATATGTGTTGGGTTTTATTTCACACCAAGCAATGCTCCAAATCTCTGCCATCACCAACTGGGTGTCCTACAGTTCAATTCTGACATGATCCACCTGGAGTTAGAATCAGATTCCACAGGTTGAGGGCCCAGTCCCACAAGACTGGCCCCACTTCAGAGCAAGCCTGTACTTCCCTTCTCACCATCTGGTTATAAATCAGAGATTCTCATAACCCCCTTCTCTGGTTCAATAGTTGCCTAGCACGGCTCACAGAATTTAGGAAATTACTATTACCGGTATATCGTAAAGGATATAACTCAGGAACACCCAGTTGGAAAAAAATATGCATAGAGTGAGATACGGGGAAGGGCGTAGAACTTCCATGTCCTCTCCAGGCACCCCACCATGAGGCACTCCCATTCCATGAGAGCAGAGATCTTGGCTGAGCTGTTCATGGCTCTGTCGCAAGATAGAGTAGTGCATCCGGCACTTGGTTGGTGTTTGATAAACATCCATGAGCAAACGAAAAGAAAAGGAATGGAGAAGTAAATCATTGAAGACACACTCACATCCATTTAGTCTGAGCCTCAAATAACCCTATGAGGGAGGTCCTATGATTGTGTCCCTTTTACAGATTAGAAAGCTGAGACTTAGAGACACTTAGAGACGTGAAGGCATCTAATGTGGCAGAGCCTGGCCCCCACCTCGGGCCGTCTGTGCACTTTCCATCACATCCTGCCATGTTAGGACAGGAGTGGTGGTCTATTAACAAAATCTTTTTTAAAAAGACAAGAATAGCGGGTAAGTCAGTCCACTAATTAAAACCCTGTCTCCCCCTCACTTTACTAGCAAACAAAGCAGACTTCTTTTCTCTTTTTAAACCCAATGTGGACGCCGGTGTGGATGTTCCATTCCCTGGTACTAGACTCAGAGCGGCTTGAAAGGAGGATGTGAAGCACACCAATCCCTCTCTCGCCCATGGCATGGAGTGGCTCAGTGTCAGACACCCTGTGGGAGGGGCTTTGAAATACTGATGGATGGAGTAGACTTCTCACACACTAGGGAGGAAGGATGCCCAGATGGTCTGAGCAGGATATGAATTCTAGAGCCTCACTGGGTAGCCACCTACATCCAGCAATATCTGGCAAAGTCAGGGGTGGTGATGGACAGTGGAGGTTTGCAGATTCTACCTGAGGAAGGGCTGTGCTGTGCAGAAGGGCAGGGGTGCTAAAGCCAGCCACATCTGTGTTTTGATCCTGGCTCTGGCCCTGGCTCTGTGAACCTAGGAGTTATTAATCTCTCTGAGGCTCAGTTTCTCTTCTGTAAAGATGACATCATAACAATATCCGTTTCAGAGGGCAGTGAGAATTATTAAAATAAGCAAGTCAGACAAGGCTTTCAATCCACAGCCTGGCACATGCCTAGAGCTCAATAGATGTTATCATCTCTAGATCTGGGGCGAAGCATAGACATTCACAATCATGGCCAATGTCCAGCAGCAGCAGAATACCATTCCTCAAAGTATAATGGCTGTCCCAAATCCAGTTACCTTTATTGTAACTCACCCCTTGTTCCTCAACGATGATGACTCCAGACACAACATCAGACCATGTGTGGGTCCTCGTGTCTGCTAGCTAAAACCAAAGGTAAGACCCACGAAGGGCCAGGCAGCTTTTTTATCTGAGTTGTTCACTTCCTGGCATGTGGTCAGCCTGTGAGTAATTCTGTAATGACTTGCTCAATGTCCCTGCCAGAACCATCTAAGCCTGGATGGATGTGCACCAGGGAGTGCCCGGCAGTCCATTTCACAGCCCTTAAACCTACATAGAGCTCCAGTCTCCCTCCAGAAGAAGCCCAGCAAGGGAGGTGAGAATGGTTTTCTCTCTCTTTCTCTCTCTCTCTCTCTCTTTTTTTTTTTTTTTTTTTTTTTTATGACAGAGTCTTGCTCTGTCTCCAGGCTGGAGTGCAGTGGCGCAAACTCAGCTCATTGCAACCTCTGCCTCCTGGGTTCAAGTGATTCTCCTGCCTCAGCCTTCTGCCTCCTGAGTAGCTGGGACTACAGGTGTGTGACACCACACCCAGCTAATTTTTTTTTTTTTTTTTTTAGCAGAGACAGGGTTTCACCAAGTTGGCCAGGATGGTCTCTATCTCTTGACCTCGTGATCTGCCCACCTTGGCCTCTCAAAGTGCTGGGATTACAGGCGTGAGCCACCACACCTGGCCGAGAATAGCTTTCTCTTAAGGGACTTCCAAAGGTGACAATGGCGGGGACAGTATAGATTTCCTCGTTGCCTCCATCTGACTTCACATTTGTCGAAACTGAGGCATGACTCACACAGCTCCGAAGGGACCAACTCGGGATTTGCAGCCAGATGTAGCTTAATACAAAGCCTTGCTTTCTCCACTGAGAAGTGCAGCTAAAGGCCACGGCCATACCTGCCTGAGAAAAGCTACTCTGTCCTCAGATGTTTATTCTATGATAAGAGCAGTCTCACGTCTTCATGTAACTGCTATGTATACACAGCTATGTCTCTCTCTTCTCCATCCCAAAGTCCTGCAGCCTCTAAGCTCGTTCAGAACCTCAAAAGCCGCCTGGTGACCATTCATCCATTCCTAGAGATAAGCAACCAAGATTGAACTTACACAGTGCAAGGAGTGTAGCCCATGTATCTCGTTCTTTCCTTCAGAACTCAATCTTATCATTGTTCACACATCGTTGAGGTCATTAGATCAATGGCCATCTTGTACATTAGGATATGAACTAAGGCTTGTTCACTACTGTGTCCATGTGTCTGGAATGGAATTGATGCTCTATGTATGTGGGCTGAATGATGGATGGATGGATGGATTGATGATAACTGGATGAATGGATGGTGGATGGGTGAGTGGATGGATGGATGGGTGGATGGAAAGATGGATGGGTGGGGGGGTGGATGGATGGATGGATGGATGGAAAATAGAAGGAAAGACAGAGGAGGAGTGGATGGATGGATGAGTAGATGAATGGCTGGGTGAACAGGTAGATTAATGGATGAGTGGATGAATAGGTGGATAAATGGGTGGGTCGATGGATGGGTGAGTGGGTAGGTGGGTGAATAGATAAATTAATGGGTGAATGTGAATGGTAATCTTTTGGACCTTGTTCAGGCACTACTTGTAGTTTACTTGGCAAACTGTTGATACATTCAGCCTCTTCAGATCAACCTCCTTCGAATTCTCAGATTTCTGGGGATACCTCATTAGCTCCATTTCACAGATAAATCAATCAAGATGCAGAGAAGACAAGCACCTTGGCCAAGTTGACCCAAAGAGTTAGTGACATAAAGGACTTAGGGTCTCCCAGTGCTGTGTCTTGACCTCTTCTTCCCTCCTGTTTCTGGCATAGGATGCCCTGAGTTTCAGTTAACCCTGTGGTCTAAATGAGAATTCCTCATATTTTTCTTTCTTTTGACCCAGAAATGTTTCCTGCTGTTTCTCCACTTAAACGAGCACCTGGGTATGTGGACCCAGGGAAACCCTACAAGGCTTGGTATCAACGGTTTAGCCCCATGATTCTCAAATTCTAATGTGCAGAATCAACTGGAGATTCCACTGTGGATTCCTGGACTACATACTAAGAAAGTTCACTTAAGAAGCCTGTGATGGGCTGGGAAAACTGCACTTTTAAACAATTCCCAGATGATGTGAATGCAGGTGCTCCAGGGGCTACACCTAGAAGCACTGGCTTGGGCATATGGAGGTGCTGATCTGCTGTGTTAGGGATGTGTGTCTGGGTGCTGAGGTCCAGGGACAGCTCCCCTCAGGGTGGGAGAATCTCTGATGAGGGAATAGGAACAAAGGCTTGAGAACAGTGGGGTCATGGCCCCCCATACTGAGCTTGTGGTCAGTGCAGACCCCTTGGGGGGTGCTTGGCAGCCCACCTGGAGCAGTCAAGCCCTACCAGCCCGAGACAGTGTAGGCTCAGCACCAGACAGGGACATTGCATATCCCAAGAATCAACAATAAAGATGGCAACCACAATGCAAAGGATCAGCTCCCATCCTCATCTTAGTTTCCTGGGCCCTCAGCTTGAAAGTGCCTTTGCAAAAAGTATTTAATACAACAGTGAGAAAATTATATCAGTGAGAGAGATCTGATCTAACCAACTCCACCTTGTCTTTAACCTACAAACTACCCTTGGTTGTTCGGGGGTATAGGCCAAGCTAACTTTGGGAGAAAGGTAGTTTGTATTTTAAAACATAATAGACCTTATCAAAACTAAACTGCCTCTGTAAAAGTAATAAAAGCCCACAAATTTAGGATCATGAAAGGGACTTGAATCCTGCTAAGAGGTAGGCATAATTAAACGATAACCAGCCACTGTTCTGGAGATCACAAGATTAATAACTTCCCCAATTGCACCTGTAACAACATTACTATTGTAGAACCTAAGATTGGTCGAATGAGATATCTTTTCAGAGTTTTGCATTTCTGACAACCAAATGATTCCACTCAGACCCGTGACTCATGACTCAACTAGTCCTGTAGCTCTCACCCAGAAGCAGACTCAGCATATGAGGACCGTTGTCCACACACCTATGATTACATTTCCTAACCAATAAGCAGCACCCATTTCCTAGTCCCCTGCCAATCAAACTATATTTCAAAAACCCTAGCCTGCAAACTATGGAGAGGCTGCTTTGAGTAATAAAAAAAACTCCAGTCTCCCATTTAGCTGCGTCTATATGTATTAAACTTCTTTCTCTATTGCACTCCCCCTGTCTAGATAAATTGGCTGTACCTGGGCATCAGGCAAGAAGAACCCACTGGGTGGTTACAGGCTGGTCTAGGATAATTGAATAAGCCAACGGACATGGGGAGGAAGCCTTACTAATGACTGATTTCTGTTATTCCTCCACTCAGGTTTCAGTGTCAGATATGATTTAGAAAAATACCATAACAATGGTGGTCGTTGTTATCTAGTATAGAGGAGAAAGTTCATACCAGGTACATTTCCTTATTTTTCTGAAGCAGACTCAGGCCGGAAAAGGGGATGTACTGCGTCATCCATACTAACGCTGGCTCTCTTGTCTATTTCGCACGGAGCAAGACATACTTGAGACCCAGTGAGAAGCTATGAGCTCACGGGAAGAGGTTTTAGTCTTCCTAAACTTCAGTTTCAACCTCTGTATGGAAAAAAAAATGGGATAATTCCTGGCTAGTTCATTTAAAATGACTAAGTGGGATGCCCCAGTAGGTCTTCCATGTGCTCCAATTATTTGGCACATTTTAATTGAGCACATATTATGTGCCAGGTATTTTACTGGAAATACTTATGTGCAAAGTAAGCACAATTTCTGCTCTCATGGGACCCTCAGTAAATATTAGTATATTTTCCAAGCCTCTTTTACCTTTTTTTTTTTCCTTGAGATAAGATCTTGCTTTGTCACCCAGGCTGGAGCGCAGAAGAGCTATCATAGCTCACTGCAATGTCAAACTCCTGGGCTCAAGTGATCCACCCACCTTAGCCCCTCAAGTAGCTGGGACGACAGGCATGCTCTACCATGCCCAGCTAACTTAAAAAAAAAATGTAGAGATAAGATCTCACTACGTTGCCCAGGCTGGTCTTGAACTCCTGGCCTCAATCCATCCTCCTACCTCAGCCTTCCAAAGCATTGGGATTACAAACATGAGCAATCACTCCTGGGCCCTTCTTTACTTTTTAAAACTACATTATTGTAGTGACTTTCTCCACACCACCAAGAAAGTCTTATTTGAACGCTTTTTGTTAATTTAAGCTATTAAACTACTTTACTGGGGATGGGTGTATCCCAGGCAATGTGTTCCAGGATTTGCATGCATCATCTCATTTAATTCTCACAACAACCCACCAGTAGATAAGTATGTTATTCCTTCTACTGTAAAGATGAGGAAACAGACTCAGAAGGTCATTCAATTAAGGGGCAGAATTGAGATTCAAACCGAGGCAGTCTGACTCCAAAATCAAGACCTCAGCTCCTTCTTACACACAGCCCAACATGTAAACGCAGGGTTGGAACCCCCACCCAGCCACCTAGATCCCAAGCGGAAATGCTCACAGCACAGCTGCCAGCCCAAGTCCCATATGTGCCAGACTAGCCGGCTGTGGCCTCAGCAAAGAATTTATTTCTCCTCCCCTCCACTTGAATGATTTCATTTTCCCCTCTAATTCCTGGCCTAGAAACTGCTCTGCTGAAATGGTGATTTACCACGGGTGCTCCCACTATGGGGCAGGCCCTTTAATTGCTTCCTGAAGGAGTCTTTTGGTGCTGTTCTGAGAGCCCTGATTGAAATTTTTAAAGAATTATAATTTCCCAAAGCAAGCTGTCATTAAAATTCTACAAACCTCCCTGTGAGGATCTTAATATCCCCATAGATCTGGGCTCAGTCTGACATTCCCCCATGGTTTTCCAGGTGGGTGACCTTGGAAAGGTCCCTCCAATTCTCAGTGCCTAGATTCCCTTTTGCCACCACACAGGGCTAATAGGAGGATCAAATGAGAACGTGAACATTGGGCTCTTAGGGCATGCCTGGAAAAACGAGATGCTCAATAAGCTAAATGAGGCTTTAGGGACCATCTAGTTCAAATACTGAATTTAACTTAGGTGGAAGATGCGACTCAGAAGTAGAAAGTGACTTGCCTAACTAAGGTCACACAACTAGAGATGGTTTCTCAATGGTTACTCTAGTGTCTCCATCATTCCAATACTTCTTAAGGCTTCCTCCTTTTCCCCATGGTCTCAGGGGACCATTATCAGTGTGGAATACGGGGTGAGCCTTCAGGGCAGAAGATGGAAAAATAAAGAAATTTAAATTTACCTAGCACTCACTATGACTGTATAATCCTGTAAGGAAGATGGCATCTGCCCCATTTTACAAATAAGAAATCTGAAGCTCAGAGAGGGTAAATAACCTGACCAGGGTCACACAGCTAGTAGGCTCTAGAGTCAAGATTCTACCCCAAGTCTGCTTGACTGTGAAGCCTACTCACTTTCATCCCACCACACTGTCAACCTGCAACTGTGCCTCAATAGATCCCCATGTCCATATGGTCAGGGTATGGCTGTGGCTTTATGAAAAAATCTCCTTAAACATTTCAATTATCTATGTGAGGCTCTATCAGCTGGTATGGTGGTTTTAGAATACATCCACAGATTTGCTGACACTTTTTTTTTTAAAAAATGGAGCCACCACCTCCCTTGAGTCAAGGCTGGACTTTAGTGACTCTCTAATAAATAGAATATGGAAAAAGTGACAGTGGGTGACTTCCAAAATTGTGTCATAAAAGGCACTGTGATTTCTTCTTTACCTTCTCTCTTGGATCCATGGCTCTGAAGGGCGGCCAGCAGCCATGTTGTGAGGATGCTCAGACAGTCCTGTGGAAGGTCCTCCATGACAAGAAACAGGAATTTTGCCAAAAGCCACATGTGTGAGCCATCTTGGGAGTAGCTCTCCCAGTCCCAGTCAGACCTTCAGATGACTGCAAACTCATGACAGACCCTGGGGCAGAATGCCCTCTCTAAACAGCTCCCAAATTCCTGAACCTCAGAAACTGTCATATAATAACTATCCGTTGTTTTAATCTAAGTTTGTGATGATTTATTAGACAATTACATATACTAATATGATTAACTTTTTATTATACTTTAAGTTCTAGGGTACATGTGCACAATGGGCAGGTTTGTTACATGTCTACATATGCCATGTTGGTGTGCTGTACCCATTAATTCATCATTTACATGAGGTATATCTCCTAATGCTATCCCTCCCGCCTCCCCCAACCCCACGACACGCAGTGGTGTGTGATGTTCCCTGCCCTGTGTCCAAGTGTTCTCATTGTTCAATTCCCACCTATGAATGAGAACATAAGCTGTTTGCTTTTTGTCCTTGCGATAGTTTGCTGATAATGATGGTTGCCAGCTTCATCCATGTCCCTACAAAGGACATAAACTCATCCTTTTTTAACATAATAGCCATCCCAAAATTTAGTGGTTTAAAACAATAACCATTTATTTTCTTTATGATACTAATGAATCAGCAATTTGGGCTAGGCTCAGCTGAGTGGTTCATCTGTTTTCAGCTGGGCTTCCTCCTGCTTTGTGGTGAGCTGCAGGTAACCAAAATGACTGTTTATGGAGGTTGTGATGGTGTCACCTGGAGCAATGAGAAGCAACCAGGCTATTCCTCAGGATCCAAATGACAAAGAAAAAATGACCCCAGGTGTAAAATTGCAAAGTCAGGTCTGTTGCATCCTATTAGCCAAATCAAGTTACAAGGTGAGCTAAAAAATTCAAGGATGTGGGAAGCAGACCCCACACCTTAGTGAAATAGGTTGTAGAGTTTCCCTGGTTTTAGGGAGGTATGGAGAATTGGGGACATTTTGCAACTTGCCACGGAGACTGAGTTTATTTTAAATATGGTAGCTATGCAACATGACCATCACCATCAGCAGCCTAGTAATTTTAATATTCGAACTTGCTAAGTCACTCAGCTTGAGAATGTGCACTGAAATAGGGCCAAAATTGAAATTCCATCAGCAACGATCAGTGAGACACTCTGGAGGAGAACTGGCTCCAGACACTGGTCTAGCTCAGGTCATGGGACAGTTAGTAGTTTAATTTGTTTCCAGAAAGCTGGCTACAAACCTGAAAGCTATATACTTCCCAGGAAGACACCAAGATAGGTAGAATATTCCAGAAGGAGTATTTTTTGGTTCCAGGTTTTCTGTGTAAAGTACGGAAGCAAAGAAAAGAAAAGGAGAAGAAAAGAATGAAAAGGGTACAGAGGTGTTTCAGCTTTTGGCCAGAATGTTAGCAAAAAATAAATACTCATGTGAAATTATCCTGATGGATTAAAAACAGATACCCAAAAATTAAATGTGATTTAAATTAATAACTATTCAAATAAGCAAAGTAACTTTATGGATGTTACTCCTGTTGTAACATATATTTGACATCGATAAGAAATAAGTCAACTGAAAACCACATTTTGCAATATATATCTATGTAAGCATGTATATATGTACATATAACCATATATATGTATGTATACTATGAACATATATTTGTATAATTTATATAGGTATATATTTTATATATACATTATATACATATATTTGTATCTGTACATATTTATAGTTATATGGAGATATGTAACTATATATAACTATACTACTTACATATAAATATGTAACCATATAACTATATATTATAAAGTTCTATATGTAGCTATATATATAAAACTGTATTATAAAGTTCTATATGTAGCTATATATATAAAACTGTATCATATAGTTATATATAAATAAGCAACTATATATCATACAGTTATATATAAATATGTAACTATATATCATATAGTTGCCTGCAAATATTTATATATTCACTGCTGAAAAATTCCTGCTTATTCCAGGGGCTTTTCTTTAACTCTCCCAAACAGAAATAAACGTGTGTCACTAGAACTCAACACTTGGTTCACGCCTCTACTCTAGAATGTAAACCATGGCATTTGCTTAATGGCAGGTAGAGGTCTTCAGTTCTCTGAGGACAGGGATACTGTCTTCTCACTTCTCTCTTTCCAGTGTTTGCCAAGTTTGTTCACAAAGTGATGCCTTTGCTCCTGTAAATCCACACACTATAGGAAAAGCTGCACAATCTCTCGTGTTCTTTCCATAAAGAGATAGTCCAATGGAGACCAGAGAACACAATTCCAAGACACAGCAAAAAGCAGGATTAGCACATTTCCAGGCAACATTTTGGCCTTATTTATAAATTATCCACACTAGACTTTAGCCCTTACAATAGGTCTATGATGCAGACAAACCAGATTTTATCCCCATTTGACAGATGAGAAAACTAAGGCTCAGAGATATTGAGTAAAAGGTACACTGACACTGATTATATAGGAGCAGAAATATGTAAGTGAAAAACAGATGTATGCAGTGCTCTACAGTCCCTTGAGATGAAGGTAAGCCTGGTCAACACCCCCAGTCCCAAAGCCCTCTGTGAGATCTTTGATACCCAGATGGCTGGCTTTCTGGGGATCACCTCTGCTTTGCCGCTCTTGTCTTGGCATGTGCTGTCTCTGCTGCAGAAACAATTGACCCTTGTATGAAACTCAGCTCTTTTCTCCATTTCCAACAAAATCCCCATTTATACACAGTACAATGATTTAGGTGAGGTAGGAAGTTGGGTGGAGAATGAGCACACAATTACAAGTTGAAAGGTACATCCTTGTTCTTAAAATGTTCATCATCCACCATCAATCTGACCTGTGTCTCCACCTCTTTCTGTGCCTTCCTCTCTCTCTGCCCTGGTCTAGAGCAAAACACATCAGTCTCCTTGACATGGGCAGAGGAACTTGGTCATTCTCTTTCATTAACTTGGCTCACACAGGACTCCTTCCAGTCTCACTGTCCTGCCTTACTATTTTTCCAAACAAAATTCCTCCCTAATGGCCAGGTGCAGTGGCTCATACTTGTAATCCCAGCACTGTGGGAGGCTAAGGTAGGTGGATCACTTGAGGTCAGGCATTTGAGACCAGTCTGGTGAACGTGGTGAAACCCCATCTCTACTAAAAATACAAAAATTAGCCAGGCACGTTGGCACATGCCTGTAATCCCAGCTACTCAGGATGCTGAGGCACGAGAATCGCTTGAACCTGGGAGACAGAAGTTGCAGTGAGCCAAGATCACGCCACGGCACTCCAGCCTGGGTGACAGAGTGAAACTCTGTCTCAAAACAACAACCACCACCACCATTCCTCCCTAGGAAGGTTTATGATGCCAGATGCTACCATCATATAATTTTTACCATATATTTCCACTCTTGACATAAAAAAAAAATGGGTTCAGATCAGTTGAAGGAATGGAGTAAGCTTCAAAATGGAATACAGTGGAGCTTGCAGGTTTACAGAACGAAGGCCCTGAGGGCCTCCAGGGGAGGCTGGTTGAGGTAGAGTTTTGCTTGTACTTCTGTAGCCATTATACCTCTGTGAATTCAGCCAACAACCAGGATATCCAATGGGGCATTTAGAACCATGACCACCCAAAGTAGGCAGCACAAGAGATAAACTAGCCATTGGATGTGGAGACTTGAATTTGAAACCTGGCCCTGCCGCTAAGTAGACCAGGCTCTTGGTCTTTGATCCATGTCATTTATTTCTTATATTCTGTTGCTTTAACATCTGAGACCTTGCTGACTCTGGAGGGACCGCCCTTCCTAGGGTCAGCTAATTCCTAGAGACTAGAAACAAGTCCTGTGTAAGTATGCATTTCAAATACAAGCCAACCAGTCCAGAACCCAGATCCCCCAACTACCTCTTCTTTCCTGCTCTCACACTCCAGGCCACTGTCCACCGGCCCTAATCACCCCAGGGCCAGGTACCAATTAGGAACAGCTCCTATGCCCCAGACCTCTCTGCCATTATTCAAACCAGCCATTCCTAAATCTCCTTATGCTGCCTACCTGATCCTTACACAGAAACCACAATACAGGCTCCTGGCCATGGTCCTCCTTCCACCCTCTGCCACACGCAGGATGGATCCTCGTGTGTCCCCATGTGGCCCCATGTGGCATGGCCTGCCCCCTACTCTTGGGAACATGAGTAACAATCTTTTCAATGGCAGATACTTCCTGATCTGTTAACCTCACTATAGCTCAAATTTTCCATTTTTTAGATTGTAGGGGATTGGTCAGGGTAGTGGGAAAAATTATAAAGATAAAGTTATAGGAAATAGACACAAGCCTTCTTGGAAGGCCAGGAGGTTTGCAAAGCTTCAGTAAAAGAGTTGGCTGAAGGCAGCTGAATTCTCTTAAAAGCTGAGGGTGTAGACACTTGTTTAATCATGTGGCCCAAAGATTGACCCTTCGATATTCTGCAGATGCAGGACTGATCTCTCTGGGGGAGGCCAACCAGATTAATTACCCACAGGTGTGTTGACTCAAAGCCTTTGTCATTAAATCTGTGCTGAATAAATGCCCACAGGGCCAGCCAGTCTGTGTGCAGCTGCCACAACTCTTTCTGTGAGTGGCCCGGTCCCCTGCCCTGCTCTTTCACTGAATATCAGTGTCTGAGTATGTTATTCATCCATCGTGCAGCCTTGGTCTGTGGGTCAGTCCCCCACATTAATTAATTAATTAAATGACACGTAATAATTATACATATTTATGGGGCACATCCTGATATTTCCATAAATATAACGTGTAGTAATCACATCAGAGTAATCAGCATATCCATCATCTCAAATATTTATCATTTCTTTGTGTTGGGAACATTCAATATCCTCTTCTCTTTTAAAACACTTGGCGGGATCTGTCCATACTGCAGGCCTCAGTCTCCTGATCTGCAACGTGAGTCGTGGACTAGGCCAGGATATCTTGGCTTCACTCTGATGTCTTGTAATTCACCTCATACTTTATGTATTTCTTTAAGTGGACTCAGTTTTTAAAAGAAAGTAATAGATTTAGAAAGGAAGCTTTACATAAATGCAAAATCCACACCAGCTGCCATAAAGAATAACCATAAAATAAGCACAATAGATATAATAAACACAATGAGCTGGGTACCACTGTCTTTCCAAGGCTCTGTGCCTCTTTGTAGTAAAGGGAAGCTGGGGAGCTTTGGAGAGGCATTAAAGCTGTGTTTGCACCAATCTGGGCCTTTCTCCCTACAGGATTTGAAAAATGGAAGGCCAACGAAACAGCAGCATGTTCCTTATACTGAGCTCCTGAGGATGATGCCATGCCGTGTCCACATAAAACCACCTTGTGGCAGGAACATGGATGGGGCTGGAGGCCATTATCCTTAGTGAACTAATGCAGGAGCAGAAACCCCAAATGTCACATGTTCTCACTTATAAGCTAAATGATGAGAACTCATGAACACAAAGAAGGGAACAACAGACACAGGCGCCTACTTGAGGGTGGAGGGTGGGAGGAGGGAGAGGAACAGAAAAAATAATTATTGGGTACTAGGCTTACTACCTGAGTGATGAAATAATCTGTACAACAAACCCCCATCACTCGAGTTTACCTATATAACAAACCTGCACACGTACCCACAAGCCTAAAATATAAGTTAAAAAAAAAACAAAAAAAAACACCTTGTGGCCACCAGCCCTCCCAAACTTCATTATTAAAAACACTGAGCTCATTAATCTTCTACCCCAAACTCTACATAGTATTTCAGGGCTTTGGAAAGAAAGGCCCAGAAAGAGAACAATCAAAGCCTAACTCCCTATCCATTATGAAAACATAATAAGGTCTGCTAGACCCAAGACAATAGCTTGGCCTCCCTAAATGGCAATTTCTGTTTTTCTGTGTGATTGTTCCTAAGTCACTTTTCCCTGCAGGAGCATCCGTTTTTCACATCAGGAAAACAAGGAGATTCAACCCTGACGGTCCCTGTGATCCTAAAGAGATCCCTCAAAACGGGCCAAGGATCAGGCTGACATGTCGGAGCCACTCTGGCAGGATCCCTGGTACATGCGTGCATAAGAACACACGAACACTCCCCCACTGCCCTCAGTTTGCCTCAGGGACACCAAACAGGAATTGCATTTAGTAATCAATTGACTCCCCTTGACTTGGTTTGGTGCTTTTTCTAAATAACAAGAGCCTGGCAACATCGGAACCTCGCAACAATCTTTATTAATGAAGCTCCTGGCGCCATGCGGAGAAGACACAGGCAGCGTATGCAAACGTGCTAAGGAAATTATTTCTATCAGCTCCAGCTATTTGAAAGCAATTGAAAAGTTTCCATTTGAAGAAGAAGTAATTTTCCTGATGTGAGTTTCCAGAGCTGTTTGTCTGCCCCCACCTAAGGCTGCTGCAGCTTCCTCGGCTCTGGGCTTTCTACATTTTATTAAACCACAGCTAAGTGGCGTCATGCTGTTAAAATATTGTGTCGCTTTTTAAAGTGATATCATTACCTAATAATTTTGAGAGCTTTACCTTTTTTTTCTTTGCCAGGAAGGGAAATGGACCAAATGGCTTGGCAATGCCACAACCATATGGGAGCAGGGAGTGGCGGGTGTGAGGCACTGGGGCCAAAGAGCAGGGAGAACCAAGCACCCGAGGTCACGTGGGAAATGAGTATGTGAATTCTTCAGCATCCCACGTTTATAGAGAATTGGGAGAGATGGGAAATGCACGTAAACAAGACCAGAGCCTCCTGACCCCAGTGGTGGATTTTCCATGACATTGATGAAACTGACCTAATTTTATATATCTAATGTTATAATCATAATTTTGTTCCTTTTACTTAAAGAGTGTGTTTGTTTTCTATTGCTGCAGAACAAATCACGACAACCTTAGGAGCTCAAAACAACACTCACTCATTCGCTCACAGTTCTGTAAGGGCAGATGTCTAGCATGGCATGGCTGGGGTCTCTGTCTGCTTAGAGTCCTACAAGCCTGACATCAAACTGTCGACCTTGCTGAATTTTCATCTGGAGGTGCTGGAGAAAAATCTGCCTCAATATTCATTCCCGTTGTTGGAAAAATGCAGTTCCTTGACGTTTCAGGACTGAGGCTCTGTTTTCTGGCAGCTGTCAGACAAGGGCAGCCCTCAGTCCCACAGACCTTCTGTATTCCTTAGGGCACGGCCCTTCCATCTTTAAACCAGCTACGGTGCATCAAAACCTTCTCACTGATCTCTAACTTCCTCTTTTTTGACCAACAGCAGAAAATTCTCGGCTTTTAATGGACTGGTGTGATTAAGTCAATCCCAGCCAAATCATTCTTCCTCTCTTAGGACCAACTATGCCATACAAGGCCAGGCACAGTGGCTCATTCCTGCAATCCGCAACACTTTGGGAAGCCAAGGCGGGAGGACTGCTTGAGTCCAAGAGTCCGAAACCAGCCTGGGAAACATAGGGAGAGGCCCAAGTGTACAAAAAAAAATTAGCTAGGAGTGATGGTGCATGCTTGTTGTCCCAGCTACTTGGGAGGCTGAAGTGGGTGGAATGCTCGAGCCCAGGAGGTCAAGGCTGCAGTGAGTTAGGACTGTGCCACTGTACTCCAGCCTGGGAGACAGAGCAAGACCTATGCCACATAACAATCTAATCACAGCAGTAAAATGCATCATATTCAAGTTCCAAACAATATTCAGGGTATATGCATGAGACGGGTAGGGAATCTCAGGGGCCATTTCAGGATTCTGCCTACACAAAGAAGGGCTCCAAACTGTAAGATTCAGGACCCACAAAACTTGAGTCTCCTTCAGCCTGACCTGTTTGATCCTGGAAGCTCTCACCAGGACCATATGATCTCAGGTCTGTAACGTCTTTTCAGACCCAGCTGCTCAAAGACTTACCTATCTGCCTACACATTAAGTCAGAATGTGGTTGAGCATGCAGGGCTACGGTGGGCATCTGTTGCTTTTTCAGCCTGGAAACCACTCTCCTTCTCTGTTAACACCTGCCTGATCTTCCTCTCCTGTCAAACTTTTCTCCCACTTTAAGTCTCTGTGGTTCAGACAAAGGACCCATCTCCACCTCCAGATATGGCCAAGTGATGTTATTTTGTTAATTCAGTCCCCTTTCCCCGCACCTTGATCTCACAGTGTTAAGTATGAGAATAGTTAAATGACCCATGGTGGTCAATAGGAACACAGGTGGAATCTACCAGAAAGGCACTTTTTTCTTTTTCTCACTGAGGCCATGAGCAATAGGATGATTGATGTGGTTGGAGCTCAAGGGGTAACCAGGTGGAGCCTAATAATGAAGCCAATACAAAAGAATAGCCCTACGTGCAGAGAGCAAGAGGTGGGTACTAATGACAACATCTAAGCTTTTTGGTCCTACTGAGCCTGAAGTTAGACTACTCTTGGACAAATAAGTTTACTTCTCATCTATCCATCCATTCAACCACCCTCCCACCTACCCATCCATGCATCCATCCATGCATCCATCCATCCACCCTCCCACCCACCCACCTACCCATCCTCCCACCTACCCAACCATGCACCCATCCATGCATCCATCCACCCTCCCACCTACCCAGCCATACATCCATCCATGCATCCATCGGTGAATCCATCCATCCATCCATGCAACCATCCACCCTCCCACCCACCAACATACCCGCCCTCCCACCCACCCAACCATGCATCCATCCATGCATCCATCCACCCTCCCACCTGCCCACCTACTCACCCTCCCACCTACCCAACCATGCATCCACCCACCCTCCCACTTACCCATGTGCCCACCTACCCACCCTCCCACCTACCCAACCATGCATCCAGCCATGCATCCATCCACCCTGCCACCCGTCCACCTACCCACCCTCCCATGTACCCAACCATGCATCCATCCAGGCATACATCCACCCTCCCACCCGCCCACATACCCACCCTCCCACCTACCCAACCATGCATCCATCCACCCTCCCACCCACCCACATACACACCCTCCCACCCACCCAACCATGCTTCCATCCATGCATCCATCCATCCATCCACCCTCCCACCTACCCAACCATGCATCCATCCATGCATCCATCCATCCACCCTCCCATCCATCCAGCTACCAACCTTCCCACCTCCCATCCATCCATCCATCCAACCAACCACCCACCCTCCCACCCACTCACCTACTCACCCTCCCACCTACCCATCTATACATCCAAGCATCCATCCATCCATCCATCCATCCATCCATCCATCCATCCATTCTTCTTTCTTTTAAGCTATTTGGTGTTGAGTTTCTGTCACTTATAATCCCAACATTAACACAGATGCCCCTGGAGGCACCCTGTCTCCCATCCTTCCATTCAACTTTCACAAACGCAAACCCCCTCCCAGCCCCCATTCTCCAGCTGTACTGAAATGCAAGCCATTCCGCCTTCTTTCTTCACTCACTTCACTCACTCACACCTGCTTCGTAGTGCATCCGTCTTTCTCCTTTCCTGACCAGCCACATTGTGCCCCACTCAAAGCACATCTGTTCTTGACAATTTCCCACCCTCCCCACCCTCATTAAGAATTAATTCTCTCCTTTTCTGGACTCTCAGAAGACTCTGTTTGTACCTACTTACCTTCTAGCCTACTCCCTTGCCAGCTCTTAGTGAGTTCTGTTCACATCCCATCCCAGCGTGTGGCACACAGCAAGTGACTAGGTATGCATGTGTGTAAATCTATCATTATTCCCATTTTAACATAAAAAAAACAGATGCTCAGGGATGATCACTCAGACCAATCTGACACCAAAGTCTACATTCTTAAACACTATGAAGTCTTTCACTTTATTATTATATTATGATCCATATTGTTACCAGCATTAATAGTAAAAATAACTACACATATGGAACATGGAACCTTTGTCTTGCAGTATAGTAAGAGGTAATTTAAATAGATTATGTCCTTTAATCTTCAAAGACACTCTAATGTCATGCTGTCTTATAGGAGAGGAAACTGAGTCCCAGAGGAGTTTGATGATTGCTCAACGTCACATAGCTAGAATTTGAACCCAATTCTCTTTCCAGAACCATGATTCTCAGACATTACATTTATAATGCTTGGGGGTGGTGGGCAGAGAAAGAGAGAGAGAGAGAGAGAGAGGCTTAAGACTGAACTTGAAGGTGAGCCTAAGTAAGAACTTGAACTTGCTGAGACCTGTGCATTCAACCTCAGAGACCCCTTAGAAAGTGGCACAGAGGTGCTGGGGGAGGGGTGAGAAGGCCCACCAGGAGGTAATGCCCCTTCCCTGTCCGCTTCCCAAGACTACTGCCCCTGGATCCAAAGCAATGTCTCTGTCAAAATTTTCATTTTCAATCACCCAAGCCAGTCGGTCTGGACTGTGTGTTTAAATAGGATTTTCTTTCCTTTTTTTTTTTTTTTTTTAAATTGGAAAGAAGCTTTAAACACTTTGAAAGTGGCCTTAGGGACCAGCTCACAGCTGGATCTGCAACCCCTCCTTTTGAGGCGAGCATCCCTGCAGCCACATTGCGAGCTCTGTTTTCAATTACAAAAGCTTATTTGAACATGGGCTGTCACAGAGGCTGTTCAAACAGGCTTTTGTAATTGAAAAGTAGGAAAAACAAAAGATTTCTAACCTTCCAAAGCCAGGGTGGGAAAGAACTGGTCAGACAACTGTGGAACCAAAATGGTGGCCCACAATACCAGGATTGAGGCAGCCAAGAACGCATTTCAGGAATTTTTTTTTTTTTTTTTTTTATTGGGCAGAAGCACAGAGAGTGAAAGCACCTAGGACCTGGTCAGCATCGGCTCTGGTGTAAAGTTACAGGGCCAGAATCTGACAGCAGGAAGGGATGTGGTGGCAGGAGGAACATATAGTGACTTTCACCAGTGTTACCTAACATAACAATTTTATTTTAAATTGACAAATAATAATTGTATATGTTTATGGGGTACAACATGATGTTTTGATACATCCATACATTGTGGGATGATTAAATCAAGCTAATTAGCATATCCATCATCTCACATACTTTTTTTTTTTTTTCATGGCGAGAACATTTAAAATCTATGCATGACTGGGTGTGGTGGCTCCTGCCTATAATCCCAACACTTGGGAAGGCAGGGGCTGGAGGATCATTTGAGGCCAGGAGTTTTAAGACCAGCCAGAGCAACACAGTGAGACCCCCGTCTCTACAAACAATTAAAACACTAGCAAGGTGTGGTAATCTCAGCTACTCAGGAGGCTGAGGCAGGAACACCACTTGGGCCCAGGAGATCAAGGCTACAGTGAGCTGTGATCACACCACTGTTCTCCAGCCTGGGTGACAGAGCAATACCCTGTCTCAAAAAATAAAAAATAAATAAATAAAAATAAAATACATTTATTCAGCTATTTCAAAATACACTTTATTACTAATGATAGTCACCATGCCCTGCCACAGATCACTAAAACACATTCCTCTTGTCTAACCAAAACTTTATTCTATCTCACCAACAACCTCCAGCTCCTGCCCCAGCCTCTGGTAACCACCATTCTACTCTCTGTTTCCAGGATTTTGATGTTTTTAGATTCCATTTACAAGTGGGATCGTGTAATATTTGTGTTTCTGTGCCTAGCTTATTTCACTTAGCATAAGGTCTTCCAGGTTTACCCATTTTGTCACAAATAACAGAAATTCCTTCTTTTTCAAGGCTGAATAGTATTCCATCATGTATATACACCACATTATTTTTACCCATTCATCCGTTGCAGGACACTTACACTGATTCCACATTTTGACTGTTGTGAATAGTGCTGCAATGAACATGAGACTGCAGATATCTCTTCGATATACAGATTTCATTCCCTTTGGATATATACCCAGAAGCACTATTGCTGGATCATACGGTAGTTCTACTTCTACTTTTGGGGGGAACCTCCATATTGTTTTCCATCATAGCTGTACTAATTTACATTCCCACTAGCAGTGTACAAGCGTTCTCTTTTCTCCACACCCTTACCAACACTTACCTTTTGACTTTTTGATAATACCTAAGGTAATGACTTTAGATCACTCGTACATAGAGTGTTAAAAGCCATTGGTGCCTAGAGTGAGAAAGTAATTTCATATTCAATTTTCTTGCAACATTTTGGAATTCAACAAGCAAAAAGTCTGTTTGCCACACACATATATATTTAACTTCTAATATTTTTGTATCTCCTTTTTAACAAAGACAGAGCAAGTCACACACTTGGAGCCTTTTAGGAATCTGCATAGAATTTAGTAACATTGTTTTACTTTCATTGGATTTTAAGAAAAATAATCATAGTTTCCAATTAAAATAAATGTCAGTCAAAATGGAATCAATTTAAAACATTAAATGAATCACAGAGCTAGGGTATAAAAATATGTCAAAAATCATTCTGGTATTTGAAACTGCAGAAATAAATAAAGAGGTTTGTGGAAAAGTACATTTTGGGACACTGGTTTGATGGCTAAGACTGTGGATTATAGTGAATGCACGCATTCACATCCCAACTCTACCACCTACTTGCCTTCCCAAACTGTATAAACTTCAGTTCCTCCTCTAGAAAATGGAGCTAATAAAAATACCCGACTTAACAGGTTGCTGAGAATGTAGGAGGAAAGGAATCACTCAGCTACTGTTTTCTATTATTGTTAAAAACAAGCTTAATGTTTCTCAAACTTAAATAATGTAGGGACCCCCTTCAGAGGAAAAGCGATTCTCATGAATCCACCCAATGGGTAAAAATGTTTGCAGACCCCAAGTCTTCAGCTAAGAATCCAATTTGTAAACCACGGATCCAGGCATTGCAAAAATAAATAATGAAGAGATTGAGATTTAGGTGATTTTTCCAAGGTCACACAACGAGTTACGAGTCTGAGGTGTAGTAGAATCCAAATCTCCTTCTGTCAGTGGGCTACAGTCACATTGGCATGGGATAATGATTGTGAGGTCTGGACCACTCACTGCAGGACTTCTGGCATCCCTAACTCCTGCCCTGCCTACACTAGATTCCAAAAGCACCCCCCAGTCAGCTAACAACTCCAAATTTCACCACATTTTCAAAGACTCCCTAGGAAGCTGATTAAGAACAGCCAGTATCCCTGTTCCAGCCCCAACCCTTCTCCAATATACCAATTTTACACATAGGATTTCCAGTGAGAGCTACAGCGTTCCTGAATGCAGGCAGGAGACTCAGATAGACCTGGGTTTTGCCAAAGTGTCATATGGGTAATTATACGCATATCTCATTTTAAATAGTATCAGATTTAAAAGGAATGCATCATTCTCAAGCTTTTACCTTCCCTTTTCACTGGAAGAGATAACAATATGTCTTTGAATGGCCTGATATTTACATAATGGCTTACCTTTGTTCCTCCAACTCCCAGCTAACAGTCAGAACATCACCCAAGTGAGCAAGGGAACCCTCGAGGGGTAGTCTGACTGCTACCACACCTGTAGTAAACAGAGGACAATAGACAATAGGAAAGGTAAGGAAGGCCACTGCATGTTTAGTCTACGGAGAGATAAGCTTGGCCCATCAGGTTTAGAAGTTCGATTTGTGGTAGTGAAACACTGCCCAAGGTAGCAGTGCTGAGAGGGGCCCAGGTAGTTATTTGGAGGTTTATGCCGATGTGTGAGCAGAGAAAGCTCCTCTTCAGGAAAGAGGGTGGAAGAGACCTGAGAGACTGAGAAAAACAACCTGGTTTTACACATACAATTATGTACAGTTTTAGGTAATTCTATATTTCAGTATAACATAATATATATATAATATGTATATTTGTGGTAAAATACACATAACATAAAATTCACTATGTTAATCATTTTATAGTGAACAATTCAGTGGCATTTAGTACATTCACAATGTTATGCAACCATCACCACTACCTGCTTCCAGTAATGTTCCTGTTCAACCACTAATCATGTTCATGTTCCACGAATCACGTCCAAGTTTATGTTCAACCATTAATCTACTTTCTGTTTCCATGGGTTTTCCTGTTCTGGACACTTTTATAAATGCAATCATGGAGTAAGTGTTCTTCAGGTCTAGTTTTTTCTACTAAGTATGGTATTTTCAAGGTTCATCTACACTGTAGCTTGGGTGAGAACTTCATTCCTTTTCAAGGCTGAATAATATCCCACTGTATGGGTAGACAGCATTTTGTCTGTTCACTTGCTGATGGACATTTGGTTTGCTTCCATCTTTTGGCTCTTGTGAATGGTACAGCTATAAGCATTTGTATACAGGCAGTAGGGACTGGGCTCAGGTGCAGGGACCTTACTTAGGTCAAGGGAAGTTTGTCTGCAGAGGCATCGGGATCTGAGGATCAATAATCAGGAGAGACAAGGGTTGGTGTGGAAACAGGGAGGGTGGGAAAGTATGGATGACCAGCTTCAGTAGGTGTCTGTGCTAAAAGGCATCAGATAACAGGATGACCCTCAATTTCTAACTAAAAAAGCCAAGGAAGAATAGGAAGGTCCCTGAACCAACTTAGGGCACTGTATTGTGGTTTTGCCTAGAAAAAGCTCTAGTCTTTACTGAGCTCCCAGTCTGCAAAGGCGGATACAGTTAGACTTTACTCCCCAATCCCTGGGCCCCACAGCATCACGTCCATCCTTGGGAAGGAACACAGTATCTGGAGACATGAAGATGGAAACAAAAAATCATGAAGATAAGACTCACATGGTCAGAATGATTCCTGGAAAGGTAGGTGTCTTAGACCACTTGTGTTGCTATAAAAGAATACATAGGCTGGGTAATTTAGAATGAAAAGAAGTTTATTTAGCTCATGGTTCTGCAGGCTGCACAAGAAGCATGGTGCCAGCATCTGTTTCTGCTGAGGGCTTCAGGCTACTTCTACTTATGGTGGAAAATGAAGGGGAGTTGGTGAGTACAGAGATCACAGGGCAAGAGAGAAGGCAAGAGAGAGAGGGAGAAGGTGCCAGGCTCATTTTAACAACCAGCTCTCAAAGGAATGAATAGAGAATTCATTTACCCACCAATCGCATTCCCCTGCCAGGGAGGACATTAATCTATTCATGAGGGATCAGCCCTCATGACCCGAACACCTCTCATTAGGCCCCATCTCCAACATTAGCAATCAAATTTTAACATGAGGTTTGGAGGGGTTAAACATCCAAATTATAGCAGTAGGTGTATTAGTCCATTCTTACTCTGCTATGAAGAAATACCTGACACTGGGTAATTTATAAAGGAAAGAGGTTTAATTGACTCACAGTTCCACATGGCTGGGGAGGCCTCAGGAAACTTACAATAATGGCAGAAGGCAAAGGAGAAGCAGGCACCTTCTTCATGGGGTAGCAGGACGGGATGAGTGCAAGGAGGGGAACTACCAGATGCTTATAAAACCATCAGATACCATGAGATTCAGTCACTATCCTGAGAACAGCATGGGGTACACTACCCCCATGAGCCAATTACCTCCACATTGTCCTGACCTTGACACGTGGAGATTATGGGAATTACAATTCAAGATGAGATTTTGTGTGGAGACACAGACAAACCATGTCAGTAGGAAAGCCAGGAAGGTCTCTAAGAATTAGGGAAAGGACAGGAAGTCATGATGCCTAAAAACTGGCTCTGGAGGCTAGGTACGGTGGCTCACACCTGTAATCCCAGCACTTTGGGAGGCTGAGGTAGGCACATCACTTGAGGTCAGGAGTTTGAGACCAGTCTGGCCAACATGGTGAAACCCCATCTCCACTAAAAACACAAAAATTAGCAGGTGTGGTGGCGCATGCCTGTAATCCCAGCTATTTGGGAGGTTAAGGCAGGAGAAATGTATGAACTCAGGAGGTGGAGGTTGCAGTCAGCCAAGATCGCACCACTGCATTCGAGCCTGGGCCACACAGCAAGGCTCTACCTCAAAAAAAAGAAAAAAAAAAAAAAAAAAAAGCCTGGCTCTGGAGACAGATGATCTAGGTCTGAATTCGCAATCTGTCCTCTGCTCTCCGTGAGCCTTCAGGGAGCTGCTCCAATCCCATGTGCCCCTGTCCTTGCTGGAGCTGGGGCTAATCCTGAAGGCCCTCATTATTCAACCTCCACCTTTGGCATCCCTCTGACTCAGTGAGGCCCCTTCCAGCCTTGTTCTGAGGGTCCTGCAAGGTCCCCACCATCCCCATCCCCAATCACACAGCCATAGCATTCTTCTTCTCCTCTCTTTTTGTTAATTTAGAGTTTATTATTTTTCTTATTTAAATTGTAAATCTCTTCCCTGGAAGTCTCGCCTAAACTACCCTATTACCACTACATTAGCAGCCGTTTTTCCTCTCTGGTTACAGATTTTTCTGATCTCTCATATGCATCATTTGGTGCACAGCAAAATTATCAGCTGCTCCAGCAAGCAGCGGAAGAGGTTAATGTGAAAACCATCCAAGGCCTTGTGGAGAGTCCCCTGGGAAGAGGCATGGGGGTTGAGACACCTGGCTGAGGCTTTCTCTGTCCTCCACATCCTCTGCTCAACTTGGGAAGAAAGGAAGAGCCCATCACTTCCCCCTCAAGTGTGGGAGCATATCCAGGAAAAAAGGCAAAGTGCTGGTGTCTGCCAAGCCCAGTGGTTGCAATCTTTCAAAGGCTTGAATATTTTACACTTCCTTCTGTGGCTGGGCTCACATGCAGAATGGAGAGCGTTAGCCCCTGAATTCCAAATTTACTTTAAGTAATTAAACTCATTTATTTCCATCTGAATACATTGAGGGGTTGGAAGAGTTTATGGAAATCTGGGTAAGGAGAATGAATAGATAAATAAATTATATGAGGGTGGGTGGTTACTGATGGTGGGGATGTTAAATGGTTTAAACCAGCAGCAGCTTTCTGCCAGAGTGGGCGGATGACTGTGCACCACGGGGACACTTCACCTGGGTTCTGGGTCCAGCAGGGAGATGGTGACCATTCAGAAGTACATGCTGTGCCTGGGCTCTCCTCTGCCCTGAGCTGGGCAGGAACTTCCAGTGTGTTAGCCTTGCTCCAGCAAGACAAGGGGGTGAACAAGGGCTATCCATAGCTGAGACACCCTCCTTGCCACATCTCCTTGTGTCCCTTTTTCTTCTTCCCTTCCTTCCGTCCATCCCTATATGGTTTAGATGTTTGTCCCCTTTACATCTCAGCTCTCAAGTCAAAATGTGATCCCAGTGTTGGAGATGGCAGGTGTTGAATCATGGGGATGGATCCCTCATGAATGGATTAACACCATCCCCTTGGTGATGAGTGAGTTCTCGCTCTGAGTTCACATAGAGAGCTAGGGTTTGGGGGTTTGTTTCTTTGTCGAGACAGGGTCTTGCTGTGTTGCCTAGGCTGGAATGCAGTGGTGCGATCAGAGCTCACTGCAGCCTCGACCTCCTGGACTCAAGTGATCCTCCTACTTCAGCCTCCCAAGTAGCTGAGACCACAAGAGTACATCACCATGCCCGGCGAATTTTTCTTTTTTGTTTTTTTTTTGTGAAGATGGCGTCCAGCTGTGTTGCTCATGCTAGTCGCAAACTCCTAGCCTCAAGCGATCCTCCCACCTTGCCTTCCCAAAGTGCTGGGATTACAGGCCTAAGCCACCACACCTGGCCTATCTGGTTGTTAAAAGAGCCTGGCTCCTCCCCCTCTTGCTCTCTCTTGCTCCCTCCCTCTCACGCCATGTCATGCACCTGCTCTCCCTTTATCTTCCACCATAATTGGAAGCTTCCTGAGGCCTCCCCAGCAGCAGATTCTGGCACTACGCTCCCTGTACAGCCTGCAGAACCATTAGCCAATTAAACCTCTTTTCTTTATAAATTACCCAGCCTCAGGTATTTCTTTAGGGCAACGCAAGAACCACCTAACACACTTCCTTTTCCTATTTCTCATCCCCTTCATTACCTTTCCAGAAATAGTTGCTATTATCAATAGTCTTATCAATATCAGTGACTGGCTCCATTCAAAATCAATTTCATCTTGATGCCCTCATCGGTCCTTCTCAGTCAAGTCAGATAAGATTCTTTTCCTGCCTGAATGCTTCCCTTACAACCTACTCCCCCCACACATCCCAGGTACTTTGCTCCTAACTTTCATCAGATTCCACCTTGCATCTTAAGTAATTTATACAAAAATTGCTATCCCTCCAAGGGGACAGGATGTGAACACTTGAGCCAGTAAAGAAAGACAATCTCTGGAGAAGGGAGGCGAAAGAGGGAAAGATCCTGGTCACATGAGAAGCTACACAGAAAGCTCATTATGAGCTAGAATGGGACCAGAACTCTTGTTTCTCTAGCTTTCTCCCAAATTCCACTGCTTTCTATGGCCTTAGCATTCTCTGGGGTGCCTAGCATGATACCTATATCCTAACAGGAGATCAGTAATATTTACAGAATTGCTTGCAATTTGGAAGGGCTAAGTTAGATTCCCACCAACACATCAGAGACGGAGCAGGAATTAGAATCAATGATTCCCATTATCCATGGAGTCTCCTGCTCAACGTCACACAGGGAAGAGGAGAACAGATTCTTCAGGTAGCCTTGCACGGCACATGTTCACATCCCACCACTGCACGTACAAATAGACAACTCCATTGGGCAGGAAGTGTCTGTGCTTTTCCTTTAAGATCCTTGTGATAATGTACTTATTTTGTCCTTTCGAAGGATTTTTAAAAATTATAATGCTGAGCAGGAAGAATTTCCACCCAGGTCCTCCTGAAGGACGTTTTAATTCCAGTTCAGATCCCACACCGACATCATTGTCTAGGGACGGCCCTGCATCTCAAGGACGAGGATCCTACCTGGGCACGCTCCTGGTCTCCCCGCTGCCCCACTTTTGGACAAGGTCTTTTGGCCGTCCCTGGAAGGGTGCTTCCTCCTCTGCCCAGTACAGAGCTGCCTGGGCTGTGCTCTTGAGACTAGGGAGCCAGGTCAAGGCTACCATGGCACACACTCAAAAAGCTGTGATCAGTTCCCCTATAAGTTAACGAATTGCCATATAACCCAGTAATTCCACTCCTAGGTATACACCCACGAGAAATAAAAACAGGTCCCCAAACAGACCCTTGTACACAAACGCTAAGAGCAGCTCTAAACAATCCAAAGGTAGGAACAGCCCAAATGTATAGCCACCGATGAGTGAATAAACAAAGTAGGATCTCTCTACATACAATTATATGGGTAATGTACAATAAAAAGGAATAAGACTGAGTGAAATACAGTACTTCCTTCTACAGAAAGGAAGTACTAATATGGCCGGGTGTGGTGGCTCAGGCCTGTAAACCCAGCACTTTGGGAGGCCAAGGCAGGTGGATCACAAGGTCAGGAGATCGAGACCATCCTGGCTAACGCGGTGAAATCCCGTCTCTACCAAAAAATGCAAAAAATTAGCTGGGTGTGGTGGCGGGCGCCTGTAGTCCCCGCTACTCGGGAGGCTGAGGCAGGAGAATGACGTGAAGCCCGGAGGCGGAGCTTGCAGTGAGATCGCGCCACTGCACTCCAGCCTGGGCGACAGTGCGAGACTCCGTCTAAAAAAAATGGAAGTACTGATATATGTTTCAATATGGATGAACCTTGAACACATTATGCTCAGTGAAAAAAAAGGCAGAGAGAAAGGGTCACAGGCTATAGGACTCCATGTATAGGAAATACCCAGCAAAGTGAATCTATAGAAAGTAGATGAGTAACTTCCAGGGCTGTGGAGAAGGGGAATGCAGAGTCACTCCTAACGGGTATGGGGTTTCCTTTGGAGAAATGAAAATGTTTTGAAACGAGATCAAGGTGGTGGTGGCACAACCTTGTGAATGCACTAAATACCATGGAATTATACGCTTTAAAATGGTTAACTTTATATTATATAAAATTTGCATAATCCCAGCACTTTGGGAGGCCGAGGCATGCGGATCACCTCGGGTCGGGAGTTTGGGACCCACCTGACCAACATGGGGAAACCCCGTCTCTACTAAAAATACAAAAAATTAGCCGGGCCTGGCAGCACATGCCTGTACTCCCAGCTACTCGGGAGGCTGAGGCAGGAGAATCGCTTGAACCCAGGAGGAGGAAGTTGCAGTGAGCTGAGATTGCACCATTGCACTCCAGCCTAGGAAACAAGAACAAAACTCCGTCTCAAAATAAAAAAAATTTAAAAATGCAATTAAAACAACAGCTCTGCGTTTCACTTTGGGCTTTTAGTAGGGTGACACCATGATTTACTGTCTAACCTGGAACATGTTACAGGGCTAATTCAGAGAAATAGGCATTAACTAGAACCATCCAGGGATATATGGTCAGCCTGACCTTCACTGAAGTGTCAGCAATTTGTACATTTTTTTTCTACATATCAGGATAAGAAGTATAAACACCACAACCAATTTTCCAGGTACCTATGTGCTATCAGGTGATAGGCTGAAACTGCCTCAGCTCTCAGACACTGGGAAAGACGTGGATATATGATTCCTTCCTGAGAGGCAAATTATCCCATGGTCACAGCCCCAGGCTCCACTGCGCCTCCTTGTGTCCACTGTTCACCCCATGTGGAACACCTTCCTTCCTTGAGCACCTGTAGAGCCAGCATTCCTTGGAGCTGGACCTAAAGACGACTTTTCTGAGAAGCCTCCTTGACTTCCCAGGAAAAGTCAAGTGTTGCTTCTTACTCTGGCCAAGCCTGCTTTGTTGCAGGTCTCACTATCACTGCACCTTAGTCGCTCCTCCCTTGACTGTGATCAACCTCAGGACAACCAGGAAGTCTTATGCAAATTCACAGTCCTAGTGGGTACTTTGTAACTCTGGAGTAACATCTTGGTTAACTGAATGAGTTCATTTTCCTGGAGATAAGGAATGCCTACAGCTCACTGTCTACCCTGCAAATTTTAGAGGGGTTTTAATCATTCATCCAGAGAATTGTGGACTAATTTTGTTATAGATAGTGAGGGCTCTGTTAAAGCTGGTCAGTAGGCCTATTAACCCTTACTATCTGTCAGGTGCTGGTGACTTACGATACGGAACTAGGTGCATGCTCTGGGATGTCAAGTTGCACACACACCGGTGTTGGTGGAAAAAGGTAAAACTGGCTGGGCGTGGTTGCTCTCGCCTATAATCCCAGCACTTTGGGAGGCGAAGGCGAGTGGATCACCTGAGGTCAGAAGTTCGAGACCAGCCTGGCCAACATGGTGAAACCCCGTCTGTACTAAAAATACAAAAATTAGCCAGGCATGGTGGCAGCTGCCTGTAGTCCCAGCTACTCGGGAGGCTGAGGCAGGAGAATCACTTGAACCTGGGAGGCAGAGGTTGCAGTGACCTGAGATTGTGCCACTGCATTCCAACCTGGGCAATAAAACAAGACTCTGTCTCAAAATAATAACAATAAAAATAAACGTAAAACTGCAGTTGTGTTAAGAGAACTGCAGGCTGTTGCTGACTGAGTGCTTGGGACATGGAATTTGACCTGTGAAAGGAGGGCTTTCTTAGAAGGCGAGGATCAAGCTGCACTCTAAATCTGAGAGGTGGGGAGAGCATAACTTGTGACAGATTCTTTCTCCCGTGTGGGAGAGAGAGGATCATATTCTAGGAGCTAAGAGGTCAGTGCAGCGGGAAGAGAAAGGGGAGGAAGGAACCTGACGGGGACCAGGGGCTAGACCCTGCAATGGGAAGTCATTTCAAACAGAGAAGAGTCACAACCCGGTATGAATTTTATAATGATCATTCTGGTCACACTTTGAGACTACATTAAAAAATACATTTGAGGGATCACGTGGTGAAGCAAGGGAGAGGTTATGTCAGGTATCCAGGGAAGAAACGGTGGATGGCGGCATGGACTGGGGACATAACCATTTCCGTGCTGACACATTTCCCAGGGCCCAGGAGAAAGGAGGCAGAACTCACATGGACACACCCAGTGCAGTCCAGAGTTTGAGTCTCCTTCCTTCCCACCCACTGTGGCTCCCACAGGTGGTGTCAGAACAACCTGGGAATTCCCGTCTTCTTTGACTGCAATCATTATGAGGTCCCGATCCGACAGATTATCTTGAGAAAATTACTTAACGTCTCAACCTCTCTGTTTTTATAAAATGAAGATGAGTTCTGAAAGCACCAAATCTCTTAGGCTGTTGGGAGGATTCACCGTAAGATGCACATAAAGTGCTTAGCAGCATGTCCGGTGGTGGGCGCTTAATGGACTTACTGAGTATTCTCCATTATGTTATTATCAATATTATCACGCTTCCATGGGCATGTTTTAAAACACTGGAGCCCTTTAGCAAGTCTCTCCTCTGGGGTGTGGATTCAAAGCACGGGCGCTGGGAGTGAAAAACAGCCTGGCATCCTGTGGTGCTTAGGAAGCGGTTGTCTAAAGCAGAGGAACAGGAAGGAAAACAGACCCACAAATTCCAGACTGTAGAGCAGGTTCAAGTGGGGCCACGCCTGCAGGGTGCGGTGAAGGGAGAAAGGGCGACTCAGTGGAAGCCCTTCTGACTCAATTCATCCCCATCCCAGGGGCACATGGGATGCAGGTCATAACACCCGCATCAAAGGCAGGGGAGACACCCACTAGCTCGTCCTGCGCACAGCTGAATTCAGTCCTGAGGCAGGAGTCACCCAGGCATTGGGAAACCTGCTTTCCCCCGTCAGGAGAGCTTTCTCTCTCCTGGCTAAGAGGATGTGGTTTCCGACTCTCTCCCAGCTCAATCCAGGGGTTGTGCCTTTGAGAAGTAAAGCTAATAAAACGGCAGCCCAGTGGAGTCAGAGATAAGCAGCTTAGTGTGGGGGGTGGTGCTGACCCGGCAGCTTTCTCACCTGACAACCACCTGTGGGGCTTACCACAAGGAAAAATGAGAATTATGTCTCCCTTCTAGGAGGTCCTCCTCCTCCTGCTTCCCCTGAAATTAGTTCCAAAGCTGGGAAGCAGTGGAGGACCCAGCACCTCCTAATTATAAAGGGAAAATGAGAGGAAGGGCTGGGCACATAGGCCCCTACAAAAGCTTAAAACAAGTGGTGAATAGGCAAATTTAGATGGAAGCAATGGTCAAGCAGAGGCCTTTTCCCTAAGACTTTTCTCTGAGATTCTTATGAGCAAAGAGATTGGGAAAGGAGGTAAAGAAAGAAATAAGAGAGGGAGGAAGGTGAAACCGAGAATTAATACAAGCTGATAGACAGTAAGACAAAAACAAATAGAAGACAAACTCCAACAAAGGAGGGGGGAATTAAGAATAATCCGAGAATTAGAGCTGTTATGGATAAAGCTTTCCAACCTGTTACGGTGATGGGAAGAAATCATCCTTTCATCTGGGTTTTTTTGCTAGAGTGTCAGGGAGACAGTTCAGACACCAAACGAATTTTCAGGCTTGGTCTCCTGTTTCAGGCTCTCCAATGTCTTACATTTGCACTTGAGATACGGCTTAAAGTCCTTAACACAGTCTGTAGGAATCTGCACAATCCAATCTTATAGCTACCAGGGGACAGGCATTACTAGCTGCTGTGAAGGCTGGAGAAATAAGACTGCTTCTACCAAGAAAGCTGTGTGAAGTTCATAGGGCAGTGCACTGAATAACTCTAAGCCCCATTATTCCCAATGTGATCATCATGAATTTTAATATGACATTTTTTAAGGCTTATGATGGTAATGTGTCATATTGTAGTCTATAAACTTTTTTTTTTCTTTTTATACTGAGTCTCGCCCTGTCACCCAGGCTGGAGTGCCGTGGCATGATCTTGGCTCACTGCAACCTCCACCTCAAGGGTTCAAGCAATTTTCGCGCCTCAGCCTCCGGAGTAGCTGAGATTACAGGCAAGCGCCACCATGCCAGGCTAATTTTTGTATTTTTAGTAGAGACAGGGTTTTACCATATTGGCCAGGCTGGTCTCAAACTCCTGACCTCAGGTGATCTGCCCACCTTGACCTCCCAAAGTGCTGGGATTAGAGGCATGAGCCACGGCGCCCAGCCTGTCTTCTATAAACTTCTCTGACTACCTACTAAAAGTAGGTCCTCTCTGAAGGAACCCTGCCGTCTCATTCACTCTCTCTTCTTAGCCCCAAGGAATAAGTAGGCACTAAAGTGTTCATTGAATGGATGAATGAACATCATTTAGGTACAAGTGTTGAGTGGCATTTTAGTCTCTGGAGTGCTTCAGCCCTCTCTAGAGTCTCAAAATATGGAAAGGATGCAATAGCCAGTTGAATTATCTTGACTCTACTCAAATCATGTGGAATAAAATATTAATAGATGGAAAAGCAAAGACAGAAGTCAAATTAGTGATGATCTTGACCTCTTAGGATCTGTTCACTCATCAGAGGATGTAACAAGATGCTCCATCTACAATCTAGATACCTAGAAGAGACAAAGGGAGTGGGCAATAAAAAGTAGTGGAATGAGCAGCCTCTAAAATATCCACAGTGGTTTCCACCTCCTGGTGTTCTACCCCTGTGTAACACCCTCCCCTTGGGTGTAAACTCAACATAGCAACTTACTTCTACTCAACACCATAGAGCAAAAGTGATGGCACATCACAATAGTAGGTGATAAAAAGGCTGTGGGTTCCAACTGGTGAACCCTTTGTCATAGACTCTCTTTTTTTTTGTTTTTGTTTTGTTTTGTTTTTGAGACAGAGTATCACTCTGTCGCCTAGGCTGGAGTGCAGTGGCACAGTCTCGGCTCACTGCAAGCTCCGCCTCCCAGGTTCATGCCATTCTCCTGCCTCAGCCTCCTGAGTAGCTGGGACTACAGGCGCCTGCCACCATGCCCGCTATTTTTTTGTATTTTTAGTAGAGGTGGGCTTTCACCATGTTAGCCAGGATGGTCTCAATCTCCTGACCTCGTGATCCGCCCGCCTGGGCCTCCCAAAGTGCTGGGATTACAGGCATGAGCCACCTCGCCCGGCCTCTCTCCCTTTTTTTTCTTTTGCTCTCTCTCTCTCATCACCAGCTGCCATGTTGTAAGGGCACTCAAGCAGTCTACAGAGAGTCCCACATGATGGGGAACTGAGGCTGGCCAACAACCACATGAGTGAGCTTACAAGCAGATCCAGGATCTGCCAAAGGTTACATGAATGAACTTGGAAGGGGATTCTCTAGCCTCAGTCAGGATTCAGATGAGACTGCAGCCCTGGCTGACAGCATAAATGCAAACTCATGAGAGATCCTGCACCAGGGGAACCCAGCCAAGCTACTTCCTAATTTCTGACCCAACAAAAATTGGGGATAATAAAAATTTCTTATTTTAAGTTGCCAAGTTTTGTGATAATTTGTTATGTAACAGAAAATAAATACATGTGAGAAGACATCTACTAGGCACTGTTAACTCAAAATGAAGACAGTTTTCCGTCTTTTTCCTGGATTATTTTGGGGCCAAAACGTCCTTTCCTCCTGGCTGCCATCACCAAATGAGACAACACAGCTTGAAAGTCCCCAAGACATCTCATGAAAGTTGTGGGTTAATGCCTCTGTCCTTGAATCAAACACACCTAGGTTTGAATCTTGATCCTGCAAACTGCAAGTTGGATGGCTCTAAGGAAGTTCCTTACCACCACTGACCCTTGATGTCCTCATGACGGAATGAGAGGAGTGACAGAATATACCCTGTCCACCTCTTAGCGTTGGTGTAAAGAAAGATGTCATTCATATATCCAAAGTGCTCAGCATGGTGTCTGGTACATGATAGGTACGAAGACAATGTTAGCTGTTATCTTTACCTTTTCTCAAACCTTTAACAAAGGCCAGAATGCACAATTATTGGCATTTTGGATGTGTTGCTGGAATGTTTGGAATATCATTCTTCTTGAGCAAGGATCTGGTGATACACCTGTGTTAGCCTGTTTTGCATTGCTACAGAGGAATACCTGAGACTGGGTAATGTATAAAGAAAAGAGGTTTACTTGGCTCACAGTTCTTCAGGCTGTACAAGCATGGCTCCAGCATCTGCTCAGCTTCCAGGCAGGATCTCAGAGAGTTTTCAATCACAGCGGAAAGCAAAGGGGTGCAGGTGTGTCATACGGCAAGGAAGAGGAAGCAAGAGAGATACCAGGCTCTTTTAAACAGCCAGCTCTGACTTGAGCTCATTACTGTGGGGAAGGTACCAAGCCATTCATGAGGCAACTGCCCCCCATCACCCAAACCCCTTTCACTAGGCCCTATCTCCAACATTGGAATCACATTTCCGAATGAGATTTGGAGGGGATGAATATTCAAATCATATCAACCCCTGCGTGGGTCGAAACAACCCATACATGGTAGGGGTGGGGAGATACATAAGTCCCAATAAATAACCGTGGGATAAATAAGATGGTGTCATGCACCCGTGTGTGGCTTTCTACCTATTAAGCCAGGTCAACCTGCTATCCTTATCATACACCCACAAGCTGAATTTCTAGACCAAGAAAGAGAGGCTAACACAACACATAGCTACTACATGCAGCTTGGAAATGTCAAGGGACTCGCCTAAGGTCACACGCTTGGCAATGCTAGAGTCTGAACTTAGACTTGGGTCTTCTGACCCTAAGAAGAGAACTTTTATCCTGAGTCACTTAAGTACATTAGGAAGCTGGCCACCCCACCAGGTCAGCTGTCCTGCCTCCCCTCTGTTCTTGGGTCTGGAGGCCAGAACTGGACAAGCTCCTGGCACTCTCCCCATGGACCCATCCCTTCGTTATACTTTTCCTCATTAGAACTTCACTTTCATCGCCAAACCAGCTCTCCTAATCTCCTGTCAACTCTGCCGCCTCTAATTATTTCACTGTAATTATTTTTTCTTAACAAAGGAGATAAAACTAATCATAACATGTTTTTTGTAAGCCTCCAAGAGTCATGCTTAAATTACTGCACTGATTTAAAAACCCCAGCAAGCAAATAGGAAATAATTATACTTTTATCTGGGTTGTGGCTGGTGTTTTGCCAGATGCCTACCAAGTTCTTGTGTAAAAACAAGAGGTCATGAGTAGGAAAATGACTTTGGCATAAAAGCCTTTCAACGTGCAATGCATCTTCCCTTATTGTGTGATGTAGTGGGACTGGAGTGAGGTGAGAGGAGCTGGGAGATGCCAGGTGGCCGTGACATGTCCCCAAACCACACTGTTCTCAGGGTAGACTCCTAATCTCTGATTAGTGCAAAGCTGCTCAGCTTCTCCCAGGCGCAGCTAAATGTACAGGCATCAATGGGACACAAACGGAAAACAACGGCTAACATTTATTATGTGTCAATGATACGGTGAGCTTCATTCTGAGAAACTGACAGGTCTTGCCTCATTTGATCACTATAAATGCCTAAGAGGTAACCTCAGCAAACCCCCTACATGGATGAAAAAACTGAGGCTCAGAGAGGCTAAGTCACTTAGCCAAAGACACAAACGTTAGCAAATGGCAGAGATGGGTGTGAAGCTCAGGTCTGTCCAATCCCCAAATGCTTATTTGTTTTTCCACCAGTCTCTACTTTAGATGGCGCTTGGGTGGAGTGGTGAGGATGGATGAATCAGTGGATCATTATTTTAGAGGTTCTCCTTTGGTCTTCCTGTCTCCAAATTTCTCCCCGTGAAGGTGCCTACTAAGGTCTGAATGTTTGTGTCCCCTCAAAATTCATATACTGAAATCCGAATCCCCAAGGTGATGGTATTCAGAGTTCGGGCTTTAGGGAGGGTATGAGGCCATGGGGGTGGGGCCCTCATGGTTGAGATGAGTGGCCTTATAAAAGAAGTCCTAGAGAGCTCCCCTTCCCCTCCCACCATATGCAGACATGGTGCAAAGGCACCACCTGTGAACCAGAATGTGGACTCTCACCAGACACGGAATCTGCCTTCATCCTGGACTTCCCAGACTCCAGAGCTGTGAAAAATAAATCTCTGCTGTTTAGAAGTGGCCCTGTTCATGGTATTTTGTTACATCAGCCCAAACAGAGTAAAACAATGCCTCCGCACCCCCCGTCAGAAGCTAGAAATGGGATTAGTGCATGGTGCACGAACAAGGCGTTGAAGACTCATAACGTACACCAGCTCTTTTACAGCCGAGCTCTCTGTTAGTAAAGAAAATAAACATGTACTCAATACTGTGGGGATGAAGCGTGAAATGCTAGGATGGTGCCCCCAGGGAAGTTGTGCTTATCTCAACAGCAAGAGGTCTCTGAAGATACGGCTGTGGCACAAGATAAGGGGAACAGGAACTTCAGAGCTTCGGATCTTCCACAAGTATCCAGTGAAAATTCCCATCAGTAATAAGTGTGGAGTCAAAACAGATGATGGACGTTTTTCTGGGGGTGAAAAACAGACAGTGGACCTCAAGTGGGAGGCCCTAGAGAACAGGGTGGATCCAGCAAGCCAAATGGGCTGCAAGATTTGTCTGCAGGTAGGACCTATGTCTGCCAAGCACCCCAGGCTCCCTCCATCAATGCCAGTCCAATGACAGAGTACCTTAGTTTCTGTTCCCCTAGAAGCAGATGCTAAGTCAAAGATCCAAGCACAAGTAGTTTATTTGGGGTATGATTACAGATAAGAGAGGTGAGAAAGGGGGCATGATTTGCATTATTAGGCAAATTACCACTCTGGGTAAACGAAGCTTGATCCCTTTGGGGAACACAGGGAGGAGAGTCAGAGTTATCCCATCCAGAGGATGAGGGATGTGGGGTGTTTGTACACCAGCTTCCATCTGTCACGGAACAGGGAGCTTTCCTGGGGTTGTGAATCTGCCAGCACTTCCAGCCTGCACTGCACACAGAGAAACTCAGATGGGCAAAAACAAACAAACAAAGTTTTCAGGCAGAGATGCAGATTCTGACAGCTTGAAGTTCGGTTGATGGGCATCCTACTGATAAAAATAGAAGTGGGGCATTGATGGAGAGACACATAGCAAAGGCTGAGAAACCCTCACCTCCTAGGACCAAAAAGCCACTCCGGACAGCTCCTTCCCTGCCTCTGCTAGCCCTGCACCCAGCTCAACCCTCACACCTTCCTCCACTCCAATAACCAAAAGGGCTCCTAAATCTTTCTACCTATCCCATCTACACAAGAAGAGATTCTTATAGTAGCCAACCATTGTCAAGACTTTCCTGACCATGTTTCATCCTGCCTGAAGGCAGAGGGATGGATGAATTGAACCTCCCATAAGCATTCTGAGCTGAAGAAGGGACATTCTTCCAGTCAAGAAGGCTCTGGTACCTCCTAGAGGGTGCACTGAATTTGGGGTGCTATGGAGGCAGGGAACGGGAGAACGTGCCCCTCTGTGTGATGCTATGTGAAACTTCTCCCTGAGACTGGCCTGAGGACCAGGCTATATAGAGGTCTCTACCCACTTTAGTTCCCTTCTCATTCTGAGAACCTTTGGTGACCATTCTAGGCTGCAGGACAGAAAAGGCTTCACAAACCCCCATGTGATCAAGTTGCCTCTGAGCAGGTTGGTGGAGGATTAAAAACAGGTTGCCAAAGATTTATTTTTCTTTTTTTTTTGTTTTTTGTTTTTGTTTGTTTTTGAAGTCTTGCTCTGTCACCAAGGCTGGAGTATAGTGGCACAATCTTGGCTCACTGCAACCTCCGCCTCCCAGGTTCAAGTGACTCTCCTGCCTTAGCCTCCTGAGTAGCTGGGATTACAGGTGCCTGCCACCACACCCGGCTAATTTTTGTATTTTTAGTGGAGACGGGGTTTCACCATATTGGTCAGGCTGGTCTCGAAACTCCTGACCTCAAGTGATCTGCCCGCCGCGGTCTCCCAAAGTGCTGAGATTACAGGCCTGAGCCACCACGCCCAGCCACGTTGCTAAAAATTTCAGTGCTCTGACATCTTACCAGGGCTGGGCTTGTTCCCCAGTTTGGTGAATCAGCCACTCAAAGCATCTGCCCTCCAGCAACTGAGAAGGCAAACAGACCTCAGGTAGAGATGCCCAGGAGGGAGGCTACAGAGTTAGGCTCTCCAGTGGCTTCACTTATACTCAGGATAAGAGAGATTGCATGGATCAACTGTTGCTGTGGTCTATAAACCGTGCCTCCTGCACCTGTCAAAGTTGATGGTGGAGGTGCTGAAGAGGACTGACTGACGGGAGGCCCTTCCTGAAGCAGACCATCTCTCCTTTTATCTATTAAATATTGGGCTTCTCTATTATTTTATTTTATTTTTTTTAGAAAGGGCTTGGGCCGGGCACAGTGGCTCACGCCTGTAATCCCAGCACTTTGGGAGGCCAAGGCATGCGGATGATGAGGTCCAGAGATCGAGACCATCCTGGCTAACACAGTGAAACCCAGTCTCTACTAAAAATACAAAAAATTACCCAGGCGTGGTGGTGGGTGCCTGTAGTCCCAGCTACTCGGGAGGCTGAAGCAGGAGAATGGCGTGAACCCGGGAGGCGGAGCTTGCAGTGAGCCCAGACCGCACCACTGCACTCCAGCCTAGGTGACACAGCAAGACTCTGTCTCAAAAAAAAAAAAAAAAAAAAGGGGGGCTTAGTCTGTTGGAGCCGATATAATAAAATACCATGAACTAAGTGGTTTATACACAAAAGAAATTTATTTCTCACAGTTCTGGAGGATGGAAGCCCAAGATCAAGTCTCTAGCAGATTTGGTGTTTGGTGAGGGCTCACTTCCCCTGTTGACAGACAGCCAGCTTCTTGCTGTGTCCTCACACAGAGAGGAGCTCTCTGTGACCTCTTCTATAAGGACACTAATCCCACTCATGAAGGCTTCACCCTCATGGGTTCCTCCACTCCCAAAGGCCCCACCTCTGAACATCCTCACATCAGGAATTAAGTTTCAACACATGAATTAGGATGGTGGGACACAAACATTCAGTCTATAGCAGGGGCCCACGAGTTTATATGCATCGAATTGAAACTAAGAGTCTGCAATGCCCTGCCACACTTTTAGGCCCTAGTAGGGAGGATCATATAGTAATTAATAATAAATCTCTGCACTTTGGGAGGCCAAGGTGGGTGGATCACTTGAGGTCAGGAGTTCGAGACCAGCCAGGCCAATATGGTGAAAACGCTTCTCTACTAAAAATACAAAAAATAGCCGGGCATGGTGGCAGGCACCTGTAATCCCTGCTACTTGGGAAGCTGAGGCAGAAGAATCACCTGAAACCGGGAGGCAGAGGATGTAGTGAGCCAAGATCGCACTACTGCACTCCAGCCTGGACAACAGAGTCAGACTCTGTCTTACAAAAAACACACACAGACACACACACACACACACACATATATATATGTGTGTGTGTATATATGTGTGTATATATATATGTGTATATATATGTATGTATATATATGTGTATATATGTGTGTGTATGTATATGTATATATATGTGTGTATATATGTATATATATGTGTGTATATGTATATATGTGTATATATGTGTATATATGTGTATATATATGTGTATATATGTGTATATATGTGTATATATATATGTGTATATATGTGTATATATATATGTGTATATATGTGTATATATATATATATACATACACACATACATACATCTACCAGGTGCTATGGCTCATGCCTGTAATCCCAGCACTTGCAGAGGCCGAAGAGGGTGGAGAACTTGAGGTCAGCAGTTTGAGATCAGCCTGGCCAACATAGTGAAATCCAGTCTCTACTAACAGTAAAAAAATTAGCTGGGCATGGTGGTGCATGCCTGTAATCCTAGCTAGCTGGGAGGCTGAGGCAGGAGAATTGCTTGAACCTGGGAGGCAGAGGCTATAGTGAGCTGAGATCATACCACTACACTCCAGCCTGGGCAATAGAGAAAAGATGCCATCTCAAATGATGATGATGATGATGATGATGATGATGATGATGATGATGATAAATAGTCTCCTTGAGTTCGCGTCTTAATTATACCAGCAAGTAGGCATGTCTTTGTGGAACTTCCCCACATGCATCGTCAGGAAAACAAGAGTCCTACTCAGGGGTTGTTACGAGACTTAAATGAGTACTTATGTATTGGACATATGTGTGGTACTCAGTAAATATAAGCACGTAAAATCACACAGCATAAGCAAGACAAGCCCCTGTTCTCCATAGGCCCAAGCCCTCTGAAGGAGACAGATGTGGATCACAATGTCACACAGATGATGATATTAATATAATCACAAAGGTGCAACGTGCTCTGAAAAAAAGCAGCATGACTCTGGGAGAATGGTTTTGGATGGAGAAGTGTTTGTCTAGTTTAATCCCTTCTTTGACACTTAGAGAGAAAGAGGCATGAAATCTAGAAGATCCTGGTCCAGGGGCATGCACAGAGGATGAGGCAGGATGAGAACTCCACTATCTCAATTCCAAATTTCACGCTCTTCCAACTGCATGATTTCTCACATAAATCACTGACTTAGTTCACGTTGCCCTGAAGCCACAGCAGGTCAACAATCTGCAAAGTTTCCAAATTTTAAGGTGTCACAGAAATCATCCACCAAATGCGTACACCCCTCCAACCCCCATCTCCTCCCTAAAGCCTCTGAGGAGTCATGCTTCTGTTTTAAAATCCCCCAGATGGGCCGGGCACAGTGGCTCATGCCTGTAATCCCAGCACTTTGGGAGGCCGAGGCAGGTGGATCACCTGAGGTCAGGAGTTCAAGACCAGCCTGACCAACATGTTGAAACCCTGTCTCTACTAATAATACAAAAAAATGAGCCAGGCATGGTGGTGGGCACCTGTAATCCTAGTTACTCAGGAGGTTGAGGCAAGAGAATTGCTTGACCCCGAGAGGTGGAGGTTGCAGTGAGCCAAGAAAGCGTCACTGCACTCCAGCCTGGAAGACAGTGCGAGACTCCATCTCAAAAAAAAAAAAAAAAAAAAAAAAAGAATCTAGGATTCATGGCTTCAGCGGCTGCTGGGAGTGTGGTCAGCGACAACACTCAGCAGCCAACCCTCTGTTAAGTTAGAGTACACATGTCCCGACTCCCAGTCCAGGAGCACTCCCATGAAAAAGAGCCTTCCTGCAAGTATTCGTTTGGAGGGCTGCCATAATAAAGTCCTGCAGACAGGGAGCTTAAACAACAAACATGTATCATCTCAGTTCTGGAGGCTGGAAGTGCAAGATCAAGGCGTTGGCAGGTTTGGTTCCTTCTGAGGACTGTGAAGCAGGATCTGTTCCGTAGCTCTACCCTAGCATGCAGTAGTTTGTTAGCAATCTTTGGAATTCTTTGCAGAAACATTACCTTGATCTCTGCTTTTATTTTCACATTACTGCATTATCCCCACGTGCGTGTTTGTGTCCAAATTTCCCCTTTTTACAAAGAAACCAGTCATACTTCATTTGGGGCCCACCCTACTCCCGGATGACCTCAGCTTAACTAATTGTATCTACAAGAACCCTATTTCCAAATAAGGACACAGTCTGAGGCACTGAGGCCTAGGACTTCACCAGTCTGGGGGAGGCATGACTCAATCCCTAATGCTTGTGTCAAGAAAAATACCAGTTGAGGTGTTTGCTGCCAGCTAAGAACATAACAAGCAGGGCACATGGGCAGCGACTACCCCCACTCACAGCCAAAGCAGCAAATACCTGCAGACAGCATCCTCCCCTGCCTGGACTCAGCCTGAAAACCACATCCTAAGGTAGGGCTTTGGGCAGCCAATTCCCACTACAAGAGAGCTGAAAACCTTCTTATCCTCCATCGTCGGGAAAAAGAGATGAATTCTAAAGAGGGAAATTAGGAAGGCTTCCGGAGGAGGCATTTGGGGAGTGTATCACTTTGCTGGGGCTTGGGAGTGGATCAGTTTTCTCACCCTTCAGGAGGATGGAAGCCTGAGATCAAGAAATCTGAAGGGTTGGGTACTTCTGAGTCCTCTCTCCTTGGCTTCTAGATGCTGTCTTCTCCCTGTGTCTTTTGTTGTTGCGTTGGACAGGGTCTCCCTCTGGCTGGAGTGGAGTGGTATGTTCACAGCGTACTGCAGCCTTGACCTCCTAGGCTCAGCCTCCTGAACAGCCATGACGGCAGATGTGTACCACCACATCCAGCCAGTTTTTGCATTTTTTTGTAGAGATTCGGTTTCAACATGTTTTCCAAGCTGGTCAAAAACTCCTGGGCTCAAGCAATCTGTCCACCTCAGCCTCCCAAAATGCTGGGATTACAGGCAAGAGCCACTGCGCCTGGCCTTCTGTGTGTCTTCACATGGGCTTCCCTCTATATGTGTCTGTGTCCTAATCATCTCTCCTTGTAAAAACACCAGTTAGGTCCGTCACAGCAGCTCATGCCTGGAATCCTAGCACTTTGGGAGGCCGAGGCGGGTGGATTACCTGAGGTCCGGAGTTCTAGACCAGCCTGGGCCGTCTCTACTAATAATACGAAAATTAGCTAGGTGTGGTGGCACCCACCTATAATCCCAGCTACTCGTGAGGCTGAGGCAGGAGAATCACTTGAATCTAGGAGGTGGAGGTTGCAGTGAGCCAAGATTGTACCATTGCACTCCAGCCTGGGCAACAAGAGCAAAACTCTGTCTCAAAAAAAAAAAAAAAAAAAAGCACCAGTCATATGGAGTCATATGGGATTAAGGCTCACCCAGTGAACTTATTTTCATCTGATTACCTCTCTTTTTTTTTTTTTTTTTTGAGACGGAGTCTTGCTCTGTCGCCCAGGCTGGAGTGCATTGGTGCGATCTCGGCTCACTGCAAGCTCCGCCTCCCGGGTTCACGCCATTCTCCTGCCTCAGCCTCCCGAGTAGCTGGGACTACAGGCGCCCACCACCATGCCCGGTTAACTTTTTGTATTTTTAGTAGAGACAGGGTTTCACTGTGTTAGCCAGGATGGTCTTGATCTCCTGACCTCGTGATCTGCCCACCTCAGCCTCCCAAAGTGCTGGGATTACAGGCGCGAGACACTGTGCCCGGCCCATCTGATTATCTCTTCAAGATGCTGTCTTCAAAAGCAGTCACATTCTGAGGTACTGAGGGCAAAGACCTCAACATAGAAGTCTTTTCAAGGGGGAACATTTCACATCTTAGCCCAAGATAGGGACAGAGACCACACCATGGTCTGAATGCACCTGCCTGCCTTCCGCCTACCCACTCCCACCACCATCCCCACATTCTGCTTGTCTTGATTTTTCTCTCTCAGAGGCTTTTAGCGAGGAGGTTCCCCATATTTCCTGCCCTGAGGGCAGAGTGAAAAATATATAATGCCCTGAGACAAAACGAGCTCCTAAACACCTGTCCCCAAGTGATGGAGCAGCCTCTGCTGGGAGCAGGCATCAAAGTCGAGGGGAAGCTTTGTATTCTGCTGGCCTGACTTACAAGGTAAAGTGGCATGCAGATTTCTTATTTAATAAATTCCCACAGAAAATTAGTTTTTCACAGTGGGAAGAATTTCAAGGCTTGCCGAGATGAGCGGGCAGGATCTAATCACTGTTGAGGCTTTGTGCATACACCAGGCATTGCCGATCTCCGAATGATCCAATTACTCTGCGGAGGCCCATTCGCCTTACCTGCATACTAATCATGACACAGGGGAGCAGGGAACATGCTGGCCTTTTCGGGAAGCTCCAGACGCACATGGCTGCCTCGCTGACCTTCTGCCAATTACATTCATCTCCATTCTATTAGCTCATATTTTGCCCGAAGGTGACATATACCCAGCTTAGAGGAAAACGTGCCTCCACCAGCTTCCCTCAGCAAAGACAGAGGAAGCCAGCTCTGGTGAGCACATGCAGGGCTTGCACCAACCAAGGCCCCCGCATCTGCTTTCCTATGGTCCCTCGCAATGAAAACTGGTCAATTCAGGGGGATGCATCCTTCCTGGGGCACACAGAAACATCTAAGTCAGCCTAGCTCTCATAGGTAGTGTTTGTGGGGTGGGAGGAGGAGAGACAAAGTGGTGAAATGGGGTCACATATCTAAGGCCAAGCATAAATTTTACTATTAGAGGTGCCCCCAAACACATAGACTTTTTTTCAGCCTCTGAGTTCTCATAGGTCTAATGGGGGCAAACCACTCCCACGGCTGCAAGAGACAGTGTTTTTGTCTGGCTGGCCCCTGCCTGTCTCCTTTCTATCCACTTATCATCCTCTTCCTTCTGTCCAAATGAGCTTAAGTTGTTTTATGGACCAGATGAGAAAGAGGAGCACACAGCAACTGTACCCCATAAATGCCCCCTTTTGCAAACAGGGATCTGCCCAGCCGCTTTGTGTCATGTTGCTACTGAGTAATAGGAAGTGTCAGGAAGAATAGGCATAGTCACGCATGACTTCTCAGAGGACAGGTTGATACTGGAGCATGCACAGCAGGGAGGGCAAGAGGGAGGATGACGAAGCAGTGGTGAAATATGTCAGAGCAACAAGGTAGAGTGGAGAATATTATGGCAGGTGTTAGTTTAGGAGACTGTCTTCTGAAACACTGCATGGGTTTACATTTTCCAGTGCAGAACATATTTCCCATACAGACATGCATACATACACACTCACATACACACACCCACACCCACACACACACACCCACACACACCCATCTAATACAAACAGTAAGTCGGCTCAGGCAAGTCCAAGAAAAGGCTAGGAGCCTAACCATGGGAGGCTGGAAAGGGGTGCACACGTTTGTTGAGGGTGGGGGAGTTTAGAAACACTTACCTGAGATAAGAACTGTAGTAGAGACAAGGGCAAGGTTAGCACATGGTCACTTCGATACGCGTCAAAGTGTCCATGTGGGCAGAGCTTGGAGGTGAGCAGCAGATCCTGGGGGTCTCTTTGTGAATGATACACTTTTAGTTCAGTGTTTAAAGAGTGGCAACTACAGGCCAGACAAGGCGCTTGGAATCAAAAAAAGGAGGGTGGATAGAATAAGAGATTGATGAAGGCTTCTTGTCCTCTATGATTAAATAAGGCCGGGCACGGTGGCTCATGCTTGTAATCCCAGGACTTTGGGAGGCCGAGGTATGCAGATCACTTGAGGCCAGGAGTTTGAGACCAGCCTGGCTAACATAGTGAAATCCTGTCTCTACTAAAAATAAAAACATCAGCTGGCCATGGTGGCAGGCACCTGCAATCCCAGCTACTCGGGTGGCTGGCGCGGGAGAATCACTCGAACCTGGGAGGCGGTGGCTGCAGAGTAAGCCAAGATGGCATCACTACGCTCCAGTCTGGGTGTCAGAGCAAGACTCCATCTCAAAAATAAAAATAAAAATAAATTAATTAATTAAATTAAGGAACATCTCTTCAAAGAAAGGCAGCAGAGCATTTCTCTGTGGGAAAACAGAGGATGAGACTCACCCAAATTTGGGTTCAAATTCTAGCTCTATTATTTGTCAACTGTGGCTCTTAGGCTAGGGTGCAGAATTTCTCTAAGCCTCAGTTTACTCATCTATAAAATGGGAACATTAATTCGTACTTAATGGGTCTGTTGTAAGGGTGAGAGAGGGCGATAAATAAATTTTCTGGAATATTTTCTGACTCATGGCAGGTGAACAATAATGGGTAATTGACAGTATTTAGAGCTTACAGTTCAAAAGAGGGAATATGATTAATTCATTCAAGAAACATGCATTGAACCCCATCCACGTTATAAGTACTATGACATGAATAACTGAGTAATAATGGGAAGTTACAGGTAGTATCAGGAGGACTAGGGGCTATGAGAGTTTAGACGTAGGATAAGTCGCTTCTAGGTGGAGAACCAAAGAAGGCTTCCAAAAGGAGTCTGAAGATCAAGAATGCTTGGGCATAGGCAGATTGAGGGAAGGAATTTTCAGCAGAGACGAAATGATAAGCAAAAGCATTAGGTGGAAATCCTGAGGCTATGAAGAAAAGATACAGAAAAGCTCAATTTGGGTAATGTGTGAAACATCACTGCCCCCAAAAAATTCTGTAGTGATGAAAACGTCCTATAACCTTGCTCTCTGATGTGGATGTCCAACTAATTTTTGTAGTGATGGAAATTTCCTATATCCTTACTCTCCAATATGGCAGCCTTGAGCTCCATGAGGCCTCTGACTGCTTGAAATGGGGCTGTTATGGCTGAGGGGCTGAATTTCTAATTTTAACCAATTTCAGTTTAGGTGTAACGGCCACATGCATTGAGTGGCTACCATATTGGCTAGCAAAGGTGTGAAGGGAAATTATAGGCAAACCTTCGGAACAAATGAGCTGAGACTGTGGAGCACCTTGAGCTTAAGCTAGGAGTTATATTTCATCCTTACATCATAAGACATCATTGCTCAGCTCTGGGAAGTCATCGCCAGCTACAGGGTGCAAGGTGAATTATAAAAGGTAACCCCAACAGTAAGGGGATCAGATTACCAGAGCATAAAATTGTTTCAAAGAGGAACGATTAGGACCTGCCTAAAACAAAGACCGCGTGAACGGGGGATGAGGAGATGGATATAAGAAGTAGCCCCCACATACAGCCCTTAGGGAATGGTAAGCTGAGAGGGTCCAGGGAGACGAACATGACTGGGCTGCTGCTGAGACGCCAGACTTAATCAACACGCGTCTCCGTTTCTCCTGACACTAGTCACAGCACAGAGTGAAGAAGGGCTGGTGCTCTGGAATAATGGAGAGGAGGCAGGTATCTCTGCAACCAAAGGCAGTGATTGCAGACTGAAAGGACAGTGCTTCTCTGCTTCTCACATGCCACCTCTGAGATAGAGCCACTGCACTGTCAGTCTCTCCCAAGGGAAAGATTTGTTCTATTAATTTCCCCAGGTAATCAGAACTATGTAGACTTGGTTTTTTGGAATAGGGGCTCTGGGGCCGGGAGGGAGCTCCTGCAGCTTCCTGGATGTCTTGACGGTGGTTGTGAATTCTTCTAGGGAGAGGAAGGAGGCTAATTTGACATTCCTGGCACCATCCCCTCCTCTCATGTCCTTCTCGAAGCTGGCCGCCAGGTCCCCAAGAACCCCGCATGACTTGCTGGAGAGCTGCGATTTGTTTTTGTCCTATTAGCTCCTGCAAAGGACAGAAACAGATTGCTGGGCTAGAGGGATGGCCTGGGAAGAATACGGATGAGGAACTGGCTGCATGAGGCGGGAGCAGGAAGGTTGCGATGAACGGGTCCAGACAAAGGTCTCCTGGTGGATTTCTACTCTGGGGCAAAAGGGCTAAAAAAGGAAACAGAATCTTCATTTCTTTACTCATGTCTACTGAAATAAATCTCCTTGCAGAAACACAGTTGTTTGGGGAATTTTCTCTTTCTTTTTTTCCCCCTTCCTTTTGGCATGTACAATTCTCTCTGCTAGGAAAACACACGCTATTCTCTCCTCCACTATTTTTATTCACATTTACAGGCATTCATGAATCAATGAGTAATATGCTAAGCATCTACCACCTGCCTATCATTGTGTTAGAAATTCAGTATGCCACAATGACAAAGCAAGACAGGATCTCCCACATTGGCCCCACCCATGACATTTGGAGTGTAATGAGAAAGCTTAGATATTAGTCAATAAACTGCCCAAACAAAGGTACAATATAAGCATAGACAACGTTGTTGAAGAAACTCCTGGTTTTGTTTTGTTTGGTTTTTGAGACAGAGTCTTGCTCTGTCACCAAGGCTGGAGTGCAGTGGCACAATCTCGGCTCACTGCAACCTCCAGTTCCTGGGTTCAAGCAATCCTCCCATCTCAGCCTCCCCATCCCAGTAGCTGGGACGACAGGTCTGCACCACCATGCCTGACTCATTTTTGTATTTTTGTAGAGACAGGGTTGCACCATGTTGCCCAGGCTAGTCTCGAACTCCTGGGCTCACGTGATCCACCTGCCTCAGTCTCCCAAAGTGCTGCGATTGCAGGTGTAAGCCACCATGCCGGGCCATCAAAGGAACTGTCGCCATAGCTTTCAGCATGCCCATTCAGGTGAATCTGTGGATGGACCAGGCGGGTTGGAATCTTCCATGGCCCCCAGCAGCCATGTTTTAAACCAGACTCTCCAGCTTTGATAATGCACCACCCACCAGGGAGGGGTTTTGACCCAATCAGGTACCCGACATCAGAATCTTGCTCAGCTTGGCTACTTCCTCTTTTTGCTCAATATCCAGCTCTTTCAGTTTGCTCTGTGAAACCCGTGGAATTCACACAGAGTGGCCCCACTCTTCCTAGCTAGTCAAGCAGAGAATTCAGCTTGATTTCAAATGCTACTTTGGTAATCTTCATTAATTTCCTTTTAACTGTGCCCTGTTCATCATTCAGTCTCAGCTTGTCACCACCTCAGAGAGCCTTCCCTGACTCAATGGACCAGGTCAGTTTCCCCTATAATGGACAGCTTCTGCATGACAGGCTCTCCTCTGTAGATCTCATCATGTTTGTGTCTGTTTGTATGATCCTTTGAGATCTCTTTCCCCTTAGACTAAAGATAAGATTGTGTTTGTATTTCTCATCAGTATATATCAACACCTGAAGAGTGTCTTGCATCCTGCTACAGTGGATAGTCAGTAGCCTATTTTTTTTTTTTTTTTTTTTTTGAGACAGGGTCTCGCTCTGTTTCCTGGGCTGGAGTGCAGTGGTGCAACTACTGAGAAGGGCTTGTGATCTGGAATAAGAGAGGGGAGGCAGGTATCTCTGAAACTAAAAGCAGTGAGGCTCACTGCAAACCAAGGCTCACTGCAGTCTTAGTCTCCTGGGCTCAAGTGATCCTCTCACCTCAACCTCCCACGTAGCTGGGACCACAGGCAAATGACACCACACCCGGCTACTTTTTTTTTTTTTTTTAATAGAGATGGAGACTCACTATGTTGCCCAGGCTGATCTCAAATGCCTGGCCTCAAGCAATGTTCCCTTCTCAGCCCCACAAAGTGCTGGGATTATAGGCATGAGCCACTGTGTGCAACCAGTAGCTATTTTTTTATATGAATTAATGAGAGGGAAGCTACAAAATAGTAGAGCATAATGGTTAAACTTGCCCGTGAAGTCAAATGGCTTGAGATCAAATTCTGGACTTGCCACTCACTACCTGGGTAATTTTGGACAACCTCTCTGGGCCTTGATTCATTCATCTGCAAAACAGACTTGACAATAGAATCTATGCTCATTGTAGAGAGGATTAAATATGATTTTACATGTAGATGACCAAAAAAAAAAAAACCCTGCTACTGTTGCTTATTATTATCATCATTACTCCTCCTTAAAGGCCACACAGGACAGTGGATTATTCTCTAGGCCAGGATGAATCAGAGGTCTGATACGTTTTATGTCTAAGCAAGAGGCCCACCAGATCTTCTGGGTCATGTCCTCCCTACTTCTCAGGTAGAAGAGTTAAGATCTTGCTCTATGATACCCTGACATGGTTTGGCCATGTCCCCACCCAAATCTCAACTCGAATTTAGTTCCCATAAACCCCACGTGTCATGGAAGGGACCTGGTAGGAGGTAATTTAATCATGGGGGAAGTTACCCTCATGCTGTTCTCATGAGAGTGAGTGAGTTCTCACAAGATCTGATGGTTTTATAAGGATTTTTCCTGCTTTTGCTTGACACTTCTCCTTCCTGCCATCATGTGAAGAAGGACAGGTTTGCTGCCCCTTCCACCATGATTGAAAGATTCCTGAGGCCTACCCAGTCAAGAAGAACCGTGAGTCAATTAAACCTCTTTCCTTATAAATTACCCAGTTTCAGGTATGTCTTTATTAGCAGCCTGAGAGCAAACCAATACATACCCAGAAGTCATTACCTAAACTCTTGGTTTTCCAGGGGACTATGAAAAATTATTTGGAGTTACAAAGCTCAAACATGTAATATTTCAGAGTGAAACTAGTCTGCTCAAAAAAAAAAAAAAAGAGAAGTTAAATGAATTGCAATAGAAGGTATGATTTATTGGCTGTCTTGAGAGATGCTCTTACATGTGGCTATGATCAGACTAAAAAACAAAATGCTGGGGAGACACCAGTCAGGTCTTTCAAACTGAACAGTCTCTGGAGAAGCTTGCAGGCAGGATGAAAAGGTTTGTTCACCTTATCCCAGCTAAGAGAGGCCCACCTTGAGGGGCCTTGGTTTCCCAGGTGCTGAACCACATCCTGCTAACACAGAGTTTCTCTTTTATATTAAGTGGAGCAAACCCCGGGGGTCATCACTATATATTTTCCCATGTGATCTTGCAGATTCAAAGCCAATTTTCGAGAATAACATTGATCCTACTCATATGTTTCCCATGAGGTAGTGATGATAGGAATATGAAATACTGAAGATTAAGTATGTAAGACCCTTTAAGGAGGGTGGATAAAGATGCAGAGAAAAGAAAGCAGAGTGGAATGCCTTTTCTGTTTAAAAGCGGATGGAGGGCCGGGCGCGGTGGCTCACGCCTGTAATCCCAGCACTTTGGGAGGCCGAGGCGGGTGGATCATGAGGTCAGGAGATCGAGACCATCCTGGCTAACAAGGTGAAACCCCGTCTCTACTAAAAATAGAAAAAATTAGCCGGGCGCGGTGGCGGGCGCCTGTAGTCCCAGCTACTGGGGAGGCTGAGGCGGGAGAATCGCTTGAACCCGGGAAGCGGAGCTTGCAGTGAGCCGAGATTGCGCCACTGCAGTCCGCAGTCCGGCCTGGGCGACAGAGCGAGACTCCGTCCCAAAAAAAAAAAAAAAAAAAAAAAAAAAAAAGCGGATGGATACATTTTTAGTGGGGGGTGGAGAGCCTTATGATTTTAAAAAAATAGCGGGGGTAACGTAGCTTTCAAACGAATGTTGGAGAGACAAAGGTGAGAGATTTTGGCAGCTGCTCAAAAGCAGAAGAAAATGGGAATGAATATATGATGTTTAGGAACTATAGTGATGCTGTTGATGCTTCACCAGATCTCTGTTACTTGCAAGAACACTGGATGCCACATACTAAAGTGTTGGCTGATACAGCTCATATCTCCTCTTCTCCAAATGGAAACCCTCTCCCCTGAAGAGCTATGCCTATTCTCCCCAACCCTGCAGGCAAACCTCAGCTAATGACATGACGATATGTCTTAGTCCATTCTATGTTGATATAACATAAAGGAATACCTGAGGCTGGGTAATGTATAAAGAAAAACATTTTATTTGTCTCATGGTTCTGCAAGCTGTACAAGAAGCATGGCACCAGCATCTGCTTCTGGTGAGAGTCTCAGGCTGCTTCCACTCATGTTGGAACGCAAAGGAGAGCCCACATGTGCAGAGAAGCCATGGCAAGAGAGGAAGCAAAACAGGGGGAGCGCAGGGAGGTGCCAGGTTTTTTTAGCAATCAGTTCTCAAGGGGACTTACAGAGTGAGAACTCACTATCCTCCCACCCCACAGGGAGGGGATTAATATATTCATGAAAGACCCTTGCCCACGATCAAAACACCTCCCAGGAGGCCCCACCTCCAACATTAGGATCAACTTTCAGCATGAGGTTTGGGAGGACAAACATCTAAACTGTAGCAAGATACAAGCAGCTTGGCTCTCTGCCTCTAGATGAGACCAGCTGTGGGGACCATTCATGCTCCACAGCCTTTCCTGGGATCCATCCAGGATCAGATTCCAGCCTCTCCCTTCCTTATACTAATTTAGTCCCCTTCTCCTGACGGCACTTCCCCAATAAATCTCCTAAGGAAAATCCCCTCTCAGGCTCGGCATCTGAAGTACCCAACGTAAGACAGAACATTTTACACCAAGTTTGTCGTACTTCCTCCTCCCTTCACATCCCTCTTTCCTGGAAAGCTCAGGAATACAGACTTCATTCTTCCATTCTTTTTGATTTAGAAATGTGCCTCTTGGGAACATGATAATATTTTGTGATTGGCCTTAAGGTCCAGCAAAACAGTTACATCGCTTTCCGTTTATAATACAAATAACAGCAACAGTATAAGGTATTAAATGTCTCTGTTCTAGGCACTGTCATAGGTGACTGACGCATGACATGTCATTTAATCCTCCCAAAACCCCTGCGAGATGCCCCTTAGATCCTATGTTATAAATGAGAAGACTAAGTCTGCAAGAGTTAAATTGACTTACCCACAGTTAGACTGCACGTTAGTGGCAGAAATGTAAACCAGCTTTTGTGATTCTGATACCTCCTTCCTATGCCCTGGGCCACATCAGACCCTTCTCCAGCTCAGTAAGAATAAAGATCAGGCTGCCAAGTTATCATTTCCGAATGAAAACGCAGAGTCCTCTGGCACTGGTATTTCAATCACGTACGTTTTCTTCTTCAGTCAGTGACACAGAGGTTGGCATTCACTAGAGAGTCCAGCCATGAGTTGACTAAGATCCAGCTCCTACTTCCAGAAGCTCATCTTAGAAATCTAATATCTGAGACAGATAATGTAATGGGCATGTGAGTCATCCATTTCCTGGGATTTTCTACAAGTTCTAAGCTTGTATTAAGTTAGAAAGACAGGCATCTGGACCACATTATTTTATCATCCCCCATGAAACTGCCTCAACTAAGTTAAGACTTAACACTATGACCTCAGCATTTATAGCAGGCAAGGGCATGAAATGTTGATATGGACAATCTTATGGTTGAAGACATGGCTTTTCTATTATAAAAATACCCCTTAAATGTGGATTCAAGTGATTCACTCTCTCTCAGAGTTCAGTACTTGTGTAATACCCCCTTCTGTAAATTAACTTCTTTATTTTTTTTTAGACGGAGTCTCACTCTGTTGCCCAGGCTGGAGTGCAGTGGCACGATCTCTGCCTACTGCAAGCTCTGCCTCCCGGGTTCATGCCATTCTCCTGCCTCAGCCTCCAGAGTAGAAGGGGACTACAGGCACCTGCCACCATGCGTAGCTAATATTTTTGTATTTTTAGTAGAGACGGGGTTTCACCGTGTTAGCCAAGATGGTCTCGATCTCCTGACCTCGTGATCCGCCTGCCTCGGCCTCCCAAAGTGCTGGGATTACAGGCGTGAGCCACCACGCCTGGCCCTGTAGATGAATTTCCTGTTTCTTCTTCTTGCTGTGCAATATAGATAACATGGTCCAATGTATTTCTCATTTTTCCTTTGCTTCCAGGGAGCTCAGAAGGAAACTCAGGGCTCTGATGTATATACGACTGTTCTTAATTGTCTACTCCTTTAAAATGTTTTTAGTAACAGGGCATGGTGGCTCACTCCTGTAATACCAGCACTTTGGGAGGCCAAGGCTGGTGGGTTATCTGAGGTCAGGAGTTCAAGACCAGCCAGGCCAACATGGCAAAACCCTATCTCTACTAAAAATACAAAAAATTAGCCAGGTGTAGTGGTACATGACAGCTACTTGGGAGGCTGAGGCAAGAGAATCACTGGAACCCAGGAGGTGGAGGTGAAAGTGAGCCAAAACTGTGCCACTGCACTCCAGCCTGGGCAACACAGCAACACTCCATCTCATACAAAAAAAAAGTTTTTATAATGTTTTGAATTGTTTTAATTATGTTTGATTCTACGAGTCCACCTCAATTTAAAAAATAAGTAAAGTAAAACACTAAAAGAAACAGAGTGGTGTGAAAGGGAACACCGGGGAAAATAGAGCTCCAGAATTGTGTTCGAATTTGGTGGCATGTTTAAAAAATCATCCCCATGCATATCTCTCCCCTCCTCCCTCACCCACACCATGACCATTTGCCAGGCCACCATCATTCCCCAGTGGATGACTGCTACTTCCTCCTAGTGGTGACCCAGCTTTCAGCCTTGATTCCCTCCCCTCCTCATCTTCAATTCCACATTTTGCAACTAAATTATCCTTAGAATGACGGACATGGCTGTGGGTGATCTTTTTTTTAATTGTTCTAAGCACACTTTACTTGTTTATGTTTAATCTTCAATTTTTGTAGGTACATAGCAGGTGCATATATTTATGGGTTACATGAGATTTTTTTTTTTTTGAGGTGGAGTCTTGCTCTGTCACCCAGGCTGGAGTGCAGTGGCGCAATCTTGGCTCACTGCAACCTCTGCTTCCTGGGTTCAAGCAATTCTTATGTCTCAGCCTCCATAGCAACCGGGATTACAAGCAACCACCACCACGCCCAGCTAATTTTTTATTTTTAGTGGAGACGGGGTTTTGCCACGTTGGCCAGGTTGGTCTCGAACCCCTGACCTCAGGTGATCCACCCGCCTCAGCCTACCAAAGGGCTGGGATTACAGGTGTGAGCCACCATGCCTAGCCAGATAAAACAGATGGACACAGGTATGCGATGCGTAACAATCACATCAGGTTAAATGGGGTCTCCATTACCTCAAGCATTTATCCTTTGTGATACAAACAATCCAGTTAGACTCTTTTAGTTATTTTGAAACGTACAACTATATTGTTTTTGACTATAGTCTCCCTGTTATGCTAGCAATACTAGGTCTTATTCATTCTTTCTATTTTTTGTGCCCATTCACCATGTGATCTTAACACCTTCAAAGGCTGCCACGTATTTACTTGTAAAATACTATGCTAAAACCAGAGTGCAAAATTATGTGTTGGGCATTCAAAGCTATGTGAGGATGAGGAGCATACTTCTGGAGCATCAGCTGAATTCCACGGTAAGTAATTTAGAATGTTAAGGAAATGTGATATAATGTGAGGTAAAATGCCAAACTTGCATACACATTTGATACTGACGCATGAGATTTTGAAGAGGCTTCCCAGCTGGGTTGGGTCACTGAAAGCTTCAGGTTCCCCATTACCCTATTCCTCACCAGAAATTTTTTGTTTCCTCCTCTTTACCCTTGGGAAGACTTCGTTGAACATTGGGAGAAGGCCAGCTTTAGGGTAAAGCTCAACTTTATTCAAGGCCTACAGCCCCTGTTGACATCTGCAACCCCCTCTCATGGCACCTGGGGTGCTGAATCTCACATGCTCAGCTCCAGCGCACTCTGCACAGTGCCTTGACTTGGCCATGCTCTCTTACTACTTGGCCTTTGCACATGCTGTTCCTAAAATAAAGCACCATTTTCTCCCCACTACCCCTGGACAGGCTTTGAGAGTGCTGCATATCTTGACTTAGGAATCCCGTCTGGGAAGCCGTCTTTAGCAGGGTGAATTTGATCTTCCTCAGAGCTTCTACAAGATTCCGCGATGCATTCCACCATTCACTGTTTCACAAAAAAAGTGGTTATTGCCTCTCTGCTTACTTCTCACAGCTCGTCTCTCATTGCTTTATGACCTCCTTCTCTTCCTCATCTTCATCATCACCACTCTTACTACAAGCCAAGCACTTTATAAGCAGTAACTCACTTAACCCATTTAAAGTACCATTACCCCTAGTCTAGAGATGAGGAGACTGAGGCATATAAAGAGATACAGTCATGGACAGAGGTCATCCAGGAAGTAAGCAATGAAAAATGGAATTGCAACCCAGATCTTCTCTGACAGCAAAGGCAGAACTTTAAATCACTGCTAAGCATGCTCAATCACCAAGATCAGGCTTGGTCTCCCCTCAACCCCGCCAAGTCTCTTCTCAAACCTCACTTTCTCAGCCATTCACGCTGCTGTGTACCTAGCACTGCCAGCCCCTCTCTCTGTCCTGCTTTTTCTTTTCTCTGCACCGTTCCATGCATTAACTTTCAACATCCTGTGTAATCCATCCTGCTAGAATATAAGTGCCGTAAGGACAGAACACTATTGTGCTCACTGATGTGCCTAACGGGAATGCAAATAATATTTGTGAAATGATTCAGTAAGTGAACAATGACTTCACCCTCTCCCCGATACCCAGCACAGAGAGGGCAGTAAGTGAGAGTTTGTCCCACAAGAGACATCGTCTTCTTGTTGATCTCACTGAGGAAGCGGCTTTAGTCCTGCGCAACGTGTGCTGCTGTTGTTTTTGTTCCTAGAATCCCTCAGAACAGGATGGAGGGTCTCCAAGCCTCCATCAAGGTCAGAGAAACAGCTGACCACACTGGCTATCAGATGTCCGAGCCCTGTGCTCTACCCCAGCTCTGCCCCAGGAACTTTCTGGGCCCCACAGCCCTTTCTCACTGTTCCTTTCTCCCCAGGTGGATCCCTTCATGAGTCCAGTCTCTGCTCTTCCTAGGCACATGGCCAGGACCCAGAGATTCCCTCGGAGCTTCCTGGTGCACCCTCACCCAGCTGTAGACTAGAAGGAACCCCTCTGCCATTTTTGCCACCTCATCCATCCAATTAAGCGGGCTCTCGGGGATGAGGGAAAACGGGCTGTTTCCTTGACAGCAAATACTCTGACTGAAACAATTAGTTTGTCTATTTTAAAACTGAATTCCAATGCTTCCATGGCAACCAAAGTTATTAAAAGATGTAAATTAAAGTGTTGCACAGGAAAGATGGCTTGGCATAGAAGGCGCTTGTTTTGGGGAAAGAACACAAAGAACTTGAAACCAAGGGCATCCCCCTACCTGGACGTGTGCTGCGATCAGCTGGTGCACTGAAACGGCTCCAGCCATCCGACAGCTCCTCCCGTGCCCTTGGCTTCTACCACTGCCTCACATCAGGGACACCTCTGTCCCTCACATGCACGAGAGAGAGGAGGGGGTTTACACTTTCTGAAGCCCTTTGTGCAAAGAAAAAATCCTAAGGAGGGTAGAGAGGCAGAACTGACTTCTGTGCTGGGCCTACTATCTGCCTACTAACAGTTACGGTTGACAAGTATCAAGTCTTCCTGTGCCCTGGGAATTGTGCTAAGGGATTTGCACGCATCTTCTCACCAAATGCTCCTACCAGATGAGCTATAATCTCAGTTCATCCCCATTTCACAGACTGAGAAATTCAGATCCAGGCGGATGAAGCAACTGAAGGAGCCATGTATCCAATGAGAGAAAATGAAGACAAGAGCCCACATCTGTTTGACCGTATTCCATTTCCTGAATTCAAGCCAGACACAATGTTGGGTGAATGGATCATTCCATTTAACCCTCTTAGTCATCCTAAATGGCAATATGGTGTAGGATCTAAAGCCCAGGCTCCAGTATAAGACAGATGTAGGGCTGAAGACCAGCACCTTCACTTTTTTTTTTTTTTTTTTTTTTTTCAATACAGACTCTCTGTCTGTCACCCAGGCTAGAGTGCAGTGGTATGATCTCGGCTCACTGCAATCTCCACCTCCTGGGTTCAAGCGATTCTCCTGCTTCAGCCTCTGGAGTAGCTGAGATTACAGGCACAAGCCACCACGCCCAGCTAATTTTTCTATTTTCAGTAGAGACAAAATTTCACCATGTTGGTCAGGCTGGTCTCAAACTCCTGACCTCGTGATCTGCCCGCCTCAGCCTCCCAAAGTGGTGGGATTACAGGCATGAGCCACTGCGCCCAGCCTTCACTTCTTAGTTCTGGGACTTCATGGCAAAATCATTAACTACCAGCACCTCCGTTTACTCAGCTGTGAAATTATCGCTAGCTTCACTACGTGGTGGGGAGGGTAAAGTCAGTCAACATGAAAGAGGCACCTTGCCCAGTGTCTGCTAAGGAGAGAGCATTACTAATGCCTGTTATAATTAGATATTATTATCATAGGTGAGGACAAGAGGCTTAAAGAGGTACAGTATCGTACTTAAGCACATACACCTGGGATCTGAAGCCAGGTCTCATCCCCAAGCTCATATCCTCCCTCCATGACCAAGCAAAGAGTACAGTTTACCCAAGATCTGGCAGTCTGTTCGTGGTGAAGCTGGAACACACGGAACTGCCAGTCAACACACCCCGTGTGTCATGTCCACTTTGCTGCATGTCAAAAGATGAAGAGGAGAAGCTGGAGCTACATCTCACACGCATTGTGATCATCACAGAGGCTGTTTGCCCAGTCTTCGTCCTCTGCCAGATCCTGTGCTCCAGGCCGCATCCAGTCTCTCCTCTTTCCAGCCATTCTGGGGTGAATTCATGTCTTTAAAAACCACTCGACTACAGGCTGTTGCGTCTGCTTTTGTCTTGCCAACACCTACATCTCTCTCAGGCCTTGATCAAAACATTAGTTCCTCAAAGAGGCCTTCCCCAACCCCAGGACTAGGTGAGATCCCTCTAGCATGGGCTGCCACGGACAGGCGCTCCTCCACGTTGGCTTTTGGTTATTTATCCTCAGTGCACGAGGACATGTGTGGAGTCTGCTTGTCCTGCATCCTCAGTGCCCAAAAGTGTGACTGGCACATAGTGGGTGCTAAATACATCCAAAAGAATATCAATCATTCTATTATAAAGGTACACACACATGTATGTTCATTGCAGCACTATTTCACATAGTAAAGACATGAAATCAACCCAAATGCCCATCAATGATAGAACGGATAAAGAAAATGTGGCACACAGACACATGGAATACTATGCAGCCATAAAACAAAATGAGAGCATGTCTTTTGCAGGGACATGGAACTGGAAGCCATTATCCTCAGCCAACTAACACAAGAAAAGAAAAGCAAACACCACGTGTTCTCACTTATAAGGGGGAGCTGAATGATGAGAACACATGGGGAGGAATGGCACACACTGCCGGAGAGTGTGGGGAGGGAGAGCATCAGGAGGAATAGTTAATGGATGCTGGCCTTATTACCTAGGTGATGAGTTGATCTGTGCAGCAAACCACCATGGCACACATTTACAAGCCTGCACATCCTACACATGGACCTCACAACTTAAAAGTTGAAGAAAAATAAGATAAAATTTTAAGTAAATGACTACGTAGTGACATTTTTATTGAAGAGCGTGTGGTGATCAATATATTATTTGGCCAAATCTTGACCAATCTTGCTTAATACTCCCAACAAAGGGAACCTCACAGCCCACAGCAGAGGATGAAGAGATCTTCCCAGTATCTAGGAAGGTTTATGAAGCTGAACTAGTCACCATCCTCAGCTTCTAGATAGGGCTGTGTACATGCTATTGTTTATTCCTTCATTCAGGTTTCTTTTAATTCAACAACTTTTTTTTTTTTTTTTTTTTTTTTTTAGACTGAGTTTCGCTCTTGTCGCCCAGATTGGAGTGCAGTGGCACGATCGCAACCTCACCGCAACCTCCACCTCCCGGATTCAAGCAATTCTCCTGCCTCAGCCTTGTTGAGTAGCTGGGATTACAGGCATGTGCCACCACACCCTGCTGATTTTGTATTTTTAGTAGAGACGAGGTTTCCCCATGTTGGTCAGGCTGGTCTTGAACTCCTGACCTCAGATTATCTGCCCAACTCAGTCTCCCAAAGTGCTGGGATTACAGGCGTGAGCCACTGCGCCCGGCCTCAACAACTATTTTTTTTAAGTGTTTGGCAACTATGGTTTCAGTATTGGAGGCTGGAACACAGCAGGACACTGTGACTTAGACTCTCAGGGAACTATCATAGAATAAAACACTTTTAAGCAACAATAATAATAATGAGTAAAATGATCATAAATTGTGATAAGTCATTAAGAAAAAAAGCTTTGTAGAATAAAGGAAGATGCTCACTTTGGGATGGATAATGAGGGGAGGCAACTGGAGAAAAGGTGGCCCACAGGAAGAAGAGGACCTGGCCAAGTGGAAAGCCAATTAGGGACCATTCCCGGCAGAGGAAACAAACTCTGCAAAGGCGCTGGGGCAGGAGGAACCTGGCACACCACAGTGGCTGAGAAAGTCACAAAGCTGGGGAATGAGCAAGTGGAAAGTGGTCTGAGAGGAAGGTGGTGAGGCCAGCAGGAACACAATCTTGCAGGAGGGCAGTCTTGCAGGAAGGCTGTCTTGCAGGAATGCAGTCTTATAGGAAGACAGTATTGCAGGAACACAGTCTGGCAGGACCTTGCTCGTCTTGTAGAAGTTTTGATGTGTGTGTGTGGTCCTTGCCCTGTTGTTCAGAATAGTGGAAATCTTCATGCCATCATTTTATCTGGTATCCCTCAAATTTTGCTGTAACTCAGCAGGTATGCAAAAAATCTCTCTCCTAAAAAGAGCACAAAGAACTAAGACTGCTCAGAATTCTGGCACAACCATTCGGTTGCGTGGTCTGACTCCTCGGGTGAACCAATCCCTGTCTCTGGCCCTACATTTTCACTTCTGTAAAAAACAGGAGAAAGGAGGCCAGGTATGGTGGCTCACATCTGTAATTCCAGCACTTTCAGAGGCTGAGGCGGGTGGATCACTTGAGTTCAGGAGTTCAAGGCCAGCCTGGCCAACTTGGTGAAACCTCATCTCTACTTAAAAGAAAAAAAAATTATCCAGGCGCATTGGGGAGTGCCTGTAATCCCAGCTACTCAGGAGGCTAAGGCAGGAGAATTGCTTGAACCCTGCAGGTGCAGGTTGCACTTAGCTGAGATTGCACCACTGCACTCCAGCCTGGGCAACAGAGTGAGACTACATCTCACAAAACAAACAAACAAATAACACAGGAGAGAGAAATACAAGGTAGAAGGAAATCCATTGAAGGCAGTACTATGGTCTTTGGGGCATCTGGAGAAAAGTTGCATCATTTCTAGTTGTTACATTCACTGGGGCTGCTGTGGTGTCCAGGGCCAGGTACCACGAATGCTGACTGTGCTGCCATGCATGGGGGATTCCTGAAAACAGTGAATCCCTGAATGGACTAATCTCTGAAGTCTTCTTAGGACTCCAATTATTTATGACTCTAAAGCAAGTTACTCCTCACCTCCTTCTCCACGGGACATTTGCCAATGTCTGGAAACATTTTTGGTTGTCACAACCTGGGGAGAAAATGCTACCGACATCTAGGGAGTAGAGGCCGGGAATGATGGTAAACATTCTGCAATGCACAGGACAGCTCCCCACAACAATTGGCTGGCCCAGAATGTCAATAGTGCTGAGGCTGAGAAACTGGTCTAAGGGAATGACTGGTCATAGGACACAATGAATGATTGAAGAGATGATTTGTTTGTTTGAGACAGAGTCTCACTCCGTTGCCCAGGCTAGAATGCTGTGGCACAATCTCGGCTCACTGCAACCTCCACCTCCCAGGTTCAAGTGATTCCCCTGCCTCAGCCTCCCAAGTAGCTGGGATTACAGGCATCTGCCACTACACAGAGCTAATTTTTGTATTTTAAGTAGAGACAGGGTTTCCCCATATTGGCCAGGCTGGTCCAAAACTCCTGACCTCAGATGATCTGCCTGCTTTGGCCTCCCAAAGTGCTGAGATGACAGGCGTGAGCCACCGCGCCCAGCCAAAGAGACGATTTGAATAATGAGTCATCCTCCAGCTCAGGGCCAATGGTATTCTTTCACATAAGAAGACCAAATGTTAGTTATTGCTGTTTTAATTAAAATAGCCATTGAGAACCTGAATGATCCATGGAGAAATGGTCTCCACAATTTCAGAAGAATTCATACGCCAAAGTTATTTCTGTCTATTTCTACAGAACTCCTCTTGAGATTGGTAATAACTAATATTTTTTAAAGCCTTACTTTGCTGGGTACTGGGCTAAGCACTTCACATGTATTAATTTATTTAATCCTCATAACCACCCATCATCTCTGTTTTACAGATAAGGACAGAGGGATACAGAGGCATTAGTTTGCTTGTCCAAGGTAACGGTATTAGTCAATTTTTGCTCTGCTACAAGGCAATACCTGAAACTGGGGAATTTATGAAGAATAGAGGCTTAATTGACTGGCAGTTCCACAAGCTGTAGAGGAAGCAGGGCTGGGAGGCCTCAGGAAGCTTATGACCATGGCAGAAGGCTAAAGGGGAGGAGGCACATTTTGATACGGCAGAGCGGGAGAAAGAGGGAGTGAAGGGAGAGGTGTTACCCACGTTTAAACAACCAGATCTCATGACAACTCACTATCATGAGAGTGGCAACAGAGAAATCCACCCACATAACCCAATCACCTCCCACCTGGACCCTCCTCCAGCATCGAGGATTACAATTCAACACGAGATTTGGGTGGGGTCACAGAGCCAACCTGTATCAGTAACCCAGCTAGTAGGTGGAACAGTTCAGAGCAGCAGCACCTAGATACTTTAGGGCACCTGGTCTGATGCAGATGCCCAGTGAAGGTTTGTCAATGAATGCCTAAGTAAGAAAATCACTTCCTGCCTCTAAACTCGATGAGAAAGCAGAACGTATTTCTTTATTTTGGCGTCCATACAAGTTTCCCTGGGCAACATTAGCATAGCGGAAATTCTGAAAGAGAACATAGAATAGACAACTCCAATCAAGCCAGGGGTCTTCAGAGACCATTAGCCCTGTCCCAAACACTCTTACCCATCACTTTGAGGAAGGAAAGGAGATTCTGAAAAACAGCAAAAGGCCTCTGTGAACCCTCTGACTCCATTCCCTAAGCACAGGTTGCAAAAGTTCACATTTTAGCTAACATGTTTTGTGATGCTTTTCTTAACCTTGCAAGTTGCTATTTTACTAGCAGCTTCCTTTGGGGGCCTCAGATGGCAGATTGGATGATTTAAGGGGAAAAATGCAGTCGTATTTGGAGTTTTTTTTTTTTTTTTTTAAGCCTCCAGGAGTCTAACGTGACATTCTGGGTAAGAACACAGTATTATGTTGATTCATATGACACCTCCCTTAATGATTTATGAAATCTCTTTATGGTGGCAGATCACTGAGGAGGCGCTGAGAAACCTGACAGGAAACCTGCAACAGCGTGGTAAACCATAGCTGCCACCCTTACCTTGGAAGTGAGAAAGGAAAGGTTAAGAGGTCTGGGAGCTTCTCCATTTGGAGAATGCTCATCTACAAGAGACCCGAAGACCATCTGGCCTCAGAGACCATGCATTACAAAACAGAGTGTCATTTTACATGCAGGCTCCAAAAGCATTGGTTCTAGGTTCCCCTACCTCTGGGCCAACATTAGGTATCCCTACAGCACCACCAGCTCTTTCCAGGAGAGTCTAAAGAGATTCTGAGTGCACCAGACTATGGCAAAATGGGAGAAAGACACTCCAAGCTCGTGCCACACTTTGCCTCCAGAGCACCAAAGCCCCTCATGGAGCCTCTTGAGAGCACCTTCTGGACCTCACTCATCAACTACACCATCTACCCACCATCAGGATAACTGCTTCTCATTCCTCCACCTGTTACAACTCCAATTTACAGATCAGGCAACTGTGGCAAAAGTACATTAAGAAACTTGCCTCAGAATCTGATTTATTCGACTCCAACATGGAATGAGAGAACATGGGGATGAGCAATCCACGGGAAAGGCTTATGGCTACGTTGGAAAAAGTCATACATTACTTCTACCCACCTTCCATTGGGCAGAACTCAGTCACATGGTCTTATCAACTACAAGGGAGGCTGGGAAATGTAGTCCAGCTGTGTACCCTAGCCGGGGGCGGGGGTAGGGGGGTGGTGGGGAGCGGGGGGCGGGGCGGTGGAACAGATGGATTTTGGTGGACTCAGAGCTGTCTCTACCATAGGCACCAGGCAAAGCCCTACAGAGCTGAAATTAGTCTGGGAAGCCAGACTCAAAAGCACACTATCATTTTTTAATCACCCACCTTATCCACTCCAGAGTTACAATAAAAGCTCTCAACTGTATCACTGGACAACACTCTGCTGGGGAGGCATGAAGGGAAGGTTCTCTATGGGGGAGTTATCATCTGAGATGCTGCTTAAATGTAAAATTGAGGTATCATTTACTGACAACTTGCTATTTGCCAGGCACTGTGACCCATGCTGTAATTAATAGCCTCTCTCATTTAATCCTCACCTTGATAATATTAGGCAGCTACAGTGATTATCCCCATCTTTCAGATGAGAAGTTGAAATGTTGAGAAGTGGTACACTAAGTCACAAGAGAACCAGAAATCACATCCAAGTCAATGGGATCTCAGCATTCAGGTGCTTACCTCAATGGCTTTTACCCATCTATCCTCATTTCTTCCAATCAACAAGATAATGTGTTGTCCCTAAAGGGAGAAATATCAGGGTTCCTACCTTCTCATCCTATTATTTAAACCACAGCATTAGGTCACTGGGAAAAGAAACCATTTTCATAAAACATTCAGAATGTGAAATATGAAAAAGACACAAATCTACTCACAGGAATGTTGCTAATCAGAGTGATTTTTTTTAAAAAAATCACTGCTTAGCTGCCTATAAGGCTTGTGTTCTACTCAGAACAAGAAAGAAAGAGTCGTTAGCTGAAGACACCAGGCTTATTAGACAGAGCCTCAAGCATGCTCTCAGCCTTGGGCCAACAGCCTTCAAAATCCAAAAGCAGAGAGACATGTGTGTTCAAATTCCTCACTCAAAACAATTAGAGCAGTCCAACGTTGGGACTGTGGGTTTGCCACCCGTATCTGGGATTGCAGGTTCCTCCGAGACAGTTTACTTACCAATATGGTAAGATGCAATGCTAAGAGATGAATAGTTATGAGGCAGTTACCAAGTAGCTTTGTTTCATACTTAGAGAATGTCAGAAAAAGTATTATGAGGAATAGGATTGTATTTTTGTTGTTATTGTTTATTGGTTTGTTTTCTCTTTCGGGGTAAGAGAGATTTTTCTGATTTTAACACACATATATTTTTAAAATATATCTGAAATATAAATGTGTTTTAAAATCAACATGTACATTTAATGTGTTGCTTTTGTTCCACATCCTCTCCTCCTGCAAAAAAAAATTATTATTAAAGTGAAGCTGAGATGTATAACCCCTGATATCTAAGAATGGAGGGAATATAACACACAGTACTGTATGATACATGATTCAAGTACCCAATTTTCTCATCCTGTGCCAATAAACTGGCTGCTTGTACAGGCTTTGAGCAGGAGATCCTAAGAGCAGGGTCTGGATCATTTAAATTAAAAATACACACCAAACTAAAGAAAACAAAATGCCAACAACAACGTTCCTTTAAAAAAGAATAGACTGCATTTTAAATATTCATTTAAATGTACAGTAACAGACTATTACACATTTTCATGTTTTCTCTTTGACAGTGTTTCATTTGCAGACTCTCCATGGCTTATAAAAATATACCCAGAGTCCAAATCTCCACAGCATGAGATTTTTCACATTCTCTAATTTGCAGTAATGTATTGTGTCAAATTCCGTCTTTAACCCGCCCAGGGACAACACTGGCACATGGGGCCTCTGCTGCACAAACTAACATTTCAGTCCAGGCACCATGGGGAGCTCTGGAGCAGGGCGTGAGCTTGGCTACTGTGAGAGTGTCCCCTCAAATGTTGAACCCCTAGTTTCACTCTTGCTGTGGATGGAGTTTCACCACAAATCATGAGCCCTCCAGGTCTCTGCTCAGTGCCTGTGGTAGAGGCAGCTCTGAGTTCATCAAAATTTGTTTCTTCCCCTTGGGTTCACAGCTGGACTACATTTCCCAGGCACCCTTGCAGTTTATGAGACCAAGTGACTGAGTTCTGGCCAATGGGAGGGGGGCAAAAGTAATGTATGACTTTTCCAGGTGTTGCCCATAAATCTTTCCTGTAAATTGCTCATCCGCAGGCTTTGTTGTTCCATCTTTGAGTTGAATGAAGCCAACTCTAAGACAAGTTTCTTAAGGTGACTGCACCTCAGTTGCCCAATCTGTAAAATGGGAGTGAAAAATTCACTTCCACCTCTGACATAGCTACGAGGAACGGTAAACAAAGTGGAAAACAAGGCAGTAGAGGTTAGTGATTTCACCTTCACAGTGTGTGGAAAGAGAATGCCTGAATTCAAAGGTTGGCTGTGTAGTCATGTGACTTTGTTACTTAATCTCTCTGAACCTAGTTCCTATTCTGTAAAATGTAAATAACTAATACTGACCTGATAGGAATGTGGTGGGGAATAATTGAGATTAAGTATGTAAAATACTCAGAAGATAATAAACCTGGCACCAAGGGAGTGCTTAACAAGTCGTAGCTGCTACTATTACTGCTGCTGCTACCACTGCTACTGAAGTAATTATTATTATTTTAGTACCTTAAATGTGCTTAGAAGAGTGCCTGGTGCATAGTAAGTATTTATAAATGTTAACCATCATTATTACTTTCTGCAAAATACATTTAACACTAGAATCTAGCAGAATTAAGTGAAATAGTGCGTATGAAGTCTTACTATACCACCTAGCATTGGGGGGAAAATTTTAGCCTTTATTAATCCCTGATCTTTTTTTAAAAAAACTTTTTTTTTGAGATGGAGTCTTGCTCTGTCACCCAGGCTGGAGTGCAGCGGTACAATTTTGACTCACAGCAACCTCCGCCTCCCAGGTTCAAATGCTCCTCCCACCTCAGCCTCCCAAGTAGCTGGGATTATAAGCATGTGCCACCACACCCAGCTAATTTTTGTATTTTTGGTACAGACAGTGTTTCATCATGTTGGCCAGGTTGGTCTCGAACTCTTCACCTCAAGTGATCCACCTGCCTCAGCCTCCCAAAGTGCTGGGATTACAGGTGTGAGCCACCACACCCAGACCCCTAATACTCTTAAATGCCACATGTGCTGTATTGGAAAAGAAGAAGCCACAGGTTAAAACCAGGCACTGGGCAGAGATGCCATCACTACCACAAGGTGGTAGAGACCAAGTGAATACATGCAACAAAATCAAACATAATTTGAGCTTGGACTCATCCAGTTCTAGACTTTCACCCAACTAGAATCAGAAGACAGTTCAGGGCCAAGATGGAGAGGATTCTTCACTGGGGATCCAAGATTCTACAGGGGTTCCTAGATAGAACACAGTGAGTCCGTGAACTTCGATAGGAAAAAATAAAACTTGATTTTCACTAGCCTCTAACAAATCTAGCACTCCCTTTAAATATAAGACACAACATTGCAGTAGTATTACAAGTACCTGTGACTTTGTCACCAAGAGAAATCACAGATATTTTAGTCACATTACATTATAATTGTCACAGATATCTCAAAATATCATAATGCTTATCGCTACTTCCAAATTATGGTAATTACTAGATTTGCTTGTTCAATGTGTTAACAAAGAAAGCAAAGATTTGACTGAATCATGTTTTAATTTATTTAATAAATGTATTTCAATATAAATAGTTTCCTTTGTGATTCTAAGTATTTTGTATTGTGTATTTGAAATCTTTATTCTGCAAGGAGGCCTGTTGTTCTCCCCAGATGTCCAAGGGGGTCATGAAACAGAAGAGGTTAAGGGACCTCAGTCTAGGATCTGCAGGATCCACAATCCCATACACACACAGAGACTCATTCCAAAGTCCAGACACCCATCAGTGACTACCAAGGTGACCTCTAGCAGGTCTTTAGCCTCCTAGACCCTCTAATAATGCATCTACAAAGCAAAGCTAATATTATTCTTCCCAAATCTTCCATAGGATTATTGTAAGATTGAAATACGATGCAGAATATGGATCTGCTGGCTGAAAGTAATAAATTCTGCACAAACTTGGACATCACTCGTATCATCCCTTGGAGACTTAAAAGATCCTTGTCCTCTGGGTCTTCATGGGTGTTCTCTAAGTGTTGCCTGTAGCTCTTTCTACTACAATGCTACCAAAGGAAATCTGTCAAGAACCTTGGGAGGCAAAAAACCAGTGGAGGTACTGGAGTCAGATTTTGGGGTGAATGCTGACTGTACCCCTTACTAACTGTGTGACCATTGACAAATAGTTTGAGCCCTCTGAGCCTCCATTTCCTCTTGTTTGGAACGGAAAGACTGACACTGCAGTGACATGAATGGAACAAAGTGCATAAAAGAGTGCCAGGCAAGCAACCCCAGTGTAGGAGTCAGTGAAGCACAGAACTGAGATGAGAATAGAGGTGCTTGCTGTGATCACTGTCACGGGCCTCACTGGCACACCATGGCAGGCATTTAATTCCCAGAGAATATCCATGTGCTCCTCACCTTCTCAGGCCTCTTGTTACAGGTTCCCTGAGATACGTTCTAGCTGGCGGACTGTGAGTAGAAGGAATGTGTGCCATCTCTGCGCTAAGGCAATGAAAAGGTCAAGAGAGATTCCCCGTTTCCTTTCTTCCCCTGCCAGAGTGATAGTGGAGGTATGCACTGACCCAGAGAAGCCACAAGAGAGAAGCATCCTGTACTGCGAGGTCAACAGATGGATAGAGCCACCCCCAGCTCTCATCAGACATAGCATGGGAGAGAAATAAGCCTCTTTGGGTAGGCCATTGAGATTTCATGGTTAACTTGTTACTTGCATAGCTTAGCCTCTCCTGACTAATGTATGAACTAAATAAGAAAATAGATCAGGCGTGGTGGCTCACGCCTATAATCCCAGCACTTTGGGAGGCCAAAAGAGGCAGATCACCTGAGGTCAGGAGTTTGAGACCAGCCAGGCCAACATGGTGAAACCCTGTCTCCACGAAAAATACAAAAATTAGCCAGGTATGGTGGCACACACCTGTAGTCCCGGTTACCTAGGAGCCTGAGGCAGGAGAATCGTTGAACCTGGGAGGCGGAGGTTGCAGTTCATGAGACATGCCTAGAATTCAGCACTTTTCTCTAGGACATGAGCACACAACCCATTTGCAAGATCTGGAAAGAACCTAGTCCAAATACGATCTGAGGAGTTTCTCCCTCCAGCTTCTGCTTACCATCTGAAACCCCTGCTGGCCCAGCACAGCATTTGCTCATTGGAACTCAGGAAGCCTTCTTGAGATACTGCATTTGCAGTCAGTCCCCATTAGCTAAAACCACTCACATGGCGTTTCCATACAGCATTCTCTCCCCTTCTCTGCAAAGGTGCAAGCAGCTCTGAGCTTTGCAAGGATCTCCCAGTATCTACTCAATATCTACTTGGCTGCTGAGCTGTAAGGAGGGGGCTACAGGACCAGAATTCTTGCCTGTGCTGCTGCTGAAGACAGTACCAGGGCAAAAGTAGAAAATGTAACTTAACACATTTCAAATTAACATGTAAAACGCGTCAGATGTTTGAGTATTAATTAATATTTTTGCAAACTAATTACATTAGAATGACAAGGCCAGGAAGACACTAAAAGAGTTTACCAATTTTGTTCCAACCCTCCTATTTTAAATGGCTGCATGGATTACCACTTTATTCAATTTTTAGTTTTTTTAGTTTACCAGAAACGATCTAAACACCACACCATTTCACAGCTATCATCATTTATTCATAGCTCAACAGAGGAAGCCAGAATTGCAATAACTCTTTTTTTTCGACCCCGATTGTCATTCCGGTGAGGTAAGTGGGATATCAGCCCTAAGTCAAGCTACATTAGTGCCGGGAATCAGGCATAGTCACGAAGTTTCTCCAAAGTGTATCAGCAACATTTATCAGGAGAAGATTGCGTTGAGCAACGTAGACTTTAACCCAAGGGGGTTTTCAAGCCTGCTTCCCCCATCTTTGCTGGACCGCTGGTTCAGAAGGCAAATTGCATAGAATCAAATACCAACTTTGCCTACTAGCCATATGGCCCTGAGTGGGTCCCATAAACTCTTCTGAGCCTTGGTTTTCTCATCTGTTAAATGAAGTCTACATTAATACTCATTCTCCTAAGTTCATTGGAAGGAATAAAAGAGGTAATTTATATACAATACATTGCTCAGTGCCTAGCATACAGTGAGCATTAATAACTGCTGGCTGTTCTCACTGCTGCCGCTATAACCACCACCACCATCACTGTTATCATTATCATCCCCACAATGAAGAGTCACCTTCAGTGCCCTTCATCCACATGTCCAGCTGATTTTCCAATTGTTCCCTCATCCCCTACCCCTTATCCATACACACAGTCGATCCAAAGCAATCTCTTTGCTATTTTTCAAGCTTGCTTTCAGATTACTAAAATATGTCATGGAATGTGGTGTCTGTGTATATAGTCTCCAATGCCCCTTACTGGTTCTAGAGCAAGTGTGAGGTAGGAGGTGGGACTCAACTCTGGAGGTGGAGCCGAGACACTGGACCAAATTGAGGACTAGCTTAAACACAGATGGGGCAGAAGCAGCTTTCCATAAGACACGCCCACCAGAGTGCCATACCAGTTTATCATCACCATGGGAACACCCAGGACTTACTGCCCTTGCCATGGCAACAACCCAAGGACCTGGAAGTTACCACCCTATTTCTAAACATTTCTCCATAATCTGTTCCTTAATTTGCATGTAATTAAAAGTGGGTCTAAATATGACTGCACAACTGCCTCTGAGCTGCTACTCTGGGCACACTCCCTTCAGGGTAGCCCTGCTCAGGAAGGAGCAGTCCCTCTGCTGCTACTGTAACTGATGCTTCAATAAAAGCTGCTGTTTAACACCACTGCTTACCCTTGAATTATTTCCTGGGCAAAGCCAAGAACCCTCTTCGGCTAAGCCCCAGTTGTGGGGCTCGCCTGCCCTGCATCAAGTGTATGTGGGTAAATGGGAAAGGAAGACCCATCTCATCTGAAGCCAGGCTTCCTGGGAGAGCTAAACAGCCCCCTCTAGGTATTCACTCTCCCCCTTGAACCCACTTCTATTACAGCTTAGCTAAAAGCGTCTGTTCATCCATCAGTGTATTTTCATAGATCACAGGCTCCTTGAGAGCAGAAAAAAGTGTTTCATTCATTTTAAGTTACCAGGGTCTAAAAGACTGGCTATCACATATGAGATGCTCTTTAAAACTCTCTGACTTTCTGAATAAATGCGTGACCCCTCCAAAGAAGTCCATCTGCTAATCAGTATGTAGTTTGCTTCATTCTAGAACCGCTAAGCCTAGCCTGGAGAGCAGACACAATCTCTTTTCCCTCCTCCTGGATATAATCAGTAATTCTTTTATTCTGTTAGGAGGGAGCACAGTGCCCTACATGGATCTCCTCCTTCTTCTCTGACCCTTTATAAATCTTTGCCCTTGGCCTGGGATTTCCACAATCAACCAATTTAACTCACCACGTTCTAGACTGATTCTGAACATCCCAGCACTCCCCTTCAACCATTGCATCTCCAGGCCTTCCCCCATATCCTCCATGAAAGCCCCACCACTGTGGCTGAGTCTGTCTCTCCTTTTGCCATTGATAAAACATGGTGAATCCTTGGAATTATGCAACATTACAGACTATGACAGGCTGGAACTTCTGCTGTTCTGTCTAATTTGGTGCACAGAGTCTGAGAGCTGGAGTGAAGTATGAGCCCGGGAGCACATCTTTTGATCTTAAACAGTCAGAAGGTTGGAATGTATAATGCTATGGAAATAAATGGTGTCAAAACTGTAGGAAATAATATATGGTTCTGGGAATGGGTTTTGTGATCACAGAACACTCAAAAAATCTTAAAACAGGCAGTCAACGAGGCTGGTTTAGCTGTAGCAGGGGAAGCCTTGGAAGATGAGATAATTTAGAGGAGGAGAGATGAGATTTTTCTCTCTAGGTTTAAAAGACTGAGCCTTTGCCTCTAAGAGACTGGAGGTGACTCCTGACTTCACTTTCTAAGCACCCCAGCTGGTTTGGGGGTCTGATAGCCTCGGGTGTGAGTCTCAACTTCCCTCCTATTACATTTGTGACTCATTTAACTAACCATGTTAAGCCTCAGTATGCTCATCTGTAAAACAGAAAAAATGATAGGATGTACTTCATAGGGTTATATTGTGAGGATGAAATTAAATAAGATAAGGCAGGCGGAATGACTTGCAGAGTGGCCTGGCTGGCACAGACTCAGGTGCTAATTAAAAGTTAGCTGTTTTTCCCCCCATTTGGTTGTTTTTACTCATTAACCCCCAATGCAAGGTAAAAATTGTGGGATAGGCCGGGCGCGGTGGTTCACACCTGTAATCCCAGCACTTTGGGAGGCCAAGGCGGGTGGATCACGAGGTCATAAGATCAAGACTACCCTGGCTAACACGGCGAAACCCCTTCTCTACTAAAAATACAAAAAATTAGCTGGGTGTGCTGTCGGGGGCCTGTAGTCCCAGCTACTCGGGAGGCTGAGGCAGGAGAATGACATGAAGCTGGGAGGCGGGGCTTGCAGTGAGCCCAGATGGCGCCACTGCACTCCAGCCTGGGAGACAAAGCAAGACTCCCTCTCAAAAAAAAAAAAAAAGTGGGATTCTTCTAATTCATCCCCCAAACCTCACAGCAACAGATACCTAGTTTTTCAAATAAAGAAGTAGAGAAATTTTACAACGGTTCACTTTTCCAGAGACCCTTAATCAATTTTCACAGAGGAAGATGCTTCTGAAACACTCTTAGGAATGATGCTTCCATGTGGGTTCAGACGCCAGGAATTGGTTCTAGTTGATACTTCTGCTATTTCCTATTGTAGCTTAGAATGAGTCACCAAGCACACTAATAAAAGTAACCACTACAACGACTAGTGTGTATTATGGACTACTTACGCACCAAATAATATGCTTATTGCCTTCTGTAAGCTACAGTATGCCTTTCCACTTCTCAGAATAAGCCATAAGGTTCATTCTTTAATTGTCCCCATGCTATGTAACAGACAAACGAGACAAAGAAAGATTAAGTCATTTGCCCGAGTTTCACCACTCACTGGGACTGGAGATAAACAATGGCAGTCATGCTGTTCCTAGTGGAGACAGCCCAGGTGTTGCAATCAGACAAACCTGGTTCAGATATGGCTCCCACTATTTTTGAGTAAGTTTGGCCAACCTACACCACTTCTCCACATCTCAGTTTTTTTGTCTGTAACATGGAGGCATTCACAGTTATTTCAAAGATTGCTGTAAAGATAATGCAGTGCTTGGGACTCCGTTCACATGTGGTAAATGATGGCTGCAATTATCAACGCTGCTGCTGCTGTTGCTATGGGAAGGTTCTTACTCATCTCCCCGCTAAGTGCTTTTGGATGTCAGCTTGCTGGTTAGTCAGCCTCTCACCAGCATCTCATATCAGCTATTTCTTCTCTCTGCTTATTTTTCCCCTCTAACCTCTAGTTCTGCCTCTATTCTCCATCCATTCATTCATGCATTTATTTATGGGGGACGGGGTCTTGCTCTGTCACCAAGACAGGGGTCCAGTGGTGCAATCATAGCTCACTGCAGCCTCAAACTCCTGGGTCCCAAGTGATCCTCCCGTCTCAGCCTCCTGAGCAGCCAAGATTACAGGTGTGCACCACATTGCCTGGCTAATTTTCTAAATTGTTTGGAGAGAGAGGGTCTTGCTACAATGCCCTGGCTGGTCTCAAACTCCTGGTTCAAGTGATTTTCCTGTCTCTGCCTCCCCAAGTGCTTGGATTACAGGCATAAACCACCTCGCCCAGCTGCTCTCCTTATTCTCAGCACATATATTTCCCTCTGCTATTCACTGGGGAAGTGAAGGTTGCCAGGCATAACCTGTTTCAATTTATCTTCCTTCTCCTTCAAAATGTATCCACATTTACTCTCCATCTTTTTTTCCTTCAGTGTTCTTAGAAGAAAAAAAAATATCTCTGCTCAGTCCAATCAGTACCATAGCTCTCTGGTGCTAGACAATGATGAGCAAAACACAACAGCCTCAAGAACACTCGGATCACCTTTCAATGTGTAAATCCCCGACTGTGCCCCACCATCGTATCCTCTGAGGCCTGTTCTCCAAGACTACAATATACCCAAGCCTCTGCCATCTTCCAAATTCCTTCCCAACTCCTGCCTTTCCTTCAAGCCAGAGGACCATTGATCCCTTGAATCAACCAATGGCTGCTTTGAACAGCTGGGCTCCAGTGTGGCCCATGTGTCTTCTCCTTCTGTTTACTCCTAAGACATCCACATTGGAAAGGCTGCTGTTAAGGACACTAATGATGGCACGACTGCCAAACTCAGTGCCATGGGTCCTGACCCTGTTTCCTCAAACCCTCTGAATTATCCAATACCCCTACCTCTCTCTTGTAACCATCTTACTCTTTGATTTCCATGAGGATGCTGGGCCCTGGTTCTTCTGTGTTCCTTCTGATTACATCATTCTCCTTCACTGTTTCCACACTTACTTTTCACTTATTCTCTGAGCAGGCAGCTTTTTTCCCATCTCTTCCTTTTCTCAGGCCCTTGACTTTTCTTTACCTGATGACAACCTAACCTAATCCACCCTTCAAAGCTCCAGTCTGCATACTACCTCCTCTGAGAAGCCTCTATAAATATCCCTAGCCTATCTAGACTCATTTATGTTTTAACCGAGATCCAGAACTTACCAAATATGTAGGAAGCCTTATGGGGACAGTTTTGCTCTATTGACAACATCAGTCCTCATGAGACAAGTGAAACTACAGCATTTATTCTATAATGCTATAATGAACCATCAGTTATTTGAGGGTATGATAGTGTGTCAACTTTGTACACGTATTCCCAGGCCTAGTATTGTGCCTAGACTATAAGAGACTGTCACTTAAACGTTCAAGAAATTACAAAACACTAACCATATCTCCAACTGAGAATTCTGGACTCTTGAATTAAGACCACATGATTGTTTAGAGTTCTTTAAATATTCTTTGGTGCTGGCTTCAAGGACGGAGATGACTATCAAAGCATGACTGGGCAAAATTAGACAAGGCCAAGAGTGCTCATTGGAAAGTACTGCTGATCTTCAAGTGGATCTTGTCCTTGGGTGGAGACAAGAGGGCCATTAACTCCAATGTGAATTAAGTCATAGGAGTGAACTTCTGTCTGGTTAGGGCAGGATACAGCCATGTTGCAAAGGTAGCACAGCAAGCTTTCAAAACAACAGGTCTCGATGATTCCTAATTAGGTTATTTAATTATTGTTTTGTTGTTGTTGTTGTTGTTGTTGTTTGTTTCTTTGTTTTGAGATGGAGTCTTGCTCTGTTGCTAGGCTGGACTATGCAGTGGCATGATAGTAGCTCACTGCAACCTCTGCCTCCTGGGTTCAAGCTATTCTCTTGCTCAGCCTCCCAAGTAGCTAGGACTACAGGTGCGTGCCACCACACCCAGCTAATTTTTGTATTTTTAATAGAGATAGTACTTCACCATGTTGGCCAGAATGGTCTGGATCTCTTGACCTCATAATTCACCTGTCTTGGCCTCCCAAAGTGCTGGGATTACAGGCATGAGCCACCACACCCTAATTATTGTTTTACTTAATACAAATGTAAGTGAAGGGGGACTTTGTATGGAAGCAAAATACTAATTGTTGAACATCTACTGTATGCCAGGCTCTGTCTTAAGCATTGTATTATTTTCTTTCTTTTTTTCTTTTTTTTTAAGACAGGGTCTAGCTCTGTCACCCAGGCTAGAGTGCAGTGGTGCAATCTTGCCTCACTGCAACCTCAACCTCCTGGGCTCAAGCAACCCTCCCACCTCAGCCTCCTGAGTAGCTGGGACTACAAACACACAGCACCACACCTGCCAATTTTTTTTTTCTTTCTGTAGAGATTCGGTTCTTCCTCATCTGTTGCCCAGGCTGGTCTCGAACTCCTGGGCTCAAGTGATCTTCCTGCCTTGGCCCTCCAAAATGCTAGGACTACAGGTGTGAGCCACCATGCCCAGCCAGGCATTGCATATTGATTATTTCATTTAAAGTTCAAACAAACCTTGTACTTTATTTCACCATTCCCATTTTGTGGAGAAAAGACTTGCTTAGCAGTTAAGTAACTTGACTACAGTCACATAACTCACAAGTGTGGACCCATCATTCACACCTCATCTACAAGACTCCAAAACTCTTGCTCTTTCCACTGTAACCTTCTTGATGAAACAGCTCAACAGACCCTTGTTAAATGTGCTAGGTTCTCAAATGACACAGGATGGCTAGGACTGATCTTCTGTTCACAGACTAAGCAGCTCAGCCCCTTTCTCAAACGCACTGGTGTCTTTTAGTAGGTAAGAATATTTTTAATGGGCTCTGCAACCCCCAATTTATTTTCCTGAGAACGAGGCTTGGAAGACAAGAGAAATAAATGATTCCTAGGCCTAGGATAAAGTTTCCTTTTGGAAGGAAAAAATAATGGTAGGAGGGAGATTCCACCTACATTCTCCCAAGGCCACTGAGTTTGCTACCTGCGTAGTTTCCCATTGCAATTATTTGGGATAGCAGAGCTGTAATATCAATCAATCTCAGTTCGATTGCTTTGCCATGAAATAAAAGCAGGCCAATTTATCAAAATTGAGGCCCTCCACTGAGTTTACATTGCCATTAAAGTATCAACAGGAAATCATTAAGGTGAGGCAAGAAACCAACTGGTAAGTGAAATGAAATGAATTTTTTTTTTCCTCAAACATCCTCTTCTATAACCTCCTTTGTTTGGCTGTCAGCATAGACAACGTGGGGCTGGGTCTCAGATCTTTGTGTTAATATACAGCTGGTGGTGGAGAGGACTCAGACATACGCATTTGCAATCCAATGGCTGCGCCCAGGTAACTTCGTTCTCTCTCAGCAGGGCAAGCTGCGTGACGATAAATAGGGGGGAAATGTGTATGCGTTTTTGCGATAAAACAGGCTTAATGATTTTGAAGGGGAAGGAGTCTAGGAGACATACAGTAGCAACTTAGGAACAAAATGGAACCATGCAGGGCCAATTAATGTGCAAATATGTGTGTGCTGAACTTGCATTCCATTCATCATGTGGACATGGAAATTGGGCCATTTATCTGTTATATTATGTATGTGACATCTTAGTTTGGTTCTTAAAGGCTGCTTGGGGACAAAGGGCCAGGTGCTTTGCGGCTAGCAGAGGGAATTTCAGATAAATTCTTCAGCTGTCATAAACATTGCTGGGCAGAATTTGGTCAGAAGATAAAGCTCTTTCCTCTACAGGGTTTTTAACGTTTCTCAATAGCTCATGTGCCATCTTATTAAAACTGTGTGTGGTGCAGGGAGGGGTGGCATATGCCATGAAAATTTATTGGCACAAACAGCTTGCTGTCATGTTTTCAAAGTCCAGATTTAGCAAACGTTATTCACATATTCACTGTCAATCTGCAGAGAGAAAGGGAACTGGCAAAGCCACTCATTCTCACTGATTCTGTGGGTTTGTCATTCTTTTTGTCTCCTTTTAACCAATATCTCCTCCACAGGTGGGGTTTGTTCTGCTTAAATTACAACTGTTTGTCTCTACTTGGGGGTGGGGGGGAAAGAAAGTCATTTGAGAAGGAAAAGGACCTTAGAGAAGCATTTTCCCAGAGCCACTATTATTTACCTAACAGAACATGCCATGAATATGGATCACGCATTAAATAACGGTGATCGCTTGTTTTGATGAATTGCCATTAGAAATTCAATTAATAAAAGGTTACCTCCCTGCTGTCATGAAAAAAAATATGATGTGGCTGCAGCAATGATAATTCAGCCTTAGGAAAAATGGTAAGGAAAAAAAAAAGACTAAAAAAAACTGTTCCATCTGGGAAATGGGAGACTGGAATAAAAAAAGAATGAAGGAAGGAAGACTATTTTTGATCAAAAGTGTTTCTGTACATTAAGCATTCCTACACTTCCTAATTCCCTTCATCTCACTTACCCCCACCATGACCATCTGACCATTCCCCCACCCCATCATCCTGGTTGATACATTTTGTGTTTTCTCTCTTTTTTCTTGCCAAGTGCCTTCATTTTTTTTTTTTTTTTTTTGCCATACAAATTACAACCTGTAAGATGCACACGTTTTCATTGTAGAGCTCTATCAGTTTTATATATGATGGTTACCTCCGTAAATACATCCAGATGAGAGTGTTGGACATTCCCATTAGGTCCCTTTCTGCCCCTACCCAGCCAACGCCTCCCAGAGGTAACCACTATTGCTACTTTTATCATCAGAGATGAATGTTGTCTGTTTATTTTTTATATATAAATAATATATAGAATATATAAATAATATAAATGTAGGTGTGTATATGTACATATGTAAATGAAATCATGGAGGGTACATTCTTTTGTTCTGATATTTTTCTTATAATATTATATTACTAAGAGTCATACAGGTTGTGTCATACACCTATAGATAATATTTTTTGATTGCTGTATTGTATTTCATTGCATGAATACACCACTATTGATTGATCTGTTACTCTGTTAATAGACATTTGGTTTGTTTCCAGTGTTTGGGTATGGTAAATAAATCCTTTATGGGAATTCTTGCATGTGTTGTTTTGGTGGACATAAGCACCGTTTCTCTTGGGCATACAAGTAGAAGTGGAATTGTTGGATTTTTAAACATTATTTCACCTATGTAGGAACTACTGCAACTCCTCAGACCTCCTTTTTTCAACAGGTAAAATGAGGATAAGAAATATCTTGTGAACAGCCGGGCGCGGTGGCTCATGCCTGTAATCCCATCACTTTGGGAGGCCGAGGAGGGCAGATCACGAGGTGGTCAAGAGATAGAGACCATCCTGGCCAACATGGTGAAACCCCATCTCTACTAAAAATACAAAAACTAGCTAGGCATGGTGGCACGCACCTGTACTCCCAGCTACTTGGGAGGCTGAGGCAGGAGAATCACTTGAACCTGGGAGGCGGAGGTTGCAGTGAGCCGAGATTGTGCCACTGTACTCCAGCCTGGTGACTGGGAGAGTCCCCATCTAAAAATATATACGTATAAATCTTGTGAAGTTTAAAAGGGGCAACATGATCGTTTTCTTGTTGGATGATTGTTTTAAACTGCCAAATAAGATGCAGATATAAGAATGTGTCTGGGGAAACGAAGAAAGATGGAAGATCATAGGAAACACACAGCTGTCTCAGGTGATGACCACAGAGAAACAGGACATATTCAGGTATGCTCCAGAAAGCGCAATCAGTCCTTCATGACTGGCAGAACTAATATTTACTGAACACCCACTGTTTACCAGGCCATAATCTGGGTGGGTTACATGGCATGGCACTTTGTACCCTGCCAGACATGGTTATGAATTCCAACTCTATACCTCATTAGTTGAACAGCACTAGGAAAGTTACTCAGCCTTTCTAAGTCCCAGTTCACTCTTCTGTGAAATAGGGATCATCATAGCCTATACATCACAAAATTTTTTTAAGGATTTTATATAACGATGCGTGCAGTGCAATTATAAATAAATGGTGCATCAGAGATGCTAAATACACAGAAACTGGTATTCCCGTGACAGCAAACCACCAGAGGAAACACTGCCGTTGCCATTTTAATGCTCTCGACAGCCTCATAGGATGCATATTGCTATTCCTATTCCAAAAATGAGGAAACAAAATTTGTGTTGTTTAATAACTCACTCGAGTGACTGGTCACAAGATCATGGGGACATAGGTGACAGTGGGGGCTGCTCATCTCTGCCCTATCCTTGTGCTTCCCAAATCCCTGCCTCACTAGGCATCTGAAATCACTCACACTATGAATGCATCACAGCTCCTGGAAAACCTTTGCACACCAAGTTACTGTATCCGAGGATGCCGACATTTGAACGGGAATGGATACTTGTGGATAATGATCTCCCCTTAGGTGTTTGCAGAATCCTGCGAGAATCTGCCTCCACAAGCTTTATTCTATTTTACCCTACTAACGACTGTGTGATGGATCAAAGGGAGATATAACCATCCCCATGGTATACCTGAGGAAAGCGAAAACCCACAGTTAACCCATTTATGCCTGAGGTTGCAATTTCTTGAACTTGAAAAATCAGACTTTGGTGATGACCTCATTGAGCAGTAGGATATAAATACCTCCACATGCTTAGGGTTCCAATAATGCAACACTGGACGTCACACAGAGCCCTGGGCTCCTGGGACCTGGGTCAGTGTTCTTTGCTTTAACCACACAGTGGCTCAGGAGTGAGAGTGACCGGCTCTATCGTGCTGGGCATATTTTGCAGGAGCCCATTACATTACAACATGGACAATTTCCAATGGGTGGTCACCTTGCTGGTGACTTCTGAACAGCTTCGTTTTTTATTCTTTACCTATGTTGTCAGCATCCACCACAATTCCTTTCATGCCTTGGAGACTGAGTAGAGAAAGAAAAACAGGCTGGGCATGGTGGCTCACACCTATAATCCCTGCATTTTAGGAGGCTGAGGCGAGCAGATCACTTGAGGCCAGGAGTTTGAGACCAGCTTGGTCAACATGGTGAAACCCTGTCTCTACTAAAAACACAAAAATTAGCCAGGCGTGGCGGTGCACACCTGTAATCCCAGCCACTCAGGAGGCCGAGGCAGGAGAATCACTTGAACCCGGGAGGCGGAGGTTGCAGTGAGCCGACATCATGCCACTGCACTCCAGCCTGGGCAACAGAGTGAGACTCTGTCCCAAAAATAAAATAAAATAAAGGAAAGGAAAAAAATATACAAAGAAAAGCCAAAAGAGAAGGAATGGGGAAACTATATAATACAGACAGTGGAGGTCTCATTGGCAGAGCCAGGGCTTTGTCTGAGCTGGGCTAGAATTATGATGTATCTGTCAAGAAACAGACGCTGAAGTCACCCTGCACCATCTTTACCACGCACACTCCATGAAGAGCAGTGCGGTGACCTGGGCACCCCAAAACCCAGCAGCACAGAAACCACTCAACTGAAAACACACCATCCAAGCCACCAGGAAATGAAACACGGAAGAATCATTGCTAGAATGCTCGTTACACTCCATCACAAAAGAAACCCACTTCAAACTATCTTCTAAAGGGACAGAAAAACCACGTTTCCTACCTCAGCTTTGCCTGTAGCCTGACTTGCCGAAACCTGCAAGTTAAACAAAAAAAGACATTAGTATTGATTCAACAAGAAGGTAATTGGATTAATTGTCTTTTTAAAGGAACTGGCATCAATAATTTGTTATGACCCGAGGGGACAAAGGTTGCAACACACACCACACACACACACACACACACACATGCATTTTCTTCCACCAAGCACAGCAACATGATTTGTTTATCCAGCCCTGTTAATAAGGTGAATAGGATAATTAGTATTTTCAACATATTATAACAATCTTGTCAAGAAAAAAATAAGTGGGGAGGGCTGTGAGCAATGTCCATGTACTGATAATGATTAAATAAACACTGAAAAAGAAAACAAAGGCACTGAAGACATTTTTAATGTGTTTTTTTCCTTCCCTTAAAGTTTCAAGTCAGTGTTATGAGAAACACCAGGTAAAAGCTACAATGACAGCAACAGCAGCAGCTTCATGTTTGCAAAATTCCTCAAAATATTGTGAAATAGAGTTGTGCCAGGAATGGTGCCAAGTTGTTTATATATTTTATCTCATTTAAACCCTTGAATAACTTTTATGACCCCATTTCATAAATGAAAATATTGGGGTTTGTACAAGTTAGGTAACTTTTCCAAAGTCGGGATGTTATTAAGCATAAGAAATTAGATTTAAACCCAACATAAAGTCACGTAGATGTTCAGCCTCCTATCTACAAGCCTACTGTATATCAAAGGATTTGGTGTAGACACCTCCCAACATTGTTCATCTATGCCTAGAAAGGGTCTCCTATCTAGAGATCAGATCTTTTTCTCTGTGTGATAACTCTTAAGAAGCTTTCTATCTTACAACTTCTCTTATACCTGGATGACTTGGCCAACCTCAGCCATATTGTCCTATCTGACTACTTGGACTGAGCTATGTCCCCAAAATTCATATAATGAACCCCTAACCCCCACTGTGATTGTATTTGGAGACTGGACCTTTGGAAAGTAATTAAGTTTAGATGATGTCATGAAGGTAGGCCCTCATGATGGGATTAGTGCCCATCAAAGAAGAGACAGCTGCCTGGGCACAATGCCTCATGCCTATAATCCCAGAACTTTGGGAGGCCGAGATAGGTGGATCATGTGAGGTCAGGAGTTCGAGACCAGCTTGGCCAACATGGTGAAACCCCATCCCTACTAAAAACACAAAAAATTAGCTGGGCATGGTGGTGTGCACCTGTAATCGCAGCTACTCGGGAGGCTGAGGCAGGAGAATCCCTTGAACCGCGGAGGCAGAGGTTGCATTGAACTGAGATTGCGCCATTGCACTCCAGCCTGGGCAACAAGAATGAAACTCCGTCTTAAAAAAATGAAACATAAAAGAGGAGAGAGAGCAGAGAACTTACTTTCTTTCTCTCTCTCCCTCTCTCCCTCTCTCTCTCTCTCCTCCTGCACACAGGAAAGGCCACATGCAGACACAGCAAGAAGGCAGCCACCTACAACCCAATGAGCAGACCCTTTTCTCATACCGAGTCTGCTGGTACCTTCATCTTGAACTCTCAGGCTCCAGAGTATGAGAAATATATTCCTGTTGGTTAAGCTGCAGTCCATGGTGTTTTACTATGGCAGCCCAGGCTAAGACACAGACCAATACCAGCTCACAAATGTGAATCCAACAAAGGACTTAAGAACGAATGACTTCCTGAGTTAGCTGACCAGCCCCTGCAGCTCCCACTGACCTGGCTTTGGCACCAACTCTCCCACACTCACTCCCAAGGCATCAGATGAGGAGCTCAGGCAGAGCTCGCTGTCCATGGAGCAGCTTTCATGCACCATTAGCCCTCTAAACAGGAGACCAGATTTCAGACTGACCTCAGCCAAGAAAGTCCATGAGCTGTGGCTGAAGGCTTGCCAAGCCATGAATCCGGGGCCCAGCCATGGGGAAACTCATGGTGTGATGGATGTCAGAGTTTGGAACCTTCCCTCCCCTCCCTCATTCCTGGCGCCCGTTCAGGACTGGGAAAGCAGCTGATTCCATGGTGATCAGCCACATCCGTAAAGCACAAGCACACAAGATCCCTGGGCTACATTATCTCACGTGAATGTGTGTATTTCTCTGCTGAAAACCAACAGGAATATGTCAGGGAAATATGATATTCAACAGCTATGAGCCTTGGGCAGAACTACCCTCTCTGCTTCACTAAGCTCCATGGGCAAAAGAGTTTTCAGCTGACTACTCTGATGTCCCCCAAGTCATACTTTTAGTGTTTCCTAACCTTGTGTCATTTACATCATCAAGCCCCTCTTATTCCCCCCATTAGGTGGAAGCCACTTCTCGCATCTACCATAGGGAAATACAAACATAAAAAGGCATACACATAGCTGTCCATTGTGGCATTGATCTGACAGAAATACATTTTTTAAAAAGTATAATGACTAAAGTACAGGGTTTGAATATTCAACCACCTATAGTGGGAGAGACAGTAGGGAGTGGCAGGGCCTGTGGGGTAACTAATGATTGCCCACTAGCTAAAGCCATTTGCGTTTCAGTTTTTCCCAGGCAAAACACGGTTCTAGCCAAACAAAAAACACATACATGATCTGAATGTGGCTGTTGGACTTCCAGTTTCTGATCTTTTAAGCCAAGTCAATTATGATCCATCCATATTATAAACTATCATACAGCTTGGGGAAGATTCTTATATGCTGACATTAAAAACTCTACAGCATATATTGTTAATGAAAAACGAAACATTCAGAAAAGTGTACATAAGATACCATTTTCTAAAAAAAAAAAAAACTCAAGTATGTATACATCATCCATCTCTCCCTCACCACACACACAATAGATGCATATGTGAAAAATGTATCAAAGGAGATACATCAAACCGACAAAAGGTTTACTCCTGAGCAAACTGGAACTTGACTGGGACCCAAAGGGTGAAGAAAAGTCAATGGCAACTTTCTCTTTTCCTGAATTGTTTAAGATGTTTACATTGATAATGTATCCACTTGTAAAATTAAATATACGTTTAAACCAGGATAAAAAATAAAGCTTCGTACCACTTTAGCGTTAACAAGAGACCTTGTCTTTGCTGCTGTGAATAGTGTTGTGATCATGGACTTCGCAGGGACATCGATGGAGCTGGAGGCCATTATCCTTAGCAAACTAACACAGCAACAGAAAACCAAATACTGCATATCCTCACCTAGAAGTTGGAGCTAAATGATGAGAGCACATGGACACATAGAAAGGAACAATACACAATGGGGCCTTCTGGAGGGTGGAAGGTGAAAGGAGGGGGAGGATCACGAAAAATAATGGGCACTAGGCTTAATACCTGGGGGATGAAATCATCTGTACAACAAACCCTCATGACACAAGTTTACCTTTGTAACCTGCAATATGTACCTCTGAGCTTAAAAGTTAAAAGAAATTCACGAAAAAATTGGAAAGAAAGAGACCTTGTGGAAATGTTGGCTATTTTTTTCTTATTAAAGAGGAGACTAAAAAGAACTCTCTCAAACATTCACATATGAGGGCACAGTAGAAGGTAAGGCATATAGTGATGCAACAGGGAGTGGTACGGCTTGTGGCCAACTAAAGGTAAACTATACCGCATTAATCATTTTACCAATCAGCTAAATATATGAAACAAGGGGTAAACTTTACTGAGGCCCCTCTAGGTATCTAGAACCCTCTCTACGCTGCATTCAGAGTGGATTTCATAGTCAAAATTATATTAGATTCAGAGACTCCCTTCTAAGGCAGGTAGTATTCATGAATGTGCACCCACAGACCTCAGGGTTTGTCACGACCCACTGTGGCTGGACTGCACGCTGGGCAAGCCAGACCGTACCGCAGAGGCCTGCTGGAGGATGGAGGGCTCTTTAAGGGTTGCTGACGCCAGCTGCAACCATGGGCTTTTATCAAGCCATCAGCAGTCATCAGAGTGTCTGCAGTGGGGGGCTGATATGATTAGAGCCGTGTTTGAGGCGGGCCATTCTGTGGACCAGCGCAGGGTGCAAAACGGACGTGGGAAACTTCCAGCAGGACTCTCTTGAAAGCTTTGTTCCAGCTATTTCCCATCCCTTTAATCATTTCCCTTCCTCTCCTTCGGTTTCTCTGCATGTGTTTGAAATCGCAAAGGCCGACATTAAGGGTTTCCTTCTCACTTGTGCTAGGAACTCAGTGGACGTGATTCCTTTTCAACTGAGATTGGAGACATAAAGAGCCTTGCCCAAGGCCACACCAGGGACTTTCAGGGGCCGGGTCTGAACTCAGGTCGAACTCCAAAGCTGCCTTTGAGACCCAGGCAGGGATTCTGCCACATGATGGAGACCTGGATTCCCTCCTGGGACTCCCACACATCAGGAGATGTCCGGACTGAGTTAATGGACAGAGGGAAGATCACTGTCCAGTCACAGCCACCTGTTCTCCCTGAACCCCTTCTGAGATGCCCAAACACTGTCTGGGGCTCTGATGCTGCAAACCAGTATGTGGTGTGTGCCTTCCATGCTGAACAGCGTGGGGCTACCCTGTATAACTTTTATAGGGTCGTGTTAGGTCTCTTTCGGAAACATGACACAAAAACAACTCAAAATGGCTCAAGCACAGGAAGGAATTTATCAGCTCATTCAAGGGATAGAGCTCACTTTAAATGGATCCAGATAAGGATCAAAGAGATTTAATTACTTCCCTGGCAAGCAGTAGAGCTGTAAACTGAACCCGGTCTCTATCATCCTAGACAGCGCTCCCTGCACAGCTCTGCAATGCTCCCATCCAAAAACCCTGACACGCAGTGGGTGACTGTCTGCTATTCCCTGGTTGGACATTATCCCTTCCCCTCTCACTGATTGATGCAGGTCACCCCATCCCTGCCTCCAGTATTTACAGTAGGGATGGCTGTGCCAACGGTGCTACAAGCGACCCGCCAGGCAGCAAGACTGAATAATCACACCCCTCCCTCAAGTGCCATCCCTGGTAGGCCTCCAGATTTCCCTCCCCACCAGCAAATGACACACCACGGTGCCGGACCGGGAAGGCTTTAACTGTGACGTCAGTGCATCTTAACTTAAACTGGCATTCCAGGTAAACACGAGGATCCGTGGCAGCATTTGGGTGATTACTTCTGTTGCTAGTCATTCACATGAAAATCTTAGATCCCCAAACCCTGAAGGAGTCTAGCAGGTCGTCTTTGCCAGACTGTCTCTGGCTTAGATAGAACTGACTTATGGAATGGTCTGACACCAGCGTATGAAATGAATGACACACATGTGGAGGTTTTTGAGCTGTAAGGACACCTCGGCCAGACACAGAGAATGGCCGTCACTCTCAGGCCTGAGAATTCCTGTCCTCTCAAGTCCAACTCTGTGTAAAACTTTAATCTCACGTACAGTATAAGACGCATCTCCTCCATTCCCCCCACAGGCAGCAACCAGAAGGACTAACTGGGGAGAATGCATGGTCTTTTCTTTCCTGACCTCTTTCCCCTTTGGTTTTCTGGTTTCATCTGTTCTGCCATTGCGTCTAAGAAGATGGGTTCAAGAGAAAGGGCAACAACATCCTTTGCACTTTGCAACAAATGAAATCATCTGCTAATGCCTCTGGTGATCAGGTGAATTCCAATAGCAACAAATGCCCTGTGTATGAAAGATGTCCAAATGCTGGCACCGTCATGGGGCATGGGTGGATTAGGGGGAGTCCTATGGGTGAAGGCTGCTTATGTTCGTCAAGGATATCTAAGCTACAGTTGCAAATAGAACCAAATGCATAACAGCCCAACACAATGGACATTCATTCCTTTCTCATGTAGGAGTCCCAGGTGGGAGAGCAAATTGAATAACAGATCTCTTCCACGTGAATATTCAGAAAATCAGAGTGAAAGAGGCTCTGCTACGCTTAAGATGTGACTTCCAAAGCCACCATCATCATCTTTGTCCCAATCTGACAGGAGGAGAATGAGTAGTGGTTTTTAGAGACCACACCCAGAAGCAGCATGCATCATTCCAGCTCACATTCAATTGTCTAGAGCTCAGTCACATAGTCACCTGTGTGGCACGGGGGTGTAAGCATGTAGCCAACCGTGTATCAAAGGGGAGAAGATGGTTCTGGTGAACAGACCCAGCTGGCTGCCCACACATCCCCACTGAAGCACTACTTTGTACAAGATCCTCCTACATGGTTCCATGATAGGAAATCCACTTCTGCTCAACCTCTCCCAAACTCTCCTGGTGATAGAATGCTGGCAGTGTGACTCCATCTCTTGACACTGAGATTGTTCACCTTGCAGCTGGTTCTCTCTGGTACACCAGCCACAAAGCTCAAACCCAGTTTCTCTTTGGTATCCCTTTAGCCTTCAGGAAACTCAGGTCCTCACCTAGCCACAAAAAGCGAGAGCAAAGCAGAGAATGAAGCTTTCTCTCTCCTCCATTCCTTTTTATCTCCACCTGCACAAATAAGCCCAGAAGAACGACCATCAAAGATGCTGCGTGAGTAGATCAGGGCCTCTTTTTGCTGGCCTCCCAGTATCTACAAGAGGAGCCCTGGAGCTTGGCTTTTTTCATGATGTTGTGGAGAAGGACGTTGACCCATGACTCATTCTTCTCTCTCTTCTTGAATCCTCTCTGATCTTCTGCTTATATAGACTAGTGGACACTAGAAATAGCACAATTGCCTTGTCCTCTTTTAGCCCTGGGGAGGTATCTGGACCTCACTATTTTGGAACTTATCATGCATAGCTTATCTCTGCAGGCAACTTTGCGTCCTAATGATCCATTTGGGGATAACAGGAAACACTGCATTCCCCTTCTCCTCTACACAGCCACCTTGACAAATGGGAGCAAGCAACAGGTTGTGAGTTCTTAAACAAACTGAGTCAACTCTTTTCTTGAACCAATTTGAATCTCTAGACTGTTTTCACAGGCACAAACAGAAAACCTTATAGTCCTATTGTCAAAAAGTGGTGAAGTAGGCCAGGCGCGGTGGCTCACGTCTGTAATCCCAGCACTTTGGGAGGTGGAGGCGGGTGGATCACGAGGTCTCCTGACCAGCCTGACCAACATGGTGAGACCCCTTCTCTGCTAAAAATACAAAAATTAGCTTGGCATGGTGGCATGCGTCTGTAATCCCAGCTACTCAGGAGGCTGAGGCAGGAGAGTCACTTGAATCCAGGAGGCGGAGGTTGCAGTGAGTTGAGATCATGCCATTGCACTCCAGCCTGGGCGACAGAGTGAGACTCCATCACAAAAAAAAAGAAATGCTGACAGTGTCCACTACTGTCTACTGGGCTGCTCTCTGGGCACCCACAGCTGAAATGTCAGAATTTTGACTATCCTAAGATAGCCTTGTTGCAGAGGCTACATCTAGGTGCTTTGGGATCAGTCCCACGGGAGCCCAGGCTTCCAGTCTTCCTGACCAATGTGCCAGTCAACTGAATTTCACCAAGAAACCTGAGTCAACTCATGCCCAGCAGGCGCTGCCTAGATTCCTGACCCACAGTATCTTGAGGTATAATAAACGGTTACTAAGTTTTAGGGATATTCTGTTACATGACCATAGATGATGACAAGTGACTTAGCCTCTCTGATTCCATAATTTTATACCTGTAAAATGGAAATAGCATTTTATAAGACTGCTGTAAGAAGCAAAACAATATGTTCAAGGTGCCTGGCATGGTTGCTGGCCAATGGTAGGCAGAGTTTTATCCTCCCTGTCACAAAACCCTGGGCACCTATGCTGTTCTTTGTGATTTTCCACTGTAAACTTTCTTCCTTTGCTGGCAAGTGATTTTCAGAACCTTCAACTTGATCTCCAGCTGGTAGAATGTGTAAGGACAAAAATGCCTGATCTTTATACGTCCTTACTCTACCATGGGAAAGTTACCTTACCTGTCTGAGGCTCAGTTTCCTTATTTAAAAAGGGACACAAAAATCTTTCTTGCTGTTTTATGTATATTCAATGGGAACGTCTGGCTTAGAGTTGGAGATTGAGAATGGATAGCTGTGGTTTTGTGAGTTCAAGGTAATCACTGTAACAGTAGCAGAAGTCCTAACATCTGATATTATGAGCCCTACCACATTCAACAGAGCCACTTGCAAACAGCCCACCTACAGGGTTGTTTTTGTTTTTGTTTTTGTTTGTGAGACAGAGTCTCGCTGTGTCGCCCAGGCTGGAGTGCCGTGGCGTGATCTCGGCTCACTGTAACCTCCACCTCCCAGGTTCAAGCAATTCTTATGCCTCAGTCTCCCAAGTAGCTGGGACCACAGGCACCCACAATCATGCCTGGCTAATTTCTGTATTTTTAGTAGAGATGGGGTTTCACCATGCAGGCTTGAACTCCTGATCTCATGTGATCTGCCCACCTCAACTTCCCAAAGGGCTGGGATTACAGGCGTGAGCCACCAGACCCGGCCCCAAAGGGGTATTTCTGAAGTAGGCAGCTTCCCCTCTCCCTATCTCTTTCTCTTCTATTCTGGCCTGGGACTTGGTTCCAGCCACTGAGCCGCCAGGACTCATCTTAAATTTTAACCATAAGTGTAAAAAAGGAAAGAGCCCATTCATGGATGATATTCATCTCCCTACCTCCCTTCCCATCTCCTACCAAATTCTGCAGGCTCCAGACATGTCCAATGAATAAATGTCTCTTAAAATTCTTCTAGAAAACGCACAAGGTTTCTCTTAATAACTCTCACTGTCAGGAATGAAATATTTACATGCACTTGCTTGAAAATTCTGGCAGCTTGTAACCTAAGAATAGTTTTACTTATGGTGCTCGGCAACTGCCTTAGGTCTATCTTGCAGACGATTTTGAGAGGAGCAAGAGGCAGAAGAGAGGAAAGAAAAAGTCACAGGGGAGGGAGGGACTGATCAGGGAGGGCCTGGCAAATCTCTGTCCTTGGTTTGCCCTTGAAGTTGGTCTATTAAGGAAGGTTAAAGCAGTCACAGTGCCGGTTTACAGGGAGTCTGAGCTGTGACAAGCCCATCAGTCACCCTGACACATGGTAGAAAACACGGGGAGATTGCAAACATTATCTGAAGCTTAATTATGAAGAAGGGAGGAGCCTGGGTTGGTGTGAGAAGTGGGTGCTGAGGCTCTCTGGGCCTTTCCCATTGTAACCTGCTGTCTTTGGGGTAAGGTGTCACCATCTAAGTTTCCTTCTAAAGAGCCCCTGGTTACTTTCTGCGGCTAGGTGCAAGGTTAGGAAAAGCTCCTAAGAGGGAGCCTTTAGCTTGCCAAATTTAGCTTGGCAATGTGGAAATACAGACAAAGATCCTTAAAAACCCTCCTTTCCACTGACCTCATACCTCTGCTTGTGGAAGTCTCTTCTACATATTGGAAATACCACAAAAAGCTTATAGCACAAAATGATATTTTATAACATTTCTTTTTTTATTTTTTGAGACAGGGTCTCACTTTGTCACCCAGGCTGGAGTACGGCAGTGCAAACACAGCTGACTGCAACCGCTGCCTCCCAGGCTCAAGGGATCCTCCCACCTCAGCCTCCCCAGTTAACTGGGACTACAGGCACTCACCACCATGCCTGGCTAAGTTTTGTGCAGTTCTTTTCTTTGTTTTTTTTTTCCTTGGTAGAGACAGGGTTTCTCTATATTGCCCAGGCTGGTCTTGAACTCCTGGGCTCAAGTGTTCTGCCCGTCTTGGCCTCCCAAAATGCTGGGAACATTTTCTATAATGGAAAAAATAGGTAACAACCTAGCTGTCTAACAACAGGGGATTCACTCAGTGTACTGGGGAGATTTGGCAATGTCTGGAGGCATATTTGGCTGTCACAGCCAGAGGTGGGAGGTTATTACAGGCCCAGGTCATTTTATTGCACTTCATTTTATTATACTTCACAGACACTGCTTGCTCTTTAATCAATTAAAGCTTTACGGCAACCCTGTGTCAAGCAAGTCTATCAGTGCCATTTTCCCAACAGTGTGTGTATACCTCATGTCTCTGTGGCACATTTTGGTAATACCTGCAATATTTAAAATTTTTTCATGATTATTACATCTGTTACAGTTATCTGTGATCAGTGATCTTTGATACTGCTATTGTAATTGTTTTGGAGTGCTGTGAACTTCTCCCATAGGATGGGAGGTTTACCTGATAAATGTAGTGTGTGTTCTGACTATTTCGCAAACCAGCTGTTCCCCATCTTTCCCTCTCTCCTCAGGTCTCCCTATTCTCTGAGACACAATAATACTGAAATCAGGTCAGTGAATAATCCTACCATGACCTTTAAGTGTTCAAGTGAAAGAAAGAGTCACATGTTTCTCACCTTGAATCAAAAACTAATGATTAAACTTTGTGAGAAAAGCATGTCAAAAGCAAAGATAGGCCAAAAGCTAGGCCTCTTCCCCCAAACAGTTATCCACGTTGTGTATGCAAAAGAAAAGTTACTGAAAGAAATTTAAATTGCTACTCCAGTGAACACAGGAATGATAAGAAAGTGAAACAGCCTTGCTGATGATATGGACAAAGTTTCAGTGGTCTGGATAGAAGATCAAATAAGCCACAACATTCCCTTAAGCCAAAGCCCAACCCAGAGCAAGACCCTAACTCTCTTCAATTCTATGAAGGCTGAGAATGGTAGGAAGCTGCAGAAGAAAAGCTTGAAGCTAGCAGAGCCTGGCTCATGAGGTTTAAGAAAAGAAACCATCTCTATAACATAAAAATGCAAGGTGAAGCAGCAAGTCCTAAAGCTCCAGCAAGTTATCCAGAAGATCTGGCTAAGATTATATATATATATATATATATATATATATACACACACACACATACACACACACACACACACACACACATACACATATATGAATGAGAGATGTTGGTCAAAATGCACAAAATTTCAGTTACGTAGGATAAGCTCTGAGGATCTCATTAATGCATAGTCTTGTGATGACAATGAACAATACTGTGCTATATACTTGATATTTCTGAAGAAGTTGATCTTATGTGTTCTCACCAAGCACACACAAATCATAACATTATATATATATATATATAATATAACAGTTTTCCCTATATATATGTGTGTGTGTGTGTGTGTGTGTGTGTATATATATGTGTATATATATATACATATATATACATATATATACACATATATATACATATATATATACATATATATGTATATATATATATATATATAGAGAGAGAGAGAGAGAGAGAGAGAGAGAGAGAGAGAACCATAAAGACTCCTGGAAAAAAATTTAGAAATAATATACAAATTCAGTAAATTTGCAGGATACAAAATCCACATACAAAAATCAGTTACATTTCTATACACAAAGAATGAACTACTGGAAAGAAAATTAGGAAAGTAATCTTATTGACGATAGCAAAAAAAAAAAAAAAAAAAAGAATAACATACATAGGAATAAACTTAACCAAAGAGTTGAAAGACGTGTACATTAAACATTAACAAACATTAATAAAATATTGATGAAGGAAACTTAAGACAGATAAATGCAAAGACATCCGATATTCACGGATAGGATTAATAAATATTGTTAAAATATCCATACAACCCAAAGTGATCTACAGTCAGTATGATCCCTATCAAAATTCCAAGGAAATTCCAAAGAAATAGAAAAAACAACCCTAAAATTCATAAAGAGCTACAAAAATCCCCTAATAGCTATAATAATTTTGAGCAAGAAGAACAAAGTTGAAGGCATCACATATGTTCTGATTTCGAAATACAGTACAAAGGAACAGTAACCAAAACAGTATAGTAGCAGCAAAAAACAGACATAAAGACCAATGGAACAGAATAGAGAGCCTAGAAATAAATTCAGCCATCTATAGTCAACTGATCTTCAGCAAGAATGCCAAGAACACACAATGTGGAAAGAACAGTCTCTTCAATAAATGGTATGGGGAAAACTGGATATCCACAGGCAAAAGAATATAATTGAATCCTTATTTCACACTATATACAATAACCTACTCAAAATGGATTAAAGACTCAAACATAAGACTTGAACCGTAAGGTTACCAAAAGAAAACAAAGTGGAAAACCTTCTTGACATTGGTCTGCGTAGTGAATTTTTTAATATAACACCAAAAACACAGATAACAAAAGCAAAAATGAACAAGTAGGCTTTCATCAAACTAAAAATCTTCTGCACAGCAAAGGAAACAAACAGAACAAAATAGCAACCTACGGAGTGGGAGAAAATACTTCTAAACTATATATCTAATAAGGGGATAATATTCAAAATATATGAGGCACTCAAACAACTCAACAGCAGAAAAAAACACACATACAATTACAAAACGAACAAAGGATTTGAACAGACATTTTTCCAAAGAAGATGTACAAATGGGCAACAGGCTTATGAAAAGGTGCTCAATATGACTAATTATTGGGGCAATGCAAATCAAAACCACAATGAGGTATCACCTCACACTTGTTAGGCTGGGTTACCAAAAAGTCAAAAGATAGCAAGTGTTGGTGAGGATACGGAGAAAAGGGTACCTTTCTACATTGTGGGTGGGAATGTAAATTGATAGAGCCATTATGGAAAGCAGTATGGAGGTTCCAAAAAAAAACTAGAACTATCATATGATCCAGCAATCCTTCTGAGTACCTATCCAAAGGAAATAAAATTAGTATCTCAAAGATATGTGCACCCCCATGTTCGCTGCAGCATTACTCACTACAGCAAAGTATGGAAACAACCTAGGTCTCCACTAACAGATGAACGAAGAAAATGTGGTGTGCATGTGTGTGTGTGTGTGTGTGTGTGTGAATGTGTGCTTGTGTGTGGGGGGGGTAAGATAGGTATAAACATATAAACACCATTATTCAGCCTTAAAGGAAATCCTACCATTTGCAACAACATGGAGGAAGCTGGAGGACATTATGCTAAGTGAAATAAGCCAGAGACACAAAGACAAATACTACATGATTTCACTAATACATGAGATCTAAAAGAGTTTAACTCACAAAAGCGGAGACTAGAATGATGGTTGCCAGGCACCGGAGGTGAGAAGAAATAGGGAGATGTTGGTCAAAACACACAAAGTTTCAGTTACGCAGGATAAGTTCTGGGGATCTCATTAATGCACAGTCTTGTGATGACAATGAACAATACTGTACTATATACTTGATATTTCTGAAGAAGTTGATCTTACGTGTTCTCACCAGGCACACTCAAATCATAACTATGTGAGGTGACAGATATGATCATTAGCTTGATTGTGGTAAGCGTTTCCCAATACATGTGCATATCAAAACATACTGTTAACCTTAAAGAATACAGTTCTTCTTTGTCAAGTCTGCCTCAATAAAGCTGGCAAAAATTAAAAATAGAAACTTAGCTGATATTATATGATCAAATATAGTCAATAAGGGATTAGTTTGTAATTAAAACACAAAATAATCATACCATTTTAAGCCAGAATTTGGCTGGGTGCAGTGGCACATGCCTGCAATTTCAGCACTTTGGGAGGCCGGGTGGAGGGGGACAATTGCTTGAGGCCAGGAGTTCAAGGCTGCAGTGAGTTATGATTGAACCGCTATACTCCAGCCTGGGTGACAGAGGGAGACCCTGTCTCAAAGAAAAGAAAAGCCACAATTTGAAATGCAGCAGGCTTAGCTAGGGTACCACCCTGCCTCTCTATCCCCCACACCTCCCTCGTCTACAGGACTTCACATCCTGAACTCTGTTAAGCTAGACCAGGCCAAGCTGGGCTGTCTTTTCTGAGGGCTCATTCAAACCATCATTCATCCAAGGAAAGGATGCTTGTTGCCACAGACAAAAAGAAAGGCATGTAACCGTCAAGAGAGATCTCCAAGTCAGGGTCTGTGTCCTCAGGTGCAGCTGGATGGTCCAGCGATTAGATTACCTGGCTGGGGCCTGTGTCCGACTCAGGCTGAGACCAGACCTGGCTCCTCAAGCCCAGGGAACATGGGGGCAGGTCAGGCCGTGCCCAGGGCAGGACTCCAACACGCTCACAAAGCTTTGCTTTGTTTTCTCCTCTCTTTGGGGAGATTTAACTGTGCAATCTCTTCTGACTTTCCATAATTTCCCCTGGCCGTTCTCAGGAGGTGAGGGTTGTCTGGCTGGAAGACCCGGGAGCTGTTCAACTCCAGGATATCAAATGCTACCTGGCATTGAAATGCAAGGCTGAGGCTCCAAACTTCACCCCAAGAAGCCCACTCCCTCCTTGCTCTGCCCCTATTCAGCTTGCACCCCCTTACTGGCTGCCTCCTTTCTCTACACAAGAGATGACTCCAATATCCATAGTCTCTTTTCCTAGGGCTAGTCTGATCTGTAAACATATAATTCTATTACAGTATAATGAGCGTTGTAACCAAGGGACCTGCAGTGAAAAGTCTTCTGCACTCAGAGAGAACGAAGTAACTCAGAGCGTAACGCACAGGCAAAGGGGCCCTAGAGGAGGGGCAGTAGTGCAATGTCTTGCAGGATGGGTAAGAGTCTGCTGGCAGGGGAAAGGTGATCCTCCACCCATATCCCAAATCCTTTTTTTTCCCCTTAGAGATGGAGTTTTGCTCTGTCACCCAGGCTGGAGAGCAGTGGTACAATCATAACTCACTGCAGCCTCAAACTCCTGGGCTCAAGTGATCCTCCCGCCTCAGCCTCCCAAAGTGCTGGGATTATGGGTATGAGCCACCATACCCAACTGCATAACCCCTTTTACAAATCCAGTATATTAATCACCCCCCTCCACCCCTAGCCAAGCTGCATCAAGCATTGGTTGATCAGGACTCTCAGCTGCCATCTTTTCTGCAGAATCGTGCCTTGCCCAAAGGTGCCACAACAGTTATGCATTGACCTCCATCCGGAGCCAGCCTGCAGTCCATGGCTGGCTGAGACGATGGTATAAAAGTGCACTTTGCATGCTTCAGGGTGTGCAAGCTCCCTGGAGCTATCCACATTCAGAGCCTCCCATAGCATCCGGCTGGGGCTCAACTTCAACTAAACCACATCTTTGCTGCCTCATGTTCCTTCCCTCACCTCTAGACAGGCCCTTCCTGTGAGCACGCCTGCAATCCTCACTGCTTCAAAAGCCACATCTCAGCTCTGGAGAACTCGACCTAAGGCAGGGAGGGAGGGCATTTGAGGCAGAGGAGACAGCATGGGCAAAGGCTAGGAGGCATGAACTTGAAGGCACGATCTTGGAAGATAAGGAAGCTTTCCCTGCAATATTATGAATAATAAGAGGGGGAAAAACCCGGTTAACTTTTACTAAGGATCATTCTGATCACTCTGCAGGCTGTTCTCAGTACTTTTAACATATAATGCCAATTGATCCTTATCACACCCCATGATGTAGATCCTCTCATTGTCCCCGATTTTAAAAACAGAGAAGGGAAACAGCCCTAACTCATATGGCTCGTAAGTGGTGGGCTGGAGCTTTTAATTCGGGTGCCTCTAATGATGGAGCCTCTGCTCTCCAGCCAATGTTGTAGGGTTCAGAAACTCTCTACACCTGGCCAAGACATCGTCCTTCCTTTACTCACCCACTGACTCAGCAACAGACAGTTCCTTTAAGACACTCACCCACAGAACGCTAAACTTGCGGTTTTCCTGTCACCTTTGAACGGACATGAACAATGACTCTTTTTAAAAGGACACAGTATTTACGGAGCCAAAATGAAAAGGACAGCAGGAAGGAATGCTCAGAACCTTTGATAGCACAGAGATGACATAATTTATGTTTCGCCATAGCCATCTCTGCTCTCCCCATTGCAATCTCAAAATTGAGAAGAAACTTGGTAATTGCTTCAGCTGGGCTGGGCCTGCTGTTGACCGTTTGCTTTTCTTATTACCTCGTCCTGCCCAGTGACCCCTGAGCATTTCATCTTCTTCGGCAGGGCTGGTAAATCTTAGGCCGTCCCTGGCAGTGCAGAGAATGCCTTGGAAAACACACAGAGGAAAATTAAGGAGGAGGGATGCAGAGAGAGGCGGTCTAGGGAAAAGGTCTTCAGACAAAATGCAAGATGACGGTGAAATGAACCTCCAGTGTGGCCTTTGCAGGATAAACGAAAAGCACCCACTGCACACTGGGCAGAGCATCTTGTCTCCAGATAGGACGTGATCAGTAACACCAAGCTGAATGCACACTGATATCCTTCCTGCTCTGTGTGGAATACAAGGTACAACCATGATAATAACTAGCGGGAGAGTTACTACCGTCATAGGGTCTGGCTTCACAACCCAGAATTTTGGGCTGATTGTGAGGGTAAGTCCACAGCACAGTGTACCAAAGGGAGAAATAAAGCAGGCCTGGGAATTGGGGAAGTGCGTTTGGGGGGTGCACTCCCACAGGGAGGCTGGAATCAACAAGGCAAGTTTCCAGGTGGCCACAGCTCGGCTTAGCTCAGAGGATGCATGAGCCTCCGGGAACGCAGCAGGATATGCCCGATGCCATCTCCAGCCAGGCTGCGCACCTGCTGTCCCAGCCTTTAAAAAGCCATCCTTCATCACTTCTCCCACGCTGAGCTGCCTGTCTCCCTGCCTGCAAGGTCAAATGTGAACTGCTCACACCTGGCCCGGGGCCCTTTCGAGATGGCAAGTGAAGGAAATGAGACATCAGGCTCTGGAGTCGCCCTTGTGGGTTCTTTCACCTCTGTCACTGACTCTCTGTGCAAACCGAGGCAATGCTCCAGTTCTCTGAGCCTCAGTTTCCTCATCTGTTCACTGAGGATCACATGCAGTCTTTAGGGAGTAAATGTGATCATGCACATAAGACACCGAAAATAGTTCTGGGAGTAAACATGCAGAGGTGTCTGCTGTCATAATGCATCGTTACTGTTATCATTAATTCTGCTGCTGTTACTGCCACTACTACTGCAATGATGGTGACTACTAGTGCTACTTTGTTAGAGAACCTAGCACAGTTCATGACACACAGGATACTAGTGCTTAATATTTTATTTCTTCTTCCTCTAAATAATTCCAAAGAATGGAGTTACTGGTTCGAAGGACATGTGTCTGCACACATATGTTCTTACTAAGTGCCACAATATCAGCTCCATTTTCTTTCTGGAAGGTCACTTATCTTACCTTTTCCCTTTCTCTCACTCCACTCATTACTCCAGGAGATTTCAGACTCACTCACTTTTCTCCCTCCCTCATGCTTCGGCCAAGCAGCATCCCCTCCGCTTATCCCTCTGGATAAAACGGATAACATCAATTAACCAGTTAATTGGAAGTTCCTTTCCCTCTTAGCCACTGAATTGCTGAGTCTCCGAGAACCCAGACTCCCAGCCTGGGTTCAGAGTAAACAGAATCACCTGGGGTGGCTGAAACTGGTGGAGACAGAAGGTGTTTCAAAACTTAATCAAAAATTAATTAGAAGGAGAAACAAGCCAAAGGACAAACATCTGTGAGCAGATGATCCGCAAAGGAAAACAAATCCGAAATATAACATTCCCTTTGAGTTAGGAGCAGGGAGCTGCTGGGCTACACTGGGAGTAGCTGAAAACATGCTTTTGGAGGGGAACAGAATGCCTCTTGGGAAAAGAATACTTCTTGGGAACAAATGACAGCACAACTCAAAATTCCAAAGACGTGGGAAGAGAGACGCTGCACACTCAAGATCATACAGGAGCTGCAGGGAAGCTGTGCATCGGCGAGATGCTAATAAATAATTATCAGAACAAATACTTGCCGATGCCTCGGAGTGAGGGGGCCACGCAACAGGAGAGCAGCCTCCGTGAGCAGTCGGCACTTCCAGATTTCCTGACTCTGAGCACTGGTGACTGCGGCTTACAGTCAGAAAAACCAAGACTTGAGAACCATGTGGGATGGAAATCAGAGGGGCCATGGAATCAGAGAAGGACCCTAGAGTGGATACTGGGTATCCAGCTAGGATATGACCCCTGGGAGAAACTGGATGCCTGGGAATGAGTTTCTGTAGCAGAGGATTGTAGCAAATGCATCAGTGCCCCAGACACATCCCCCTCCCTTTCCTACACCTTGAGGAAGCAGGGCCTCATGGTGATTTCAGTAACCTCAAGTCTCCTGTTTGGACCCAATACCTGGTGACACTTGTTACTGCCATTTCCCAAATCCACATGACTGCTAAAATCAGGGCACTCCATCGTCCTTAAAGTCAAGAACCCTTCCATGCAGGAAAATAAAATTAGAAATATGAGTTAATGCATTTGCTTGAAGGCCATGAAAAAAGAAGAAATATGAGTTCAATGCAACCTTATCTCTGACCCCAACGACGCTCCAATGGACTCTGCCTCCACTTCTTAGAAGACCAAGGACTCTAGTGTTCTTACCTGGGTTTTCTACTCTCCCATTCTTGCATATTCTGGTCCTTCTATCTGGAGCTCCTGTCCTGCCCTCACCCCACTTACTTTTCTGTTTTTTTTTGTTGTTGTTTTTTTGTTTTTTTGTTTTTTGAGATGGAGTCTCTCCCTGTCACCCAGGCTGAAGTGCAGTGGCATGATCTCGGCTCACTGCAACCTCTGCCTCCCAGATTCAAGTGATTCTCCTGCCTCAGCCTCCCAAGGAGCTAGTATTACAGGTGTCCGCCACCATGCCCAGCTAATTTTTGTATTTTTTTATTAGAGACGGGGTTTCACCATGTTGGCCAGGCTGGTCTCGAACTTCTGACCTCAGGTGATCCACCCACCTCAGTCTCCCAAAGTGCTGGGTTTACAGGCATGACACCCTGCTTATTTAATAAGCTGTTTATGCTCTTGTTTTTAACTGACATCACCTGCTGTAGGAAGACTTCCTTGCCCTCATTACCTATTCTGAGAGCAATCACTACTCATCCGTTACAATTAGGATGATTGTGCTGGGTATAAACTTTGTTTTACCCATAGTTCCAAACTAGGCCAGTCTCTTAACCTGGAGTCCATGGAGTTTTAGCAGTTCCTGACCTGGAATCATATTTGTGTGTTTATTTTTCAGATGGTTTTCTGATTCCAGATGTTGTGCTGAACCCCTGTTAACCTCAGTGGGGAAGGCACCCGGTTCAAGAGACCAGAGATCCAGAGCCAGAAAACAAGACATCGGTTTTTGTTAGGGGTTTCCATATAGGGGATAGAGTCCACTGGTGGTGGGCTGCACAGGAGAACCACCTTATGTACAGAAATGGTCCAGTGGTGGTGGGCTGGATAAGATATCCACCTTATATATAGTCTAGTGGTGTCAGGCTGGACAAAACAAACTGCAACCTGCTTGCAAACTGCATGCAGTTTGTATGCCATTTTCACTTAGCACAGATGTTCCTCACAGACAAGGAACAAATCTCTGGGTTGGCCAGAGCTCCGGACACACATTCAGGTGCATCTGCCATGCAGGATAATTCTCAGGGTATGCTTAAATTATCACTACTGGGGGTGTTTACACTACACCAGATGATGTCAGAGCCATGGCACTAGAGCTCCTCAAAGACCAGACAATGCCTTATTTATTCCTGTATCCCTAGAGTCCTGGACAATTACAGACAATCTGTTGGCAATGCTAATGACTAACATAGTCTGGGTGTTGATTCTGAACAGAGCATGGGGCGAAACACCCTACAGTCTTCATTTCATTGACTTCCATGACGACCCTAAGAGGTGGCTATAATGTTTGTTGCACGGACCGAGAGAGTGAGGCTGTGGAACACCAGTCCAGACCACACAACTGGAAGGCTTGGTGCTGGAATCAGAAGCTAAGCCAGTCAGCCTCCGGAGGGCCATATAGCTTCACTAAAAGTCTCCAGAAAGAACAAACTAATGAAGGAATAAACGTTGTTCAATTCATAACCATGTTGCTCTCCAGTTCTAATGCAACACCGTGACATACCTCTAATAAAAACTCAGCCTTTGGTAAGACCCTGAAAACTAATGTCCACCTCGTTTTTCTTTGCAAATGGCACTGAAGTTCCTATAATCTATCTGGAAAAAGATCTCTCTCCTGTAACATCTGTGCACACATTTTAATCCTTTGATGCAATCAGGATCTATTTTAAGATTCCCCCCCCACCCCCATTTTTTTTTTCAGATAAGGAAACTGAGGCTAAGAAGTTCTTATGGCTTGCCCAAGGTCATGCAAAGCTGGAAATGGAATCCAAGTCCTGCATGTTCCCAACTATGTGTCCTTCCCCCTACTTCTACCAACTGCAGCGTCTTCTCCAAAATGCTCATGTGTTTCCTACCTGAGAGTCATGTATTTCTCACTCCAACCAAGTTCCTGGAGTCACCAAATTCAATTTCATTCTTCAAATGACTTCCAGAGAACAGCCTGGCCCTTGCACAGCCACTTCGGAATTCCCTATTCCCTGCTACAAGAGAGCTAGTGGGTTCAACACCTTCCTGGAAGCTCTTTCTTCTCTCCCCTCCTCTTGGGATCTAGCTAAGGAGATGGAGACAGACTGATGGCCATCTGTCAGAGCAGCACTGTGCAGCCTGGACCCAAATGCACTAATTGATTTATAGGCTAATAATGCGGTTTATGTGCATGGCTGGGCTGTTTGCAAAATGTGTCCTTCTCCGCAGCTGCTCTGAAGGTAATCCCAAGTCCCCAGTGAAGCAAGCATTTGAGGGGCTTCCTGGAGCCTTTTCAGTGACCTATGTGGTCCTTCACATCCACCCATCATGCAAAGACTGTGAAGTGGAGCATTCTTGGCTACCTGAGCAATGGCGCTCAGCCCTTAAAATAATAAGAACCAGCTGGAAGTCTGTGTTGATGAAGACAGCTGAGTGTGGTGGAGAGAAGCAGGGTCTTGCTGTTCCTTGGGACAGGGTTGGGTCTCAGCTCCACAGCTCACTGGCTGTGCACCCACAGGTACACCTGGTCACCCACCTGAGCCTCCATTCCTCCATCTACCCAGTTGGGGGAAGAAAATCTTCCTCCTTGGGGGGTTGTGAGGAATAGATGAGATGGTTGGCACACTCAGTGAACACTTGTCGAATAATCACACAGAGACACAGAGATAATAAAGCCCATAAAACATGCTGTAATAGAAGTTACCTTCCTTTCCCTACACCTTTCCCCATTATTCTTTCCCACTGTGTTAAGAATGGACTTTAAGAGGGGGGTGCCCTCTTCTCCTCCTCCTTTTCTCCACTCTCTTCTTTCATCAAAGATGCTACTACTGGGCCTCCACCATGAGTCACCAGCTTCCTGTGCATTTTCTTACTAAATTCACTAAATTCTTTTTTTTTTTTTTTTAAGACAGTGCCTCACTCTGTCGCCCAGGCTGGAGTGCAGTGGCACGATCTTGGCTCACTGCAACCTCCGCCTCCAAGGTTCAAGTGATTCTCCTACCTCAGCCTCCCAAGTAGTTAGGATTACTGGGATTACAGGCACCCACCTCCATGCCTGGGTAATTTTTGTATTTTTAGTAGAGATAGGGTTTCACCATCTTGGCCAAGCTGGTCTTGAATTCCTGACCTCAAGTAATCTGCCCACCTCAGCCTCCCAAAGTGCAGGTATTACAGGCGTGAGCCACCACGCCAGGCCATTTTCTCACAAAATTCTTAACTCATTACCCTCAAAAGATAGATGAGGTCCCCCATTTTATAGACCACTGCTGTCTGAGGGACCTCTCTGCGATGCTGAAAGTGGGCTCTATCTGTGCCATCCAATAAGAGTCACCACTAGCCACGTGTGGCCACTGAACCCTATAAATGTATCCAGTGTTATTGAGAACTGGATTTTAAGTTTCATCTTAATTAATTTACATTTAAGTAACCACATTTGGCAGTGGCTTCCAAATGGGACAGCACAGTTATGGGGAATAACAAAGAAAAGCACAGTGAAATTTGAAGAAGCTCGGCCACCTGCCCCGGGTCATCAACCTGGACCAAGGTGCAGGTAAGAGTGGGGATTCACACTCGTCAATTTCCTGCTCACATCTCCAGAAGCAAACAGCTGGGTTGGATGAGGACTTTCTTGTAGAAATAAACTGAGATCTGAAACTCAAGAAAGGCTGGAGACCAATATTCCCTGGGCTGGATGTGGACCTCCTTGGAGAAGCAAGCTGAGATCTGAAACTCAAGACAGGCTGGAGAGGAATATTCCCAGTGCTGGGTAATTGGTCCAGAAGAAGGAGGAAATGAATATTCAGAACAGATAACGGTGGTGGAAATGCTTTGTAAACTTTGAAGTGCTGGCTGAGGGTGGAGTTATGAGTAATACCCCCTTGGCAATGACTCCATGGCAAAATTTTGCTGTCCTACATCTCCTGTTACCCTGCTTCATCATTAATTAAAGCTTAAGGGATTTGGGAATACAGGCCTCTGAAATTTGGACTAAACCCTCCGTGTTACAGAAAAAAAAAAAAAAAAAAGAATCTCGGGTAATTAGCTTTCCTTTCCCTAAATGCTTTTTGGTTCTCATTACAAACCAAGTGCTGGGCTAATATACCTTGTGTTATGAATGCCTCACAATTCCTGCTAATTGAATTAAACCCAATTCTCTGCAAATAAACTCTTGGTGTTCTTAACGGCAAATAAGGAACAGAGCTGTTTCTTTTTGGAATGGGTCATTACAAGGCCCTAATTACTAGGATCTCAACGTGTAAGGGAAACCGCCTTTGTGTTGGCTCCTGACAATGATAGTTCTGTTAAAATCAAAGTCGCAATGTGCCCTTGGAATCTTCTCCCTCTTTTTATTCCACTTCAAAATGTTTAATAATGACTAATCCGATTCTAAGAAGGCAGAGAAAAGACAAGAGAACAGTAATATCCTTTTTTTTATTTCATTCAGGACAAATATTTCAAAAGTGACACACTGCTTATTTTTCCCCCTTCCTTTTTCCCTTGGACACAGCACATTTTGAAGTTGCTAGTTAGTGAAGGAATCTTTGCCACTAGACTTACACACATGTCCAAGGTGAACGCAGGAGCTTCGTGAATTTATCAGATGTCAGGGATGAAGACAGATGCTATTGCTCTCACGTGGCCAAACACATTTATCAATAATGTAATGCCAATTACTTTGGGGACCATTCTTTACCCTTGTGGGATGGGAGACTTTATTCCAGGGCTTTTTAGAACAGCATATATAATCAGCCACAACAACCAGATTTTAAAATGCAGCATGCATCATTTCTTGCCGGCAGTTTTGCTCTGATATGTGGGCTGAGTTTCTAAGTTTGAGATTTCTAAGTCAGGTTGGTGGAAAAAAAACATAATAACCCTCATGGTAAACTGTCCTTTGTGAACACGTTAGACCTCAAGGTAGGTGATGGGCAAAGTCCCTGGTACTCCAAAACACTAAGCTTTAGTCTCAGAAGGAGCCATCCCTTTGTTCCAGCAAAACAAACCATCACTAGACCATCCAGGCAGCCCAGGAATTGGGTTCCATATTGCTTCTTCCAAAGCTTCTCATTCACCTCCCTCAGTTTCCCAAATAATGTCACTCTTTCAAGAGATGATGTTCTCCCCTCTAGGGAAACTCTTCTGACTTTTCTGATAGGAAAATTCTGAAATTCAACCTCCAGAACCCAACTCAGGTGCGCTTGTTGGAGCTTGCTGCATACTTCTCTCCTTGTTCCTCTTTGTGTTCTCTCATTGGTGCCAGCAGCAACGTGGCAGAGTGGAAAGCGTTCAGGCTTTAGAGAAGGATGCATCTATATTCTGAACTTAATCCCTGTACTTACTAACTGCGTAGTTTGGAGCAAGTTATTTTACCTCTCCGGACCTCTGTTTTTTCATCTATAACATGGCTACCTTGCTTCAAGGAATGGCTTGGGTATAATGTGTTAAAAATAATAATGTGTTTGCTATTGTGAATAGTGCTGCAGTGAACACAGATGTGCAGTAACAAAGACATGAAATCGACCTAAATGCCCATTAATGGCAGAGTAGACAAAGAAAATGTGGAACATATATGGAATGTTCCATGTATCCATGGAATACTATGCAGCCATAAGAAAGAACGAGATCATGTCCTTTGTTGGAACATGCATGGAGCTGGAGGCCATTATCCTTGGCAAACTAATGCTGGAACAGAAAACCAAATACCTCATATCCTCATAAGTAGGAGCTAAATAATGAGAACATATGGATACACAGAAGGGAACAGCACACACTGGAGCCTACTTAAGGGTGAAGGGTAGGAGGAGTTAGAGGATCAGAATAAATAACTATTGGGTCCGAGGCTTAGTACCTTGGCGATGAAATAATCTGTAAAACAAACCCCTGAGACGTGAGTTTACTTATATAATAAACCTGCACATGTACCCCTGAACCTATAATGAAAGATAAAAATAAAAATAATAGGCCTGGCGTGGTGGCTCACGCCTGTAATCCCAGCACTTTGGGAGGCCAAGGCGGGTGAATCACGAGGTCAGGAGTTCGAGACCAGCCTGGCCAACATGGTGAAACCCCGTCTCTACTAAAGAAAAAAAAGAAAAAAACAATTAGCCAGACATGCTAGCACATGCCCGTAATCCCAGCTACTCAGGAGGCTGAGGCAGGACAATCACTTGAATCCAAGAGGCGGAGGTTGCAGTGAGCCAGGATCATGCCACTGCACTCTAGTCCAGGCGACAGTGCGAGAGTCTGTCTCAAAATAAATAAATTAAAAAAAAAATAAAAACAAAAATAGTAATGTGGTCAAAGCGATTGGTACACAGTAGCTGTTCAGTCAATGGAGTCCCACCTTGTTATTATTATGGGACTAACCCATTGCCTTTTGATTACTTGCTTAGAGGTACATTTCCTCCGATGAGAAATCCATTCTTTGAAGGAAGAGCATGGACCTCATTATTTTCTATTATTAAATATCCCCAGCACCTAGAGCAGAGCCAGACATACACTTGCCTTGAAAAATGTTTAATAAGTTTAAAAATGGATAAATGAATGAATACATGAATGAACACCTGCAGCATGCACTTAGGGACTGAAATGACACAGTGGCAGGCATGCAGTAGGTGCTTAATACATGCTTGCCTACAAATGAATGAGGGAACTAAGGCAGATAACCAAACACTCAGGGATTTAAATGGAAATCAAATCCAAGGGCTTTGTGATTTCCCACAGAGAGAACAAAATTCCCTAAACCCTCCTGCCAGAAGCAGCTCGCATCAGCTTAGGAGGGAACAACAATGTTAAATTATTGCTTAACTACTTCTCATATGATGATCTCCTGCATCTCACTAGGAAAATCATCGCCATTCTCTCGGTGCTGAGAACAGCTGCAGTTAACATGTTTGAGGCGCCTTTTAAACACTGTTCCCTCTAACAAGTCTAAACTTGATTTCAGCGGTTCCATTTCCTTCTCACTCTTCCAGGCCTCTCTCCAGGAACCTGACACACAAAATCCATGATTCAGGGCAGAGATTCACCATCTACCTGCAGGCAGAAGAAGCCTGAATGCCATCAGCACAGGGAGAGGAGGATGAGGATGGGGCGTGGTGTGCCTCTGGGCGAGGATGGCAGCCCACCAGCCCACGTCTACCTAGAGCAAAGACCTGGTGGTGTTTAATTTCAAATCAGACTTGAGACTCTCGGCTTTGAGGAGAGGCAGCCCAGGAATGCAGATGTGCATTTTAAAGCAGCCACATCTATTTCTGATTCTTTTAGTCTGCGAGTAGAAAGGAAGTCCTCGATGCTGAAATGAGAACTGGGCTGCATCAGGCCTGTTCAGTTGATGGGCTGGGAGTCAGACAGAGCACTGGGCCTCTACAGGCCATGGAAGTCAGGATGCCAGCTAAATACAGGACACCCATGACTTACACCTGAGTTTCAGATCAACAATGACTAGACAGATAGAGATTAACAGAAGTATATCCCAGATATTGGAAAAGATATACTTATGCTAAACAAATGGTTGCTGTGTATCTGAATGTTTGGTTGTACGTGTCCATTCATATATTGAAAAGTTACTGGGCACCCTGTATTTTACTTGTTATATCTGGCAATTTTTTGTGGGAGGGACAAGGTGAGGAAATTATTCTCTTGGGCCCTCCCTTGCTCTCGGGAAGAAGATACTATGGAGAGAGGAAGAAGGTTGATGGATAGATGGATGATCGGCAGTTTGGGGTTACATGAGTGGCAGTGCAGCTGCATGGTGATAAGAACATTCCCTGAATCCAGCTGTGTGGGTTCAAATCCTGGCTCTGCTGCTCCTCAGCTACTGAATCTAAGCAAGTTTATTCACCTCCTCATGCTTCCGTTTCTTCATCCATGACACTGGATTGGTGGTGATAACAGTACCTACTCTATATAGTGTTGGAGATGATTCCATGCAATAATCTATGTAAAATGTTTGACGCAATGCCAGGAAATCACTCAATCGACATTAGTATTCACCACGGTTATTCCCAGGACCCTCAGCTCCACTAGGGAGAGCTTGCTAACCTGCCTGAGACGTTATCTGCAGCACAAGGTAATTTCTCCACATTCTGATTCCCCTGTTGTAGGAGTATTGGGAGGTTCACTACCCCTGCAATAGCCTAAGAGCTTAGAAGAAAAAAGGCCATTTTGGTTGAAGAGAGGCAGAAGACCTTGTTGGCAGGAAGCTTCTGGCAGTCCAAGCTCTCACCCAGACAGGCACTGGCTCTCGGCAACACTGAGAGTGGTTCCCCTAGGTTTTGTCTGTGTGTTTTCCATGATAGGGAACTCACTGCATCCCCAGGTGGATCACACAGGCCATGCTAAAGCCAGTGTGCTGTGAGAAGGCTCCTTCTGCTTCACCTACACACATCTCCAAGCAGTGGTGACCCACGGCCTCACTTCTAAGTAACCCTAATCCTCCCCTTTTGACATGTTTTCATTCTGTGAAGCCCATACTCTCATCCCAGCAACTCCTTCCCCCATTTAAGCCTCTTCTTGTAGAGCTCAGTGTTTATGTAAAGATCATGATGGCAGTGGGGGAGCTGTGTTCCTGGTGTTCTGAAGGCACAGGAGAGGTGTAGAGCCAGGTCACCGCCAGGCCTATCAGCACAAAATGACTTTCTACCCCGCAGAGCACAGCATCCTCTGGGGCACACAGCCTCACCTCATCTCATGCGCCCTCAGACGCTGGGGACAGGGGGTGGCCTCTCTGGGTGTGGCTTTGTTTTTCCAGCCTCTTCAGAAGAGCTGTGTGATTCACTGCCATGCAGATGTTCTGCCTCTGGTTCAACCAAGGACAGCGCTGTCAGGACATAGGGGAAGCAAGATAAGGCTGAGACTGAGATGCCAAGGAAAATGGTCCTATATTTGTCACTGGGTTTGTGACTCAGTGTCCAGGTCTTTTTCTAAAACACAATGGGGGAAATAAGGACTCTCTGCTGACTTTGGATGCAGAGAAATTGAGGAAGAGGGTGTTCATGAGTTAGATACTAAATGGACTGTCAACAATGGATTATGAGTGCCTTGGTCACTACTTCCAGAGTCTAGCACAGCCTCTGGCACACAGTAGATGCTTGTGGCAGACACTGTTAGATGTTTGTCCAGTAATCATTCCAACTCACCTTCTTCTTTGTCTACCTTAGTTTCTCTGTCTTGATTGCTCATAGGGGTTACCAACGAGACTGATTCTAGTCAATGAGCTGCAGAAGCATGACTACTGGTGAGGGCATCTTCTCAGAAAGCAATCCTTCATTTAAAAATAGCCTCAAGAAAAGAAAACCGCATTCATCCACCTCCTGCCTTGAAACACAGTGGGAGGTTGTGATGCCTGGAGCAATGGCAGCCATCTTGTAACCCTAAGACTACAAATATGTGGATGAGGATGGTGAAGCAAAACTGTTAAGTAAAGCTTGAATTCCTGATGCTGTTGAACTAGTCCCGGAACCACCTGACTCCAGTATTCTTTTTGAGTAAGTTACTTACTGCTTGATTAAGAAGCCTCTGATGGCCAGGTATGTTGTTTGCAGTTCAGAGCACTTCAGGTTAATGTAGCGCTTAATAAATGTTTCCTGAGTTGTACTGGAAGGGCTTATGGGAAATCTGCATCTGGTGAATCAGGACCAGATAATGCCAATAGGACACTTAGTGGCTGTGGAGAGGGCTAAAGGAATTAGGGCCATAAACCAAGAAAAGGGCTTTTGGCAAAAAGTGGGTCCCAAATGAAACTATCAGTTCCCTCCCAGTTAGAGACTAACAGAAATATGAGATTTCTGGTTCTGATTTGCTGTGATTTTTTGTAAGACTTTCTTCCCTCATAAGTATTGAACAGAGGATGGGGAAATATAGCTGGAGTCTGAGCCAGCCAAAATGTGCTGGTGCAAAGGATAAATTCTGGAGTACGATAATTTGTATCTACTTCTAGTTATAAGTCCGTGTTTTTCAGCCTTAGTACTGTTGAAATTTGGGACCAGATAATTCTTTGCTGTAGGTGTTCTCCTGTGCTTTGGAGGTGGTTTATCAATATCCCTGGCCTCTACTCTATATGCCAGGAGCACTCCCCAGCGAGCTGTGAAACCAAAAATACTTTCAGATATTGCCAAATGTCCTCTGGGGTGCAAACTTTTCCTCCAGCTGAGAAGCACACCTCTCAAAGTCATCTTGAGCAAGGAAACTACCCTCTGGGTTTCTCTTTCCTGATTTGTAAAATGGTGTGAGAGCTCACTGAGGTAGTCTGCAAAAAGTGCTTAGTTCACGTTAACTGTAACAACTACTGTTTGCAGAGAGAGATTTTTTTGCGCTTGCTTTGTGACTGAGCTGTCACCAATATTAGAACTGAAAGCAATGAAGATATTCATCCATCCAAATTCCCACTTTGCAGATAAGAAAACAGAGGTCTAGAGAGAGAAAGTGACTGCTGGGCCCCAAAGATGAAAAAACAGGCTAACATGGATGTCCCAAAGTATCATTGGAAGAAAGACAGAATTTATCACCCTTGATCTAACAACCAAAGAGGACGGGCAGCCAAACAGTCATCTAAGCACATGAGATAGCAAGTTTCCCGTTCCCGGCTCATCTGCAGCATCCTAACTGGATGGGAGCCAGAATAGGATATATGATTGTATTTACCAGTGGGCCATTCTTGTTCCTCTCCACCGTCACTGGCTGCAATGATTTAACGACCACCAGACAGCCATCAGCAACTACTGGGTGGCATCCCTCCACATGCTCGCTGCATTCAAGGATAACTCTGTGCAGGTGTACATGTGGAAAGAGGCAGGCCGCCACCCATACCTCAGGAGCTGTTGTCACCTGGAACACACGTGGCAAGATCAGACACCACGCAGCTACATCTCCTACGTAATGTGTGGTAATGTGAGCATAGTACTTAAGGTGAACAAAGTGGATGATTCCAGCATTCTGGTGTTGTATTCTTTCAATATGTAATATGGAAATTAACAAAATTAACCTTGCATCATCTTCTGCCATGTAGTAAAGAGAATTATGTTTTCAAGCCCCCCCGCCAAAAAAAATTATGCAGCAATGTCACATTAAAAGTAACAACTAGCCCTAGAACTGGAGTCCACAGACATCCAGAATGCTGTACCTGTGTTGCCTCTTTCCGAAGCAGCCATCTGACACAGTCTTCTCCAAGCGCCCAACCTACCTCCCACGGGGTCCTCTGCCCCAGCCAACTCAAGGATTTATTGAGAACAGACTTCTATGCCACCAAGCATGGTCAATACTAAGGATAGTGTGATCAATGAGATAAGCACCCTGCCTTCAGGGAAGTCTGGTTGGGAAAGCCAACGTTATATAAATAATTACTGATGGTCTGCAATATAAACCACATGGAGCTCTAAAGGTAAAACAGGAATGGGGATAGAACTAAAAATCCTCACCCAGTTCTGTTGCCTGTACCCGCAAAAGAGGACCAGGAACCTCTCAGGAAAAAAAAAAAAAAAGAGGGGGCTGGCATCAAGACTTTCCCTGTGAGGTGCTTTTCCACCTCCTCCTGCCCCAACACAAGGGACTGTGTGGTAACCAGTGGGGTTGGGAGTGGGAATGTCTGTGGAGGAGGGCAGAGGGTGGCTGAGAGTCGTTGCAATTCTGAAGCTTATGCAATCTCTCAGAAAGCCCATGTCTGAGTCAGACTTGGACTGGGACAAAAATTAAACAATGTGTCCAATAAGATCTCTTAGGATTCTGCCAGCTGGACAAACCCTCATCTTAATTTGTTATTCTAGGACCCTTGGGGCTGTATCTGTGAGGGTGTTTCAGGCAGAAGATGCAGTTTGTGTGTAGTTAAAAAAAAAAAACTGAGAAAAGTCTAGCGGGACTGGAATATAGAGAGCGTGTGCAAAGCCTCCGTGGGAGGAGGAGAGGAGGTGGGAAAGGAGGATCATGAAAGTGGCAGGATTCCAGGGGGATTTGAGCGAAGCAGGAGAGACTGAGGGTTGGGAAAGGAGGCTAGAATTATGAATGAGTGTCCCCTAAGAAGGGACCTCCAAATCATGTCAGGGAATACGGGTACTTCTGCAAGTGACCAGGGACCACGCAAGGGCTCTAGGGAAGACTATCACATGACCCAGTTTCCCTTAGGAACATGTCTCCAGCTTCAGTGTGGAGGATGCATTGGAAGAAGTGAGGTTGGAGACCAGGAAACAAGTCAGAAGACAAGTAAGGAGCTAAGATCCTTAGCAAGAAAGAGGTGGCCTGGGCTGATGTGGACAAGCATTCTCATCTGGGTGCTTCTCCCCTTCAGGCAACTTTTGGCAATGTCAGGAGACATTTGTAGTTGTCACAACTGGGCGTGAGGAGGGATGCTAATGGCATCTAGTGGGTAGAGGCCAGGGATGCTGCTGAACATCCTACAACACACAGGACAGCTCCCCCGCAACAAAGAATAACCCAGCCCCCAAACGTCCACAGTGCAAAGTTTGAGAAATCCTGGGACAGGGTGGGGAAATGGAGATGGAGATTTGAGATGTGCCTGGAAGGCAGAACTGGCAGGACTTGGGGATGAAGTGGACGTGAAGGGCAGAGAATAAGGAAGTATGGAGGATGGCTCCTAAAGAAGAAGGTGGGTCATGGTTCTGTTCACTGAGATGGGGAGCAGAACAGGGGGAGCAAGTGACAGGTATGACTGAGTGTCTCCATTTAGGACCTGTTGAGGATCATGCTCCCAGATGTTTGCAGAGGAAAACTCTGCCTCAGAACTACCCCACTGCCAGGCAAAGGGTCTTGGAGCTTCCTTTCTGCACTAAACTTCTCGTGCCCTGCCTGTCTACCTGGACTTCCCATGTCCCAGGGTCTCAAGCCTTTAGGTTTCTCTCCTGCTAGTTGGGCTCCCCTGGGCCCAGCCTCACCCCCCAGCTGCAGAGCCCATGTCCCCCTTGGTGCTGGCGGCGGTAGCAGCAGACGGAGCTGCCCTCCCCGGCTCAGCCTCCAGTCACTGCACAGCCTCACGACTAATTAAACATCTGCTGCAAGCTACAATTTGCTAAATTGCCTCACACTCTAACTTCTGGCAGGGACTAATCTGAGTTCTCAACTCCAGGCCCAGAGCCTCCCTCCAAGCAGCCTCAGCCTCCTGAGCTCTCTTCTTCCTCTTCCCCAACTTCCCTGTGACGCCAAGACTCATGGGCGGCGGGTGCAAGGAGCAAGGCCAGGCAGGTGTCTCTCTCCTGGGACTGTGCTCTGGGAGGGATGGGAGGCCTGTGGGCATGGTTCCTCCAAGAGCTCGTAATCAATTGTCCCCCAGAAAAAGACTAAAGAAGAAGATGAATAAGTAATCAGATATAACGACATGCCAAATTGAGTTTAATCAAGAACTAAAACGGATGAGACAGGAAACACATTTTATGGGGGTGGCAGATGAGACTGTTTTCCTCATAAAACCTTAAGAAGAAGGGTCCAGGCAGAGCCACCTGCTTCAGAATCCTGCAGAAACCCTGTGGGGAGGTTGGGGGAGTGCCTGTTAGGAATGCAGATTCCTGGGCCCTGCCCCTGAAGATGCTGATTCAGTAGATCCAAGAGGGTCCTGGGAATCTGGACTCTTTTCAACCAACAGGCAGGATGTTGATACCTACAAAGTCTGACAATAGGAGGACTGATATACTCAAAACCCCCTTTCTCCATTAAGCTTTCCCAAGCCTCCCCAAGTATGAATCCAGATGTGTAGCACCGTTTTCTACAAAGCAGATCGCAGTGGCTTCAGGCTCTGCAATGCTGTGCTTAGTTGTCTACGTGCCCTGCCCTTTCCTCCTCCCATGTGGTGGGACGCATGGCTTCCCTGCCTGTAGTGCCTGCCCAGCCGAGTATTGTCACGTGCTCATTGCTCTGTGCTCACTTCAGATGTCCTCACTTCTAGGAAGCCCTCACCAGCCTCTTAAGGCTGGGCCAGTTGCCTTCTGCAATTCTACAGCCCCATTATACTTCTGGGGGGGGTCCTATATAATGACACAGATGTGTCAAGTTGAGCCATCCCACCTCCTTTCACAAAAAGCAGGATTCATCTGCACCAATATCTATTGTTTACTGACTTAAAAAACGGCCATGGTGAGTGGGGTAAGGTGATATCTCAAAGGGAACACTTACGCACTGTTGGTGGGAATGTAAACTGGTAACACCTCTGTGGAAAACGCTATGCAGGTTTCTCAGAGATCTGAAAGTAGATCTACCATTCAGTCCAGCAATCCCACCACTGGATAGCTACCCAATGGAAAAGAAATCTGTCTGTCTGTCTGTCTATCTATCTATCTATCTATCTATCTATCTATCTATCTATCTATCATCTGTGCATGTATGTATGTATGTATGTATGTATGTATGTATGTATCTATGTATCTATGTATCTATCTATCTATCTATCTATCTATCTACCTATCCCATTCAATCCAGCAATCCCACTACTGGTTAACTACCCAACAGAAAACAAATCAGTCAATCTATCTATCTATCTATCTATCTATCTATCTATCTATCTATCTATGACACATGCACTTCTATATTTATCACGGCACATTCACAATTGCAAATATATGAAACAAACCAAGTGCCCATCAACAGATGAGTGGATAAAGAAAAATGTGGTATATATGTGTGCCATGGAATACTACTCAGCCATGAAAAGAACAAAATACTATCTTTTGCATCAACTTGGATGGAACTAGAGGCCATTATTCTAAGTGAGGTAACTCAGGAATGGAAAATCAAATACCTCATGTTCTCACTTATAACTGAAATCTAAGCTACAGGTACCCAGGGGTATACAGAGTGGTATGGTGGACATTGGAGACTCAGAAGGGGGCATGAAAAACTACCTACTGGGTACAATATACACTATTCAGATGAGAAGTACACTAAAAGCTCAGACTTCACCACTGTAAAATGAATCCATGTAACCAAAAACCACGTGTACCACTGAAGCCATTGAAAAATTGTCTTAATTTCTTAAAATAAGCAGAATTCACAGACGACCTCTGCAACTAAGCCTACCTAAAAGTGAGCAGTGGTTTGGTGCCAGGCCTGGGGCTGGACACTGAGGATAAAAATCTGTATCTGTTTTATGTGCATTTGCAGGGGGCTCAGGTCAATTAAGTTTTAGGAAAGGGAGCTTCAAACACGTGCCACAAAAGTGTCATCCTCTTCCACCCTAGTATGGAGAGGGAGAGTAGTATATGCACGAATTCTTTATTGCTTCCAAATAGTACATGATGCATAAGAGACTCCAATCTTTCCAAAATTATAATAATTTGGACAGGGCCTGGGCTAAAGAAAGGGCTAACTAAGTAGAAAGACAAGGGAAACAAAATAAATGTGTCTCTCCTTCTTTCTCTCAAAAGAGAGAGATGTGCCAACATGAGACATTTCAAGGACCAATGCACACGTCCATTCTTGATTTACGGATCACAAATCATCCTTATCTTTCAATTAAGGAGACCCTCTAAAAGTGTCTTAATTGGCCACACTGTATCAGCTAAGTTACCTTTATAATTGAAAGGTACAAAAATGGACTGCCTCCTTTCCTTTTGACCTTCTACAGATTTCTTTCTTTTTTTTTTTTTTTTTTTTTGAGATAGAGTCTCGCTCTGTCGCCCAGGCTGGAGTGCAGTGGTGCGGTCTTGGCTCACGGCAAGCTCCGCCTCCCGGGTTCACACCATTCTCCTGCCTCAGCCTCCTGAGTAGCTGGGACTACAGGTGCCTGCCACCATGCCCGGCTAATTCTTTTTATATTTTTAGTAGAGATGGGGTTTCACCGTGTTAGCCAGGATGGTCTCGATCTCCTGACCTCATGATCCACCTGCCTCAGCCTCCCAAAGTGCAGGGATTACAGGCGTGAGCCACCACGCCTGGCCAGATTTCATATTGATACAGATATTATTCCTGGACTAGAAAATTAGGAGGAGATGTCACTTTCCTTTTGCAGTGAGACTTTATGCATAAGGCTCTAGTATGGGGTTCTTACCCAGACCCTTGCATTGTCCTGTACTGTACCATAGAAATCTGTGGACACCCTGAAATTGAATGGAAAATTGTGCCTATGCATTTTGGGGGGTTGGTGGCTTTCACCTGATTCTCAAAAACACCTGTGGCCCAAAAAGGGATGAAATCACCATTGGTGAATATCTTTTTCAGGATTTCTACAGCCTGGGGATACCCAAGAAGTCTCTGAGGACCCTTTAACCTTATCATTTGCAGCAAACCTTCAAATAACTCTAGATGTACACTCTTTGCTCCTGTGGTCCCAAGCAGTTGGAGTATAGGAAAGTCAGCTTCCAGAACATCTTTGGTTCCTGTTCACTCTGGCTCTAAGACTCAGACTCAGCTTTTTAAATTTCTGTTAATTCCATGATGCCCCCAATGAAAAGGCCTCTGGACATTTTATGGATTAGGCTAATTGACCCACAATTGCACACCTGCCTTCAGGGAACTTACAGGCTCTTGGGAGAGACATCAAATAGGTGTAATTGCAGTATAATCAGAAGCCTAACAGTGACAGCTAACATGTGTTATATTCTACATGCCAGGCTGTGAACTAAGCATTTCATGCATAAAATAACCCTTGAAACAGCCCCAAGAGCTGGGACTATTATCAATTTCCATTGTATGTTGTGGAAACTAAGGCACACAGATGTCAAGTAACGATCCCAAGATCACACAGCTAGGAAGTGGCAAAATAGCCCTTTCTGGGCATGCCCCATTCTTCCCTGCCTACCTCAGCCTTCCTTCTGTGGATTCACCCTTCCCTAGTCCATTAGCCAGTAAGGTTTGGAACTAGCTGGGGTAAAGAACTACTTCCACAGCCTTACTCCTGTTTCAGGAGGCCCTGGGGCATGATCTGAGCTACCCCATATCTGTTGAGCTCCAGCCTACCTGTTAGACCTTTCCAGATTATACCTAACCCAGGTTACCTGGCTTCCTACTTAGCCAGTTCTGCTTCTGTTTCAGTTCCCAGTTCTCTCCTAAGCCCTCAGCTATGCCCTGCCTCCTCAACACAGGGTCCTGAATCATGGTCTGATGCTGACTGGGGTCTTCCTTCAACCAGACAGACATACCTTCCCTCTAGGATGAAAGTGCTAACATCTGCCCCATTTTTCAACCTCTCGATAGACATTTTTTGAATACTTACCATGTGCCGAACTCTATTTCAGGCAGTAGAAACTTGGGGTGACCAAGATCCAAGCATGGGGTCATTCACTTAAAAGAGCTTATGCATTCATTTATAAATAATTTGTTTATTTCACCACTATATAGTGAAGACAGTATTAGGCCATCTTGCATGGCTAAAAAGGAATACTTGACACGGGGTAATTTATAAAGAAAAGAGGTTTAGGCTAGGTGCAGTGGCTCACACCTGTAATCCCAGCCTCTCCAACATGGTGAAACCCCGTCTCTACCAAAATACAAAAATTAGCCAGGCGTGGTGGTGGGCACCTGTAACCCCAGCTACTCAGGAGACTACAGCAGGAGAATTGCTTGAAACCAGTAGGTGGAGGTTGCAGCGAGCTGAGATTGTGCCACTGCACTCTGGCCTGGACAAGAGCGAAACTCCATCTCAAATAATAATAATAATAATAATAATAATAATAATAAAAGAGAAAAGAGGTTTAATTGGCTTACAGTTCTACAGGATATACAAACATCTGCTTAGCTTCTGCGTAGGCCCAGGGGAGCTTTTACTCAAGGTGGAAAGCCAAGTGGGAACAGGCAGGTCCCATGGCCAGAGCAGGAGCAAGATAGAGAGAATGGCAGGGAAGGTGCCACACACTTTTGAAAAACCAGATCTCTGGAAAACTCACTCACTCATCACTAAGGGCACAGTGTTAAGCCAATCATGAGGGATCCACCCCCATGATCCAAACAGTTCCCACCAGGTTCCCACCTCCAACACTGGAATTGGTGGGAATTACATTTTAATATGAGATGTGGTCGGAACGCAGATCCAAACCACATCAAATGCCTACTCTGTGGCACGTACTGTTAAAGATGCTCGTATCCCTGTGGGTAAGGAGAACAGATATTAAACTCGCCAACTAACGCATTAGCAAGGTTAATTTACATGACAACAAGGGCTACGCAAAAAACAGAGTTGGGGGGGGATAGGAAATGGTGGCAGGTGAGACAGTCTGAGTTAATTTGGCCAAGGAGAGGGCATCACAGGAGAGGCTCAAATGTCCAGCAAAAGCCAATCATTCTATGCATGGTAGGCAGAGACAACAGCCAGGAAACAGCCTGAACACAGTCTGAAGACCCTGAGCTATTTATAAAAGACGGTCAGTATCGTTAGAACCACAGGGTATGGTGGCACAAGGTCCAGCAGGCACACTGCAATGGTGGCAAAGATGGCAGTGTTATTCTAGGGCAGTGGTGATGCAGAGAGGACACACTGACATGATTTGATCTGGCCTCAAAGATCATCCTAGCTGCTGCATTTTATCTTCCCATACATCTTTTCTCACCTCCCAGATCACATCTGCTGGCTACTGACACCCACCCAAATGGAGCTAGAAGTCACCACTCTGGCTGGGACGTGAACCCCTTTCTCCCGAGGGTCATACCCAGATATTACTCAGCCCCCACAGTCCCGGCCTCTATACAATCCTCTTTCCCTCAGTGGCGAGTCTGTGATAAGCACTAAGCTTTCACTGAGTCACATTCATGTTTACAGAAAGAACAAAAAAAAAAAACAAAAAGCAAAATGATTGGAAATTTAATGATCTCATTAGGTTCCAGAAGGCCTGTTAGACAATTGGATTGCCTATGCTGGGCTAAAATGATTCCACCTCCAACATCATAAAATGCATAGGAAAGCTGAACCAACTAGATAGGGAGGGTTTTCCTAATTCTGCCCAACTGCGGGGCAAATGGTCTCTAACAAAACACTGGATTAGCTGGGTAATATCAGACCCTGAGCTGCCAATGTATCCAGGACGATTTGCAAATGAGCATTGCAGCCCACAAGATGGATGCTAGACAATCCTAGCCTGAAGAAAAGTGGCAGTGTGGTGTTTTAAAAACCCTACAAGGAAATGTCATGGCTATTTGAATGTATTGAGCAAACGAAGAGACTGGAAGCAAGAGGAAGGAAAAAGAAAACAGCCTCAGATCCTTGCTCCTAAGGGTCTTTCAGAAGCCCAACCGTCTATGCCAGTAAGTCACCTAAGGGGAAAAAAAAACCAAAGGCCTTTTCTTCCCCCCTGTTTTTGTTTCCCTTCTGAATGACTGAGGGCTTTTCCAAAAGGTTCTAATTTCTCTTTGATTCTGTAGTTGCTGCTGATGGCATTCAAAGGCCTTTGGGGCAACAGGTGCATTTCAAATGAGTGGAAATAACAAATAAATTGGATCCAGGATTTACAGCATTAGCAATGCCTTTGTTCTCTTGCGTCAATGCCTGGCTCATGGACAGCAGATCTACACAGCCCATGGGAGATCATGAGCAGGGGCTGTTACTGAAGAGAGAAAGAAAAGGAGGGGATGGAGGGGGATGTTGGAGGAGGTAGAAGAGGGCCACCAGAATCCTCATATGCAGCTGAACAGCACACACCTTGGGTTCTGCCTCCATAAAAAGGCACCCTCCTCCTCCCCCAAATGACACTTCATGCCACCACCCTGGTCCATGCCATCATTATTTCTTCCCCAGATGATTTCAACAACCTCCTCTGTTCCCCTTGCTCCCTCACTGTGCCTCTTCAATCCATTCTCCTCGCAGTCATCAAGATGATCTTTTCAAAATGCATAGCTCATCATGTGACTCCCCTGCTTGAAACCCTTCAATAACTTCCCTTAGCATTCAGGATAACCTCTGAGTGACTGGCTGCGGCCTTCAGCCTCTGCAGGACGGTCCCTGCCTTTCTCTCCTCATCACCCTTTAAACCACAGTGTGGCAGGCAGCTTCTAAGATGGTCCCCATTGACCCCTTCCTCCTGGCACACATTCCTTTGAGTGGTCTCCTCCTGAGTGTGAGCTGGAGCTAGAGACTTCCCTCTAAAGAATAGAATGCAGCACAGGGAAAGGGCTTGAAAGCAGATCCTTCCTTGGCCAGGTCTTCGGATATCTGCAGCCCTAGCAATACACTTCAACTGCAGCCTGTGGGAGACCCGGAGCAGAGGACCCAGCTAAGCTGTGTCTGGATTCCTGACCCACAGAAACAGTGAAACGGTAAGTGATGTTGTTTTAAGTTACTCACTTTGGGGGTAATGGTAATTTATTACACAACAATAAATTACTAATGCATCCAGCCACCTTACTCTCTTTTCAGCCTACAGGCACACCATACTCTTCCTTGCCCAGCACTCCACACACTCCACCCTCTGCTGAAATCCTCCACTCTCAACTTTGACAAGGTTCCATTTTTTTCTTTTCTTTTCTTTTCTTTTTTGGAGTCTCGCTCACCAGGCTGGACTGCAGTAGCATGATCTCGGCTCACTGCAACCTCTGCCTCCTGGGTTCAACCGATCCTCCTGCCTCGGCCTCCCGAGTAGCTGGGACTACAGGCGTGCACCACCACGCCCAGCTAATCTTTTGTATTTTTAGTAGAGATGGGGTTTCACCATGTTGGTCAGGATGGTCTTGATCTATTGACCTCGCGATCCGCCCACCTCGGCCTCCCAAAGTGCTGGAATTACAGGCGTGAGCCCGGTGGTTGCATTTTTTTCATCCTTTATTTCTAGATTAAGATGTCACTCACTCAGACCTCATCACACCACCTTACTAGTGACTATTATCCTTTAATACCATGTTTATTCCCTTTGCAGCTCTTATCACAGTAATTATAAATTGTTTATATATGAGTTAAATCATGCTCTCCCACACATGGATGGGTAGATTTGTGGGTGGTTGAATGGACAGATGAATGGGTGGATGGATGAGCGGACAGATACATGGAAGGATGGATTGGATGCAGGGATGGATAGACTGAATGCATGGATGGATGGGTGGATAGGTGGCTGAGTGGATTAATGGTTAGACAGAAGGCAGGCTGGCTGGCTGGCTGAAAGGATGGATGGATGGGTGGGTAGATGGATGGATACATGGATGGACAGAAGACTAGATAGATGATGGATGGATGGATTGGATGCATAGAGGAATGCATGGATGGATGCATGGATAGGTGGGTGGGTGGGTGGGTGGATGGGTGGGTGGATGGGTGGATGGATGGATGGATGGATGGATGGATGGATGGATGGATGGATGGACAAAAGCCTGGATGAGTGGGTGGGTGGATGGATGGATGGCCAGGTGGATGGGTGAGTGGATGAATGAATGAATGGACGAGTGTAGGAGAAAAAAACTGTAGAGACACAGTGGCGTGCATCCAGAGGAAGATGGCCATTATAGCAAGGGGACTTAGAATTAGGAAGGATTTAACTCAAAGCAGGGGTTGCCATCTAAAATTTAACTAAAAAACAGCTGCAGCCATTTCTTTGCACACCCTCTGTGGTTGCCTTCACACTGCAGTAGAGTTGAGTAGTTAAGACAGAAGCAGTATGATCAGAAAGCCTAAAACAGTTACTACCTGGCCCTTGTCAGAAAAATCTTGCGGAGTCTTGATGTAGAGGGAGGGAGTTCTCGGGGTGCATAGAGAGTTGTCTTCAACTACTGTGTAGAAGTAGAATATGAGTTGTTCAATGCAGCTTTTTCTTTTCTTTTTTTTTTTTTTTTTTCCCTGAGATGGAGTCTTGCTCTGTCATCCAGGTTGGAGTGCAGTGGCACGATCTTGGCTCACTGCAACATCCGCCCCCTGGGCTCAAGCAATTTTCCTGCCTCAGCCTCCCTAGTAGCTGGGATTACTGGCACCCACCACCACACCCGGCTAATTTTTGTAATTTTAGTAGAGATGGGGTTTCACCATGTTGGCCAGGCTGGTCTCGAATTCTTGACCTCATGATCCACCCACCTCGGCCTCCTAGAGTGCTGGGATTACAGGCATGAGCCACAGTGCCTGGCCTGTTCAATGTAGCTTTAAAGGAGGGTCTCATGTGTGAAAGAGAAAAAGACTTGGTCAACAGGAGAAAGAATATTCGTAGAGTCAAGGATGCTCCAACGAAGAGATAGGCTTCTCTGGGAGATGGTGAGCACTATGTCATTGAAGGTGCACTAGAAGAAGCTACACAACTGTTTTCTGGAATATTTCAAAGATATTCTAGCATTTCCAACACTATTGGTCAAGGATTCAGGGCTCCTTAGCTTGCTCCTGCCACGGATCCCTTCACAAGTCAGATGAACTCTATCTACCACTTCTCACAATAGTGTTAACAAATGAATAAATAATATATTTGGAATTATAAAAGGAACTTGTGTTAAAATACACATATAAAAAATTTATAGGACAGCATATGGATGTGATTTTAATTAATATGTTAAATAACAAAACACAGCAGTGAATCTAATAACTATTAGTAACTTCACAACAGAGATGAGCATAAAGTAGAGGTTAGCAAACTATTGCCTGCAAGCCAAATCTGGCCCAGCTCTTGCTTTTGTAAATAAAGTTTTCTTGACACACAACCACACCCATTTGTTTACATGTTATCTGTGGCTGCTTTCATGCCAAATGGTAGAGTTGAGTCATTGAGACAGCGACCATATAGGTCACAACACCAAAATATATCTACTACCTGGCCTTTTTCAGAAATAGTTTGCCACCTCCTGGCATAAAAGACTTTCAAAACATCTGAAACACTGTAATGTGGAATGAAAACAGCTGGACATCTACTGGGGACAAAGTCACAGGTACTGCTAATACAACTGTGGTTTGCTTCACAATTCACACTTGAGGGGCACAGTATATTTCAGGTAAATGTTAGATAAAAAGTGCTAAGGGAAGAGTGTTTGTAAATGAGTAAGTAATATTCATAATAAGGAATATTACTATAAGAAATATTATATAACATATAAGAATAATATGTTATATATAATAATATATATAAGGAATAATATTCCTTATTCATATTAAGGAATATTATTCCTTATTCATATTAAGGAATATTATTCCTTATTCATATTAAGGAATATTATTCCTTATTCATATTACGGAATATTATTCCTTATTCATATTACGGAATATTATTCCTTATTCATATTACGGAATATTATTCCTTATTCATATTACGGAATATTATTCCTTATTCATATTACGGAATATTATTCCTTATTCATATTACGGAATATTATTCCTTATTCATATTACGGAATATTATTCCTTATTCATATTACGGAATATTATTCCTTATTCATATTAAGGAATATTATTCCTTATTCATATTAAGGAATATTATTCCTTATTCATATTAAGGAATATTATTCCTTATTCATATTAAGGAATAATAAGGGAAGGAGGAAACAGGGAGTGATTGCTTAATAGGTATGAGGCTTTACTTTGGGGTGATGAAAAGTTTCTGGGGCAGACAGTGGTGATGGCTGTACAACGCTGTCAACGTCCTTAATGTCCTTACATTGTACACTTTAAATTGGTTCATATGATAACTTTTATGTTACATGGTTTTTACCATAAAAAATGCACTGAGAAAAGATGCTATAATTTTTTCCATCCAAGTTTATGAATGCTCCTAAATTTGATCCACAAATTCCAGGTAAAACCCCAGTAGATGATCTAGACACTTCCTTCGAACCTTATAGTAGGTGACTCCTGGTGCTGCTCTGTTAAGAGCTGTGATTGTATACAGGAAATGAGCATGAAGGTGGAATCTGCAAAAGATGTGGCATAGAGAGGGGAGGTCCCTGCAGTACCCTGCTCACAGCCTGGGCAGGGAACATCTCTGAACCTGGGGTTCCTGGTACTGCTCATTCCTTCCCCAACGGGGCTGCCTTCCATCACTATATTGCATTCTGAAGAAGTTAAGCAACGCTTGCAAGGTTTTGAAGCTGTGCATAGCCGAGCTGGGACTTAAACCTGGGCAACGAGGGTCCAGAGTCCATGCACTTAACCATGACAACAGACCACCTCCAATTCCTTCCTGTGTTGATGCTCCAAGAGTCTAACTTCTTAGTCAAACTCTCCAGGCCATGGATTGGAAAGCTTGCAAAAACATCATTCCACAATGGGGACCTCTTAATTTTCTGATGGAGTAAGAGTGTTGACCCTCACAGTAAGAATCCAGATGGACAGAGCCCACTCACAAGCCAGTATGAAACATCTAGTTATGTCACTGGAGTCCCCCAGGAAAGTAAACCAAAGGATAAACCTCCTAGCCCACCTCGGGAACCAGGGATGGGAAGTAGGCCTCAGGGTTCCCTTCTAGATACTCTCTGGAGTTGCTAAGACCTCTGAAGCCACTGGGCTCAAAGTGTGCAGTTATAATGTAGAAAGCAACGTCTGAGCCTGCAGCGTGGGAAGAGAGAGGCCTCAGATGCCCTGCAAAGGCAAGATGCCTAATTGTGGAACTCAGTTTTGTTTTCATAGGAATCAATTTGCAGGGATTTTCATTTTCAATTATTCAACAACATCCAATTTTCCTTCCACACCTCAGCCAGACAGGAGGAGGGAAATTGCATGTGTCAATCACCCCAGAAAGCCACTGACCAGCCTAAAGTCACCCTGCAGCCCCCTGCATGAAGAGAGCATAACTGGGGCCCTGGGAATGTGCCCTGGCTTTTCTGAGACAAATGGAGACACCAGATAGCCTTTTGCCCTGGATACTGGGACACTGTCTGGCACTTGTTTTCCCTGTCAAGGAGGGAGACAGACAAGCTCCATGACTGTAAGAAGGACACACTTGGGTGACCAAAAAAGAGGGAGGCAGCCCCCTTCTACCATCCACTCAGCTGTCATCATGGTGGGCTCTTCACAAGTCCTCGGAAATAACAGGGACCTGGCGCAGACTCTGGCGCCCCCTCCTACTCTGTCCTGGGCCCGGAGAAAATTAATTTAATCATTCTGATCCTTGGCTTCTTAGTCCTCAAAGTGGATAAGAGCACTTCTTCTAGCTCCCAGGCCCAGAGAGGTGAAGCAACTCCTCAAAGTTTCCCTCACTAGTAAGTCACAATATCTTGATTCGAAACCAGGCCATCTGGCTACAGGGCCTTGTCCTTAACTCTTATACCATAGATCAGTGGTTCCCAGCCTTTTTGGCACCAGGGACTGGTTTCATGGAAGACAATTTTTCCATGGACCAGGGAGATGTGGGATTCAATTACATTATGTTTATTGTGCCCTTCATTTATATTATTACTTTGTAATATATAATAAAATAATTATACAACTTGCTGTAATGTAGAATCAGTGGGAGCCCTGAGCTTGTTTTCCTGCAATTAGACAGTCCCATCTGGGGGTGATGGGAGACAGTGACAGATCATCGGGCATTAAATTCTCATAAGGAGCATGCAACCTAGATCCCTCACATGTGCAGTTCACAATAGGATTTGCACTCCTATGATAATCTAATGCTGCCACTGACCTGACTGGAGGTGGAGCTCAGGTGATAATGTGAGTGATGGGGAGTGGCTGTAAATAAAGATGAAGCTTCACTTACTTGCCTGCAACTCACCTCCTTCTGTGTGGTTGGGTTCCTAATAGGCCATGGACTGGTAGCAGTCCGTGGCCTGGGGTTTGGGGACCCCAGCCATAGAGGGCAGTGCCTGACACATATTATATTCTCAATAAGCAATATCGACTATTCCCTCAATAGAACACTTCACATGCTATGTTGCATTTGGTTACGACTCTGCCAGCTCATTAGTTCCAAGAGGCAGGAGCTACCCCTTCCTTTATGTACTTGCCATCTGGTATTCAGTTATTTATCTGTTCACATACTCAACCTCTAATCTCACTTCCAAAATAGTTATCAAGTACCAACTATGTGTAAGGACTTATGCTAGAATAGCAAAGTGAATGGGTGTTCATCCACTCACTGCGTCAGTATCCGACTGCCCTCTATGTGCCCAGGACTCTCACAGTCCTCCAGGATCCTCAGGGTAAGGCAATGGGTAGGCAGAAGGGTTTAATACGCTAAGAGGGAAAAGTTCCAAATGGGGTACAGCAGTGGCTCCCAATAGCATTACTAATTTTAAACTGATGAATAAGTCCTTGAGATCTACTACACAGCATAGTTCCTACAGCTTGGTGCCCTAAGACCTCTGAAGCAACCAGCCTCAAATTATGCAGTTATCATGTGGAAAGCAACATCTAAGCCCACAGCCTGGCAAGACAGAGGCCTCAGATGCCTTTCAGATGCATTTTAAGCAACACACTCAAGGTCCCAAAGATGTGCATGGCAGAGCTGGAACTTAAACCTGGGCAGCTAGGTTCCAAAGTCCATGCACTTAACCATGACAACAAACCATCTCCAATTCCTTCCAACTTGCACACTCCAGGAGCCCAGGATGGACTCTCCAGGCCATGGGTTGGAAACCCAAGAAGACATAATTCCACAGACACAAGACATAATTCCGTAATTCTTGTAGCAGCATTGTGTATTTTAAATGTACCTATCACCTCAATTCTTGCCCACCATTTCTTTGTGGTTGGAAAATTTTAAGTGCACAATATACTATTTGTAGCTATAGGATCTATGCTATAGAGTAGATCTCCAGAACTTATTTATTACTATTATTAGTGAGAACCCACTCAATTATAAATAACTTTTTATTTTTTATTTGTATTTATTAATTTTATTTTTCCATAAGCTATTGGGGTACAGGTGGTATTTGGTTACATGAGTAAGTTATTTAGTGGAGATTTGTGAGAACCTGCCACACCCACCACCCAAGCAGTAAACACTGCACCATATTTGTTGTCTTTTATCCCTTGCCCCTCTCCCTATTCCCCCCAAGTCCCCAAAGTCTATTGTATCATTCTTATGCCTTTGCATCCTCATAGCTTAGCTCTCACATATCAGTGACAACATAAGATGTTTGGTTTTTCATTCCTGAGTTACTTCACTTAGAATAATAGTCTCTAATTTCATCCAGATCATTGCAAATGCTGTTAATTCATGTTTGTGGCAGCACAATTCACAACAGCAAAATCATGGAACCAACCCAATTTATAAACAACTTCTTTTTAATTTGCTAAAAGGATAGATCTTACGTTAAGTGTTCATACCTGATATGCTCTGAATGTTTGTGTCCCCTCCAAAAATTATGTTGGAACTTAATCCTCAATGCAACATTATTAGTAAGTGGGGTCTTTAGGAGGTGATCAGGCCATGAAGGCTCCGTGCCTTATAAAAGGGCTGCAGGAAACTGGCTGGGCCCTTTTTGCCCTTCTCCTTTCACCATGTGAGGATGCAGCAGCAAGAGACCATCCTGGATGCTAAGAGGGCAGCCCTCACTAAACACTGAACCTGCTGGTGCCTTGACCTTGGACTTCCCACCCTCCAGAACTACGAGAAAATTAATGTTTGTGCTTTCTGTTCTTTGTAAGTTACACAGTCTCAGGAATTTTGTTACAGCAGCAGGAACAGACTGAGACAAAAATAAAACAAACACATTAATAATAATAAAGAACCAGACATGGTAGGTCATGCCTATAATCCCAGCATTTTGGGAGGCCAAAGCAGGAGGATCACTTGATCCCAGGAGCTGGACACAAGCCTGAACACCATAGCAAGACCTCATGTCTACAAAAACTGAAAAAATTAGCTGGGCTTAGTGGCAGGTGCCTGTAGTCCCAGCTACTTGGGAGGCTGAGGCAGAAGAACTGCTCATGTCCAGGAGTCAAAGGCTACAGTGAGCCGTAAGCCATGATTGCAACACTGCACTCCAGCCTGGGTGACACAGCAAGACTCCGTCTCAAAAAAAAAAAAAAAAATAAAAAAAGAGAGAATGACAGACAGCCCACTTCCCCGCCCCAACTGGGATGGAAAGTGGCCAGCCTAGTAGTAGTCTTAGGCTTCAGCATCTGAGGCAGCCCCCCATGTTATCTCCCAGGCCAGACGAGGAGAAAATGACAGCAGTCTGCAGCAGAGAGCCTTTGTCCTGCCTGAGCAATGAGTTTGGTCCTGATGGGGGTGTGCTGCAGAGACCCTGGTAGGAGCACCTCAGGGCAGCATGTCTAGGGAAGGAAAGGGAAACGAGGGAAAATCAGGCACTTGAGGACTGGTGGCCAGCAAACCTCCTTCCTGCCCTCCCAGAGGAGGTGGGCTCACAGGGAGGGCACTGTGATGAGGGATCCCCTTAAACGTGTGGCATTGTGGAGCCTGAGGTTGGGAAAACCATCAATCAGAGAGGAGAGAAGACTTCCCGAAATTGAGATGAAATTTCCTCTAAGAAATTGCTGTCAAAGAGAGGGCTGGATCTAGACTGGCTTGTCTAACTGTCTGATCGTCTTAAACCCCTGTGAGGCTGGGAGAGCACAGGAGACAGACGGGGGAACGGTGTCACTCAGGACGCTGCTGGAGTCGCGTCCCAACAATTCAGGGTAACGCTGTGACGCACTTCAGAGGAATGATTTCAGAGCTGATTCATGGGGAAAACGTTCCTTCTCACCAAGCTCATTTTCAGGTGCCCTCTGACAACCGCCAAGCAAAAACACAAAAGCAGGTGGGGGAAGAAATTAGTTAGGCTGATGATGAAAAGAAGCTGGGGTGGGTTCCCCTCCCTTGTGGCTAGAAACGTGCGGGCAGCTGCAGCTCTGGTGCTGCTAATGCTGATCAATCCCGGCACGGTCCAGCCACGTGGCCGGGGTCACCGGGATGGTCCTTCCTCACCCCACCTCTTCTCCAATGTCATCTGTTCCTGCCTCCCCCCTTGCAGGATTTATATAAAGACAGTAAGATTCCTTTAGCAAACGTCTCTGTGCCCTATTCCACGTGATGTGCCGAAGACAAAGAACTGAATAAGACAATGTAGCATGGCGGTTAAGAGAATGAACTTTGCAGTCAGGCTATGGGGTGAGTATGGACCAGGGGCAAGTGTTTTAATCCCCATGAGCTCTGCTTCCTCCATCTATAAAATGGGAATGACAGCAACAACCACTTCCTAGAGGTGGTAGAAATATTTAATGCAAAAGTGCATTTATAGTGCAGAAGCGCAATGTCTCAGACACAGTGAGTGTGCAGTAAAGTCACCTGAAGACAAAGACATCACCCCTCCCTGCCAGAGGTCCCGGTCTGGTGGGGGATGTTGGCTTGTAAGCAAGGTACCTCAACAGAGTGGGATGCGACGATAAAGGCCAGCAGAAAGGCCAACCCTCTCTAACGGAGGTGAGTGATGAATGAAAAAGTGACAGGGCACTTGAGGTACAAAGCTAGCTCCTCATTTATCCATCATTTCTGGGGCTCCAGGGCCTGCCTAGGGCATGATCTAGCATGTAAAGAAAGTGCTCAATAATATTTGTTGAAAGAAACTAAAGCCATGTCTTAAAGGATAAGCTGTGATTCACCTGGTGGGCATGGCAGAGGGAAAGGGTATTCCAGGCAGTGGGAGCAGCATAGATAAGGGCCTGGAGACACAACTTGGATAGGAAATGTCAAGTAGTCCAGCGTCAGTACAACGTAAGTCTTCCAAGAGGTAAATGGCAGAAGATAAGGACCCAGGTCAGAAAGAACCTGTGTTCCAAAATACAGTTTGCACTGCTTCCTGCAAGCAAAGTGAAACCTCTGTAGGGTTTCATAGAAGTGGCACAGTGAGGTCATGCTTTTGAAAGACCACTCTAGAGCAGAAGCAGAGCATAGATGGAAGCAGAGAGGCACCATAGGAAGATATTGCTAACCTCCCAGGTGCTGTGGTCTAAATAATTGTGTCCCCTAAAAGAGGTGAGGCCCCTTGGGAGGTGGTCAGGTCACAGGCATAAGCCTTCATGAATGGGATTAGGGCCCTTATAAAAGAGATCCCAGAGAGCTCGTATGATCCTTTGTCATAGGATGTCACATTGAAAAGACGGCCATCTAGGAAGTGGGCCCTTAGCAGACACTGAAGCTGCTGACACCTTGATTTGCACTTCCCAGCCTCCAGAACCGTGACCTATACATTTCTGTTGTGTATAAGCCACCCAGTCTGTGGTGTTTTGTTATAGTGGCTCAAACAGAATATGATACCAGGGCAGGAGAACAGACCTGTGGATGGAGAGAAAGCAGAGACAAGGAGGGGGAAATGGAGCAGAGGAGGAGAAGGACAGATGGAGATGGGGACAGATCCAAGAGGTAATTAAGACCCATCCATTGTAAGGATGGAACAAGGGAAAGAGATGAGTCAAAGGTGATGTATTTGGTGGGTGGAGGAACCATTTACACAGACTATGGGACATAAAAGGAGTCCTCTCTCCCACTGTAGCCCCTTTGAGCATGAGGTATGCATAGAACATAATGGACACAGGGATCCAATGCTCAGGGGAGACATTAGCTGCAGGCAGCAGTAACCAGCAACACTCCTAATCATACCTTGAAGCTCATTCTTTGTTGTCCCCTCTACGGTCAAGACTCTCTGTTTTCTTCCTCCCATGCTGACAACTTTTTGAAAACAAGGGTCCTATCTAATTCTTCTAATTTCTCGTCAAAACTAACAAAGTAAATATTGTTCAAAAAATGCTTATTAATGGACTTAGACCATCTCCAATTCAGAGGTTCCTTGTGTCTTCCGAGACGGATTTCAGAAGGTGAGCCTAGCACAGTATCTGGCACATGGCTGGTGCTCAAAAAACTTATTGACTGAGTAAAGAAAGGCAGAGCTCTCTGTTCCTTATAGACCTCTCCACGACCCAAGAGCAGGAAATAGGACACAATGGTATCCCCTCATATGGGGAGTGCGAGAACCCCATGATATACAAGCCCTTGCAAGGCATGATGTGCAATGAAACTCAGGCTTTCCTGCCGGGGTAATGGTCTTCACCCTGTCAGTCCATTGCCTCATATGCAAAACTGATGACGGTACACAATGCCTGGAGGCACCATTGAGTCAGATACAGAAACCTCCTAACACACAGCCTGGCTCAGCAACTGCTCAATGATTGGTAACAATGCTAAGGATGGTGATGATCTAATGAAGTATCATTACTAGTGATCAGAATGGGGATAAAGTTATTGAATATCTTTATTTACCTGTCTCCTGCTTAAAACTGTTCAAAGACCCTACTGCTTTCACCATAAAGACAAATACGCTTAATACAGCCCACAAGACCTGGCCAGGCGCGGTGGCTCACGCCCGTAATCCCAGCACTTTTGGAGGCCGAGGTGGGTAGAACATGAGGTCAGGAGATCGAGACCATCCTGGCTAACACGGTGAATCCCCAACTCTACTAAAAATACAAAAAATTAGCCGGGCATGGTGGTGGGTGCCTGTAGTCCCAGCTACTGAGGCTGAGGCAGGAGAATGGCGCGAACCCGGGAGTCGGAGCTGCAGTGAGCCCAGACTGCGCCACTGTACTCCAGCCTGGGTGACAGCAAGACTCCGTCTCAAAAAAAAAAAAAAATACAGCCCACAAGACCCATCACTGCAGGCACCCTGTCGGCATCTCCAGCCCCATCTTCATGAACCCCTTTCTCTCTCCCCTCTCCTTTCTCTCTCCCCTCTCCAGCTGGGCTTCTCCCACTAAGGGTCTTGGTGTCATGCCATCTTCCCAAACATTAGTCAGACTTTCTCCTGTTCCCTGAGCTATGAGAATTTTGGCCTCACTCACTTGTTCATCCATTAATTTCTCACTCTCTTACTCATTGAAAAGACATTTATTTATTACCTACACTGTGCCAAGCACTGTAAAAATGCAACTACCTGAAACTCCAACCACGAATGGGATATCAGTGAGAGTTCCGTTATCCATCAGTACCTGCTTGTCAGCAAGCTCGCTTTAAGAAGAAATGTGAGGGGAACTGGGGAGAAGAATATGGATTTCAAAGCTCCAAGCTATCCTTCACCTGTGTTTAATTACCGTAATAGAAACATGGCTGCTCCTAGAAGTGCACACCCCAACACACACACAAACACACACACACAGAGAGATAGAGAGAGAGTGCACAAGAGTGCAAGACGACGCTGAATTGGATTACAATGCAGGGAAGATGTACAGGAAAGGGGATATCCTCAGCTGAACCCAAAATGGGATATGTCTGATTTTTCTGGGATTTACTGGAGGTGGGTGGATCTCCTAGTCAGGATGTTTATTTGCATGAGAGGAGAGACTGACAGAAGAAATATTTTTGTTTGGATCCCAAAAACAAAGAGAACACAGAGAGGATATGCATGCCTATATCAACACATCTCAGGTACTCCATAAATATGTACACCTACTATGTACACACAAAAATTAAAAATAAAATAATACAAAGAACACAGAGAGGACAGAATAGCATCTTTTTCAGCCTAGATCTAGGGCTATATAATTTCTTTTTTGAGACAGGGGTCTCACTGTTACCCAGGCTAGAGTACAGTGGGACGATCATGGCTCATTGCAGCCTCAGCCTCCCAGGCTCAAACAATCCTCCCACCTCAGCCTCCCTAGTAGTTGGGACTATAGGCACAATCCATGACATCTGGCTAATTTTGTATTTTTTTATAGAAACGAAGTTTAACTATGTTGCCCAGGCTGGTCTCAAAGTCCTGGGCTCAACCTCCCAAAGTACTGGGATTACAAGCATGATCCATGCCTGGCCAGGCATAATAATTGAGAAAGGAGCTTCAGATAGGAGATGCAAGGTCTAGTTTCATGAGAGGCTATGGAATTTGGGGTTCAGCTGGCATGGTTTTGGCAGTCAGTGTCATCCTTGGTCAAGGAGAGAAGACGGTTTTGTCACTTCTGTAGAGAGGTGCTGCTTCAGACAGTAAGAATCCAAAGTACCTGGAAGGTTTTGTAATTGACGGGTACTGGCAGTTAGAGAATCTTCCTAGATGAGGGAGGAAGAGAGCTTGAAGGAATAGGTAGCCAAGGGGAGAAGGTATTCCGCCTGCTTCTGAAATCCCAGTGCCTCCAAGCCTAAGGATGTAGCAGAGATGAAGGATGAGGAGCATCTTTAAGGAGCCACTGGGGGTTAATGCTGACTCCCTGTTTGCAAATTGGAACTAATGCTACCCGTCATCCCAGAGCACCCCCATGGAGAACTGGAGGCTCACATGACCTTATCAGCCCTAGCCAGAGCTGCTGTCCTTTTACTGGGCCCCTCTCAACCCAGAAATCCCAAGGGTTGTATACCTGGGGGCTGTAAGATCCAACCAAGCCTAATGGATTTTAACCAATTGTAATACCCATGCAAAATCCACACCACCCGGTGGATTTCAAACCTAACGCAGCCCCCAGCCCCAGGCTCCCAGCCCCTGCCCCCATCTGAGTTCATTAGTGAACCAGCAGCCATTCTCTCTGCAGCATCAATTTCTCTGGGCTCCACTGTTTCCTGAGAAGGGATAATAAATGTGTTCGGAAGCGTGGGGTGATTTATTAAAGTGCATTGTATTGCAATGGTTTTACAAGAAGATTAATTTTTAATAAAGAAACCTATTACCTCACTCTTTGAGGACCTTCACACACCTAAGAAAAATGATTCTCTCTGCCTCTGTGGAAACTGCTGTGGCTTCCTTCCTGGAACAGGGTCCACTTTGTTCTCTTCAGCTCCTCTGGAGAGAAGGAGATGGACTTTCTGAGTGGGGTCCAAACGGAATTTGGACCTTTTCTTGGTCCATTAGTGACTGAATACTCATTTTTCAGGCTCTTTTCTTAGCACCCCTGGCTGAGGTTTCTGATCAACAGAGCTGCCCCTGTTCTAATCATGGGATCTGAAGTCAGGCCCTGGCCAGCTACTGACCACTGGGGTCTCCAAACAGGGGATGGGAGGATAGAAGGGAATTTAAAGGAGACCCACATGTGATCAAGACATTGGAAAGGAAATCAGGCCAGGCACGATGGCTCACACCTGTAATCCCAGCACTTTGGGAGGCTGAGACAGGAGGATTACTTGAGCTCAGGAGTTTGAGGCCAGCCTTGGCAACATAGTGAGACTGTCTCTACAAAAAAAAAAAAAAAAAAAATTAAATTAAATTAGCCAGGCCTGGTGATGCACACCTGCAGTCCCAGTGACTCAGGAGGCTGAGGTAGGATTGTTGAACCCAGGAGGTTGGGGCTGCGGTGAGCTAGAATCATGCCACTGCACTTCAGCCTGGGTAACAGAGTGAGACCTCATTTAAAAAAAAAAAGAAAGAAAGAAAATAGGTCAGGAATAAAATTTTTTTTTTTTCTTTTTTTTCTTTTTGAGACGGAGTCTCGCTCTGTCGCCCAGGCCGGACTGCGGACTGCAGTGGCGCAATCTCGGCTCACTGCAAGCTCCGCTTCCCAGGTTCACGCCATTCTCCTGCCTCAGCCTCCCGAGTAGCTGGGACTACAGGCGCCCTCCACCGCGCCTGGCTAATTTTTTTGTATTTTTAGTAGAGACGGGGTTTCACCTTGTTAGCCAGGATGGTCTCGATCTCCTGACCTCATGATCCACCCGCCTCGGCCTCCCAAAGTGCTGGGATTACAGGCGTGAGCCACCGCGCCCGGCCAGGAATAAAATTTTTAAATGGCCAGGTGGCAGGATAGACAAGTGGATGAGAAGATAGGCTCTCTACCGCTGACTACTTTCATGACCTTGGGCAAGTTGTGTGGCCTCTGAGCCTGAATTTCCTCATCTGTGAATTGGGCATTGATGGAATTCTGGGGAAGATTCAACTAACCAAGAAGTGCTCAGCACAGAGCCTATATTTATTGTTATTATTGTCGCTGCTGGGGGTATAATTCTTCGGAAGAGGGAAAAAGTTGGTGAAGCTTGGATTTGGGAAGGCAGGAAGCAAACAGAGATCTTCATATAAATTAGAGTGAATTTATTTTTATATTCTTTTACAGAGTACAATCCCTTTGTCACTTCTTCATTAGGACATAGCATGCAAGGTAACAGTGATACAGTTTCCCAAAGGCACTTCAGCTAAGGCTGGGAAAGGAGGGCATACGGATGCAGACCAAGGGATGTGGGCAGCACAGGCGGGCCTCAAGAGACACCTTCTCTGCAGGATTTTGGAGAGGGGAAGGTACCATCTTGTAAGAGTAATTACAGGTTAGTTAACTTCGAGATGGAAGGTTAGTCACTGACATTAGTAATAATAACTACTATTACTATTACCATTACTATCCTAATTGCTTAAAATAAGTTACTTCTTGTATTAAGTCGGTGCAAAAGTAATTGTGGTTTTTGCCATAATAACGTAAGTTAGTTAAACACCTACGATAAGCCAATCCTAAAATTTCATCTATTATAATTCCAGGGTCCCAAGTCAGCAGTGAAGATGTTTAATTCTATATAAAGGGCTTTAACTAAGTTCACAGTCAGAATAAATCACTAAAATTCCCAGTGAGACTGGATCCAAATAATGAAATCTCAATAGCTAACAAATAGTAAGCACGTGCTGATGCCAGTAGCTCTGCTAAGAGCATGATATATCAGCTCCTCAGAACAACTCTATGATACAGATAAACTATTTGCAAATCACATACCTGATACAGGATCCCTGTTATATAAAGAACACTTAAAACTCAATAGTGAGACTTGCCTTTTCTGGGTATTTGATATAAACAGAATTTTATAATATGTGACCTTTTATGCCTGGCTTCTTGCAGTGAGCATGGTATGTACAAGGTTTATCCATACTGTGGCATGAATCAGTGCTTCATTCCCTTTATGGCTGAATCATATTCCATTGTATAGATAGACCACATAAAACCAAAGTAAATTAGTGGTTACTGAGGGCCGGGGAGGAATGGGTATGAATGCTTAATGGGTACGAGTTTTCTGTTTGGGTGACGAAAAAGTTCTGGAACCATAATGGTTGTACAATGTTGTGGGTGCATTTAACACCACTGAATTGTATGTTTTAAAATGGTTAAAGGTTTGGGAGGCCGAAATAGGCGGATCATCAGGTTAGGAGTTCAAGACCAGCCTCACCAAGATGGTGAAACCCCGTCTCTACTAAAAATACAAAAATCAGCCAGGTGCGGTGGCATGCGCCTGTAATTCCAGCTACTCGGGAGGCTGAGGCAGGAGAATCACTTGAACTTGTGAGGTGGAGGTTGCAGTGAGCCAAGATTGCACCACTGCACTGCAGCCGGGGTGACAGAGCAAGTCTCCATCTCAAAAAAAAAAAAAAAAAGTGGTTAAAGGGATAGACTTTATGTTATGTATATGTATCACAATAAAAACAATAAGAAAATCAACAACCCAAAATTTTCTAATGGGCAAAATATTTGAGCAGAAACTTCACCAAAGAAAATACACACATGGAAAACCAGAAGTTGAAAGATACTCAACATCATTAGTCACGAGGAAAATGCAAATTAAAATCACAGTCATATACCCGTATATACCTGTAAGAATGTCTAACATTTAGAAGACTGGGCCGAGCAAGGTGGTGGATCATGCCTGTAATTCCAGCACTTTGGAAGGCAGAGGTGAAAGGACTGCTTGAGGCCAGGAGTTTGAGACCAACGTAGGCAACAGAGGGAGAGCCCGGGTCTACCAAAGATAAAAAAGAATTTTCTGGACATGATGGCACACACTTGTAGTCTTAGCTGCTTGGAAGGCTAAGGGGAGAAGATCCCCCTGAGCCCAGGAGTTCGAGGCTGCAGTGAGCTACGACTGCACCACTGCACTCCCGCCTGAGTGATAGAGTGAGACCCCAACTCTGAAAAAAAAAAAAAAAAGAGAAAAAGACTGATCATGTTGGTGAGTGTATGTGAGAAGTAGAACTTTTATAGACTGCTGGTGGAAATGTAACATGGTTCAACCACTCTGGAAAACAGTTTGGAAGTTTCTTAAAAAGTTAAATATTCACCTACAAATGATCCAGCCTTTCTACTTCTAGCTACTCAAGAGAAAGAAAAGCACATGTCCAAAGGCGTATACAGAACTGTTCATATCCGCATTATTTGTAACGACCAAACCCTGTAAATAAACCAAGTGTCTATCAACTGGTGAATGGATAAACACAATGTAGTCACTATCCATACAGTGGAACATGACCGCACAACAAAAAGAACCAAACACTGTTACATGGGACAGTGTGGGTGAACCTGAAAACCATTACAGTAAGCCAAAGGAGCCAGGTGCAAAAGACTACGTTCTTTCTATTCAATTACATGAAACGTCCAGAAAGGGCAAATTCCTAGAGATAGAAATCAGATCAGTCATTTCCTGGAGTTTTAGCAGTTCCCTGGAGCTGGAGGTTGAGGGAGAGTAGATTAACTACAAATGAGATATTTCTGAGGTGATGGAGTTCTAAAGCTAAATTGTGGTAACGCCTACATGACTCCATAAATTCAGTCAAGATCTATATTGTATTTCATAGAAACAATAGGTGAATATTATAGCACGTCAATTACATCTCAATAATGCCTTAAAAATAGTTTGTCCTGGCCTAGTGTGGTGGCTCACGTCTGTAATCCCAGCACTTTGGGAGGCCAAGGCGGGCAGACCACGAAGTCAGGAGATGGACACCACCCAGGCCAACATCGTGAAACCCTGTCTCTACTAAAATTACAAAAATTAGCTCAATGTGGTGGTGCATGCCTGTAATCCCAGCTACTCAGGAGGCTGAGGCAGGAAAATCACTTTAACCTGGAAGGCAGAGGTTGCGGTGAGCTGAGATTGTGCCACTGCACTCCAGCCTGGTGACAGAATGAGATTCCATCTTAAAAAAAAAAAAAAAATACTTTGTTCCAGCTGGGTGCATTGGCTCACACCTGTAATCCCAGCACTTTGAGAGGCCGAGGCAGGCGGATCACCTGAGGTCAGGAGTTCAACACCAGCCTGGCTAACATAGGGAAACCAGGGAAACCCCGTCTCTACTAAAAGTATAAAAATTAGCTGGGCATGATGGCGGGTGCCTGTAATCCCAGCTACTTGGGAGGCTGAGGTGGAAGAACCTGGGAGGCGGAAGTTGCAGTGAGCCGAGATCGCACCATTGCACTGCAGCCTGGGTGACAGACTCCATCTCAAAAAAAAAAAAAAAAAAAAAAATTTGTTCCATAAGATTTCATTTATATAAAATTCTAAAAACTGCAAACCAATGTACGGATTTAGAAAGCAGATCAGTGGTTGTCTGAGGAGGATGGGAGCAGGGAGGGGCAGGAGCGAGGGACTGCAAAGGTACACAAACAAACCCATTGGAGTGATGGATATTTTCATTATCCTGACTGTGGTGATGGTTTCACAAGTATATGCAAAGCTCAATACTTACCCAATTTTACTCTTCATATGTGTGAAGTTTCCAGAATACCAATCATAACTTAATAATTTTTTTTTCTAAACAAGAGAACATTCCCAGTTGAGGCAATTTGAATTTTGTGATGATTTCCTTTTGCACACATACACGTAACTCAGAGGGGAGCTACCAAAGCAGGAGGCTCAGTAGTGAACAAGGAAGCTATGAGGTCTTAGTCCCAAATGGGATGGAAGTCTGGGTTTATTGTATGAAGACCCTACTCCTGAATTCTGATTGTGCAGATGGGGAAGTGGTACAGCTGTTTAGGAGTTCCACGGGCTGGGTCAACCCAGCAGGAGTGTCACTCAAATTACGGAGGTGATGATGTCACAGATATACCCAGCACCATGGGATAGAAGTGCAGGTATGTGTGCTGAGCTGAGCATCGCCTGTGTATTAGTTTGCTAGGGCTGCCATTACAAAGCACCAGGCTGGGTGCTTATGCAACAAAAATTAATTTTCCACAATTCTGGACTAAAAGTCCAAGATCAGGTGTCAGCAAGATTGGTTTATTCTGAGGCCTCTCTCCTTGGCTGTTGACACCACCTTATTCTTATATCTTTTTTTAATTATTATTATACTTTAAGTTTTAGGATACATGTGCACAATGTGCAGGTTAGTTACATATGTATACATGTGCCATTCTGGTGTGCTGCACCCATTAACTCAGCATTTAGCATTAGGTATATCTCCTAAAGCTATCCCTCCCTCCTCCCCCAACCCTATAACAGTCCCCAGAGTGTGATGTTCCCCTTCCTGTGTCCATGTGTTCTCACTGTTCAATTCCCACCTGTGAGTGAGAATATATGGTGTTTGGTTTTTTGTCCTTGCGATAGTTTACTGAGAATGATGATTTCCAATTTCATCCATGTCCCTACAAAGGACATGAACTCATCCTTTTTTATGGCTGCATAGTATTCCGTGGTGTATATGTGCCACATTTTCTTAATCCAGTCTATCATTGTTGGACATTTGGGTTGGTTCCAAGTCTTTGCTATTGTGGATAGTGCCGCAAAAAACATACGTGTGCATGTGTCTTTATAGCAGCGTGATTTATAGTCCTTTGGGTATATACCCAGTAATGGGATGGCTGGGTCAAATGGTATTTCTAGTTCTAGATCCCTGAGGAATCGCCACACTGACTTCCACAATGGTTGAACTAGTTTACTGTCCCACCAACAGTGTAAAAGTGTTCCTATTTCTCCACATCCTCTCCAGCACCTGTTGTTTCCTGACTTTTTAATGATTGCCATTCAAACTGGTGTGAGATGGTATCTCATCGTGGTTTTGATTTGCATTTCTCTGATGGCCCGTGATGGTGAGCATTTTTTCATGTGTTTTTTTGGCTGCATAAATGTCTTCTTTTGAGAAGTGTCTGTTCATGTCCTTCGTCCAGTTTTTGATGGGGTTGTTTGTTTTTTTCTTGTAAATTTGTTTGAGTTCATTTTAGATTCTGGATATTAGCCCTTTGTCAGATGAGTAGGTTGCGAAAATTTTCTCCCATTGTGTAGGCTGCCTGTTCACTCTGATAGCAGTTTCTTTTGCTGTCCAGAAGCTCTTTAGTTTAATTAGATCCCATTTGTCAATTTTGGCTTTTGTTGCCATTGCTTTTGGTGTTTTAGACTTGAAGTCCTTGCCTGTGCCTATGTCCTGAATGGTAATGCCTAGGTTTTCTTCTAGGGTTTTTATGGTTTTAGGTCTAATGTTTAAGTCTTGAATCCATCTTGAATTAATTTTTGTATAAGGTGTAAGGAAGGGATCCAGTTTCAGCTTTCTCCATGTGGCTAGCCAGTTTTCCCACCACCATTTATTAAGTAGGGAATCCTTTCCCCATTGCTTGTTTTTCTCAGGTTTGTCAAAGACCAGATAGTTGTAGATACGCAGCGTTAGGGTTTGAAAACTGGCACAAGACAGGGATGCCCTCTCTCACCACTCCTATTCAACATAGTGTTGGAAGTTGTGGCCACGGAAATTAGGCAGGAGAAGGAAACAAAGGGTATTTAATTAGGAAAACAGGGAGTCAAATTGTCCCTGTTTGCACATGACATGATTGTATATCTAGAAAACCCCATTGTCTCAGCCCAAAATCTCCTTAAGCTGATAATCAACTTCAGCAAAGTCTCAGGATACAAAATCAATGCACAAAAATCACAATCTTTCTTATACACCAATAACAGACAAACAGAGAGCCAAATCATGAGTGAACTCCCATTCACAATTGCTTCAAAGAGAATAAAATACCTAGGAATCCAACTTACAAGGGACGTAAAGGACCTCTTCAAGGAGAACTATAAACCACTGCTCAATGAAATAAAAGAGGATACAAACAAATGGAAGAACATTCCATGATCATGGGTAGGAAGAATCAATATCGTGAAAATGGCCATACTGCCCAAGGTAATTGATAGATTCAATGCCATCTCCATCAAGCTACCAATGACTTTCTTCACAGAATTGGAAAAAACTACTTTAAAGTTCATATGGAACCAAAAAAGAGCCCGCATCGCCAAGTCAATCCTAAGCCAAAAGAACATAGCTGGAGGCATCAAGCTACCTGACTTCAAACTATACTACAAGGGTACAGTAACCAAAACAGCATGGCACTGGTACCAATACAGAGATATAGATCAGTGGAACAGAACACAGCCCTCAGAAATATTCCTATGTCTTTTCTTGGTCTTCACTCTGTACATGCCTCTGTCCTAATGAGGCCATTAAGGCCCATCCTAACGGCCTCATTTTATCTTAATTACTTCTTTGGAATCCTATCTCCATACATAGTCACATTCTGATATACCAGGAGCTAGGACTTCAGCGTTTGAAATGGGACTGGGGACAAAATTCAGCCCACAAAACCCTCTTAGGATTCAGGCATAGAAGGAGTAAGCCTGATAGGTGTTCAGGAGACACAGCAAGAAGGAAGGAGGAAATTGAAAGAAATGGACTGAATAACCCCAGATACAAGGTTTATGGTGGTTCTGTCTGGGGTGGATGTGGTTCTGGAAAGTGTCCAGTTGTCCAGCTCCCTGCTCCTCAAAGTGTGGTCCAGACCAGCAGCGTGGGCATCACCTGGGAGCTGGTTAGGTACACAGACTCTCCAGCCCCATCCCAGGCCAAGTAAACAAGAGCCTGCATTGTAACAAGATTCCCAGCTCCTTCTTGAGTCTGTTAAAGTTTGTGATGCACCGATGTAGACTTCAACCTTCCACACTCCCTCTCTCTCAGAAGCCAGGACTTCCAGAATCCAGAATTGATCCCTGTTCTAAAAGCCCCCTCCCTGACTACATTCATCCCTATTTATACACTTGTGTGGTTACCTATGCAATTAAGTTATAACGAGGCTATAATGAGCCCTATTAGCAAACTGGTTTGCATCCAATTGATTTCCTGGTTGTGCAAAAGTGCTCAGTAATGACCCATTTTAATAGTAACCAAAATTAGCTCAGGAACCCAGCTCCACCTTTTGCAGCAGTCAGACAGCAGCTTTCTGAGATGACCTGGCAGGGACCCAGCTCACAGGGAGTCCTGGCCCTGTGGCATCCTGAAGATGCCACAAGATTGTGAAGGAAATACTAAGAGAGGTGCTCAGGTGGTTGGAGCCTCAAACTGAGGATACAAGAAGATGCAATTCATATCCACAGCCCCCGTGAAGGGAGAGGAGGGATGGCCACAACTATCTTACTGCCCAGGACAATAGGGAGGTAGGTTCCATCATGGTGGAAAAAGAAGGCTCTGAGAGGTTAAGTAATTGTGTTGTCACTGTCCAGCACAAATAAACAAAGGAGTCAGTATTTACCTAGACATTTCACACCAAAGCCTGAATGCCTCATCTTCCCACTGGGCCAGGCTCAGCCATCACTGGTGCCTGCTGGAGGAGGTGTCGGGGGGTAGCTCTAGCTTCTCCCCCAGGCCATGGCAAGACATTTTTCTAACTATTCCTTCTCTTCCTGGAGATCCTGCTCCTCCAGTGGGGAAAGGCTGGCTGCTTCGGTAAGTGGCTCTGAGAGGTTTAGAAAGAGCATTTGGGAACATCAGTGGGCCAAGGAATAAGAAGAGCCCCTGACGACGTGAAGGCTTTCAGAGGGCTGAGCTGGGCTGACAGCATCAGTGATCCTGCAGTCACCTCTGTGCTAATTAGGGAAGCTTATCCCGGGGCATTACCAGGTTTGTTTAGCTTTCAGCTCTTGTCTTTCCCACTGATGACAGTCCCTGGCAAAGACCTGATTCCTTAATGAACTTCCAATAGCTGGTTTCACTGTCTTGGGCTTGATTTTTCACCCTTGAACAGCAAAGCAGACTTGCAACTTGTTCACCTCTGCTAAGGTTGGAACTCTGGTGCTCCCTCCAAAATTCCTGTTGAAAGTTCATCCTCATTATGTTGGTATTAAGAGGTAAGGGCCTTTGGCAAGCACAGCCCTCATGAATAGATTGATCCCTTGTAACAGGGCTGGAGGCAACTAGCTTTGGCTCCCTTTCTGGCTCTTCTCCATTTCCATCATGTGAGTACATAGCATTTGTCCCTGTTACCCTTTTTGGCCCCATCCACCATGTGGGGATGCAGGAGGAAGGCCCTCACCAGACGCCAAATGCCAACACCTTGATCTTGGACTTCCCAGCCTCCAGAACTGTGAGAAAATAAATTGTCATTCTTAATAATTCACTCAGTCTCATCATTTTGTTATAACTGCACAAATGGATAGAGAAAACCTCCCTCCAGTGGCTGGTGAAGAAAGACAGAAAATGAGAGAACTGAATTGTAGGTAACAGGGAAGGCAGGTCTGCTAGTAAAGACATGAGAGGCCCTCCCATTTTTTTAAGCCTCAGGGACAAACTGGAATAATAATGCCAGCTGTTTCCTCACTCCCAATGGGAATGTGAGCTCCTGATACCCATGTTCATTACCATTTATTGACTCACTGAGAGATCAACACTGTGCTAGGATCTATGCAGGACAGATTTCTCCATTTGTCCCCCCAGATCCACTCTCTGTCCTTATCCACTCTATTCTGTGCCCTGAAACCATATTGATGGATCCCCTTCCCTACTGAGTTTGGCCAAAGGAAAACATTACAGGGTAGCAGAAGGTGGGAGGAGAGAGATATGGGAGTCTTCATCCTCTTGACTTCCTCTCTGCTAGAATATGGGTTGGTTATGACTTGACTCATTACTGAAAGCCACATTCATGTCAGGCAACCCTTCCTATAGCCCTCTGAGTTCTGCTAATTTATCCTTCCCCCTGGAACCCTAGGGGTGGTAACAGCTCTCCACAGTTGCTAGCCCCAGGGTGCTGCATCTTATCTGTTTCCTTTAACCTTTTGATAAACAATTCCTTTGTTCAACTCTTCTCAATTATCCCATCAATACATGTCTTCTGTTTCTGGCAGGGCCACCAACCCACATAGAAGCTTACATTTTGGATCTCCAACCCTGAAATACAATTCTAAAGAATAGGCATTAACAGCTTCATATTAAAGATGAGGGAATTGAGGATCAGAATTCACATTTGCATAAATAGCCCAAGGCTCTAAACTAGTTAATAGAATTTTGAACTTATGGATGCTAATTTATATTTGTGACACACGAGTTGGTAAATCAGTGCTTATGGAATGAGTAAATAAATAAATGAATGAACCCATCCTGTCTGACCCTCTCTAACCTCATATTTTAATCCAGGCTCTATTCCAGGGCTGAACACAGTGTTTCATTTACTGTTCACATGAATCACTGCATAGTGCCATCCATAACCCAGCCCAGGTCTCCTCAAAGACCTGTGACCAAACTGCCCCCTTCCCAGCTTTTAGCCCAAATCCACACTAGATCACCTTCTTTTGATTCAAACAACTCAATGCTCCCCAAACTGTATTTTTCCACCCCAGAGCCTCCAAGTCACAGCAGCCCTTTGCACTTCATCTACAAAATTTTCCAATATACTGCAGTTTTAGTGGGACTATTAAAAACCTGTCAGAGAAATGCTGGTAGTGGCAAAAACATTTCTCAAGAGCCGTCAATTCCCCACATATCCATCAGAGCTGCCCTGCACAACAAGGAGGGCCTCATTTAGAATGTGTCAATTCTGATTATTAATGTGGGGAAAACACCTGCTAAGTATATTTGTCTGGGAGGTGAGCGTGGTAGGACTCAAGGCCAGGCAGCAGCCACTGCTGCAGAGAAAATCCTGGTGTCCAGGACCAACTTGCTGAAAGGCCACCGTAATTAATTAGGACCAGGCTTTCACAATGGGCAGAAGAGGGGAAGGGAGGATGCAGCAGGGTGGAGAGCAGTCATGCAGCACACAGAGGGCAGGTCCCCTTCACCTCCCACCATCTGGGTGGAATGCAACTCATACCTGGAATTCACAGCACTCAACGTTTCATTTGTCCTCAGATTTATCAGTTTAGGAAATACCCCAGGGACTCCCTACAAAGCCATCCTCAAAGTTCAAACCTTATCAATGAACAGGATACCTTGTTTTCTTTTGATATTTCACTAACGTCCTTCTGGATTACAGACAAAAACTCTGTCACTACCACCAATAAACTAAGTTTATGTATTCACTTGTGTATTCATTCATTTGTTCATCCATCCATCCATTCATCTATTCATTCACATATGAATGTATGAATCTCACCCCCATCTATCCACCTATCCAACAATTCATCCATTAATTCATGCATTTATTTCCTCACCTCACTAACATTTACTGAACAATTACACAGTTTCAAGCAATATGCTTCTCTTGAAGGACACCAAAATGAATTGGACTGAGGCCCTTGACTTCCAAGGAACTGAAAAGCTTAGAGAGGGAGGCAGACATGTACTTGGGTAATCATTTGATCCTGGAAGAATAGATGCAATTGCAGACCATCTTTAATACTGTGGCAAGACTTCCCAGAGGAAATCTCTGAGCTGGGCTTGGAAGGGTAAGTAGGAGTTTGACAAGTAGGGAAGGGCATGAATTGGGATGGACAAGACAATTCCAGGCAGAGAGAGCAGTATATGCAAAGGTGTGGAAGTCTGATTACTGGTGCGCATTATCAGACAGGAGGCAGAAGACCAGGAGAGGAAAGAAGCAACATTTCTGCAATCCCAGACCTTTAACTGAAGCAACATAATCATAGTAGAGCATGAGATAATAGAAAGGGGATCAAGAAGGTAGATAATGCATCCTATTCACTCTGATATACCCACTCTGTGCCTAGTATGGTACCTTAAATACAGCAGATGCTCAATATTCTCTTTGTAGAATTCTAGCACTTTATTAATTCATCCCTATTTCATCAAGTTCTTAATGAATGCCCAACAAAGTGTGCTTTGTGGAGTGAGAGAATGAATGACAGGCACCATACATATGCTTCACGGTCATGATTTCATTTTAATACTTACTGCAATCTCACAAAGAAAGTAGCACCGTTATTAAAAATGGATGAGGAAACAGAAGCTGGGCCATGTTAAATAACCTGCTAAAGATCCCGGATCTGGTCAGTGTGGGAACTGGGATCAGAATCCACAAGTTTTGTTTTTCCAAAGCACCTGTTATCTCTCTACCACTCTTCCAATATCCCTCCCAAAGCCAGTACAAAGAGGACCATAAAATAGTACAAAGGAACTCTTAGAGCCTGTGTTTGTCAGAGACGAACCAAGCTCAGGCCAAAAGGATGGGCCTGATGCTGACATACTCACGGGGTACTGAGGTATGGAAAACAAAGGGCTATGAGGTAAGGTTTTATTTTGCTGTTGTTTCTTGGATGGGGGGAGGGATACAGCGGATGGAGAGACCCTCTGACTATAGTCCCATCCAACCCATTCCTGCCATTGTCTGGGTGCTAAAGATGGTCTGCAACTGCATCCATTCTTCCAGGATCAAATTATTACCCAAGTACATGTCTGTCTCCTTCTCTAAACTATGAATTCTCAGAACTCAAGGGGCTGTGTCCATACATCCTGGTAAAGTTCAAGACAAGCATATTGCCTGAAATGGAGTAAATGCTCAGTAAATGTCAGTGAGGTGAGGAAATAACTGTATGATTAATGAATGAATGGTTGGATAGGTGGACAGATGGGGGCGAGATTCATACATTCATATGTGTATAGATGGATGAACAAATGAACCAATATATAAGTGAATACATAAACTTAGTTTATTGGTGGCAGTGATGGAGTTTTTGTCTGTAATCCAGAAGGGCTTTAGTTAGTAAAATATCAGAACAAAACAAGCTATCGTGTTCTTCCCTATAAAGGGAAGAAATCTGCAGGGTCTAGCTCTAAGTTAGCATCTGCTTGCCACATGGATCCAGACATGCTCCTCTTCAAGAGAAAGATCTGAAAACTTTCTCCCCGTAGGTTAACAAGCAGTTCCACCTCTGAGCATTCCCTCTGAGAGTCTGTGATGGCAGAGGATGGGATGAGGGAAGGGCCAAGAATCACTTTAAGCTTTCCAGGGCCCCTGAGCCTGTAGATCTCAGAATACAAGGGACCTCAGCAGCTATCCCACCCTTGTTTGCATGTTTTACAGTCCAGCCATCCTTTGGGAAGACTCACACGCATCTTGGCTTCCAGGTCACAGGAGGCAAAGTTGGTTCCCTGGCTGCAAGTGGAAACACCCCTTTTGTATCTAAAGGGGGAGAAGAGGAAGAAAAGGACTTTCCAAACGAACAGCTTCAATCTGAGGAATTATTTCAGGCTTCCTTTTGATGGGGAGCTTAAAGCGCAAAGTTTGGGCAGCAAATAAAATTGAGGGCATGGAGTAAGGGGAGTTAAACCTCACCAGGAACGTCTTAAGGAGCTTATACACTACTCCAGAGAACAGCTTATTACACGTCTGCTTCCAAGGAACCTGCGAATCAGATTTAATCTATAAAGAGGCCCCGTCAAGGTCTCCTCTTCCTCCAGCGAATGCAGCCTCCAGCAGACCCAGGCAGAGTGATGGCCCCAGCAGAAAAGCACACACGTCCAACCCTCCGGGGGAGAGGGGAATTCGCTTTCCTTTATGCTCCATTTCCTCACCTAATATAGAGCTGCCCTGCATACACAACTTCCATAACCAGCAAAACTGAACATTCTGATTTTTAATGATGCTAGGCGATAATTTTGGCACCCGGTTCACTCTCTGTGCCTGTCAGCATAGGAATAAAACAAACAAACAACACAAAAAACCTATGTTGTTGGATAAACCCACCAGATGGTTCATCTCTATCAAAGGCACATTGTGCCTGCCATTACATCTTGCTCTTTGTAAATCTCAACTCTTTAGCAACCACGGATCACATTGGTATTTTTTTGTGTGTGCCTAGTTAGCCTTTCAACCTCATTCCCCAAAGTAACCAAACCCCACTCATCCCCGCGTGCATGCACCCCAGCTCCCGCGCCTGTGTCGAGACACATATGTCTCTGCTTTTCAAGTAACTGCCCGATGACTGCTAAGTATATTACTGCCTCAAAAATTAACTCGCACACTGAGAATAATCACAGAAAAGAAATTTGTTTTCCTACAAGGTTGTTTTCCAGCTGTTTTAATGCAGACAATTTTACCCCGAAACTCAAATTGAAAAAAAAAAAAAAGAGAGAGGGAGGGAGAGAGAGGCAGATAGAGACTTTAAAATCTGCATAATTTGAAAGTGCTTAATGTAAATTAGATAGATCAGCCTAATTTTATTTCAGTACTTTTTAATTGCATTTATAATTAGTAAAATACATTAATGTGCTACATAGAAGGTCAGGAGTTCTGGTAAAGGGATCTAATTAAAATGGCCCACTGCATTTCTGTCACACATGCGCCCAGGAACTTCCAGCTCCACTTCCGTACACACTCTGGGCGGGGCCTATTTTTAACTCAACTGTGTCTTCATCAAAAGTGGCAATCCTGTGATCAGAGGGCTCCTGGGGTAGAAGATCCCACTCTCTGTCTTGCTCTTGCACTTAAGCCTGCCTCTTGGAGCCTCCCATGGGTCTGTATCAGGGACAAGAAGGCAGATTCCATCTGTCCTCATGTGGCAGGGAAGTTTTAAACTATTAACTCATTTTTGCCCTAGGACCGCCTCCCGTGCCCTCCCAGCCATTCAAACAGAGAGGCTTGTCTGTGATTTGCCCCAGAAAAGGGATCCAATGGCACTAGGACGTCTTCCTTGCTTAGGTTTCCGAGCGGCCCTGTTAGCTATCTGAGAAGCAACTGAGGACAGAAATTCCTCTCTGTAATAATGACTGCAGGGACAACACTTTATTCCTCCTCCAATTTATCCCCAGTGTCACCGTGAAACTAGGTAATAGGCCACTAAAAGTGTCCCTGAGTCACTGGGTCACATCCATTTCACCATCCCGTGTCCTCCAATTCCACACATCCTTGGTCATCTGTCCCAGCCAACTCTCCCTTATTTGTGCTGGAGAGCCCTTGCCATTGCCCAGCAGAGGAGTCTCCGTCTACTCACACCCTGGCCTAAGCTCAAGGGCGTGCTGGGGGTGCAGAGCCTGTTCACAACCTGCCCCTCCCTTCACCCATGTCCATCAAGTCCTGGTCACAGGATGTCCCACCCTGGTTTGCTCTTGACTTCCTTTTGCCTTGTTAATGTCACATCATAATGTGCATGGTTATGCATGAGTAACGAAATGGACTATGGGGTCCAGTCTCCTCTGCTAATCCAAAATTAGGCTACACACCATTGGACTGGACATGCCAGAGCATCACCTGTGGCCCTTGGGTGTATACTTCCCCTTCCCTTACCCTTAGCATATTTCCTACTTTTTCTGGAACAGTCTGGCTTGTTCTACAGTTTTCTGTACCTACTTCTCCCTATATACATATTTCTCTCCCCTCCATCTATAAGTAGGACATGTATATGTATATACTTATACATATATATATAAAAAATAGGGAAATATACACTTAATAGGAGAAATGGAACATGCAAATATATCTTGGGAGACATGCATATTCATTTTCTGAGGACAGACAGATATATATTTAGTATATGAAACAGAACACCCATATATAGCAACATTCTCCCACTTATTTTTTTTAAATTAATTTTAAAAAATCAAACATACCACACTATATTCTGGGAACTAACATTTGTTGAATAGGTAGAGGCACCCAACTTTGTACAAAGAGCTATTCAGAAGCTCCTCAATTTACAATGGGGTAACATCCCAAAAAACCCCTTGTATGTTGAAAATATTGTTAAGTCAAAAATGGATTCAATATGCCTCACCAACCGAACATCACAGCTTGGCCCAGCCTACCTTGAACACACTCAGAACACATGAGCCTACAGTTGGACAAAAATCACCTAACACAAAGCCTATTTTATAATAACATGTTGAATATCTCCTGTAACCAACTGGATACTGTACTGAAAGTGAAAAAAACAGAATGGTTGTGTAGGTACTCAAAGTACAGTTTCTACTGAATGTATGTTGCTTCCATATCATTATATAGTTGAAAAATTATAACTCAAACCATCATAATTCGGGGACCATACATCTGTATATTGTTCGACTTTTTTCAGTCATCTTCTCCACAGACCAATGAGGTTGCTTTTACAAACCTCCCTTGATATGGTTTGGCTATGTCCCCACCCAAATCTCATCTTACTTGTAGCTCCCATAATTCCCATGTGTTGTGGGAGGAACCCAGTGGGAGATAAATGAGTCATGGGGGCAGTTTCCCCCATACTGTACTTATGGTAATGAATAAGTCTCACGAGATCTGATGGTTTTATAAGGGGTTTCCCTTTCTGCTTGGATTTCATTATCTCTTGTCTGCTGCCATGTAAGATGTGCCTTTCACCTGCCACCATGATTGTGAGGCCTCCCCAGCCATGTGCAACTGTGAGTCCATGAAAACTCTTTTTCTTTACAAATTACCCAGTCTCAGGTATGTCTTCATTAGCAGCATGAAAACAGACTAATAAGCCCTTTTGCAGAGGAAGGATCTGAGTTTCAGAGTGGCTCACCCGAGATCTTGCAGGAGTCAAGTGGCAGAACTGGAGCTGAATTGGGCCTGTCTGACGCAGGCAGCAAGTAGTCCGTACCTCTGAGCTACACCCAAGCTGACGCTGGAGGGGTTTATGTAGTGCCCATAAAAGGCAAGCACCTGGGAGGAACCTCACAGCTCAGACCCCTGGTTCATAATTTTTGACTCTGGCATGACTTAATTAAGATTTTCCTTCTGCCACAACGAACAAAGTGGAACGAGTAGCAAATGTTTTAAAAAGTAAACAGAAGGTCCCTTCTCATAAGTCCCATTTGACACACATATATTTCATGGAGACAGGCATATAGGTGAGTGATCCAGACCACAAGACCCAACGTCCAGTTCCTGTTGCCCTAACAATCATTTAGCGCAGATGCCCTCTGCCCTGTAATACCCAACTGTTTAAAGTTCTACCACTTGCCAGGTTGTTTCAAGTCTGCATGTCCTTTCCTATCCTGAGCCATCTACCTGGAAGTCCCATATCCTCCCAGTCCACCTGGGAAATAAACCCTTTCATCCTTTAGAACAAAGCTCAAACATCTTCTCAACAAAGCCTTTTCTGACCCTAACTAATATTTGCCAAGCACACAATAGGGAGAAATCGACACTGCTTGGAAGATCAGCTGTATCGTAATGTGTTGTTTGAATTATGTGAGGCCAAAAATGGGTCTCATTTAGAATATTACTAATGACAATAATACTCATAAAAACATCTATGTGCTATGTCCAATCACTTTTTACACATATCATTTCCATGACTTCTTACAATTAGTCATTTTTATCCCTGTTAGTCATTTTTATCCCTGGCTTTCAAATGAGGAAATGGAAATTCAGAAAGGTTAAGTAACATGCCCAAAGACACATAGCTATTAAGTACAGAAACCAATATTCAAACTCAGGCTGTCTGCTTTATATATTCCCAGGGCTTCGCACACAGTAGGTGCATACAAATACTGTTTGAAAGAATAAATGATGCATATTTACTGAGCATCTCTTCTATGGTGTCCCATCCAATTAACCTCAAGCAGATGGAGTGCGGACATCCTTCCAGAGCCTGTCCTGCTTGTTCTAAGGCCTCATGACTTACCTATAAGTCAATATTTCATTATGAGCCCATCACTCAGGTCAGTGTAATAATTAATCACTATCTGCTGTGTGGCTGCTTATCGTATTTTAGCTTAATTCCAATAAAATCTAAATGGTCTATTAATTTTCCTAATAAATTTAGATATGGCCTCTGACCACAATCTGGCTTTGATTAGCTAACAAAATATTTGAAGATGGGCCAAGCTGGCTCTTTCAAATATTTCAAGCAAATAACACTTAACTGGATGTAGGATTGTCTGCATCAGCTTAGGGCTGGGCTCAGAAGTGAATAAAATAAGGGTCAACTTCATAATTGGTCCCCAGCTACTCAGAGCTGAGTCACTCTGGGGAGCCATCTGTCTAAGGGTCTGGAAGCCAGATACAGCCAAAACAACAAGGAAACACACCTTCAGTTACAGGAAGAGCAGAAAATCAAGTAGGGAGTGACTTCTCAGAAGCACCCAATGGAGATGTTCCAAGACGGTCCTTGAAGTGGAGGGTCCCAAGAAGTGGGTGTGGACACACACTTAGGCTAAAACTGCCTACCCCAAAGATGTCCTGAAAGTCTACACCATTGATGCAAATCCAGTCTATGTAGTTTACCTTCAAAGATCCAAAAGGTAAAGAATAGTGATAGGAAATCAGAACTTCCTCTATGGGCATCTAGCATGGCTGGTTCCTTTTATCCTTCAGGTCTCAGTGTCAATGTCACCACTGTAGAGTCCCTCCCTGACCTCCCTATACAAAGATGACCTCACCATCCCCATCTACCAGTCTTGATCACAAAATTCCATTTAATTTTCTTTATGGCACTTATTAGACTGTCATCTTTTGCAGTTATTTTATGTAATTTTCTGTAGTTCTCCTGCACAGGAATATAAACTCTAAAAGGCCAGAGACCTTCTGCAGTGCTTGGCACAAAGTAGATCCTCAATAAATATTGTCACATGAGTAAATAATCGATGAACAAACAATGAATTGATGAATGATGTGAGGGCCATATAGAGGTTAACCTGGAAACAAGGGGGAAATATATCAGAGTTAGAGAACACCACGTTTGGAAGCAAACAGAGCTGGGGTTGAATCTTAGCATTGTCTCCTTCTAGCTGGATGACCACAGGCAAATTACTTGTCCTCTCTGTGCCTCAGTGTCTTCATCCGTAAAATGGGGTAAGAGTATCAAATGGGCATTGACAAGTAAACAGTCAGCACCGTAAGTGGAGCCTAATTAGTGCTCATGAAAGGTCTGCTGCTATTGCTGTCACCATCATCATCATCATCAGGGTGTGGAGACACCATCTGATACAGCCCTGCTTCATCCCTGGGATCCAGCTCATTCCATCCCATCTTGGAAATGTCATCTATGATGCCACCACCACTCCTGTTCCTCTCTCTGACCCCATGTGATGCTTTTGAGGCCACTGATCATATCACAAACCCTGGATACTTGATCACTGTGGATATATTTGGTCCAGATCCTGGATTGAGCAACTCATTCCTGATTCCTTGCTCGTGGCCATAGCTTGGCAAAAACTGCCTCTTTCCCATAACATGTTTCCTTCTTCCATGCTCCAGATTTCACCCATGTGGGCCACATCCACTTCCTTCCAGATCCAGATCTGTGCATTTCAGAACCCAGCCTCAGAAGTGGGTGGATCCACTTGACATCAGGGTTTTACTATTCCTGAGCCCAGTCTTGAGCTGCTTATGACCTTCCAAAACAGCTCACCAAAATTCAACCATGCCTTCACAAAGTGACAGAAGTCCTCCCTTCCCCCAATCTACAAGCTGAAAATGCACTAGATTCAACTGCTATGGAAATCTACAATGCATTGCACAGCCCTATGCAAATGGGAAAACCCAACTGTACTGCCAAAGTCTTTGAAAAGGTGGGGACTATTGATGCAACTGGTGAGTGTTGTCGACCTATCTCCAGTAGAGCAAACAAAAGAACTAAGTCATTAGAAAATGCAACAGAGACTGTGAGGCTCTAATGGCTTTGCAAATCAGTGAAAAAAAGCAAATCCTTCCCCAATGAATGTAAACAGAAGGGGAGAATGGGATTGTTTATCTTCCAGGTCTAAAGTCAAAAGTTAGGAGGGATATATGAATGTATATAATGGGGGAAATGGATCTATTTAGGAGGCCAGAGAAGGCTTCTTGAAGAAATGATATTTGAGTTAGGATTTGGAAGAAGAGTGGTCAGGGGTAAGGAGGGGAAAGAATTCCAGGTCAAGGAAACAACATATTGAAGACCAGGCTAGGCACAGTGGTTCATGTCTGTAATCCTAGCACTTTGGGAGGCCAAGGCAGGAGGATTGTTTGAGCCCAGGAATTCACAACCATAGCAATACCCCATCTCCACAAAAAATTAAAAATTTAGCCACGCACGGTGGTAGGTGCCTGTGGTCCCACTACTCGGGAGGCTGAGGCAGGAGGATCACTTGAGCCCAGAAGATTGACACAGCAATGAGCCATGATCTCGCCACTGCACTCCAGCCAGGGTAACAGAGTAAGACCTTGTTTCAAGAAAAAAAAAAAGAAGAAGGAAGAAGTGGAAGACAATAAGGTGGAACAGATCTTGGTCCTTAACAGGAACCAAGTGTCACTGGGCATAGTAATAGGGAGAGGGGGGATATGAAACTGACGTAGAATCATTTCTTGACATTTATGGGTTAGGCCTTTCGTGAGGTGTTTCAGATCCATCGCTACTGATCTACAGAAACAATATAATAAGGTAGGTATTTCTTTTCCCATTCTCCACATGAGAAACTGAGATGGAATAATTTAAGCAGCTTGGCCAAAGTCATACAACTGGGGAGAAGAAAAGTTAGATTTTGAGCCAAGGCATGTTGGCTTGAATGTGACTCCTTCTCAAGACCCAGTGAGATGAGAGTGGGTGTGTGCCTGGGGAATTCCACAGACAGTGTGTAGACTGGGATCCCATGTGATGGGGTAGCTTCCATCTTGCCGAATGTCGCCATAGTAGGATTGCAGCCTCTTGGCGGCTAATACATAAGAGATGCCACTAGCCTCTGCCTAGATTTAATATTGGTTTAGCAGTCAGGAGTTAATTAAATGTTAATGTTCAGTCACTTGAAATTAAACATTAGGAACCTCAGCTTTATTTGTAAGTTTCTTAAGCCATCATTAAGGTGTTCTTCTTGGCTCCCCTCCTGCTGGGCCGCCCGACTCCTCCAGCTGCATCCCCCATCCACAGGCAAACTCATTTTGCTCACCACATGCCTTGACACACAACATCTGACCTGCCCGACAGCTATACCTCTCCAATGAGCAAATCTGAAAGGCTGCACACACCACACACACACACACACACGCACGCTGGCATTGAGTTTCACATAAGGTGAGTGTGCCTCTGGTATCACAGACATTTTGGTGTTTGTAATATTTTATAGATCACACAGTGCTTTCAGGTACATAATTGAATTTGGCCTCATAATGAGATGAAGGCAATGATGATAATAATGATGGAAGAGGACGAGGAATTAGTAAAGGATGAGGAAAAAAAGGAGGTGAAGGTGAAGATGGAAGGGAAGGTGAAGGAGGGAAACAAAGAGGAGGAAGAGAAGGAAAAAGAAAGGGGAAGAAGGACCATTTTGTAAGTGTTTTCTGTACGTTTCCATGCAATGCTCAGTATAACCCCATGACTTAGAGATTGTTACTGTGCTCACTTTACGGATAAAGAAAAAGCCCCAAGAGATTAAATCATATGCCCAACACCACAGATGTACTGGAATTAAATGTCAAGGTCGAGGCTCCAAATGCTCATTCCCTTAACCACAAATGACCACAGAAATGCAAAAAAGTGAAGTTCAGATCAGTTAAGAGGTTTGTCCAACACCTTGCAGTTTCATGATTTTACATATTAACTCTCCCAAAAAATGAAGCACAGAGAGCTTAAATGGCTCACCCAAGATCACACAGGTTTATAATGTGAGGATCAGGGAGAACGTGCTGGATTCCAGTCTCCCAGTACATTTGTGAGTATGTGCAAATGAACACTTGCACATGCACGCATGCAATGCACACTCACACACACATGCACATGCACATACACACATGCATGCATGCACACACACACACGAAGGCACATGTACATAGATCCAGGCTCCCTCCCAGCCTGGAAAGTCTCCCAATGGGGTGACCAGTCTGGGCCCTCCAGCATCCCCTGCAAGTACCGGGTTCCTCACTGCTTTGTGAGCACTGCTCTTGAGTAGTGGGTAAGATGAGGAGGTGAAGAGAGGGGCCTGGGGGCTGAAGAGGGAGGGACGCCCACCTCTTCTCAGGAAGGCAACATGGCTTGTGCCAACACCTCTGATTCAGGACTCTGGCCAGTGCCACATCAGCTTCCTGGACCTCTTAGCGGCATGAAGCCGGTCCCCCAGCACCCATGCCAACGGGCTGAATTGAAAATCAGGGTAAATCTTCACCAAGGGAGATTTCTAATCAAGGCTCAGGTTTGCATTTCCTTTTCAATGGCATGTTGACAAAACAAGAAAAGACAGAAACAAACACGGTTAAGCTGAGTTTCGGAGGCGGGCCAGGGGAGAAGCAGAGGCAGCCAGGGCTGCCCACGGTGGGCAAAAGGAGCCGGTCAGCACAGCAGGGCTGGGCTCCTGGCCTCTCTAAGCACTTCTCAGAGGCTGAAGTGCAAGTTTAGAGAAAAGTGAGACCAGCCAGAGAGAAAGGGAGTCATGGAGACATGTGGGTTCCCTACCGACACCTGGACATAGCCTGAGGTCTGGAAAACGGGAAGTACATTTGACCCTTGAACAACACAACGTGGGTTTGAACTGCAGGGGTTCATTTCTATGTAGATTTTCTTCCACTTCCTCCACTCCAGAGACAGCAAGATAAACCCTTTCTCTTCCTCCTCCTACTCAGCCTACCCAACACAAAGAATATGAGAATGAAGACCTTTAAAATAATCCACTTCTACTTAATGAATAGTAAACCTATTTCTTATCTTCATGATTTTTTTTTTGAGATGGAGTCTCGCTCTTGTTGCCCAGGCTGGAGTGCAGTGGCACGATCTCACCTCACTGCAACCTCCACCTCCAGGGTGCAAGTGATTCTCCTGCCTCAGCCTCCTGAGTAGCTGGGATGACAGGCACATGCCACCATGCCCGGCTAGTTTTTGTATTTTTAGTAGAGACGGGGTTTCAGCACGTTGGCCAGGCTGGTCTCAAACTCCTGACCTCAGGTGATCCACCCACCTCAGCCTCCCAAAGTGCTGGGATTACAGGCATGAGCCACTGCACCCAGCCATATTTATGATATTCTTAATGCCATTTTCTTTTCTCTACCTTACCTTATCATAAGAATACAGTATATATTACATAGAACATTTGCGTTCAGTGAGTGTTTATGTTATCACTAAGGCTTCCAGCCAATGGTAGGCTATTAGTAGGTAAGTTTTTGTAGAGTCACAAGTTATACATGGATTTTTCAACTGGGCTAAGGTGCCCCTAACACTCATGTTGTGCAGGAGTCAACTGTATATGTAGCTGTGATGTTGTCTCTCTAGTGTATCTAAGAGAACTTAGAAAGGGATTACAGAGGGCTGGAACAGGAATAACAACAGAACTGACCATTTACAGAGAAGCCATTCAGTGCCAGCAGCATACACACATCACTTGAAAATTGGCCTTGTCCCAGGTTCTCTTTTATCAGCCCCTTAGACTGGGGTCCCGGGCTTTAAAATCACTTATCCACGATAACTAGCTCTTAAGGGAATCAGAAATCATCCCATCCAATTTGCTTGCTTTATAGGCAAAGACACAACTTCTGCAGGGTGCCTGGGTTGCGGGGGAGAGCCAGCGCCCTGCCAAAGTCATCCTCAAAGTCTCTGGTGTACAAAGGACCTCCAAGCCCCAGAGGCAACGCCAAGAAGTCTGGAGGGTGGCCTCAGTCATCTTGCTGGTTCTTCCCAAAACCTCCATAAGGATGACAGTGACAATTGCCATTTTCTCCACCTCTTTATTTCCAGAGAGCAAAGTGGCCTTAAGTGGAAACCAAGCAAAGGATATTCAGATCAAACATGTCATATGCTTATTGCATTGCTTACTTTTGAATACATGATGTCCAACATGTGAGGGTTTTTGTGTGTGTGTGCTAATTTTTTTCTACTCTCTAGAATGCAGTCTGTGGTTAGCCAGATGTGAATTTGCATTCAGCTCTAATACTTGCTATAGTGTGACCTTGGGGAAGTCAAGTAACTTAAGACCCCTTGTTCCTGGAACCTGGAGAGTCACCCATTCACCCACACAGACTTTTGTGTGCTGCCTGCCTGTCAGTTACTGTGCCAGGCAGTGAGAACAGAGGCATGAACACGATAGACCATTACCCAGCCCTCCTGGCCAAGATCCCAGGGGGATAATATTAGTACCCAGATCCTAGGATTGCTGTAAGAATTAAAAAGCGATTGCATGTAAAGGCCTTAAAATAATGACTCCTGGTGAGTCATCACTCAACAAATGATGTCTGTTAAGATGATATAATTATTAATAGCATTGCATTGATCTTTTTATCAGTTAGAGCTACATTTTTTAGTGCGATAGAAAATACAAAAGATAGTTGGCTACAGTTTAGTGAATATTTACTTAAGTATGTGCTATTTAATGATCTAGCTGAGTCATGCGTGACAAATTAAAATAAAAAAGCCAGGCACTGTGGCTCACGCCTGTAATCCCAGCACTTTAGGAGACCAACGCAGGCGGATCACTTGAGGCCAGGAGCTGAGACCGGCCTGGTCAACATGGTGAAACTCCATCTCTACTACAAATATAAAAATTTGCCAGGTGTGGTGGTATGCACCTGTAATCCCAGCTACTTGGGAAGTTGAAGCAAAAGAATCACTTGAACCCAGAAAGCAGAGGTTGCAGTGTGCCGAAATCACACCACTGCACTCCAGCCTGAGCAACAGAGTGAAATCATGTCTCAAAAAAAAAAAACAAAAAAAAAAAAAATAAAGACCCACCATCTACATCCCCAAAACGGGCAGAGGGCCACAAGAGCAGCAGCAGTGACTCTGGAATGGTCCTGTAAGGCCAAATGAGGAAGACGAAGTGATGCAGAGCACGCACCCAGCACCAGGCATTCCACACTCACTCTCATCTCTTTCATTTCCATGGCAGCCCCTGTGGAGTAGGTATTGTTGTCTTCATCCAGGAGGGAGACGAGGCTTAGGGAGGATAAGAAATGTTTTTTGCCTGGTAGGCCCAGGATCAAACCCCAAACCCTGTAAGCATCAAGGTCCCTATTCCATTTTACCACATGTGCTACATTTCTGAACATTCTGAGTCCTTTTTTTTTTTTCAGCATATTGTTTTCCTTGCATCTTCATCAACAGTTGTATTGCAGCAATTTTTTCTTCCTTTGAGCTCCTGTTTCTGGAGTGGAAGGAGGCACAAACAAAGCCAAAGCCATTCCTACGGCCCCATCCTTCTCTGTACGGTCTCTGCACCTTGGACAATGGAAAATGCAGGGGTTTCTCCCTCTGGCAAGCCTTTCCCATATACGTGTCATTCTTGTATTCTTCCTGGTTACACAACTGGGCTCCACTTCCCAGCTCACAGGCCACAAGGCATGGCCATGGAACTGACCTTTGGTGGATGATGTGGGCGTGGAAGAAGGGCTATTTGTCACTTTCAGGTCCAGCCTGTCCAAATTCTCCATGTGAGACCCTCGCACTCTTTTCCCTTGGAGGTCAAATGCTGAAGATGGAGGAAGGCCTGCTGAGTGGTAGCAGCCTGGAGTCCCGAATAACCACAAGGGTTGGGTGCCAGCTCCACACCCACAGTCATGGTCACACATCACATGGGAGAGAAATAAACTTTTCCTGCATGAAGCCCGTGAGGTGTAGAGGTCTATCTGTTATAGCAGCCACCATTGCCGCAGCTAGCACAGCCCATACACTGCAGGCTCACTTCCTTAAGGTAGAAATTATCTCTTATCCAAGTCTATAATCTGCGTACCTAGTCATGGTGTATGGTGAATTCAGGAAGGTTGGCCTGGCGGTTAGAAGGAGACATCTTGAGATCAGATTAGGACTTGAGCACTGGCTTAGACACTTGTGAGCCTGGGAACTTATGGCAGATTATTTAACATTTTTGAGCTTCTATCTTCTTATCAAGAGAAGTGCGATACTAACTGTATAAATAATGCATAGTCATGAGTCATGAACAAGATACGACTGGGGAAAAAGCTTAACCAAAAGAGAACAATAATAAGCTCTCAGTAGCTGGTAAAATACTAGTGCCAGTACTAGTGATGATGATGACGATGATGATGATGAAACTAACACGTTAAATGCCCTATAGTAACATCTTAAAACTTGACTCCAAATACATACACACCCATACATGCCCATGCACACTCTCATACACACACACTCATATAAATATACACAAATATGCGGGCTTGTAGACCTCCCAAAGTGGCCCCTTGTAAGTCAACACAAGGATGTCTCTGTCCCTTTCTCAGAAGCATTTACTGTCACCACACACAGCCTCTCCTTCACCACACCTCCCTCCCTGATGCGCCTGGCTCCCTGGGTTTTCAGAAATTATAATTAATTCATACTTTGGGCTCCCAGGATTATAAAGTATTATAGGATGGCAGAGCTAAGACAAATGCTTCAATTCACCAGCTGCCATGTATTTAATTAGAGATTTTGATGAATCCTCCTTACACAGACAGGCCTTCTTACTTGGTGCTGTGTGAGAGAGAGGAAGAGGGAGAGAGAGGGAAGGGTTTGTGCACAAGGACTCCAGGACATTCAAACTTTTCACTAGTTTGGACTGCTTGTCTATCCCATCAGAATCAGCTGGAAGTGGAAGAGCATTGACTCCCACATAGGGTAGGCAGGAGAAAATGTCTTGAAAGAGGCTTCTATCTTCCTGAGACACAGGAAAGCCTTACATATGGGGTGCAACAGGATGGGGGCTTTTCACAGGTCTGAATTGCTTTTGGGGCCTCTTAGATTTTTAACTTATAATTTTCCTAATAACTTGGGAGGTGGGTAGAAAAGCATGTGCCTGTCACTGACAACGTCACTCTCGGGATGCTGTGTGTGTGTGTGAATGTGTATGTGTATGTGTGTGTCTTACACTCGCTGAGGAGCTCACAGTTTGCTAAATAAGGCCTATCTTTGCTCTTTTGAAAGAGCACAAGTTTGTTTATTTATCATTTATTTATTGAGACTAAGTCTCGCTCTGTCACCCAGGCTGGAGTGCAGTGGCACGATCCCGGCTCACTGCAAACTCTGCCTCCCGGGTTCAAGCAATGCTCCTGCCTCAGCCTCCCAACTAGCTGGGACTTCAGGCACCTGCCACCATGCCCAGCTAAATTTTGTATTTTTGGTAGAGACAGTGTTTCACCACATTGGCCAGGCTGATCTCAAACTCCTGAGATCAGGTGATCCCCCCAGCTCGACCTCCCGATGTGCTGGGATTACAGGTGTGAGCCACCACGCCCAGCCACAAGTGTTCCTTCAAAAGACGCTTTTGTTGCGCTAAATGTCTCCAATAAGGACAGCAGTTAATACAATTTAAAAATGAGGTTCTAAATGGAAAGGGTGACATATGCTGTCATTTCTTCTCTCCATCCAGGGTAAATAAACTACCGGCCAACAGCAGATATTCAGGATGCAGTCCTGGGAGCAACCTCCAGCATGGCCAGATGTCACTCTCCAGGTATGATGTTTTCAGCAGTCGAATCTCCGCCTAGGAAGAAGGGCTCACAGACAATCTTTTCAACACCCCTACAAGTCAATCATTTATATTTACCCCATTCTATAGGTGTAAACAAGGTCGCTTCATTTCCTGCCCCCGCTGGAAGGGATGCAGAAACTCAGAATTGAACAGTCTGGAGCCCAGCTCTGCCTCTCTCTTGTCTCTGCCCAAATCTTCAGTGAATGACCTGCCACATAACATCTAAGTTCCTTAGTTGACTTGGAACACTGCAATTGCAATGCATTCTTCCTTTCCAACTTTGTTTGCTACCTCTTGTCAACGTGTGCCCTTTACAGGAACACCTTGGGAAATGATCCTCATGGAGGCTTGACTGTTCCAAACTCATTACTTCTTGACCCCCTTGGCTGGTGGTGTCACCCTCTCCTGGGCTCGCCTTCCTGTTCCCTCCATGCTGCCAAACCCTCTCTGCGAGATCCAGCTCTTTGTCACCTTTTCTACAAAGCTCTCATTCACATTCCTCCTCTTCAGCATTCACATATACTTACTTATCACTGTATGTGTTTTGTCTGTGGGGTATCCCATCCTACCCACTTAAACCATACTGTCCTTGAGTATGGGGTCAGGTTTATACAGTGTCATCCCCTCATGGCTAAGCATGAGGTAAGCCCACTGCAAACTACAGTGACTTTATTATTCAGATGACCAGTTTGTAGAGAGGCTTACAATGGATGTCCTAGGGCATAAAGTCTTTATTCACTTCATTGCCAGGAAACATCATTGGTCTTCTGTCTAATTCACTGTGAGGCTCTTCTGTGTGCACTGGAGGACACCTCTGATGCTTATGATGAACAGATCCCCAAGCAGCACAATCCTAAACAGTGTCCTTGGTGTGCTCACCTGTTCCCTTTTCTCCCAGTGAAAGGGCCCTGTGGAGTCATTACAAAGTCTTCTTCACAAAAAGAAATGCTATGAGCTCCTCCTGTGTTATTATTTTTTTGGGAGACAGTATCTCACTCTGTTTCCCAGGCTGGAATGCAGTGGCGCAATCTCAGCACACTGCAACCTCCACCTCCTGTTTAAGCAATTCTCCTGCCTCAGCCTCCCAAGGAGCTGAGATTACAGGCATCTGCCACCGCGCCCAGTTAATCTTTGTGTTTTTAGTAGAGATGGGGTTTCACCATGTTGGCCAGGCTGGTCTCGATCTCCTGACCTCAAGTGACCCACCCACCTTGACCTCCCAAAGTGCTGGGATTACAGGCGCAAGCTGCCATGCCCGGCTTCATTCTACCTTTCAGACCTCTTTCACTTCCTTCCCTCCCATCACTCTCTGATGAGGTCAAACACCAATTTCTCACTGTCATCTCATTAAGAGTCTGACATGAAGCCAGTCAAATGTGAAATGGCTGTAATGAGTATGACCAGCCTGGTGAAAGCAGGAAAGAGGCACTGTCAGGGATGATGTCCAGGTTTGGGATGAGGGCAGTGGGCATGCTAAGGAGAATGAACCTCACTGTAGGACCAAGACAGGTGCAGAGGTCTTGGAAAAATGAAGAGATCATCCACAGAGCAAGCTCTGTTCCCCACACTGGGGTAGTGCAGAACCCTCTCGAGGCAGAAACACACCCTGACACACGGCACATCTCCTTATCCTGGCCTTCGTTACACTCTCTTGTCACTATTTCAACTCTGCATAAACACAGGGTCCCTCCTAGTGGTAGAGACACACCAAGAAGCAGCAGTGAGCAAAGTGCTACATGAGCAGCAGAGGAATGGACGTTATCAAGGGACAGCTGGAAGGGCCCCCATCCTGGACTTGGGAGGTCAGAGGTTCATTTTTCCCAGAGCTAAGAGACAAGCTGGAATCTCAAGGCTGAGCAGGAGCAAGAGAGGAAGGAGTAGAGAAGTCCAAAAAGGTGAGAAAGACTATGCATACTTCATTTGAAGGGCAGAGAGAACACAGTGGAGGCAGGTGTCTTCTGGGGTGAGAGGTGGAGCAATATAAGCAAAGTCTGAATCACCAAGGGCCTTGCAAAGCATCTTAAGGGTTTTGGATCATCCAAAGGGCAGTAGGACCAATTCAGGGAATGACATGATCCAAGGATCCTAATGAAAGGAAAGCTCTGGTGGTCCAATGGAGAAATGGCAAGAGAAGGAGGTAAGGAGGTGAGCATGAAGGTAGGGAATGGAAATGGGGGGTGGTTTCAGTAATCCACAAGCAAGGTGATGTCAGCTGAGGTGATGTGGTCTAACGTAATGACAGTGGGAATGAAGAGAGGCAGATTTTTTCAGGAAGTTGCAGACATCTTGGCCGGGTGCAGAGGCTCATGTCTATAATCCCAGCACTTTGGGAGGCCAAGGCATGTGGATCACCTGAGGTCGGGAGTTCAAGACCAACCTGAACAACATGGAGAAACCCTGTCTCTATTAAAAATACAAAATTAGCCGGGTATGGTGGTGCATGCCTGTAATCCCAGCTACTCAGGAGGCTGAGGCAGGAGAATCACTTGAACCCAGGAGGCAGAGGTTGCAGTGAGCCAAGATCATGCCATTGCACTCCAGTCTGGGCAACAAGAGTGAAACTCCGCCTCAAAAAAAGAAAAAGAAAGAAAGAAAGAAAGAAAAAAGAAAAGAAATTGAAGACACCATGCAGAGACCCTGATAATATACAGAAGGTAGGACAGAAAATGGAAGGATCGTCAAGGATGGCGGTGGGGCCTTGGAAACAAAGTAGCTTCATTTCCTGCCCCACCACCCCCATGCCTGGAAGGGATGCAGAAGCTCAGAATTGGATAGTTTTGAGCCAGCTCCACCTCTCTTTTGTCTCTACCAAGCTCTTTGGTAAATGTCCTGCCACATACCATTTAAGTTCCTTAGTTGAGGTTGAACATACTGCAATCCCACTGAGGTAGTGCCTTCACTGAGAAGAGAACAGGGGAAAGAGATACCACATAGCAAGGACCGTTGAATGTCCCGTCTCTTTAACACCCGTCCTGGGAATTTATCCCAGAAAAATAAATCCGTGGAAGGTAAAAGTTGCATGCCTTTATGTATGTGTGACACCACTATCTACACAACACTGGATGGCTAACAATGTTGACACAAAAGAGCTCATTTAATCCCCACAACAACCCAGTGAAGTAGGTCCCTCCCTGTCTTAGTCTGTTTGGGCTGCTATGACAAAATACCATACACTGGGTAGCTTATAAACAAGAGAAATCTGTTGCTCAAAGCTCTGAGGCTGGAAATCCAAGATCAACGCACCGGGAGATTCAGTGTCTGGTGAGGGAAGGACTTACCTCCTGGTTCATAGATGGTGTCTATGCGCCATGTCCTCACATGGCAGAAAAACCAAGGCAGCTCTCTGGGGCCTCTTCCAAAAGGGCACTAATCCAATTCATAAGGACACCATGCTCATGATTTAATTACCCCTGAAAGGCCTTACTGACATGATTTCGATCTGTGTCGTCACCCAAATCTCATGTTGAAATGTAATCAACAGGGCTGGAGGTGGGGCCAGATGGGAGGTGAGCGAATCATGGGGATGGAATTCTCATGAAGAGTTTAGCACCATCCCAGCTTGGTTCTGTCCAGTGAGTGAGTTATTACAAGAGATGGTTGTTTAAAAGTGTGTAGTACCTCCCCCGTCTCTCTGCTGCTCCTGCTCTGGCCATGTAAGATGTGCCTGCTTCCTCTTTTTTTTTTGTTTCAGACGGACTCTCGCTCTGTCGCCCAGGCTGGAGTGCAGTGGTGCGATCTCGGCTCACTGCAAGCTCCGCCTCCTGGGTTCACGCCATTCTCCTGCCTCAGCCTCCCAAGTAGCTGGGACTACAGGCGCCAGCCACCACGCCCAGCTAATTTTGTTTTTTTGTATTTTTAGTAGAGACGGGGTTTCACCACGTTAGCCAGGATGGTCTCGATCTCCTGACCTCGTGATCCACCTGCCTTAGCCTCCCAAAGTGCTGGGATTATAGGCGTGAGCCACCGCGCCCGGCTGCCTGCTTCCTCTTCACCTTCTGCCGTGAGTGTAGGTTTCCTGAGGCCTCCCTAGAAGCCAAGCAGAGGCCTCTATGCTTCCCGTACAGCCTGCAGAACCATGAACTAATTAAACCTCTTTTATTTATAAATTACCCAGTCTCAGGTAAGTTTTTACAGCAAGGTAAGAATGGATGAATATACTTACCTCCTAATACCAAAACCTTGGGGGCTAGGATTTCCATGTATGAATTTGTGGAGGGGATGCACACATGAAAGCCACAACAATCCCATTATGATCCTTACTTTGTAGATGAGCAACCAAGACACAGAGCCAAAATATGCACTAGGGAGCCTGCCCCCTGGGAACATACCTATACTATCCTGCCTCTTCGTGACAAGGGAGGTTTTTGGTAAGTTTTGGCACATCAGCAGGCTGGAATTTTAGACAACCATTAAACAATCATTAAAGTCATTCCATGGAAACAAGGGAAATGTGCCTGGGGTATCATTAAATTTTTAAAAAGCAGGGGAAATGGTGTGTAAAGTCTGAAAACAATTATGTTAAAATATGAGCATGAATGGGTCAGAGCTGGAAGAGAATTTACCACGATGAAAACAGACGTGATGTCTGGATAACGGGATGAGGGTGATTTTTTTCTATCCACTTTTCCTATATTATTGATATGCATCTTTTATTTAATGAAATACTCAAAACAAGAAAAAATCTCTATATACACCATATAACCCTCATACATAAATTTAAGAAACAGGCACAATTAATCTGTAGAAACAGAAATCAAAACATGGTTACCACAGATTGGTACAAACTAGATTGCTAAGCAGCGAAAAGATAGTTTCTGGGAGGAGAGAGATATCTTATACATAGATTGAAAAGATAGTTACACAGGTGCATTTCTATCAAAACCTCACTGAACTGTATCTTCAAGAGCCGAATTTTATTTTATGTAAATTATATGTAAATATTGTGTGTTTTTGCATGTAAATCGTATCACAATTTAAAAATATTTAAGTAAAGAGGGTGTGACAGTTAATCTTATCTGTCTGCTTGCCTGGATTAGGGAATGCTAAGATATTTGGTGAAATATTACTTCTGGGTGTGTCCATGAGGGTGTTTGGGGGGATGCAAAGAGTATTTAAATCAGTGGACTCGACAAAGTGAATGACCCTCACCCGTGTGGGTGATGTCATCCAATCCATGGAGGGCCTACATAGAACAAAAGGCAGAGGAAAGAGGAATTCACCCTCTTCTTCCTTGCATCCCTGCTTGAGCTGAAACATCTCAGTTCATCTTCTCATACCCTCCAACTGGGATTTACAACATCAGCTTCCCTGGTTTGGGTCTTTTGACTTAGGCTGAATTATACCACCTGTTTTCATGAGTCTCCAGATTGCTGGTTAGGTTGTAGGACTTCTCAGCCTCTGTAATTATGTAAGCCAATTCTTCATAACAGGAACGCACATGCATGCATACACATACCCACACTCTCACACATTCAGTATCTCCCATTGGTTCTGTTTCCCTGGAGAACCCTAACATAGTAAGCAATCAATATAAAATCCCCCATCCTGACACTGTCTTCTTCTATCTCTGCTATGATCTAGATGTATTTGCCCAAATTCTTGTGGTGAAAATTTAATTTAATCCCCAATGCAACAGTGTTGGGAGGTGATGGTTTCTGGGACATGCGTAAATCATAAGGGCTCTGCCCTCTCAAATGCATTAATGTCATTATAAAAGAGCTTGACTGAGAGAGTGTACTCCTTTTTGCCCCTTCTGTCCCCTCCATCATAGGAGGACACAACATTCTTGGATGAAGCACCAAGATGTCATTGTGAAATGCAGACTGGGACCTCATCAGATACCAAACGTGCTGACACCCTGATCTTGGACTTCCCAGCCTCTAGAACTGTAAGAAATGTGTTTCTGTGCTTGAGTCTTGCTTTGTCACTCAGGCTGGTGTACAGTGGTGCCATCTCATCTCACTGCAACCTCCACTTCGTGGGTTCAAGTGATTCTCCTGCCTCAGCCTCCCAAGTAGCTGGGACTACAGGCATGTGCCACCAAACCCAGCTAATGTCTTTCTCTATTTTTAGTAGAGACGGGGTTTCACCATGTTGGCCCAGGCTGGTCTTGAACTCCTGACCTCAAGTAATCCGCCCACCTCGGCCTCCCTAAGTGCTGGGATTACAGGCATGAACCACCACGCCTGGCCTGTTCCTGTTCTTTATAAATTACCCTGTCTCAGGCATTTCGTTATAGCAGCACAATGGACTAAGACAATCTCTTCATGAGGAATCCACCATTTTCTGATATCAGTGCCATAGAGGATAACCAGCACATTTTTCTGGCCAGTTTTCTCCCTCTAGAACAGAAAATTTCAATGGGTGGCACAAATCCCTAGAAAAGGGGGCTTTCAAATATAGCCCACAGGGCAATTCTAGCCTGCCACCAGTTCTTGTAAATAAAGTTTTATTGGCACACAGCCACATCCATTTGTGTACACGTCTATGTCTGCTTTCACACTATAAGACAGTTGATGGTTGCGGCGGAGTCCGTATGGCCAATGAAGCCCAAAATATTTACTGCTTGGATCTTTACAGAAAAAAGTTTGCCAATTCCTTTCCTAGAGAACATTTGTAAATATGTGTGGGTGTTTGAGGTTGTCACAGTGACTGAGCTGGGCCTACTACTGGCATTTATTGGCATAGTTACTTACTACATTGTAAAGAACTGCCCTACCCTGTCCTATCCAAACCTCTAATAGCAATCCATTGAGAAGCTCACTCTAGAAATAGGTTCAATAGAGTCAATAGAGTCAAGAGGAGGAGGCTATGGATAAACCTTAAGCTTCTAAGCAAATTGAAACTGTACAATTCCATTTCCCCCACTTAGAGGATGCACCCTTCCTCCCTGCCCCAGTTTTCTCCATCTTTAGGCAAGAAGCATCAGAAAAGCACCTATCTTTTAGCTTTCCTAATTTCACCATACTTTTCGGTGACTGTTCGGCAGGTTATCTCACAGGTTCCCTTAGGACCTAGTTTTAGAATCAAGGAGAATGGTTTTTAAAAGTTGCCAAACCCAAGTTTAACAGAATGAGAGAGAAATACCCACCATGGTTCTAACCTGTTTTATCATAACCTCCACCTCTCCCAGCGGGACCCCGCAAGGGTGTTCTGCTTGTCACACTGGAATTGTCACTTTGGAGTTTACAAAGCTCTTTCTAGACACGGTATAATAGATTCTGCTCTAGCATGGTAGACTGTGCAGATAGCGATGGCACCTACCAGTTTTCAAGAGGAGAAAGCAAAGAAGTGTCTTGCTCAAGGTTAAGTGAGTAACTTGAACTTAAACCAGGCGTCCCATGCTTCTCTCGGGAGCTGCCTGTACATCTTGTACTCAAGTGACTTAACGGTGGAATTTCAGAAGCTGAGTGGCCTTTTGAGCATATGTCAGACTGGAGAATGGGATACAAAGCAGGAGAGGAGGCAGCCTACTTTGCCTATGAAAAGTTAAATGTCTGTCTCCCCAGGAAATTCAACATTGTGAATATTAGGACTGTGATTTTTTTTTCATTTGGAGGAATTGATTGATTGATTGTTTAAATTGACAAATACACACTGTATATATCTATGGTATACAACGTGATATTATGATTTTATCTTTATCTCATATTCATTCCCTTGTGTAATATATGGTACATGCCAACCACATAATAAATGTTGGATACATGGATGAACCAATGAATAAAATTTATCTCATTGTCTCTATCCTTTCCTGTACCCAGAAGAAATAAAAAGATTATAGAAAGGTAAGAAAGATAATAAAAAATAATAAGGCTGGGTGCAATGGCACACGCCTGTAATCCGAACACTTTGGGAGGCAGAGATGGGTGGATCACAAGGTTCAGGATTTCAAGACCAGCCTGGCCAAGATAGTGAAATCCCATCTCCACTAAAAATACAAAAATTAGCCAGGCCTGGTGTCACGCACTTGTAGTCCCATCTACTCTGGATGCTGAGGCAGAGAACTCCTTAAAACCTGGGAGGTGGAGGTTCAGTGAGCCGAGATTGTGCCACTACACTCCAGCCGGGGCGACACAGCAAGACTCCGTCTTGAAAATAACAATAATAATAGCAAACATGCTTTTAAGGTATACAGCACTCTTATAAACTAGTACATATTTTAGCTCATTTATTATTTTCGAAAACTCTCAGATCAGTATGATTACCATCTCCATTTATTTTACAAGTGAGAAAACTGAAGATCAGGCAGATTATAAAGGTAACCCAAAGTCACAGTGTAGGCAAACGGAGAGCTAGGGTTTGAACTTAGACAAGACAGTCGTGGCCTCCTGTGCCGCAACACCTCATTATCAGGGTATTCTGCAGCCAAGGCCAAATATCAGGGCAATACAATCCCATCATTCCACTTGGGTTGGGGGTGCATCTATAAAAATAACTCCTTTGGAAGAATTTCCAGTAGAATCCACAATGAGCCCAGGAGAATGAAGAGGGAAGGCTACTTAGCTCACCAACATTCACAAGAACAACTCTCCAAATAAGCACCCACAAAGGTATAGGGATACTTGGATACATGGACGTTTGATTCTGTAGTTTCAATAAAACAGAGCTTGGGCCCCACACCATGAGATAAATGGCTCAATAAGTCATGTAATATAATGCAGTCAGAAAGAAATGCGTTTTTATGTGCTGAATGGAATTGTATAGCACCAGCTACAGCTCGGGTGATCATCTGATGAAAATGCTTTCGTGCTAGGTTCAAAATGCAGGAGGGAGCAGAGATCAAGTTTGGAAATTTAACAACTGTATGCATCTTAACTTTTCACAATTTAAATTCAAGATAAATTCAGCTGTTTAGAGGGACAGAGACTGACAGAGGGATCAGATCCAGAGGGGTCTGGTCTGCACACGACGTGAGGGGGGAAGGAAAGCTGACCTAACAGTCATTTCGCAAAAAGTGGGTATGCAATTTATTTTCAAATTCACCCTAAACTTGTCATCAAAATATTTTGAGTTCATGATCACTTAGTCATTGACAGCATGGTTCATAACTTGGAGGCTAGATTTTTCTAGTAATAGGTTGGTTCATCCCAGAAATCAATGAGGGCTCAATATACAATTGTTAAATGAGTTAATGAATAGATCAATGGATGAGGGGCTTAATGAATAAAAAAAATTGAGTGCTTTATATGCCAGACACATAAACATGTATTTCGTTTTACTTTTACAGGAATCATATCAGGCAGATGACAATAACAGCCCCATTTTTGAGATGGGAAAACCGAGGCACCAAGAGGACGTGTAACTTTTATCTGAGCTTGCACAGTGGCTGAGGGGTGGGAGTTAGAGCTCAAACTAGGGGAAAACTCTTCTCTGGTCACCTCCTATTCACCCTCATAGTGAAGAAGGGATCCCCACCCTAAATAGTATGAGATGGCCACGCACAGGACACCTGGCTGTGGACAGATGCAATCAACGGATCCATGAGTCAAACCTACTTGGTACAGGGGAGAGGCAGACACAGCACGCCATGCAAGGCCACGCGGGGTTGCTCTCAGAGCAGGTTGAACCAGCAGGCACTGTGGGGAGCAGGCTTTGTAGTGACAAAATGGTGAGATGTCCCCTGGTTCCCACAGGAGGAAGTGACTGCTTTGTTTGAATAATTTCATGGGCTGGCAGGGAGCTGAAGCCCATCAGATTGTGAACCAGGTGAAGGACTAGGGGTGAAGCCAGTCCAGGTGATCAGAGAACTAGCCAGGTCGGGGGTCCTGTCTTGCAAGATGGTAGGGAAATCAGATGAGATCATGGAAACTCACACTTAGAACTCTGGGGCCCTGTGAAGCTCAAAGGTGCCAAGGAATGCCTTGAAATGTTAGGTCTCCACACATGGATGATTCTGGCACCGTAACTCTCAACCAAGTCACTATTGCCATTCCTCCCCACCTTCCCCAATTTATCCTTCTACAGACACTTCTCCTCTTTTATCTCACATGGAAGGGAAGTCAACGGTACAAAGCTGGAATGAGGATCCACCTTGGAACCAGCAGGTAAGTGCCTGGTTCCAGCTCACCACTGCACTGGCCCTAGGGTTCTGAGCATGTATCTTAATGCTCCTGAATCTTTGTTTTCTACTCTGCAAAATGAGGACGTGACCACATACTTCAAATGGTGGTTATGAAGAATAAATGAAATAAAAGCAAGCCCTTGAAAAAGCAATTTAAATGGAAGAGATGCCTACTTATGATCGTGGTTCTCATCATCTCTACATTTCTCTCACCAAGGGCATATTTTTTAAAGGAGCTAAGTAGGAGAGTGAGGGTATTACTCCTGTGCCAAATAATAATGAAATGTAAGTTAAAGAAGTAGCCTTTAACAATTTTATGTATGTATTGTGTGTTTCCCTGTGTGATGGTCACTTTTCATCACTACCTTAATTAAGTCTCACAACAACCCTATTTGGTTGTACTAGCATTATTCCGCTTTTAAATATAAGTTAACTCAGACTCAGGAAGGTTGAGTGACCTGCTCGAAGACCATTTATACAAGGAGTAAGTGACAATGCTGAGATTTCCATCCAAGTCAATGCAACTTCAGAGCCTATGCTCTTAAACTCCAAGAAATACTCTCACAACGACCCCTCAAAGATGTCCCGGTCCTACTGCCTAGAGTCTCATCTGAATATGTGCCTTCTATAGCAAAAGAGACTTCACAGATGTAATTAAGGTACTTGAGATGAGGTATTTTCCCTGAATTATCCAGTGGGCCAATGGAATCACTAGGGTCCCTTCAGAAGAAGGCAGCAGGGTCAGAATTAAAAGACTTGAAGATTATCTGTTGCTGACTATGAAGGTAGAGGAAGGGGCCATGATCCAAGGGTGTAGGTGACCTCTTGCAGCTGGAAAAGGCAAGGAAATTCATGTTCCCCTGGAGCCTCCAGGAGGAAAACAACCTTGCTGATTTTGGGACTTGTGACCTCCAGAATTGTAAGGTAATAAATTTGTGTTGTTTAAACCACAAAGTGTGAGTAATTTGCTCCAGCAGCAATGGATGACGTCAGGGCATTAGAGCAGCCAGCAGGCAGTTTGCAGCAGAGCTGTGCTACACCATATGGTGGCCATAACTGCACTTGGCTACTTAAATTAAGATAAATTTAAATTTAATTTAAAATTCAATTCCAGAGTCATCTTAAGCCATATTTCACGTGCTCAGTAGACATCCATACATCCATGGCAAATGGCCACCGTGTTTGATGATGCTGATTTAGAACACTTCCATCATCACACAAAATCTCCTGGACAGGGCTGTTCTGGAGGGAGAAAGTAGACACATCTTCATACCTGTAGATATTTGCATAAGGACAACATAAGGTGTTCATCACTGTGGGTGTTGGAGGCAGACTGTCTGGGTTGAAATCCCAGCTCTGCCACTTTCTAGCTTAGTGTCAACTGGGGATGATAATACTAACACCCACACCATTGCTTTATGATGAAGGCTCACTGTGGACAATGCCACATTCGTTCTTCATAATAAAAGACTGCCTAAAATGTTCAGCACAGTACGTGGTGCAGACTAGTGGGCACGTAATAAATACCAACCCTTATTATTATTACCATTTCCCTTTTAGACTGGAAGACTTAAGCTCAGCCCAGTTCCAGAAGGCTCACTGAGATTCTGTCTCAGGTCAACCAATTCACACAGAGGGATGCAGGTTAAAATGGTGGCCGTGGTCTCATGCTGCTGAAGGAATGCAACATTCTGCAAACAACTCTGTGCCAAAAAAGAACACACAGAGTGGAAGCGTGGCCTGTGAGAAAATATTACATAAGACACTTCCCCAGAATGGGGTACTGCAGCCTTCTGAATACAAATCAACGAATGTGCAAATACTCCTCGGAAATATTTATGATAAAACTTAAGCACCAACCCAAACAGCCTTCACACAGTGAAACGAAACCATAAATTATTTCCAAGAACGTTGTAATGCCAAGGGAACTCACTTAATTATCCATTATCCCAGAAATGTAGACATAATGTTAATTAAAATGAAAGGGGAAAGCCATTTCCATTTTTTATTAAGATTCATTGGGCTCTTGAAGAGCTCTTTGCCCTGCAGCCTGGGCCAGGTGATGTAGAGCTCATCGCTCATCCTGGGGAGCTGAAATGTGTAACCCAGACAAGAACAGGGGCACCTCAAGGTCCAGAGACAGAACCTTTAAAAAAGGAGAACAATTGTCTGGCCCTGACTCGTCCGATAGTCTTTCTCCCATGGACGCCTGCATCTTCATTTCCACTGTCAGAAATTATTTTCTTTCATCTGGACATTGCTAGCTCCTTGTTCTTGAAAAACCCCTACGTTAGTGGACATTGCAGCATTCCATGCTTCCAACAAGTTAGCAGGCTCTAAGGATTCAGAGTATCAAACCCATGGTTTTCAGTCCTTTGTTTCCTGGAGCCCTGAAGTGGCACTGAGGCCATGTTCAGGTGGATGAACAGAGACAAGGGAAAGAGGTATGGATGGCCAACAGGCCACCTGAGCATTGAGACACCTGTGCACCTGGTGTCTGAACCTCTGAGCCTGTGCCATATAAGGCTCCTTAATTTTTATCATTTGTGATAGAAGGGACAAAACATTTTGAACACATAGGTGTTTCCACCGTGTTACTTTCCCCTGCCTTCTGAGCAGTCCTAGCCTGGCTTGCATCAGTCCCTCCAACGCAGTGACCCCCTCTGTTCCACCTGCCTTCTCCACTATAAGAAATTCCCAGGTATAACATCAGGCCCAGAAAACTTGAAGGGAAGAGGGAAGAGGGAAAAGAAAGGTGTGTGGGGTGAGAAGGGGGATGTTAGTTGAAGGGAAGCTTAGGAACAGCTATGGTGGTTGAGTAAGGAGATACATTTGGGGATCCTATGTCCCCCGTTAGGGTATTCCAAAAGCTCCAGAATAGGATGTGAGTTACTTTGAGCTGATTTGGGGGTGTGGACTACATTCTGTTGTCTACACCATCACTCAAGGATCAAGCTATATTCACTGTGACTTTATAAGCACTGTGGAGATTTTCCATTTTTATGTGAGATTTGGTTTAGGGAAAAGCGAAGGGGATTGCCATTCTTAAAATTGATTTTAAATCCTCTGAGCTGGGTGCAATGTCTCATTCCTGCAATCTCAACACTTTGGGAGGCCGAAGTGGGTGGATCACCTGAGGTCAGGAGTTCGAGACCAGCCTGGCCAACATGGTGAAACTCCAGGTCTACTAAAAATACAAAAATTAGCTAGGTGTGGTGGCACGTGCCTGCAATCCCAGCTACTTGGTAGGCTGAGGCAGGAGAATTGCTTGAACTCGGGAGGTGGAAGTTGCCGTGAGCCAAGATTGCGCCACTGCACTCTAGTCTGGGCGAGAGAGTGAGACTTTATCTAAAAAACTAAACCAATAAAAAATCCTCTGGTGTACAGGAAAGGAAATGCTGCTGGTATCCCAAAGCCCTGTTACACAGTAGACACCATGTAAATGTTTATACAATGGTGACTACCTAATGATTAAACTAAATGTTTAGCTATTGATAACTACTACTTACTAGGATATGTGGAAGGAAGCTGCATAACCTCTCCTTGTTGAAATAGATTGAAGAAAGCCAGAGAGGCACTGAAATTTTGAACTACGTGTTGACATTACCTGTGTGTTTAAAATACTGCCTCTGTGAAAATAATTTCTAAAATCATCTACGTGAAACTAAAACAGCAACTCCTATCACCATAAGAAATGATATGATCAAGTATTCCCACTAACATAGAAATGTCAAAGGAAGCCAGTGTGTTATTAATCCAGAAACAGAAAAGGAATGTTGGTCTGTGGGTCTCTGTCTGTCTGTCTGTCAGTAAGGTAATGGGCCCTTTCTCTTCCCATTGCCCAAATCCCCCATTCTGGGCTTCAGTTTCCACATCTGCATGATGGGGATAAACCCACTCCTCCTCCTCCTGCACAGGCTAACTCATGATGCACGTGAAAGGGCTTTGTAAACCATGAAACTACATATAAAGCAGACATCACATTGTTGGTGGGAATGTAAATGACTATGACCTATGTGGAGGGCAAATGGGCAGTATCGATTAAAAGAGAAAAAATGCAGGCCAAGCATGGTGGCTCAGGCCTATAATCCTAGCACTTTGGGAGGCTGAGGCAGGCAGATCATGAGGTCAGTAGATCGAGACCAACCTAACATGGTGAAACCCCATCTCTCCTAAAAATACAAAAATTAGCCAGGCATGGTAGTGCTCACCTGTAGTCCCAGCTACTCAGGAGGTTGAGGCAGTAGAACCGCTTGAACCTGGAAGATGGAGGTTGCAGTGAGCCGAGATCACACCACTGCACTCCAGCCTGGGCAACAGAGCGAGACTCTGTCTCAAAAATAAAATAAAATAAAAATGCACATGCTTTTCCACCTGGCAATTCTATTTTTCAGAAATAATCCCATGCACGTTCTTGCTCACGTGCATAAAAATAGATATTGCAAAAATGTTCACTGTTACACTGTTCAGAATGGGAAAAATAAACTGAAAACATCCTAAATGTCCATCAATAAAAAACTAATATAGCAACTGCAGTACGTTCATGTTATGAAAAATTATGCAACTGTTAGAATCAACTACGACACAGAATATGAAACATGTTGAACAAGAAAGTAAGTTCTGGAGCAATATGCATACTATGATCTCATTTATGTAAACAATGTGTGTGTATGGATGTGTGTGTGTTTGAATGGCCACAGACATAGTCTAGAGGCTGCTTGTGAACATGTTAATGATACTTACCACTGAGGAAGGAGCTACAATGCAGTAAGAAGGAATCTCTTTCTTTCTTCACATGCTTTATAAATTTATACATTTAGTAATTGCAATAACCTCTTAACTAGCCACCCTGCTTCTATACTTATCCCCTGAAGTCTACCTTCAGCATAGCACTGGAGTTGAGCCACTGAACCCAAGCCAGGTCATACCTGTCTACTGCTCAAAATCTTCCTGAGACCCTTCACATCTCTCATTGTAAGCAAAAGTCCCAACGGTGTCCTGCCCCTCCGCAACTTCATCTTTTCCTTTTCCCCTTGCCCATTTCTCCCTGCCAGAAGGCTTCCTGGAACACACCAGGTATGCTACAGCCCCAGGACCTTTGCACAGTCAGCTCCCTCTGCCCATAACATTCTTCCTCCAATGTCTGCAAAACCAGCTCCCTCATCTTACTGGTCTACTCTTGACCTCTTATTTAAAACTGTAACTGACAGCCCTTTGCCCTGCTTTTCACCCACTATTCATTCCTTTCCACCAGGCTATTATTTGTTGCATGTCTCTGCCAATCAGAATGTAAGCTCCACAAGGACAGAGATACTGGCTCCTCAATCAGATCTGTTCCTCTCAGCAAATTGTCCTTGGTCCAAACTATCGTTTCTCCTTATCTCCCCTCTAGCTGCCTGTTTCTTCCAGAATAGATCACCGCCACCATCCTTTCAACTCACTTGCCCAAATCAGCCATGAATAAATACTTGCAGATATGCTAACATTTATACTATAGTATAAAGGACTCATTATTCACTTTCTCATAAGGTTTATGGTCATATAATTGGGTTGAATTTTCAAGTTACACTGATGGGGAAATAAACTCAAGAGTGCAGAAGAGGTACCTGAGGATCTAAGCAGGAAGATCCTTGGGCCTAAAATCTCTGAAATCCCAAGTCAGTGGGTTAGAAGTGGAGCTCAGGAATTTGGGTGTGTGAAAAGCACATGGGAAGATGTTAGGAGAGGCGGCGTACAGACTCTACATGGAGGGAGCCTGCCAGTAAGTCTGGCTGTTTTCCACAAGGTATTGTGGATGCTCTTCTTCCGGCAACCGGTGAGTCTCTGCCCCATAAATTCACTATTGTTATTCTATAAACTAGCCTCTGTTTTTTATTTATTTAGACAGAGTCTTGCTCTGTCACCCAGGCTGGAGTGTGCTGGTGTGATCTCGGCTCATTGCAACCTCCGCCTCCCAGGTTCAAGTGATTCTCCTGACTCAGCCTCCTGAATAGCTGGGATTACAGGCATGTGCTGCCACACTCAGCTAACTTTTGTATTTTTAATAGAGACAGGGTTTCACCATGTTGGTCAGGCTGGTCTCAAAATCCTGACCTCGTGATCCACCCCCCTCGACCTCCCAAAGTGCTGGGATTACAGGCGTGAGCCACTGTGCCCAGCCCAAACTAGCCTTTTTAAAAGGTACCATACTGATTGAACTGACACTATCACACGAAATAACTATGTCATCACTTCAAACACTACACATGCACACACACAAACACTGCACCTACAACATACAGAGCAAGAATTAAATTTCAGATTGGACATTTTCACATGCCTGATACCAAAATGAGATGCTTTTGGTGGGGTGTGGTAGCTTACATCTGTCATCCCAACACTCTGGGAGGCCGAAGCAGTTGGATCACATGAGGCTAGAAGTTCAAGACCAGCCTGGGCAGCAAGGTGAAACCCCATCTCTGCTAAAAATACAAAAATTAGCCAGGCATGGTGGCGTATGCCTGTAATCTCAGCTATTCGGGAGGCTGAGGCATAAGAATCATGTGAACCCAGGAGGCAGAAGCTGCAATGAACTGAGATCATTCTACTGCACTCCAGCCTGGACTACGGAGGGAGACTCCACCTCAAGAAAACAAAACAAAACAAAACAAACACAATGAAATACTTATCTTGAGATACCCAGTTACTGGCTACTGGTTTGACTAGAATAGAGTTCACTTCTCAGGTACATGTAGACCTCACCCTAACTCCCTCCTCAGAAGGAGAGTCCCTCCAGGTCAGAGCTTCTCACAACCTTAATGTGCAGACCAACAACCTAGGTCGCACCTAGCGAGCAGTCCACAAATGCTATCTGCCTATGGGGTAGCCCCGCTGTGTCTAGGGAGCAGCCATTTTCCCGTTTTCTGTTGCTCTAGTGAACACGCTTTGCTTTCATTTTGATCTTTCACTTTACACAGTTTAAAATGCAGTTTATGACTCAGTAGATCTGGGAGGCAGCCTCAGGTTTTGCGTCTCCTCCAGGAGACTCCATGATGCCAACACTGCTCGTTTGCAGACCACACCTCCAGCAAAAAGGGTCGTGGCCAGAGACAGGAAACAGAGTTCACCTGCCAGGATGGAATAACTGGTTGTGCCTGTCTTGCTTACCCAGTAAGATGGGGAGGCAAGAAGACTCAGCTCAGAGAAAAAGAGTGCCGTGATCAACTAGTGATGTCTGTCATGGGCTTGGCATAGAGTTCTAAAAGCTGTGTGCTATTTTCTTCTAGGCCACCCACATCCTGCCAGTTCATTGTACATTAGGTGTTTAAACAGTGGAATAAATCAGTTTGATGCAGGCGAGCACCAAAACTGAGGCTTAGCCCAGGAGGGTTCTTGGCTATGTGCAGGAAAGAATTCAAGAGTGAGCCAACAGAGTAAAATGAAAGCAAAGCGTGTTTACTAGAGCAACAGAGAACAGGAAAATGGCTGCTCCACAGAAATAGCAGGGCTACCCCATAGGCAGATAGCACTTGTGGACTGTTGGCTAGCTTTATTTATAACAACTCCTTAATTATATGCTAAACAAGGGGTGGGTTATTCATGAATTTCCTGGAAAAGGGGTGGGGAGCTTCCTGAACCAAGGGTTCCTCCCCTTTTAAACCCTATAAGGTAACTTCCAGGTGTTACCATGGCATTTGTAAACTTATGTCACTGATGGGAACGGCTTATGCTAATGCATTAATGCATACAAAGAGCAGTGAGGGCAGCTAGAGATCACTTTCATCACCATCTTGGTTGTAGCTGGTTTTGGCCAGTTTCATTATTGCATTCTATTTTTATCAGCGGGGTTGTGACTGGTGTTCTGAAAACAGTCCTGTTGATGTCCTACCTCAGGTCCAACATGAGAGGTTCTCACTTAAGCATAGCTCATCACTTCAAACATTAATATACACCCACACACAAAAACACCCACAACCCGTAATCACCCAAACTACTCTGGCTAGAGCCACATTCATTCTTACCTCCACAGTAAATCTTCTCTATAGTTTAGCTTCTATCTGCCTCCACCCTCTGTAACCTCTCCCTTAGCCAGAGGAGTACAAGTCTCTAGCACATACCTATACTGAGAGCCTAATTTTCTTCCAAGGTATCCTTGCCCCCAACATCCTGCATGAATTTCCTACGGTTGTCATGACAAAGTACCACAAATTGGGTGGCTCAAACAACAGAAATTTACTATCTTGTCGTCTGGGAGGCCAGAAGTCCAAAATCAAGGTATTGACAGGTTTGATTCCTCCTCAGGGCTGCAAGGGAAGGATGTGTTCCAGGACCCTCTCACTGTAGATGACTCCTCTTCTCCCCATGTCATCACGTGATCTTCCTCCTGTATTTGTTTGTGTCCAAATTTCTCCTCCTTTTTTGAGAGGGAGTCTCACTCTGTTGCCCAGACTAGATTCCAATGGCATGATCTCGGCTCACCGCAACCTCCTCCTTCTGACTTCAAGCAATTCTCTTGCCTCAGCCTCCCAAGTAGATGGGATTACAGGTGCCTGCCACCATACCTAGCTAATTTTTTTTTTTTTTTTGTATTTTTTAGTAGAGATGGGCTTTCATCATGTTGGCCAGGCTGGTTTCAAACTCCTGACTTCAAGTGATCCACCTGCTTCAGCCTCCAGAAGTGCTAGGATTATAGGTGCGAGCCACTGCACCCAGCCCAAATTTCTCCTCCTTATAAGGACACCAGTCATACTGGATTAGGGCCCACCCTAATGACCTGATTTTTACTTGATTAGCTCCATAAACACCCTGTCTCCAAATAAGGTCACGTGCTAAGGTAGCTGGGGTTAGGACTTCACCGTATGAATTTTGAGGGGACATAATTTAGTTGATGACATATTCATAAGGTGTTTCCCATCAAAAAACGTCAGGTTTAAATGCAGTCACTCACCTCTCTTCCATATCCTATATATCAATATTTAATTGACTCTTTTTTTTTTCTTTTTGACCTGTTGGTAGTTTATAGGCTTTATAACAAGGCTTTCTGCTGACAAAATTGTTTGACACTCACTAATGGTGCTCCAGGCAGCCCCATTTGACTTCTTCTCTATCCCACTGCCTGGATTTCCTATTTTTTTTTCATCTGATAATCTAAACCACTTAAATACAATGGGTTACAGGGGGAAAACAAACAAACAAACAAACAAAAAACAGTGATGGTCCGTGTAGTCGAGCATCTTCTCTGGGCATCTCATACCCATGTTCCGTGGAGGGGACTCCATTTGGACACAACAGAAGCCATTTGCTACTAAAGCACCCCAGAAGCAGCAAAGGCTGGCCTGACCTCCTGTTTCAACAGCACCTACGTGGGCTGGGCTCAGAATCATCCGCTTCCTCCCCAGCAGGCAGAGTGGAATAGATGCAAGAGGAATGCACAGAAGAGCAGATTTTGGCTATGATGCAGAGTTTCAGCCAAAATAAATGCTACCACCTGGTAGCTTTCAAACAGGATCCACGCTGGTATGTCATGTGGGCCGAAAACACTGGAAAAATGGTATTCTGCATTTTGCACCTGTAGCTATTCCCTGTCTGCCACGTACCCCTTCCTGACAGGGCCACGTGGAAGGTGGGGAAACAAGTATTTTAAGGGGGTCTAAACAGTGAGGTCATGTTGAAACCAGACTTTCTAATAATATGCAAAAGAAAAAAACAGCCGTAGGACTCTAACATTTCAGCAGCCTTTTCCTCAGAAGCTCAGTTATCTTAGCGGCCCCCATTTGATGCACATTTCAGCGCTTCCTTTGTTAAATCAACGGTGCCTCTACCAAAATGGGTTCACGTATCTCATTATGGATCAGCTTCTCTCATGCTCCAAAAACTAGGCATGGAGGTAAATCCTATATATCTCACGCGGCCACACATGCATTCATTAAGCTTGCAGACTATAGAGAAATCTGACTTAATGAAAGTTTATTTGAAGAGAATGCTTATTTAAATGCAGTCTACTCTTGGAAATAGAAATGGGTTATTTTTGGATAATTGCATAGCTGGGTGAGCTATACATTCATTCTGATGGGTGGCCCGACTGTTTCTTAACATTTTTTAACTGAAAAATATATACATTTTTTTTGTCTGCAGAGAGAAAGTAATGGGACTTCACTAAGTGAAGAGTATGGTCATGAGACTAAAGGGCTGTGAAGACATACAAATAGGAATCCTCAAAGAATTATGCTGAGTGAGGGGGAGGAGGTGGCCAAAGTCGAGAGCCCCTCATTTTGGTACTGCTGAGTATTAGGCCCAGCAAAGGCAACTAATGAGGGTCTTTAAATATCTAATTACAGCAAACAGGATTCCCCTGTCAACAAAGCTTCATTTATGCCTTTTCAGGAGTCCATTGGAAAGCCACCCTATAAATACCAAGGGGAAGACATCAAGAATGTCCTGGCAAATCCCGTTGTGTCCTTGGAAGGCGTGTGACAAAAGCAGGAAGCTGGAGATGTGTGTGAGCTTGGAAACTCACGCAGGGTTCGTAGGGACAGGTCTATTCCAGTGTGATGTCTGCACAGGGGCTCTGAACCCATACACACATGCTTCATGCCTTTCTATCCACATTACCTTCAGGTATTCACCCACCTCTCCCCAGCTGAATGGGCAATTCAGCTACCAACCTTCACTCCCATAGCGTGGTTTCTCTCAGTTAATGAATTTCTGTGGAGGTCCTCTGGGCAGCATCCCATCTTGACCTAGATGGACCAAGAGAAACGTTTCCTTCCTTCAACCATGAGCAGCTCTCCGCCTCATCTCCCTGAAGTCAGGAAAATAACACAGGCCAAAAGAAGACAAGAGGAGATGCTGTCTTGTAGATTCTTTATTACTTCTGTGGTATTTCTACCAAGCTATCCCTCACCCTTAACCTGTGATTGGGACTGAATGCCCGGCCCTAGGTAGGGGCTCTGGAGGGAACACTTTGGGTGTGCAAACACGGTTTCTGTCTTAAAGGGTGGGACTAACCTTATACAACTGACTGAGACATCAGTTCCTACAAAGTGAAAACCACAACACCCAGAAGCAAACTAACAGATACAGAAAACCCTGAAATAAGGTGATGGGAACTAAATGTAAAGAGCTCATTATTTGCAAGAAGTAGCACGTACTGAACTATAAGTAGAGGTTTAAAAATGAGAGGACTTTGCAAACAGTGACTCCTCAGTGAAAGGCTAAGGGAAATAAAGTGGGATTTGGTGGGGAGGGATAGAGAGCAGAGGGCCTTGAGGGCAGAAGCAGGGTGGGTAGCCTTAGCTTCTGATACAGTTTGGATGTTTGTCCCCACCCAAATCTCATGTTGACATCTGGTCCCCAACATTGGAGGTGGGGCCAGGTGGTAGATGTTTGGGTCCTGGGGGGGGATCCCTCATGTCTTGGTGCTGTCCTCATGGTAGTGAGTAAGCTGTCAAGAGATCTGTTTTTCATTTTGTTTGTTTGTTTGTTTCTTGAGACAGAGTCTCGCACTGTTGCCCGGGCTGGAGTACAGTGATGTGATCTCGGCTCACTGCAACCTCTGCCTCCCGGATTCAAGCAATTCCCCTGCCTCAGCCTCCCAAGTAGCTGGTACTACAGGCATGTGCCACCACACCCAGCTAATTTTTTGCATTTTAGTAGAGACGAGGTTTCGTCATGTTGGCCAGGATGGTCTTGATCTCCTGACCTTGTAATCCACCCACCTCAGCTACCCAAAGCGCTGTGATTACAGGCGTGAGCCACCGTGCCCAGCCCAGATCTGTATTTTAAAGTGCATGATACCTCCTCCTCTCTCTCTTGCTCCTCCTGTGGCCATGTGAGACGCCCCTTCTCCTTCTGCCATGATTGGACCCCACATCATGGCTAGACAAGCTGTTCTTAAGTTCCTAATAGTCCTGGAATACCATGAATATCTATGATGGCATTCAGCCTCAATGCTGGAAGGTTTCAAAAACCTTGAGTATTCCTTGGTCGGGAGGACAGAACTCTGAGCTATTGGCTGCTCCATGACGTGCACACTACCAAGCTAGTCCCCACTGTCCCAATGGGCTGACTCTCCAGTGTTGTAAATCAACCTGAGCACCCCAGAGACAAAGATGGCAACAGCAGTAACCATGTAGCTGGGTAGTGGTGGAACACCAGAGACTGCAGATACCTCACTGACAACCAAGGTTGTCTTTTCCACGGGAGACTAGGAATCCTTCCACACTCCCATCCTTGTTCTTGCCATTAGTGTCTGGAACTCTAGGGATGAGCATCCTGTACTTGCAGCAAAGCCAGAGCCCATATCCAAAGGCTGTAAACTCAAACCCCAGGCTGAGGTGCTTCACTGGCTGATTTTGAAAACACAAGGCGTCCTTTCTCCCTTGGGGCGAGTCCATACCCTGCCATTTTCGGTTGAATTGCAAAAAAGTACCATATCTCTTACAGTGTTTGCAGAGAATCCATAGCAGCCACCTGCTGGACAGCCATTCTTTCATGTGTAGTTATTAAGCACTCTCTGTGTGTCTGGCACTAGGTATTCAGCCATGAATTAGACAAAGTCCTTGCCCTCATAAAATGTCTTTACGCCTCTCATGGTAACTGTGGTTGACTCTGGGAAAGAAGGGTCAAAGGTGGATTTGAATTAATTATCATTTGCTGGTAAGAGTTTTTAATGGGATTTTTTCCCCTCCAAAGACATGTGTATTGAAACTGAAATTTGACTTTTTTCCCTTGGGAAACAATTGGTTGATTGAACTTGACCTTTTATAAACCACAGTGTTGTCTTAGACTGGGGGAGTGCTCTGCTGCTGGTATCCTTGGCCCTGTTCTTGTTGGGTTTGGGATCCAGTGATCAGATTTAAGCACATTCTGGAGAGGATATGTGTATTCTTTAAGTTTACCTACTTAAGCTAGGCTGGAAAGAGTCTCCCAGCTCCCACCCAAGGGCTTCCCAATAATTAGAAGAGATGCTTTCATGCAAACATGCTTGCCTGTGCACACATTTGGAAAGGTACTGGTGACATTTGATGGTGTTTCCTGATTCATAAAACACAGTATCAGGTACCCTGCGAGACTTGGTCTAGCACCTGCAGCCCAAGGAGACTTGGGCAAACTACTTTGCCTTTCCTACCTTATCCTTTCTCCTCTTTCAAATGGACAAAATTGTATTTATTTCATAGGATGATCACAGGAACTGAATAAAAGGCCATATACAGAGTGCCTGCTTCTGTGGCTGGTAAATAATAAATGTTTAATAAGCTGTAATGATAAAAAAAATGATGATGGTTATAATGACAGGTAGGCAGGGCAGATTTTCTTCACCTTACTTGAAGGATGGAGGAACTGAAGCTCAGGTTATGTTTTGACCAAAATCCAAGTGTACAGGTGTGAGGGAACTGAGTCCAGGTTGGTTTACTGATAATTGCCTCTTTCTTCCCTCGGGGTTCCTTACCAGGTCTCAGCATGCAAGGGATGGGCCCTTCTCCCTCCCCTATCCATTGCGCTCTCTTTTCTCTAGCATCTTAGAGAAATCAGGGAAGCTGTGTTAAGCCATTCTTGCATTGCTGTAAAGAAACACCTGAGCCTGGGTAATTTATAAAGAAAAGGGGTAAAGTATAAATAATAAGAATAATAAAAAGAAAAGGGGTTTAATTGGCTCATGGTTCTGCAGGCTTTACAAGAGGCTGGGTGCTGGCATCTACTCAGCTTCTGGTGAAGAAAGGAGTCCTGTCCTCCCCACCAAGGAAAACTCAAGGCCTCTGGTACCTTCCAGCATTGAGGCAGAATGCCGTTATAGATATTCCTGGTATTCCAGGACTATTAATAACTTAAGAACAGCCCATCTAACCATGATGTGGTGTCCAGATGACATTGGCTGTGAGCTGGAGAGTTGTAGTAGCCCAAATGCAATCATCCTACCCACACCCTACTGCCCCACAGCATCTTCCTGGTTGCAAAAGACTTTCACAGCCTTCTCTCTTATTCATTCATTAGTTAAGTATTTATTAGACACCTACGGTGTGTGTGATGTGATTCTAACCACGGGGGTACAGCAATGAATAGGATAAAGTACCTGCCCTTGAGGTGCATGTGTTCTAGCATAGGAGATAGACGAGTAAACAGGTGAATAAAGAAATAAGAAATAATATAATGCCAGGGCGGGATACATACCTGGAAATAAAAAAGAGATCTGGGAAACCCAAAAGAAGGAGTTGCTACTTAAGACAGCCAGCGCATTCAGAGGAGTGTAAGCTCAGAAGGGAGCATTTGAGCAAAGGCTTCAATGAGAAAGGAAGTGATGAGCTCTGTGAATCTCTGGGGCTAAAGTGCAACCGAGTTACCACAGTCGGTTGAACCTCGACCTGCTGATCGTTGGGGCTAAATCGCTTTTCAAATCCAAGTTTTCAAAATATTCCCTCGGAGTGAGTGTTTTCAGATTTGTGCTGACTTCAGGAGGCCGGCGGATTGCCTTGGCAGCAATTTTTAAAAATAAAATGAAAAGCAATTATGTTCTATCGCAGCAATTTACTCGGTGAAAATATGGGGATAAGGAAAGGTAAAGACATGCCCCCTTCATCCCCAAGAGCCTCCTGGGCCAGGGGCTTTTCTCACAGCCAGAATCTGGCTGTCTCCCTCCAAGACATGGGCGCAGGCTGTCTGCACAGCCCAGCCCGAGGACACACGTTTGCATCGCTGTAGCTGGGAGCGAGTCACCCCCAAGCACAGCCAACTTGGGCAACGAGCAGCATGAACAAAGGAGCGCTCTTGTGTGTGTTTCCCAGACATGACACTTCCTAAGGAGGGTCCAGGCCAAACCAAGCCTCCTTCTGATCCGAGTGTGGATCTGCAATTGAAAAAGCTTAAAGTGCCAACAGCGGGGAAGGAAGGCTGCCCAAATCACGATGGACTTCTAATCCAGCCAGATGCCCCACATTCTTGTGTTGGGCGCATTTATGTTCTACTTTCTTGTCTTGATTTCCAACCACCCACCCCTATCCTAACAAGTCCCTCTATTTTAACATTAAGTTTTTCTTTAAAAACAGATATGTGCAAACAGTACATGCTCATAATATACCAAAAAGCAAAAAGGAGAAAATTAAAAAATCATTCACAGTGTCACTATTCAGCAATAACTGCTTTTCACATATTGCTGTATATCCTTCAAGAGGTTTTCTTCCCAATTTTATTTACGGATACATATTTTTAAACAAGCCAAAGCCATGCAATATGCCATTTAACATAATTTTTCACTTGAGGAATCAGAAATATCTTCCCAGACCTATGTAAATGACAGAATTATCCAAACGTGTTTACCAAATCATATTTAATGGCTGCAAAGGATTCCATTTTATGGCCAGAACCATCATTATTTGATTTTTTTCCCCGTTATTGGAATTTTCATTATTATAAACAATGCAGCAATGAGTACCACTTACTTCTTCATTTAACAACTATTTATAGAGTGCCTTCTGCGGCTAAGTTTGCGAACACATCCTTAATTATTCCCCGCGGGGAAATTTCCCAAAGTGGAATTGCCGGGTCAAAGCACAAACGTGCATTTAAGGCTTTTGAAACGAGCATATTAGTCTTATTGCCAAACTGCCCCACAAAAGGTTGTTCCACGTTGTATTTCTACCAGCCTGGTATGAGACTGTCTGACTCCCAACCCTCTTGGCCAACACTGACTTGAGTTTTCTTTCTTCGTTTTTTTTTTTTTTCTTTTTGTTCGTTTTCTGCCTTAATTTCTAGGAGAAAAAATTATGTCTTATTTCACTTTTAAATCCTTTGTTGCTACCCAGTCTGAACATTTTTCCAAGTGTCCCGGCCATTTAGATTTCTCTTTTTGTGAACTGCTTATTCACAGCTTCAACTATACATCTTAATTAAGTCTAGGATGAAGAGGAAAGAATGGAGAAAATTAATAATTACTGAGTGCTTGTTATTTGCCAGACAGTGTATACTATTGGTTTTGCAGGAAAATTCATTTATTCTTACAATAGATCCATTTTTATTTCCATTCCCCTTTTCTAGATGATGATATTGCTGCTCGGAGAAGTTCACCTGCCCAAGGAGGCGCAGGTGACAAAGGGCAGAGACCAAATTCAAACTCTGCCATGAAGCTCATTCCCATCCCTGCCTCCTGGGAGGGGTTGAAACTTCCTTTGATAGGGGTCAGGGGAAGCTGTGTAAGGACCAGACCTAGGATGATTGGCCCCTCCAGTGGGGATATCACCCCAGCATCAAGTCACCTGCTGACACTGAATGTCTTCCCAGAGAATGTGCCATCTCAGCTTATTCTTTACCCATTTAGCCAAAGAGCCTGATAGAGTTTGCTGTGTCCCCACCCAAATGTCATCTTGAATTATAGCTCCCATAATTCCTATGTGTGCTGGAAAGGACCCGGTGAGAGGTAATTCAAACATGGGGGCAGTTACCCTCATGTTGTTCTTGTGATAGTGAGTTCTCACGAGATCTGATGGTTTTATAAAGGGGAGTTCCCCTACACAAGCTCTCCTACCTGCTGCCATGTAAGACATGACTTTCCTCTTCCTTGCCTTCTGTCATGATTGTGAGGACTCCCAAGCCATGTGGAACTGAGTCAATTGAACCCCTTTCCTTTATAAAGTATCCAGTATTGGGTATGTCTTTATTAGCAGAAAGAGAACAGCTAATACAAAGACTCTATGAACATATTCCTTGGGAAATAAATAACTACCAAACAGCAAGGCCAGATCTATCTCTTTGCAGCTGAGTGGCTAGAAAACCATTTTAAAAAGTTGGGGGGCACATTCTGAAGGTGATCCCACCTTTCTGCTTCTATATTACTCTTCAGAAGTCACCTTAATATACAAGATGTGCATCACCATGTCACAAAATAAACAGCAGCGAGAGGGCTCCCCTGCCTCCCACATCTACAGAAGCATTTCTTCTTTTGCTTGAAACACTACCCCTTCATCTTTTCTGTGACCTAACTCTTGCATTAGCATTCACTGTTTACCAACTGGATCCTTCCTGCCCCAGAACCTTCTACTGGCCACCATCCTATCAATTACCACATTATCTGTTTTTCATTGAGGTGAAGTTTACATAACATACAATTACCCATTTTAAAGTGAATAATTCAGTGGCATTCAGTGAACTCACAATGTTGTGCAACCACCTCTCTTATCTAGTTCCAAAATATTTTCATCACCCCAAAGGGAAACCCCACTCGCTCCCTACTCCTCTCTCCTTTCTGCTCCCAGTAACGACCAACCTACTTTTTGTCTCTTTGGATTTACCTATTCTTTTTGGTTGGTGCAAAAGTAACTGCGGTTTTTGTCATTACTTTCAAATAACTTTCAATATAATGGCAAAACCCCACAATTACTTTTGCACCAACCTAATAAATATTTCATATAAATTGAATTGTACAAGATGTGGCCTTTTGTGTCTGCCTTCCTTCAATGTTAGCATCATGTTTTCAAGGTTCATCCATACCAGTACTTCTTTCTTTTCTAGGGCTAAATAGTGTTCTGTGGTATGGATACACCACGATTTGTTTATCTTCTCCTCTGTTGATGGAAATGGGGTTCTTTTCACAACATTATTATTGTGAGGAATGCTGCTACTCACGTATATGGACATGTAATTGAATACCTACTTACAATTCTTTGGGGGTATATATGTATGTGTGTGTGTATGTATATGTATATACGTGTGTGTGTGTGTGTGAAATTGCTGAGTACTTATCTTTATTTTCTGGTTTATCAAACTGTCAGATCCTTGAGGGAAGAAATTTTGTCTTGTTTACCAATTTACCCCTAGTGCCTAAGGCAACCAACTGTCTCTGTTTGCCTGGGACCATAGATTTCCAGTTTCTCCAGAATGTGGGACTTTCAATGATAAAACTGGGAACATTCCGGGCAAATCTGGACAACCTGGTCACCCTAACAAAGTCAGGTGCTTTATTTGATATGTAACAGCTACTCAATAAATATTAGGTAAGCAAAAATTTCCTGCTATTTACTAGATCACAAAACATCTCAGCATATTGAGGCTCAAATACAAGGTTTTTTTTTTTTTTTAACCCAGTGGGGATATTTATAGCCATCTACAAGATTATAGAAACCTACATTTTCAGTGCAGTTGAAATACGCACAAAAGGGGATGTGGAAGTTTTAAACAGTAAAACTGCAGGTGGTTGCAGCATTAAGGCCGTTTGATCAAGATGTCCAAGAAGTATCAAAGGCTTCCCTGCACTGGTGAGGGAGAAGTGCTTGCCATGCCAAGAAAAAAAAATCCCAGAGAGGAATACTGTTACAGGATCAGGGAGATCAGAAAAATGCCAGCCAGCCAAAGTGGTAACTGCCATCTTTTTAGAGAAAGACCGAGAGGCTTGTGGGAAACACTGCAAGGTATTCAGACAGGAAAGGAGATCAGCATGAGAGCTTTGCTTCTACCCAAATGGAGATCTAGCACATGCCTGGCACTGGCGGCAAAAGGAACCTCATGTTCTGTGCCATTAAATACAGAAATAGAAAGAGCTACAGAAATTAAGAAAACTCTGAATTTGCATGGGCTGAAGGTGAGCCTGAGAGGTGTATGCATTTGAATGCCCTGATACAGCTGCGTGGCATTTCTGTCAATGTGTCAACACATGATGTGAGGAGGCAAATGAGAGGTCAGGAATTGTACAAGGTGGTGAGAGACGTGGAGGAGGATCCACCAAGGAAATACAAGCATCAGAACAGAGATACATCTCTCTAAGAAGTTCACCAATTCCCACTATGGGCAAACAGCATGTGTACCCAGAGATGGCTTCCTGTTTCCACTGGTTCTTCTGTAAGCTGAACACAGACCTCAGGCTATGATGCAGATTCAGACATTCTAAACTGAACCTTGCCTTCGTGGATAGGAAGTTAGGCTAATGAACCCCTACTGATACTGCCAAAAATAAACATCAAAAGGAAAGTGAAGAAAGGAAGCATGTTCTTCAGAGAAGTATATACTAGTAGCCTCCCCATTTTATGGAAGTAGAAATGGAGGTTCAAATGGAGGTTTCATGAATTTGCTCAAAGTCGTGAAACTCACCATGGTTTAACTGCAAATGGTGTCTTCCCAATGTATCACACTGCCCCTCTCACAACCCACTAACTATTTCCTTTCGCATATACACAAGAGGTAAGTGGAGTCAAGTTCATGTTGCATGGAGGGTCAGCCACGCTTTTGCCACAGTGGGACATTAACAAACCTTTTTCCTGTCTAGGGGAGCATACATTCCCTAGATGTGCATTCATAACCTTTCTCCCACCCTATCCAAAAAGTGAAGGTCTTGGATTAGATTAGGATGTCAAATTTACCATTCCACGTCTTCCCTGACATCCAACAGCTTGTACTTACAACACATCATTTCTTTATTAGTGATCACCAGAACTGTGCTCATAGAAGCTTTCCTATTCTGAGGTCTTAATTTTGTACCTTTCCAGTTTCCATGGAGACACTACATTCTTGCATTCTAAGAGTGTCACTGTAAAACAATGTGAAAACAAAGCAACTTCACAGAAATGGCTCACTTTGGACACCACCAAGCAATGCTCTCATCCAACAGACAGGGCCACTGTGCTGCGCTTTGGGGTTAATTGCTGAGGCCAACCTCTCTTCTTTCTCCCCCAGTCTAAGAGATGCTTTTCATGCCCAACCTAGGGACCAAGCTCGCAGTTACAAGAGCATCTCCAGGTCTCCGTGCTCCAATTATGGCACTACTGTTATAATAGAGCCGAGAGGTAACTATGGCAACATTATTTCAAGGATAAATACCACAATACCGCCTTCAACTTTTTCCCCCCATGAAGAAAGTGAAGAATCGAGAACATGTAGGATTAATAGCATCATTTGTTAAAAAGCCAATGGATGGCAGAGTTCAGAAGAAACGCTAATTAGTGGAGTCTTTCCTGGCTCAATTTAACATTTGCTCTGTGCCCCCACACATATGGGTGGTCAGCCTCAGAATTCTGTATCACCCAACTTGGGTCCCGTCAGGCTTCCAACCCCAGGTTGCTGCAAGTTCCAGAGATGTTTTTCTGGGAAGCTCAGTGCCACAGGCAGAGGTGATGGCTGACCAGTACAGAACTTCACAGTGAGTCAGGGTCAGCTACAGTGGTGATGACCAGCGAGAGTAGTGAAGGGGAAAGATTTATTGTCAGAGCTTCTCATTGCTTGAGACCCAAGAGAAGTAGTCTAGCACAGTAGTAGAAGCATGAGCCCAGAAATCAGACAGATGACAAGCTGAAGAATCTGCTCCTCCACTTACTAGCAAGTCTACTTAACCTTTTCAAGCCTCACTTTCCACATCTGTGAAGTGGGGATGAGGACCAACTTCATAGCACTGTTGTAAGAATTAAATAAAATCACAAGCATGTGGCAATCTGTCCAACAAAACTCATTTCCTCCTGGGTCACGTCTACACCACATTTCCTGGTCTCTCTGTGGCTGAGTTATAACCAACACCCTATCAGTTGAAATGATGTGTTCTTCTAGGCTGGCCTATTAAAAGCTTCCCACCCGGCTGGGTGTGGTGACTCATGCCTGTAATCCCAGCACTTTTGGAGGCTGAGGAGGGCAGATCACAAGGTCAAGAGATCGAGACCATCCCGGCCAAAATGGTGAAACCCCGTCTCTACTAAAAATACAAAAATTAGCTGGGTGTGGTGGCATGGGCATGTAGCCCCAGCTACTCGGGAGGCTGAGGCAGGAGAATCACTTGAACCCAGGAGGCAAGCGTTGCAGTGAACCAAGATTGCACCACTGCACTCCAGCCTGGCAACAGAGTGACACTCCATCTCCAAAAAAAAAAAAAAAAAACACAAAAACCAAAACAAAAAAAACCTTCCCCGCCACGCTCTTCATGCTCTTTCTCCCTCTGCTGGCTGAATATCGACCAAGGGCAAGCTTGGCAGCTATGCAGTAATGATGGCAGAGTCTCAGTCAACTTGGTTCTTAATTTTAGGTCTCAATGAATCTGAAGAATGCAATACAGAACTCCCCCATCCTTTGCCAACCAGAAACATCTGAATTAAATCATTAGTAAATTTCTATTGTGTTAAGAATAACATTAAATCATTGGTAAATTTCTATTGTGTTAAGATAATACAGTTAAGGGCTTTATCCTTTACATCATCTTGTAGAACCCTTATATTTTTTATACAAATGTAACGTGCTTAGCCCAGTTTCTGCATGCAATAAACACTCAGTACCTGTTAGCTGTATTATTGAGAAGTCCACCTTTCCCACGAAGCTGGCCAATTTGCCAAGATCCCTGGCAAGTAACATCTCCATTGATTTCATGGGGTCTCTTTGGCTCAAAGAATTAGGTATAAGCCTTTCTGCTGTGATAAGTAATGAAGTACAAATTGAGGAAATTAGTTATCAATTAGTCATTCGATGGCTGGAAAGGCAGGCAGCAGGCATAAATGGTGCCAGATTAGTTAAGCCACGATAAATTTTATTGCTCCAGAAGGAATGGGTCTTTATTCATTACTCCTCAAATTTATCTTTATTATTGGCCCCTGGATGTGAGACAAGGCCTGGATGGAGAAGGAGGTAAGAAACCAGCCTGGGCATTTGGGAGATGTGACAAACTCCACCGCAAAGGTGATCCCTGAAGAAACCAGGTCTAAGCAAGAAGAAAAACGGTATCCATCTTTTCTCACTGCCATGTCTGTAGCTTTTCCAGTTTTGCTAGGTTAAGTCCTACAGTTTGCTTGCCCTTTTCCTATTAATTATCACACCACACTACAACCCCACGGCATTTCATATGTCCATACACTGCAGGAGGTGGTGCAGGGTTTTTTTTTTTTTTTTTTTTTTTTTGCTTATGTGGAAGATGTAAGAAGGGGGTTCACAGAAATCAAATAATACCCACTAAAGGGGAAGGCATGGAACCTTCTGGTTTGTAAGTCCCTGAGGCACCACCTGTAGCTTTGTATCTCTCCTAGTGCCTGACTTAGAAGGCACTGGGAGAGACAGGAGAATCACCTGCTTAAGAATTTCTCATGGCTTTCCACTGCAGCAAATATGAAATCCAAACTTTCACCATGACCTCTGAGGTCTTTTCAAACTGTGATGTCTGCCTGCTCCTTTACTTCATCTCCTACTTCCCTCTCTTCATTATGCCCTCAGCTCCAAAAGGAATTAGAGGCCGGGTGCAAGAGCTCACGCCTGTAATTCCAGCACTTTGGGAGGCCGAGGCAGGCGGATCACCTGAGGTCAGGAGTTCGAGACCAGCCTGACCAACATGGTGAAACCCCATGTCTACTAAATACAAAAAATTAGCTGCGCATGGAGATGCATGCCTGTAATCCCAGCTACTTCGGAGGCCGAGTCAGGAGAATCGCTTGAACCTGGTAGGCGGAGGCTGCAGTGAGCCAAAATTGCACCTTTGTACTCTAGCCTAGGCAACAAGAGTGAAACACTGTCTCAAGAAAAAATAAACAAACAAACAAAAGTAATTAGATGGAAGTTGATCAAATAGATGCCCATGGGGAAGTGGTCGTCTTTTGTGACCAACCAAGGCCCTTTAAGTCACAGCTTAGGGCTACTGCTTTGGTCTACCTAACACTCAACAGCCACATGCCATCAATTGATTCAGGAAGATCAGTGTGAACCAATAAAATGGGGATCCTTCCTGGTCTCCCAGTCTTGGCCTCACCCAATCTGTCCCTCACTCAGTTGCCAGAATTGTGGGGAAAAGCAAGAGAGATCAGATTGTTACTGTGTCTGTGTAGAAAGAAGTAGACATAGGAGACTCCATTTTGTTATGTACTAAGAAAAATTCTTCTGCCTTGAGATTCTGTTAATCTATAACCTTACCCCCAACCCCGTGCTCTCTGAAACGTGTGCTGTGTCAACTCAGAGTTGAATGGATTAAGGGCGGTGCAGGATGTGCTTTGTTAAACAGATGCTTGAAGGCAGCATGCTCCTTAAGAGTCATCACCACTCCCTAATCTCAAGTACCCAGGGACACAAAAACTGCGGAAGGCCGCAGGGACCTCTGCCTAGGAAAGCCAGGTATTGTCCAAGGTTTCTCCCCATGTGATAGTCTGAAATATGGCCTCGTGGGAAGGGAAAGACCTGACCGTCCCCCAGCCCGACACCCGTAAAGGGTCTGTGCTGAGGAGGATTAGTAAAAGAGGAAGGAATGCCTCTTGCAGTTGAGACAAGAGGAAGGCATCTGTCTCCTGCCTGTCCCTGGGCAATGGAATGTCTCGGTATAAAACCCGATTGTATGCTCCATCTACTGAGATAGGGAAAAACCGCCTTAGGGCTGGAGGTGGGACCTGCGGGCAGCAATACTGCTTTGTAAAGCATTGAGATGTTTATGTGTATGCATATCTAAAAGCACAGCACTTAATCCTTTACATTGTCTATGATGCCAAGACCTTTGTTCACGTGTTTGTCTGCTGACCCTCTCCCCACAATTGTCTTGTGACCCTGACACATCCCCCTCTTCGAGAAACACCCACAGATGATCAATAAATACTAAGGGAACTCAGAGGCTGGCGGGATCCTCCATATGCTGAACGCTGGTTCCCCGGGTCCCCTTATTTCTTTCTCTATACTTTGTCTCTGTGTCTTTTTCTTTTCCAAATCTCTCGTCCCACCTTACGAGAAACACCCACAGGTGTGTAGGGGCAACCCACCCCCACATCAATCATCAATTAAAACACTCCCTTCCTTCCTAACAATAGGAGCGAACATGAACATTGCACCAACTAAACACAAGGTATAATCCTAAACATGTTACATAGATTAACACAATTAATCCTCCCAAGACGCTTACAGGGAAGGTACCATTATTACCTTCATTTGAGGCATAGAGAAGTTAAGTAGCTTGCATGTGGCAGAGGTGGGATTCAAAACTATTCCGGCTTTTAACAAATGTATTATGCCAACTCCAGGAAAATACTTGCATGGCTAAAATTACCCTCAAAAGCCCCTAATATTCCCACAAAGTGTCATGCAGGTAGTTTTGCATTATCAACACATGCATACTAACATACACATTGACATTTGAGAATGGCTGAGTTAGATTAGAAAAATGAATAAAAAGAAAGGCTACGTGGAGAGGCTAGATAATTACCAAATACCTAGAGAGGAGTGGGGGATGGACACAGAATCCTGTATTGTCCCTGCTTTTCTGTAGGGTTTAGATCATTGATTTTTGTGTTTTTTTTTTTCAATGAAAACTCTATATCCTCAACACAGCTCTCTACTTATTTGTAGATCTGAGGATGAAATGAGATGGAATGTGCTAAGAGGGGAGGCTCCTATACAAGGGAGAGCAGTGCTGTGCTGGTAAACGCTTAACAACCAACTTTCTGGGGACAGAAAAACACTGGTTTATAGGGTTTTCCAGTTTCTGTGGTATAAATACTCCCTCTATGGCCAATTTCTAGCTGCCAATATGACATCAACCAGCTGGTAGGTTTCCTTAAAATTTCACAATCGGCTCTCGCCAGCCAATACAAGCTGGCTGCAGCACACCACTGGAGGAGAGGTCCTATAGACAGCTCTTAGAAACAGAAGCAACTCCGTTGCCGCATATTTAGAGGGATTCCTCTGTCTACCATATGGAAACGGAGTTGTAACTCTTTTTCAAGTGAAAAACGCAGCCAAAATTCTACACAAGTATATTCTAAATTTTTTTGAGTATAAGCAGTAAAATAATAACCACTAATCAGGGCACATAGTGTAAAATTCATAGACAATTTATACCTATGAGGATTTTTTTAAGTGTTCTATGTAATGGCACTAAAATCTTTATTTCTAGAGTTTTAATGAGTGCATTATGAGGACTTAGCTACATCAAAAAGGACCATTATTGAAGTTTAGTGCCCACTCATACACACACAAGCATTTTCACTTTTTTTTTTTTAAGACAAGGTTTTGTTCTGCTGCCCATGCTGGAGTGCAGTGGTGTGATCACAGCTCACTGCAGTCTCAACCTCCTAGGTTAAAGCAATCCTCCCACCTCAGCCTCCCAAGCAGCTGGGACTACAAGTGTAGCCACACATCTGGCTAATTTTTAAAATACGGTTTATTTCTTGGAGTGATGAGGTCTCACTATGTTCAAGAGCAGGCTGGTCTTGAACTCCTAGGCTCAAGCGATCCTCTTGCCTCAGCCTCCCAAAGTGCTGGGCACTCTTTTTTTGTACAATGTTCTGGGTGAATTTTCTTTCTCTCTGAATTTATTTCTTTTGATCTAGTTTGAAACTCAACATATGCCTCAAAGTTGCAGAAATTCAAAGTAGAGGAGTGAGTATGAAGTCCTATCTCCAGGCTTGGCAAAATTACTCAGCCATTTCATGAAATCCCAACTGCTTATACGCCCTCACCTCCTAAGAGGGTTCTCTTATTATGGGTCATTCAAAGAGTTACCATCCTTTTCTGAAACCTTTGTAAAATGACTGTTTATCTTCAATTTGGGGTGCCATTCTCTCTGAAGGGAGAAAATAAGATCCTATGGCCCATGAAGCAATTTATTTTCTGGAAAGCACAGTATCACAGTAAACAGCGTGAAACAGCTAGGTGGGTGGCAAAAACAAGGGGGAGCCCTTTTAATAGTTGATTGTTTCAATAGTGAATGTTTGGAGCAAAATGTCTCATTTAAGTTAAAGGATACATGTGCAGGTTTGTTATATTGGTAAGCTTGTGTCATGGGGGTTTCCTGTACAGACTATTTCATCACCCAGGTATGAAGCCTAGTATCTATTAGTTGTTTTTCCTGATCCTCTCTCTCCTCCCACCCTCCAATCCGTGACCTCTAAAAGGTCCCAGTGTGTATTTCTCCCCTCTATGTGTCCCTGTGTTCTCATCATTCAGCTACCACTTCTAAGTAAGAACATGCAGTATGTGGTTTTCTGTTCCTACACCAGTTTGCTGAGGACAATAGCCTCCAGTGCCATTCATTTTCCTGCAAAGGACATGATCTCGTTCTTTTTTTTATGGCTGGATAGTATTGCATGGTATATGCATACATTTTCTCTATCCAATCTGCCATTATGGGAATTTAGATTTACTCCATGTCTTTGCTATTGTGAATAGTGTACAATGAACATACACATGCATGTATCTTTATAATAGAACGATTTATATTCCTTTGGGTATATACCCAGGAATGGGATTGCTGGGTCAAATGGTATTTCTGTTTTTAGGTCTTTGGGGAACTGCCACACTGTCTTCCACAATGGTTGAACTAATTTACTTTCCCACCAATAAGGAATAAAAAACCATTAAAATGGGTTTAATATAGTTGAGGTTTGGAGTAAACACTAAACCATCTCAATTTGGAGTCAGTTCTCTTACTTAATTGCAATAGTGGATATTCTACAGCTAACAGTATTTTTCCATTCTCCTGGACCACTACCACTTCCAAATGCTCCTCACCTTTAGAGTAGTCCTGAGACTGATGCGGTTCTGCTCTCCAGTATCTGTGTGACTTTAGGTGGCTTCCTTGCCCTCTCTGATTCCTAGAGTTCATCCTCCAGATTCACCTTCATCCAGCAGCCACATCATCTAACTATTTGAGACCAAAAACAATTATGTGCAAATCTATCTGATTTTAAGCAGAAGTCTACAGTGGATGTATTAACTTCTCTATTGGGTGGAGACGGTATCCGCCCACTTGCTTCACAGAGATGTCAAGAGACGTAATCAGTATGAAAGCTCCCCGAGAGAAAAAGAAAGATAAGGGATGCACAAATGTAGGGCACTACAAATGTTAATTACTCATGAGTGAAATGCATAATGCCCAGAATCAGTGAAGTTTAGAGCTGAGAAGAAACTTCATAATCACCTAGTCTAATCCATCATCTCTCCACCAGAGCCTAAAATTACAGCCTTCGGGGAGAGCTCCTCAAACTGTCTGGATTGAACAGAAAGCAGAATTTCTTGGCAAGGCACGATGGCTCATGCCTGTAATCCCAGCACTTTAGGAGGCCGAGGTGGGCAGATCTCTTCAGGTCAGAAGTTTGAGACCAGCCCAGTCAACATGGTGAAACCCACCTCTCTACTAAAAATACAAAAATTGGTGGGTTCCAAGATTGCCGAATAGGAACAGCTCCAGTCTACAGCTCCCAGCGTGAGCAACGCAGAAGACAGGTAATTTCTGAATTTCCCAGTACCGGGTTCATCTCACTGGGGCTTGTCAGACAGTGGGGACAGGACAGTGGATGCAGCCCACCATGCGTGAGCCGAAGCAGGGCGAGGCATCGACTAACCTGGGAAGTGCAAGGTGTCAGGGAATTCCCTTTCCTAGCCAAGGGAAGCTGTGGCAGACGGCACCTGGAAAATTGGGTCACTCCCACCCTAATACTGCACTTTTCCAACAGTCAGCAAACGGCACACCAGGAGGTTACATCCCATGCCTGGCTCAGAGGGTCCCACGCCCACAAAGCCTCACTCATTGCTAGCACAGCCGTCTGAGATCGAACTGCAAGACGGCAGCGAGGCTGGGGGAGGGGCGCCTGCCATTGCTGAGGCTTGAGTAGGTAAACAAAGCAGATGGGAAGCTCCAACTGTGTGGAGCCCACCACAGCTCAAGGAGGCCTGCCTGCCTCTGTAGACTCCACCTCTGGGGGCACGGCATAGCCAAACAAAAGGTAGCAGAAACCTCTGCAGACTTAAATGTCCCTGTCTGACAGCTTTGAAGAGAGTACTAGTTCTCCCAGCATGGAGTTTGACATCTGAGAATGGACAGTCTGCCTCCTCAAGTACGTTCCTGACCCCCGAGTAGCCTAACTGGGAGGCACCCCCACAGTAGGGGCAGACTGACATCTCATGCAGTCGGGTGCCCCTCTGAGACGAAGCTTCCAAAGGAATGATCGGGCAGCAACATTTGCTGTTCAGAAATATTCGCTGTTCTGCAGCCTCTGCTGCTGATACCCAGGCAAACAGGGTCTGGAATGGACCTCCAGCAAACTCCAACAGACCTGCAGCTGAGGGTCTTGACTGTTAGAAGGAAAACTAACAAACAGAAAGGACATCCACACCAAAACCGCATCTGTACATCACCATCATAAAAGACCAAAGGTACATAAAACCACAAAGATGGGGAAAAAACAGAGCAGAAAAGCTGAAAATTCTAAAAATCAGAGTACCTCTCCCCCTCTAAAGGAACGCAGCTCCTCACCAGCAATGGAAAAAAGCTAGACGGAGAATGACTTCGACGAGTTGAGAGAAGAAGGCTTCAGACGATCAAACTTCTCTGAACTAACGGAGGAAGTTCGAACCCATCGCAAAGAAGCTAAAAACCTTGAAAAAAGATTAGATAAATGCCTAACTAGAATAACCAGTGTAGAGAAGTCCTTAAATGACCTGATGGAACTGAAAACCATGGCACAAGAACTACGTGACGAATGCATAAGCTTCAGCAGCCGATTCGATCAACTGGAAGAAAGGGTATCAGTGATTGAAGATCAAATGAATGAAATGAAGCGAGAAGAGAAGTTTAGAGAAAAAAGAGTAAAAAGAAACGAACAAAGCCTCCAAGAAATATGGGACTATGTGAAAAGACCAAATCTACATCTGATTGGTGTACCTGAAAGTGACAGGGAGAATGGCACCAAGTTGGAAAACACTCTGCAGGATATTATCCAGGAGAACTTCCCCAACCTAGCATGGCAGGCCAACATTCAAATTCAGGAAATACAGAGAATGCCACAAAGATACTCCTCGAGAAGAGCAACTCCAAGACAAATAAATTGTCAGATTCACCGAAGTTGAAATGAAGGAAAAAATGTTAAGGGCAGCCAGAGAGAAAGGTCGGGTTACACACAAAGGGAAGCCTATTAGACTAACAGCAGATCTCTCGGCAGAAACTCTACAAACCAAAAGGGGGTGGGGGCAATATTCAACATTCTTAAAGAATTTTCAACCCAGAACTTCATATCCAGCAAAACTAAGCTTCATAAGTGAAAGAGAAATAAAATCCTTTACAGACAAGCAAATCCTGAGAGATTTTGTCACCACCAGGCCTGCCCTAAAAGAGCTCCTGAAGGAAGCACTCAACATGGAAAAGAACAACCGATACCAGCCACTGCAAAAACATGCCAAATTGTAAAGACCATCAAGGCTAAGAAGAAACTGCATCAATTAACGAGCAAAATAACCAGCTAACATCATAATGACAGGAACAAATTCACACATAACAATATTAACCTTAAATGTCAATGGGCTAAATGCTCCAATTAAAAGACACAGACTGGCAAATTGGATAAAGAGTCAAGACCCATCAGTGTGCTGTATTCAGGAAACCCATCTCATGTGCAGAGACACACATAGGCTCAAAATAAAGGGATGGAGGAAGATCTACCAAGCAAATGGAAAACAAAAAAGGCAGGGGTTGCGGTCCTAGTCTCGGATAAAACAGACTTTAAACCAACAAAGATCAAAAGAGACAAAGAAGGCCATTATATAATGGTAAAGGGATCAATTCAACAAGAAGAGCTAACTATCCTAAATATATATGCACCCAATACAGCACCCACATTCATAAAGAAAGTCCTTAGAGACCTACAAAGAGACTTAGACTCCCACACAATAATAATGGGAGACTTTAACACCCCACTGTCAACATTAGACAGATCCACGAGACGAAAGTTAACAAGGATATCCAGGAATTGAACTCAGCTCTGCACCAAGCAGACCTAATAGACATCTACAGAACTCTCCACCCCAAATCAACAGAATATACATTCTTCTCAGCATCACATCACACTTATTCCAAAATTGACCACATAGTTGGAAGTAAAGCACTCCTCAGCAAATGTAAAAGAACAGAAATTATAACAAACTGTCTCTCAGACCACAGTGCAATCAAACTAGAACTCAGGATTAAGAAACTCACTCAAAACCACTCAACTACATCGAAACTGAACAACCTGCTCCTGAAAGACTACTGGGTACATAACGAAATGAAGGCAGAAATAAAGATGTTCTTTGAAACCAATGAGAACAAAGACACAACATACCAGAATATCTGGGACACATTTAAAGCAGTGTGTAGAGGGAAATTTATAGCACTAAATGCCCACAACAGAAAGCAGGAAAGATCTAAAATTGACACCCTAACATCACAATTAAAAGAACTAAAGAAGCAAGAGCAAACACATTCAAAAGCTAGCAGAAGGCAAGAAATAACTAAGATCAGAGCAGAACTGAAGGAAACAGAGACACAAAAAACCCTTCAAAAAATCAAGGAATCCAGGAGCTGGTTTTCTGAAAGATCAACAAAATTGATAGACCACTAGCAAGACTAATAAAGAAGTAAAGAGGGAAGAATCAAATAGACACAATAAATAATGATAAAGCGGATATCACCACGAATCCCACAGAAATACTACCATCAAAGAATAGTATAAACACCTCTACGCAAAAAAACTAGAAAATCTAGAAGAAATGGAAAATTCCTCAACACATACACCCTCCCAAGACTAAACCAGGTATAAGTTGAATCCCTGAACAGACGAATCACAGGCTCTCAAATTGGGGCAATAATAGCCTACCAACCAAAAAAACTCTAGCATCAGACAGATTCACAGCCGAATTCTACCAGAGGTACAAGAAGGAGCTGGTACCATTCCTTCCGAAACTAGTCCAATCAACAGAAAAAGAGGGAATCCTCCCTAACTCATTTTATGAGGCCAGCGTCATCCTGATACCAAAGCCTGGCAGAGACACAACAAAAACAGAGAATTTCAGACCAATATCCCTGATGAACATTGATGTAAAAATCCTCAATAAAATACTGGCAAACTGAATCCAGCAGCACATCACAAAGCTTATCCACCATGATCAAGTGGGCTTCAACCCTGGGATGCAAGGCTGGTTCAACATATGCAAATCAATAAATGTAATCCAGCATTTTAACAGAACCAAACACCAAAACCACATGATTATCTCAATAGATGCAGAAAAGGCCTTGGACAAAATTCAACAGCCATTCATGCTAAAAACTCTCAATAAATTAGGTATTAATGGGATGCATTCCCATCCTAGAAGCATTCCCTTTGAAAACTGACACAAGACAGGGATGCCCTCTCTCACCACTCCTATTCAACATAGTGTTGGAAGTTCTGGCCAGGGCAATTAGGCAGGAGAAGGAAATAAAGGGTATTCAATTAGGAAAAGAGGAAGTCAAATTGTCCCTGTTTGCACAGGACATGATTGTATATTTAGAAAACCCCACCATCTCAGCCCAAAATCTCCTTAAGTTGATGAGTAACTTCAGCAAAGTCTCAGGATACAAAATCAATGTGCAAAAATCACAAGCATTCTTATACACCAGTAGCAGACAAACAGAGAGCCAAATCATGAGTGAACTCCCATTCACAATTGCTTCAAAGAGAATAAAATATCTAGGAATCCAACTTACAAGGGATGTGAAGGACCTCTTCAAGGAGAACTACAAACAACTGCTCAATGAAATAAAAGAGGACACAAACAAATAGAAGAACATTCCATGCTCATGGATAGGAAGAACCAATATCGTGAAGATGGCCATACTGCCCAAGGTAATTTATAGATTCAATGCCATCCCCATCAAGCTACCAATGACTTTCTTCACAGAATTGGAAAAAACTACTTTAAAGTTCATATGGAACCAAAAAAGAGCCCGCATTGCCAAGACAATCCTAAACCAAAAGAACAAAGCTGGAAGCATCATGCTACCTGACTGCAAACTATACTACAAGGCTACAGTAACCAAAACAGCATGGTACTGGTACAAAAACAGAGATATAGACCAATGGAACAGAACACAGCCCTTGGAAATAATACCACACATCTACAACCATCTGATCTTTGACAAACCTGACAAAAACAAGAAATGGGGGAAGGATTCCCTATTTAATAAATGGTGCTGGGAAAACTGGCTAGCCATATAGAGAAAGCTGAAACTGGATCCCTTCTTTACACCTTATACAAAAATTAATTCAAGATGGATTCAAGACTTAAATGTTAGACCTAAAACTATAGAAACCCTACAAGAAAACCTAGGCATTACCATTCAGGACACAGGCATGGGCAAGGACTTCATGTGTAAAACACCAAAACCAATGGCAACAAAAGCCAAAATTGACAAATGGGATCTAATTAAACTAAAGAGCTTCTGCACAGCAAAAGAAACTACCATCAGAGTCAATAGGCAACCTACAGAATGGGAGAAAATTTTTGCAATCTACTCATCTGCCAAAGGGGTAATATCCAGAATCTACAATGAACTCAAACAAATTTACAAGAAAAAAACAACCCCATCAAAAAGTGGGTGAAGGATATGAACAGACACTTCTCAAAAGAAGACATTTATGCAGCCAAAAGACACATGAAAAAATGCTCATCATCACTGGCCATCAGAGAAATGCAAATCAAACCACAATGAGATACCATCTCACACCAGTTACAATGGCGATCATTAAAAAGTCAGGAAACAACAGGTGCTGGACAGGATGTGGAGAAATAGGAACACTTTTACACTGCTGGTGGGACTGTAAACTAGTTCAACCATTGTGGAAGACAGTAAGGCGATTCCTCAAGGATCTAGAACTAGAAATATCATTTGACCCAGCAATCCCATCACTGGGTATATACTGAAAGGATTGTAAATCATGCTGCTATAAAGACACATGCACACATATGTTTATTGCGGCACTATTCACAATAGTAAAGACTTGGAACCAACCCAAATGTCCATCAATGATAGACCGGATTAAGAAATTGTGGCACATATACACCATGGGATACTATGCAGCCATAAAAAAGGATGAGTTCATGTCCTTTGTAGAGACATGGATGAAGCTGGAAACCATCATTCTCAGCAAACTATCGCAAAGGACAAAAAACCAAACACTGCATGTTCTCACTTATAGGTGGGAATTGAACAATGAGAACACTTGGACACAGAAGGGGAACATCACACACCGGGGCCTGTCATGAGGTGGGGGAAGGGGGAGGGATAGCACTGGGAGATATACCTAATGTAAATGACAAGTTAATGGGTACAGCACACCAACAGGGCACACGTATACATATGTAACAAACCTGCACGTTGTGCACATGTAGCCTAGAACTAAAAGTATAATAAAAAAAAATACAAAAATTAGCCAGGCGTGGCAGTGCATGCCTGTAATCCCCGCTACTTTGGGCGGTCGGAGAGAGAGCGGTGAGGCAGGAGAATTGTTTGAACCCGGGAGGCAGAAGTTGCAGTGAGCTGAGATCGCACCACTGCACTCCAGCCTGGGCGACAGAGCAAAACTCTGTCTCAAAAAAGAAAAAGAAAGCACAATTTCTTCACAATCACGTCACTTAATCACAAGAAAATGACCACCATTTTCCAAGGCTGATTCAGGTGGCAAAAGCCTTTTATTTCATTTAATTTCAGATCGGGTGAGATGGTAAATATTTAACAACTTGCTCTCCCTTCCCCACTCCTCACAAAAAGCCCTGATTTACATTGTGTGCCAATGTCTGTGTTGTAAATACTCCAATTTCAAGTCATCAGTGCAAAGCCACTGAAGGTGGAGTTGGAAAGAAGAGACACAATGACCGATGATGCCATATGAACCAGGTCCAGCATCGATGGGGGGTGCCCTTCTATTTGGAAGCGGAAAAGAAGGATTCTGCCTAAGAAGAATCTAAAGTTACTTTGTCCCTGATTTCAAGGGATTCCATGAGCAGCTATGGAAATAGATAAATAATTAAAACACAAGGCAGTCAGAGCGACAGCAAAGGAAACGGGTTCAAGGTGCTGCGGGAACCCAGAAGACAGAGCAATTCATTCAAGGGCAGCTACAAGAAACAGAGAATGTTTGAGTAGGGGTTTCAGGAGCATGCCAGATGAGTGAGGTGGAAGATAAGAGGAAGGAGCTCCAGATGGGGAACATAGCACAAGCAAAGACAAGGAGCTGTGAATGATTCTTTTCAGGGCATGGTAGCCTGGGAGCTGTAGTTGAAAATTTATATGAAAGCACTTCCCAGCCCAGACCTTGGTGACATGATGAAGAAGGAGCTCTCCAGGAGTCTTTCTCTATTTCCGTAAGATAGGTCCTTTGAAGGGAAAGGATGCAAACAACCTACATAGATGCTGTCAGCATAGAAAGTTTCTGTTATCAAGATGAATAAGTTCTTGAGACCTTCCGTATGACATCATGCCTATCATTAACAATACCGTGTTATGTGCCTAAAAATTCATTGCAAGGCTGGGTGCAGTGGCTCATGCCTATAATCCCAGCACTTTGGGAGGGTGAGGTGGGAGGATTACTTAGGGCCAGGAGTTTCAGACAAGCCAGGGCAACACAGCAAGGCCTTATGTGTACAAAAATAAAATTTGTTACAAGGCAGATCTCGTTTTAAGTGATCTTAGCGTAATAAACAAAAAAGAAATATAATGAAAATCATGTGTGATTTTTTAATTTCCCAGTAGCCACATTAAAACAAGCAAACAGGAAAATTACTTTTAAAGATAGGTTTTACTTAACACAACATGCAAAAAATGATCATTTTAATATGTGGCACCAGTCAGTTTTACGTGCTGAGTGACTACATGTAGCCAATGGCTCCCATATTGAACGGCACAGCTTGTAGGTACTATGTTCCTTTATGGGAATGTAAGACTCCTCCTTCCACGGGACATGCTCTGCAAAGGTCTCATTTGGTTTAAGAGAACTCTGATATGTCTGATTCTAGCTGACACTTCCTGTAATGACATTTGATTTCAGCCCACAATTAGCAGCATCAGCCAGTATAACTCAGAAAACAGAAGGTGCCCACCCAGTCCCCCAATTAAATTTACCCCTGGGATGTGAGTAGTGTTCTGCCTTCTATTTGTTCAGATTCACAGAGACATACAAAGAGAAATAGAAAATGTACCTGTAACCCATATATCTCCTCTCCTTTTTCGTTCTTTCCAATCACAATACAGAATACTCACCGTTAGTGTGATTGTGAGAATTAAAATCAGTCCATTTGAGAAAAGCACTTGGAGAAAAAAAAACAGGCTAATAGTAAGCGGAGTTAATCCTTTGCTATCTCTATTGTTAATGCAAAATAGCATGCCTCCTGCCTGACCCAGCACACGTTCAGTGTCTGTTGTCCCTGCTGTGATACACACCATGGTGCTGTGTAGACTCACCTACACTTTATCCCAACACCTGACCAGATCCATCTCTCGGCCCAAATGAAGTTCTTCAAGCTAGCTCTTAGCCCCCATTGGTTCTTTCAGGCTAGCTTACCTTTAGTCCCATTTCTGGACTAATACTAATTTGAAGCCTCCTTCTTCCATAAACGCTATCTAGACGTAAACAAGGTCCTCACTCACTTCGCTTTCTTTAAGTCATATATGATACCCATTCTGTCCTGCACAGCTGGGCCAGTACTCTGTTATGCCTAGTTGAGCATTAATTGCCTAAAGCTTTCTATATGAGTAGCTTGACCAAGAGCTTTGATGAGGCTACTGGTGGATATCTACTATGTGCCAGACGTTCTTATGGCACCGGAGGATGCAAGAGAAGTGATCGGGCTTGTTTCTCTCCTTTGACAGCTTCCCAGTGTAGAAGCCTCCTTCAGAAGTAAGAATATAGCAGCCCCACTTTTACATTTTAAATCCGCTATAAAAGCACTGGGCTCACAAAAGTTGTTCTAACACCTTCTGATGGTTTGGAGAAGGAGAGGAAGGAGAGGAAGGAAGGAAGGAAAGTTAGGAGAGGAAGGAAGGGAGGAAGGGAGGGAGGGAGGAAGGGAGGGAGGCAGGAAGGGAGGGAGGGAGGAAGAAAGGAAAGAAGGAAGGGAGGAAGGAAGGAAGGGAGGAAGGAAGGAAGGGAGGAAGGAAAGGAGGAAGGACTGGAGGAAGGAAGGGAAGGACGGATATGCCCAAATTTCCCATCTTGAACCAAATGATGGAAAAATGTAAGTTCCATATACTATCACTCTGAAAATCCTTATGCTCCAGAATCAGAAAACCTCTCATTATATGGATATAGCATTTTTTAAAAATCTGATTTATTATTTTCTCTTATTTCTAAAATTCTCCCAGGTCTCAGGGTGCCAAAAGACTGAGAAGAGAGGAGTATTTCTAGTCAATGATAGCATTATCATGATTCCCGTTCATCCCTACATACTGGAACTACCATATGCAGTATTTAGCAAAAGTCTGGCTTCATAATACGGCAGGTATTAAGGTAGGCATTAAGTGTTTTACAAAGAAGAAAATCTTATATCCCCTTCCTATTCTACATGTTTTTTATTTCTTTAACGAAAGTTTCTACTCAAAGTTTCACTTTAAATATAAAATACGTCCTTGTGGAAGCTGTTACAAATGTCACCACTTTAACCGGCCCAAATTTATGATAGCATTGAATTTTAATGGAGCCATAAATGTCTGATGTAATGGTGATATATGTGTCGCAATAAATTGTTATAGAGAAATATAAAAATAAGTGTAAGATAAAAGATTGTGTATAAAATATGTTTTTACATCTCCTTTAATGATTAAAAATCATACCAACTTGATATTCTAAATCACTCAAAATTGCTACTGTGGCTCTGAGAACATTTTCTCCCCTGAAAGTCTTTCCCAGGCTGAGTTGATGATTCTGTGGTCAGAAATCACATCCACTTTAATGAGGACATTTAAGATGATTTTTATGTTGACGTGGGAAAAAAAGTAATTAGCATTAAAGAAGATGGAGATGATGATATTAATGACCCTTTGCCTTGGGAATGGTCCTTGGAAAGTGACAGGATTGATGGGCTTGCGGCCTTATGACTCCTGCAGTCTTCAGGGCGACCCCACTGATTGCTCTGGTGGTTTGGAATGACGTGGCAGCCCCAAGGACAGATGCAGGAAAGAGGGATGAGATGAGACTCTGCTCGTGGAAGTTGATGGCCTGATGGTGGCCATAGATGACACTGGACCACTATCCCAGTTCTATTTGCTGTGTGACCTTGGACCAGTGACTCCACCCTTCCTGGTCTCAATTTCCCCATCTACAAAACAGAGGTGATAATAGTACCAAGACATAGACATTTTTTAATTTTTTACCACCTGCCTCCTTTAACCTATTTTAAGGACCATCCCTCATGATCCCACTCCAACTCATCATGACTCCAGTCCTCACTCCAGGGTAGTACACAACAAACGGTGACTTCCGTTCCCTGCCACCATGGTCATCTGTCCAGACGGGCACATAATCCTCATCAGAGACAAGGAGACGCCACAAGACATACTAAAACTATGGGGACAGTAAAAGAAACATTCTTTTCTGCTGGACTTCACCTTGAAAGCATGTGGATTAGAGTACCCACAGCCCTTTTGCCACCATGACAGCTCACCTTAGAATGATACTGAGATATGGGAAGTAGAGTCAAGAGACCAAGAAAAACAACAGAGCCTATCATACTGTTTAAGCTCCTGGATCCAGCTATGCCTGAAGCCACAGCTTCTCCTGGATATTTCAGTTGCATGACTTGACAGATTCCCTTTCTGCTTATCATTTTGGGTTTGGTTTTCAGTCACGTGTAATCAATTGAGTCCTAACTGATCCATGAGTTTGCTACAGAAAACTTTACAAGGTTAAGTGAGATAATTCACACAATGTGCTTTGAATAGTGTCCAATATGCAAGTCTTCATACGCACTAGCTGACACTTTCATCACTGTTGCTGGGACTGTGGCCAGCCCCTGTGCCTGGGGGACTGTGCTGCACCCTGTTTGGTGGAGCCCCCTTGGAGTCTCAGGCAATCACACAGTGTTTGGTGACTGGATGCTTTGCTCCTCTCACTTCTGATGATGACTGATCAACAGGGCACCTGATGAATGTTAACACCGGCCCCAACTCCTCAGGGAGCCCCCAGATGGTAAAGACATGACAGTCAGCCTCCTCCCCGTGTGTTTACTTCCTCCACATCTAGCTCCCAGTGGCCGCTCTGCCCTCTCTATTCCCAGGACGAGGCTCCACTGCCAACAAGCGTTGGGCTTCTGTTTGCTGTGGAAAAATACCAATTTCAAAGAGAGCAGTTCTGCAGCATGGACCCCTCCCACTGCTGGCCACACTGATCCCTCCCCAGGGCTCCTCAGCAACCCAGCCTCACCCCACCTCCTCTGTCTCTAGCTGTGGTTAGCACCCATTCATTTTTCTTATTATTTTTTACATTTTTAATATCCCAAGGCTTAAGCTTGAAAAACTGGAATGAAGCTTGCTCAAATGGCAAAGTCACAGACAGACACGTGCAGATGGAGAGAGGGGAGGAGGCCCCAACGTGGGGCAGTGGCTCCCCTGTTTTCCCTGCTCTCTGCTTCTACAACACAGGATTTCCTGTCCCAGCCCCAAGGGCCTTTCTGTTGGCTCTAAGAATTCTAAGTTTGAAGCTTAGGGTGCACAGAAAATGCCAAAGCGTAAGTTTTTTTAAACATCCGTCTCTGTCTGCTGCAAAATACCTCAATTTTCTCTCCTTCTATATGAAAAATTTATTTTCTCTATAGCTATCAGGGGAATAAAGATCAAAGAAAAATATTTTGCAAATGACCCCATGCACACAAGTACTCTTATGCTTTCTTTTCTCCCGAACATTACCACCTTCCAATACTCCTTATAACTTACTTATTTTTATTATCCACTTTCCCCCTACCAGACACAAGTGCCACAATGGCACAGATTCTTGTCTGTTTTATTCACAGCTGTATTACCGGTGCCTTGAGTACTGCCTGCTACGCAGAACGTTACCCATAGGTGCACAACAGTTATGTGCTAAAAGTGGGATGTTTCACTGGGACTAGCCTTAATATCCATATTGGACGCCAAGTTCCCCCTCAATCATGAGTTTATTTTTCTTTCATCCTTCCTTGCCTGAATAATTATCACAGACCTTCTATGTGCAAAAGGGGCACAGTTCCTACACTCAAGAAGTTTACAGCCCAATGGATAAGACACATACTTAAACCAAGAAGGACAATAAGGCAACAGAACTGTTAGATTTCAAGGTGTTTCAAGACAACAGCAAAAAAGAGTTTTTTCTAAACTTGAGATTCAGGCAAGGCCTTGTGGAGGAAGGGGTGTGTGGAGTAAGTGGGAGTTAGCCTGTTCTTTGTCAGAGAGAAGAAAATCCATGTAGACCCAATTTTGCTTTGAGTTCATCCATCTTCCCTGGTTGTTTGCATCAATGTTGACATTAAGGAAACCCCTCTAGCTAAGGTTTAGATGAGCTAGCTGATTTCAGCAGAAGCTAATGTTTGGCATTCCACTGTGATATGTTTACACAGAGTCATAAATACTTCCTGATTCACATGCTGTGCACCCCCACTCCAGCTCCCAATTCAAATGCCCCAGTGGAAAACCTGCAGTCAGACTGAAATCAATGGAATGTGCTTTATACTTCCTTTAGATTTCCCTTTTTTTTTTTTTTTTTTTTCTGAGACAGAGCCTTGCTCTGTCGCCCAGGCTGCAGTACAGTTGTGCAATCTCGGCACATGGCAACCTTCACCTCCCAGATTCAAGCGATTCTCCTGTCTCAGCCTCCTGAGTAGCTGGGATTACAGACGTGCACCACCACGACCAGCTAATTTTTTTGTATTTTTAGCAGAGACAGGGTTTCACCATGTTGGCCAGTCTGGTCTTCATCTCCTGACCTCAAGTGATCTGCTTGCCTTGGCCTCCCAAACTGTTGGGATTACAAGCATGAGCCACCGCACCTGGGCTATACTTTCTTTAGATTTACTTTTTAAAGAAACAGCGTTGTTGATATATACCTAACACATAGAGACGTTAAATACTTGGGTGATGGATACCCTAAACACCCTGCCTTGATCATTACACATTCTCTGCATGTGACAAAGTTTCATACGTACTTTCATGAATATGTATAAATATAATGTATGAAAACATTTTTTAAAGACCAGAAGATCATTCTCAGCAAACTAACACAGGAACAGAAAACCAAACACTGCATGTTCTCACTCATAAGTGAGAGTTGAACAATGAGAACACATGGACACAGGGAAGGGGAACATCACACACTGGTGCCTGGAGGGGGTGGGGGGCAAGGGGAGGGATAACATTAGCAGAAATACTTAATGTAGATGACAGGTTGGCGGGTGCAGCCAGCCACTGTGGCACATGTGTACCTATGTAACAAACCTGCACGTTCTGCACATGTGTCTCAGAACTTAAAGTATAATTTTTAAAAATAAATAAAAATAAAAGAATAAAAAAAGAAACAAATTTTTAAAACCAGACTTTATTGAGATATAATTCAGACATTACTCCATGTCATCCATTTAAAGTGTACAAGTCAGGGTTTTTAGTTAATTCACAGAGTTGTGCAGCCATCATCCAATCTTGAGCTCTGTAGAAGGGGTTGTTTAGGTACGGAGACAGTGCAAAGGAAGACCCCAAGCACCCTAAACTTAGTGAGAAGTACAGATTTGCTGACATACAAAAAGCAGGATAAAGAGTTAGCCACATAGCAGCAGGATAAGGCAGAAAATTGTAGTACATGGACAGGCAAAAAAAAAAAAAAAAAATCCAGAATATTTTTGTTTTAATTTTATTTATTTATTTTTGAGATGGAGTCTCACTCTGTTGCCCACGCTGCAGTGTAGCAGCATGATCTCGACTCACTGCAACCTCCACCTCCTAGGTTCAAGAGATTCTCCTGCCTCAGCCTTCCAAAGTAGCTGGGACTACAGGCACACGCCACCACGCCTGGGTAACTTTTTGTACTTTTAGGAGAGACCGAGTTTTACCATATTGGCCAGGCTGTTCTTGAACTCCTAACCTCAAGTGATTCACCTGCCTTGGCCTCCCAAAGTGCTGGGATTACAGGCGTGAGCAACTGCACCCAGCCCAGAATCTTTTTTTAAAAAAAATGACGACAGACCTCACATAATGACACTGATTGCTGACATGAAGCATCCAGCAGAAAGTGGAGCCATATTAGACCTCAAGCAGATTATGGGCAATGCAAGTCACCATCACTCTCAGTACCCCTCACTCACCTCTGCCCACCTTTTTAAATGAAGGAGGTGCTTGAGGGAAAGAGGATGAGACTGAAACAGAATCAGAGAAAGATAGGAATAAAGTGAGAGGGGGCCAGGAAAGAAGGGAGGAAGAGAGACAGGGAGAGAGGGAGGGGGAGAGAGACGGAGGGGGAGAGAGAGCGAGAAACAAGGAAGAAGGGAGGGAAAGAGAAGGGGGGAAAGAGGGACAAAGAGAAAAGAGGGAAAAAAGAATGAAAAAGAGACAAAGACAAATTCACAGACACATAAACAGATGGAGAGAAAGGCAGAGCAAAGAGACAGACACACACAGATGGAGAGAGGGGAGGGGGCAGAGAGAGGCACAGATAGAGACAGAGACAGACAATCTGAGAGACACCAGCACAGGAAAATGCCAGGTGACAGAGAGACTGTTCAAAAAATAAATTAAGAAAAATTTAAATAGCTTCCACTTCATGTTCAACTCTTCACAGGGCTTTCAAATGACCCCGATCCGGGCCCCACTCGGCCCAGGCATCCAGGAAACAGGGTGGCGAGCCCTCCTCTCACTGGGAAGCAGGGAGGAGAGTCGGGGAGGGAAACGCAGCAGAAGCTGGGACAAGCAGCAGCCCCATATGGCCGTGGGTGGCTGAATCACACCTCCCATCACCCCACACCCAGTGCTACTCGGGTGCACTTTTAGGAAAGTAAAAAAGATGGGAGGAGGGGTCGCTATAGATAGTGACACATCTGATTCTGACACAAAGGAGGCAGCTCAGAATTCTAAAGCCCTATACCCCATACTTCCCAAAACAGATGTCCTGGTATGTCTCCAGGACGCCAGGTTCATTTCGACACTGCTCAAAAGGGATGGGGGGTGCCAGGTGGCAGGCTTGTGGCAAAGGCAGGAAGAGTGGCTCCACGGGTCCACGTGTAACAAAACCTCCCGCCGTCATCATCGCAGCCAGTAAAGAAGGAAAATGAATGAGTCATGGACGTCCAAATCCCCCTGTGAACTCTAAGGTCAGCATGTCACCGTCTTTGTTCCTCTGAACACAGGAAGAGGACCCTAAGCAAACCTCTGCTTTTAAGAACACATGTGTACTCTACCCGCGCCTTCCTCCCATCTGGGGAACATGTGTCAAATGAACATATTTGTTTTGTTGTTGTTGTTGTTGTTGTTTTATTTGTTTTTTGAGACAGAGTCTTGCTCTGTCACCAAGGCTGGAGTGCAGTGGTGCCATCTTGGCTCACTGCAACCTCCGCCTCCCGAGTTCAAGCGATTCTCCTGCTTCAGCCTCCAGAGTAGCAGGATTACAGCCGCCCACCACCACGCCCGGCTAAACAGGGTTTCACCATGTTGACCAGGGTGGTCTCAAACTCCTGACCTCAGGTGACCCACCCACTTTGGCCTCCCAAAGCGCTGAGATTATAGGCGTGAACCACTGGGCCCGGCCCATGCACGTACTTATTACATGGACAACTAAGTCCTCTTCTACTCTATTAGGTAATGGACACCCACATGCCTCAGTGATCAAAACAGGAGAAGGGTCAAGATGCGGAAGCGGGAAGGAACTGAAGGGTGGGGCATGGCAAAACAGATGTCCTCAACAGCCTTGGAGAAAGAAAGTTCAGAAAAGTTGTATCGCTAATGCCAAGGCAACCAGGCACACTGTGACATTCTGTGAGGACGGAATTCAGATGTGATTGAGAAGAATGAATTCAGGCAATAGTCTGCTTTGTTCTGTCATTTCAGAACTAACACTGTCTGGGTTTGAGTAATGGAAGCCATGAAATGCAGAGTGGCTTGAAGACGTCTCCTTGGTGCCCATGGAGGGTCCTGACCCCTTCCTTCAGTTAAACTGAGATAAGGATGCTATTAAAAGGTGGTTCCATCATATTTCCTAGCCAGGGGTAATATCTCTGTGACCACAGACAGTTCAGGCACAGAAACGGAGTAACTAAGGAAAGCTGGATAAACCATATGATCACAAGGCATGGCCCCCATTCCTTCCTACCACTGTGGACTTCACATACTTCTCTCATGGTGTATCTTCCTTGGAGTTGTCTTCTTTCTTTTCTTTCTTTTTTGTGGCCAGTTTGTGTGAGCCAACTTTATCTGCACATCTACTATATGCCAAACCCTGTGCTAGAAAGTGTTTAAAATCATCACAGTCACTTACTCCCCAAGGTGTCTCACGATGTTACTTTTGCTCACTTGCAGTGACCTTTCTTAAACACCCTTATCTCCCTTCCTTCTTGGATGAGCTCCCACTGAGCTCATCCAAGCCAAGGATATGCTATTCCCTATAGCCTACAGGGAATGAGCTCAGTGTATGAGATGGAAGCCAGCATGTAAAGTCATCTGAGAGCTGCTGCCCAATAGCAATGTGGGTGTTTGGCACCAAAGAGGAAGGCGACAGGCAGGTGCACTCAGTCTCGTGAACCTAGCTTTGAGATCAGTGGACCTGAGCAAGATGATCAATTCATTGGAGGATCAAACATGGATGCTGCCTCATTTCCTCTACCAAGGGTTTCTTTGGCAATGGCAACACTCCATGGGGCTTAGAGGAAATCAGGTTTCAGAGGGGATTAAAGCATGAAAGCATGTGCTGTTTTTCTTTCTTTCTTTTTATTTTATTTTTTGGCAGAATCTTGTTCTCTTGCCCAGGCTGGAGTACAGTGGCACAATTACAGCTAACTGCAGCCTTGAACCCCTGGGCTCAAGTGATCCTCCTGCCTCAGAATCCCAAGTAGAAAAAATTCCTATTTTGTGTAGACGTGGGGTCTCTGTTGCCCAGGCAGGTCTCTAACACTTAGCCTCAAGTGATACTCCCACCTCAGCCTCTCAAAGCGCTAAGATTGCAGGCATAAGCCACCATGTCTGGCCAAACCTGTGCTCTTTGAACAGACAAGACACCTATCTCAGAGACCCAACAGGTAAGGAGAAGAACATGAAACCAGGTAGGGCGTAAGGATGGAGTTTTCTCCAGCCATAAACACCCTGGGAAAGTGCCTGGGCTGTTCGTGCATGTTCTTATTACATGGACAACGAAGTTCTCTTCAGCTCTAATAGGTAACACGTGCCCAGTCATCAGAACAGGAGAAGGGTCGAGGTCAGGAAGCATGAAGGAAATGGAGAAAATGAAGGGTGGGGTAGGGCAGAATAGATGTCCTCAGCAGCCTTGGAGAGAGAAAGCTGAGAGAAAAGAAGACGCATCCCAGGGAAAGACTAGAGCATCAGCATGGACGCGGATGGGAAGGAAAGGTGAGAAGGAAGGAAGGGCTGGGAAGAAAAGGTGAGAATGGGAAAGAGAAAAACAGGAAAGAAGAGATAGGAAGGGAATAAAGAGGTAAGAGGGAAAGGGAGAAGGAAGCCAGGAGAAGGGAAAGAGGAAGGACACAAGGGTGTTTGGGAAAGCTCTCTGCAAGTGGACAAGAGTAACATCATGAGGCACCTTGGGGACTAGGTGACCATGCTGACTTCATGATCACTTTCTAGGAACTAAGGCCTGAGTTTGCCCAGCTGACCTGGCCAAGGTCACGTAAATATCAGGCATGACCACCCCGGCCCAGGGCAGCTACTCCACTGACAGCACTGCTGCTCGGGAGGACAATCTAAGGCCAGAGACAAGAGCGCCACTTGCACATTGGAGTTGATCTTCGGATCACCTGGCAATGTGAATCATGGTAAGTTGCTTCCCCAGTGGCCTTCCTGGACCCCCATGGCTGCCAGATGAGGGATGAGTCCACCCACAGCCTAGCGTTTACGAGGTCTTTGTGGAAGTCAGTGGTGCTCAGAAGCGTTTGTATATTCTCACAAGCCAAAGTGAAAGTTTAGAAACTGTGTTAGTCCCCAGTCTCTTTAATTCTAATTTCCTAGTTGGTGAAATGTTTAGGCTCAGCAACTACAACAGTATACCAGACTGACTGCCTATTTCATTTCAGAAGGGGACTTTTTTTGTTCATTTGTTTTGGAAGTCAGGTGTATTGATAACATGCATACAGTAAGATGTACCCCCTGTTTAGGCACAGGGTTTGATGAGTTTTCAAAAATGTGTAAGATCATATAGTCACCATCGCAATAAAAACATGGAACATTTCCATCACCCCAAAAAGCTCAACCCACCAAGTTGACTCCTTGGATAATAAGGCAGGCATTCCCATCAGCCTCGTGCAATTTTTTATTTTCCTTTTGGGGTCTTTGCACTCATCCTGGCTCCATGAAGACACGGTTGAAGACTTTTGTGAAGAATATTCATGAGGGCAGAGAACAAGCCCGGCTTTGTTCTCCACTGTCCTCCCCTAGGACCTGGGAGAATCTCACACTTAAGTGACTTGTAGTAAATAATTGTTAAGTAAATGGGTGAAAAATGGATAGATGTGATCTTAGATTAACTAAAGACTACATAGAAGGTAGTTACTTCTTGCCAAAAAGGGAATTTTTTACCTTACAAGTGCAGAAACGGAGACCCAGAAAGGCCTAAAGCCATAGACAGCTAGAATTCTAACCATCGTCTGCCTGACCCCAAAGTCCCTGCCTCTCCCCTATGTCTTGCAGCCATCTCTCATTTCTGCACATTTTGACAAGTGCCCTAGAGCCAACTCGCTCCTGTTCTGCAGTTTGAATCTCTTGGAGAGACAATCATACTGCCACTAAGCTTTCTTGCTCCTGAGTTGCTTTGAGCCTTCTGGGCTGAGAATCTTCAGTCCGGCAGTCATTGTTGGTTACTGTAATTTTAATGAAGAAGGTACGTTCCCTCTTGGCTCCAGGTCTTTAAACTCTTGAATTTTAATAACCAACTCCACTGATGATTTACAAATTTCAAGGCAGGAATTAGCAGAAAATTCCCTATTTCATAGATGCTGAATTGAACTATTATCTCCATGCAGCAGGTGCCAATTTCCTATCAAATGCTGAAATGCCGCAATTATCTGTAGAATTCCATTCAAATTCTAAAAGTGGATAAATAACCAATGGGAATATCATTTATTCATTAGAATATGAAGCAAAGAGGAAATGTTACCCTGTGCGTGGCTGCAATGAGGCTGTCTTGCAAGGGGATGCCCAGCTCACTGATATGGGGTGGAGAATTCTAGATTCATTAAGCTTTTGGGTCAGCAGGAGAGAGGACCTTCCATTAAACACCTGAACAGACAAGATAATAGGCTACTGATTGAGAGGCTAACATGTGAGATATGGTGGTGTCTTCTTATTTTTCTTGCAGTGGATAGAAAGACACATATTAGAAACCACTGGAAAATTGTCTAAGATTTCATACTTCCTGTCATCTATCCTCTTCATGACCTCAACAGTTCAACCGCTATTCTCCCTACCCACATTTCTTCTTGCATTTGCCATTACAAATGTCCTATGGACATCCAGGGGGGATTTCTGACTTAATAGCTCTCCCTTTTTCACTTGAAAAAATATCACCTTGCCTCTAAGAGAGATTACATAGTTCATGCCCACATTCTTGAGCTATATTTGCTAATCTCAGAAGCAAGAGAGCCCCTCTACCCCTTTACTTTGGACTCAGACAACTGAGGTTCAAATCACGGCCCCTCCTACTCATCTGGGTGTGTCTTCTTTTCTGTAAAATGGGGATAGCAACAGTACCCACCTTCTAAGGTTGTGTAAGAAATGACTGAGATGCTGCAGGTGGGGTTTTAGCATAATACCTGACAAAGAAAGTACTTTGTAAATATGAATTGATTAATATGATGGTGATTACAGTAGTGGTGGTGATACTGATAGTGATGATGATGGTGGTGGTGGTGATAGTGATGACAATGATGACAACCATTATCGTGCTGGTGGAGACATTGATAGTGATGACAATGATAGTGTTGTTGATGATCTTGATGATAACGGTGACACTGGTGACAAAGGCAGTGGTGATGATGAAGATGATGGTAATGATAATGGTGGTGGTGCTGTTGATGACAGTGATGATGGTGATATTTATGAGGACAATGATGTTGATGGTGATGGTGATGGTGCTTACATTGGTGACAATGGCAGTGGTGATGTTCATGGTGATGACGGTTACATTGGTGATAATGGCAGTGGTAATGGTGATGATGGTAGTGACGGTAACGATGATGACGGTGGTGATACTGATAGTGATGATGGTGACACCAGTGACAATGGCAGTGGAGATGTTGATGGTGATGACAGTGGCAATGATAATAGTGGTGATGACAATGATGATAGTGATAATGACAATGATGATGATAATGGTGGTGACAATGGCAGTGTTGATGTTGGTGGTAATGGTGTTAACATTGGTGACAATGGTAGCAGTGATACTGATGGTGATGATGGTGGCAATGTTGATGGTGATGATAATAATAAGCTGGTAATGATGATAATGATGGTGGTGACATTGGTGACAACAGCAGTGGTAATAACGATGGTGGTGGTGTGGTAGTGATGATGATGGTGACAGTGGTGACAACGGCAGTGGTGATGTTGGTGATGATGATGGTAATGATGACGATGATGATGGCAGTGGTGATGATTATTAGTATTATTCTATCCCAAAGAGAAAAATACTTAAGCTAGTTGGTCAAATCTTGGACACTGATAGGATCATAGATTAACAGCTCCAGTGTGTGTGCGCAGCCAGAGGCACACAATGACAACCAGTTCCATGCCCTCTACAGACCCTCTCAGGGAGACGGTGCTTGCCGGCTCCACTCTAGGCTCATTCTCTCCATCTATATGCTCCTCTGGATTCTTTTTCTCAGGCATGAGAAGCTGTAGTCTTTGCTCTGTGGCACTAAATCCCCAAGGATCAGGTATGGACATTGAAAGAAAAAAAGAGAATAAACCTGTGGTCAGCTTGTCTTCAAGGCTCCCCTAATTGTGGTAGGCTGGTGATCTGGCTAATTCAATGAACATTATAATCTTCTTCTACTGCCAAGACCAGAAACCAAAAACCTAAATTCCCCAGACACACTGACAGGTAAGTTCTGAGTTTAATTTGGGTCCTCTGATCAGATGCACTGTGTGATACTCAAAGTGGAATTGAGTCTAGATGAAGGCAGGATTTGAGGCACCCCCTTTGCGGGCATGGACCAGAGGCAAAGCACAGTGGTTCTCCAAAGGCAGGTGCTGCACCCACTAGCTTTCTGCAGCAAGAGAAGCAGCTTCCCTGAGCTTAGATGCAGTATGCAGCTCTCGGGGCTAGGATTTGCCTCCCTCAAAATAGCCAAGGGTCTGGCATTCCTCCTTTTCAAAGGCAATGAAAGTCACCAAAACCTTGCTATTCACCTTAACACTTGGAGAAACCAGCTAGAGTGGTGTCTGTTCTCTATGACTGAACCCCAGTTGCGATAAGAGTAGAAGAATAAAAGTGCCTTTCCGACAGCCCTACCCAAATACCTGAGTGGAGTTTGTGGCCAGTTTCCTCCTTGCTTGAGACCTTTAGTGGAAGAGATACAGGTGAGCTTAGTAAAGATGCAAATTATCTTGGGTACCCTGGACAAATATAATTAACATAGCTTCTTGTAAAATATAGCAGGTCTTAGTTCCCACATGCCTATCTCTGAATCCCCATGCTGTGATTTTTACATTTATATCCCCTAAATGCAAGCCATCTATCCACCAGATGCTCAACGAAAAAAACAATAATCCATTCCTTGGCTGGCAAAAAAAAAAAAAAAAAAAGAAAAGAAAAAAAAAAAGCTAGCTGTGTGCTGAGCTTATTGAGGAATTGCAAAATGCTTTCCAGTGTTGCAGCCTTCAAGAGAAACTTCTGACTTGCTCACATATTTTGCTTCCAGCTCTGATTTAGAACTTAACCTCTAGGTATGAAGCATCTCCATGTTCATACCCCTATCTGACAGACTACAAACTGAAGCTTAGAAAGTCTAAGCCCCTCGCCCAAAGACACACAGTTTGTAAGTGACAGAATTAGGTCTCCCAGTTTCCAAAGTCTATGTTCAACTGTTCCGGTTCTCAGCAACAGCAAGCACTCAACATACATCACTGCCTCCCTGGCCCTTCTGCCCTGCAGTTGGACCTGAGAGTATTGGGATGATTTCAGAGCTCTCACCTGTCAGCGGAGACATTTGACAGGAGCCAGGGCTATGCAGGTAAAGTTCAACCTGTCACTGTTTGTCACTATCAGTTGAGGTTGAGAGGTGATATTGTCTCTGGGAACCCACAAGAAGAGATTTTGACAGGTACAGACTTTTGGCCTGGATGGGCAGACTTAAAGGTGATCTTGGAACTTTGCTGGAGGTGGGGAGGGAAGAAAGGGGCCAGCAGAACACAGTGGCGAGTAGCTCATCAGGGACTCTGCATGGAGCTGCCTCTGTGCCTGGAAGAAATCTTATTTCAGGAGACTCTCAGCCATGGAGAGGGGAGGGGCGGCCAGACAAAGAAGGATATTCTCAGAGTGACCTACGGAGTCATCCCAGGAACCCAGAGGGCTCACATGTGCGAGGAGTGACAATCAGAGAAGATAAATGGCATCAGAGAATGGTGTTCCCGCCTTTCCCTACTTCTTAACACAGGGACCTTACCTGGAAACCTGCTAAGTGGGCAAGGAGGGCATTTGCTCCCACAGCCCTCACTCCAGGGGAACTCCACCTGGTGTGGATGACTTCCCTTGAGCTAACCTGTCCATCAATCCCTTCAAATATGCAAATGCTTCCACAAGACCATTCCTTTGCACACAGGAGTCCGTGCTTAGGAAGTTTCAACTTAAGAGCTTTTGACAATAGGGATAAAAAGCAGCATTCATCCATGTTATTGAAAATGGCAGGATTTCCTTCTTTTTATAGGCTAAATAGTATTCCACTATGTGTGTATCTACACCGCATTTTCTGTATTCGTTCTCTGTCAATGGACACTTAAGTTGTTTGTATATCTTGGCTATTGTCAACAGTGCTGCAATGAGCGTGATGACACAGATATCTCTTTGAGATTGTGATTTTATTTCTTTTGAATGTCCACTCGTAAGTGGGATTGCTGGATCAAGTGAAATAAGCCAGATAACAGAAAGACAAATACTACCAAAGCTCACTTATATTTAGAATCTAAAGAAGTGAACTGATAGAAACAGAGAGAGGAGGCCGGGCATGGTAGCTGTCTCCTGTAATCCCAGAACTTTGGGAGGCCAAGGTGGAAGGACCACTTGAGGCCAGGAGTTGAAGGCCCAGTGTAGGCAACACAGACTCTATCTCTACAAAAAAAACCTGAAATATTAGTGGGCATGGTGGCGCACACCTGTAGTCCCAGCTACTCAGCAGGCTGAGGCAGGAGGATCACGTGAATCCAGAAGTTTGAGGCTGCAGTGAGCCATGATAACACCACTGTACTCAACCTGGGTGACAAGGTAAGACCTTGTCTCTAAACAAACAAACAAACAAACAACAACAACAAAAACAGAGTAGAACTGTGGTCACCAAGAGCTTGAGGGTGGGTAAATGGGGAGATATTGGTCTAAGTATACAAACTTTGTTAAAAGATAAGTAAGTTCTGGAGACCGGATATACATCATGGTGACTCTACATAATAGCACTGTATTGTACATTTGAAATACGCAAAGAGAGTAGATATACACACACATACAAAGGTTAACTATGTCAGGTAATGGGTATGTTACTTCAATTGTGGTGAGCGTTTCACAGTATATACGTACATCAGAGCATCACATCGTACACCTTAAATATATACAATTTTTATTTGTCAGTCATTAAATGCTCAATAAAGCTAGAAGAAACAAAAAGTAAAGTCAGTCTTCACATCATGGTTTTATTTGTTTGTTTGTTTTTCATTTTTTTTTGAGACAAAGTCTTACTCTGTTGCCCAGGCTGGAGTGCAGTGGCACAATCTTGGCTCACTGCCACCTCTGTCTCCCTGGTTCACTTCAAGCAATTCTCCTGCCTCAGCTTCCTGAGTAACTGGGATTACAGGCACATGAAAGAACACCCAGCTAATTTTTGTATTTTTGTATTTTTAGCAGAAACAGGGTTTTACCATGTGGGCCAGGCTGGTCTTAAACTCCTGACCTCAAGTAATCCACCCGCCCCAGCCTCCCAAAGTGCTGGGATTACAGGCATGAGCCACCATGCCCGGCCTTCACATCGAGGTTTGAATTCACGGCCAGGGCTAAGAGTGCCCACCCATATGGCCTCAGGAAAGTCACAGAACCTTTCTGAGCCTCAGTTTCCTTCACCATCAATGACACTAAAAACAATACGATTGTAGCTGAGACACCAAGCTGACAGGAGAAGATTCAATGTGTAAAGGGGCAAAGCACAGTGGCATGTAGCGAACAATAATATTAAAATATCTGTACTAATCATATGTCACAATGTCAGCAATGATTACATTATTGTTCATAATACCTATAGCTATTAGCATTGCAAATAATACAGTAGAGTTAAGCCTTGATCATAACATAATAGTGTTAGTGTACAGGTCAAGAGCAAAGCAGCAAGGGAGGTGAGAAGCAGCAGATTCCTTTCTGAGGCTGCTTCCCTGGACTCCAGGCTATGGACAAGGATTTGCCCCTGGCTGACCTCACGGCATGGGGCTGGCCCAGCAATTCTGGTCACCACAGAGTGAAGGAAAGCGGGACAAAGAAAGTGAAGGTCCTGGCTTGCTGGTGGCGACCTTGGCAATGGAGGGGTTGTTGTCTAGGGCCCCAGGGAGGGAGGAGGTTTAGTAGATGCGGGCCATTCAGCAGTATTTAATTTAGAGAGGGCCGGTCATAGCATGGTTCATGAAAAGAAAGTCAGGCCTGACAAATCTGGCTGAATTATCTGAATACATCCCCAGAAAGGGAGACAACGGTCCCATAAAGGCCAATTTATCTGCATTTCGGGGAGGCATCTGATCTAGAATGACAAAACTGATTGATTCGCAAAGGCCTCTACAGCACTTTAGGGAAGGGAAATTAAACTGGGACGAAAGGAGTTTAAATCAGAGAAACCCATTCTACCCAAAGAAAAAGCTTTATTAAAAAAAATAATAATAAAAGTGGAGAAAAGAAAAAGGAAGTAGAGAGAAGCAGGATTCTTTGGGTTGGAAGACCATGGAATGGAAAGGCCCACTTTTAAAGAAGAGACTCTTTGGTGACCAACCTCAGAAATGTGGGTTTGTATGGATGTCATCACATCAGCAAAGGAAGGAACTGAGTGCTCAGGAATTAACCCCAACCTGCAGCAAACCTGCTGAACCCAGCAGCCTCCTCATGCCAGTGCCAACCAAGAGGCAGAGAACTCGGAGAGCTGGCATCCTAGAACAGCCCTGAGTGGGGAGAGGGCAGCTAGCAGTGCCATTCTTGGGAAGCATAAGCTCCGTGGAGGCAGGAATGGCAGCAAAAAGATGTCCCAGTGGATTTCCCCCATGCCAGGTGTGAATGTGGACCTCAAGTTACCTCTCTGATTCTCCTTATATGGAAAATGAGGATCTTATGAGCACTCTTGCAGACTCAAGCAGAAGGGCTACAGAGAGAGCCTTGGTGATAGAAACATATCTTAAGCTATGAGCTGGGTGCAGTGGCTCACACCAGTAGTCCCAACACTTGGAGGCTAAGGTAGGAGAATTGCCTGAGCCCTGTTAAGTTTGAGACAAGACTGGAAAACAAAGAAAGACCTCATCTCTACAAAAAATAAAAATAATAATAATAATAAAAGCAATTAGCTGGGGGCAGTGGTGCATGCCTGTAGTTCCAGTTACTCAGGAAGCTGAGGCAGGAGGACCCCTTGAGCCAAAGAGTTCAAGCCTACAGTGAGCTAAGACTTCATAATTGCACTTCTGCCTGGGAGACAGAGCAAGACCCTGTCTCTTAACAAAAAAATAGAAAATAATTTTTAAAAAAGATACCGCAGACTAGAGGGCACACAGCACAAGGGATTGTTTTGGCATGCTCATTAACCAACAGCCTAGCCTCCTCTGCAACAGGTATCAGGCCTCTTGGAGGATTCCCCAAATATTTTATTAGTACTGGGGACAAAGATGGATCTCTACAGACACACCCTCATTATCCACTGGCATCTCCCAAGGGAAAGGGTTGATCGGATTGGATTTCACCACCCAATAAGGAACCTTCTCAATGGGCAAGGTTTGAGCAGAGACACCTCCTGATACATGGCCCTTCCCCAGTCGCAGACTGTTAAAGACGCTGATTTCACTACGTGGCAGGAATCACAGACAATCTTTGAGGATCATGGGCAAAATAGGCTCATGGTAACTTTCATTTTTCCAGGAAGGCGGGGATACCATCTATGTTAGTGGGCTGGTGTAGATATCCAACAAGGAGAAGAATATAAGCACCCAGTATGGTGCCAGGTACTTGGTAGGTACTCAGAACTTGTTGGGTCCTCACCTGTTACCTTACTTCCCATCTGGGCTCTCTGTGTGATGGGAGAAGTGAAGAAAAACCATCTCTATTTGAGAAACAAGAGTGACAATGCTGATAGGATTCTTACTCCAGAATGCATTAGGCTCTCTGAACCTCATGACAAGACCATGAGGATTATGCTTGAGGGAAGAGATGTCAGATGCCTTCCCTAAGCTCTCACAGTGGGTAGGTAATGGGTCCTGGGTTCAAACCCTGGCAGTCTGGCTCCGAGTCCCTCCTCTAACCACTATGCCATTTCACGAAGACATAGACATAGAGACTCAAGGGAAGCCAGTTTGACCAAATGAGGCCCATCACCTGCAGCTCCTGAATGCTCTCACAGAGCCCCAGCATAATCTCCCCAAATGGCAGTGAAAGCAGCTTAGGACAATCCCACCGTGCCTTTAGGGTGCGCAAGGGCCCTGGCTCAGCCTCTCTGACAACTACCCCAGACACAGGTTTTATTTTGGGGCCTTTCCAGCCCTTGGGTCTTTGCTCAGGACACTGCTCCAAAGAATATCTTGCCACTCAGGAAAAAACATTCTCTTCTTTGAGATAAAACAAACCTAGGAGCACAGTTCCAGTCACAACATCTGTCACTCCACCACAAAATTGGTGAGAAGCATTCAAGTGGTGAGCAGTCTGCACGCAGGCACATGCACACACACGGACACACAAATGGTTTGCTAACATAGGGAGCTATACACCGACACTCTTCTTCGAGTTGGACCACTCCAAAACATTTTTCAAAGCCGAGTCTGTTTTTTAAATGGAAAAATGTGAAACATCTTCTTGACTTGAGCTCTTTAAAGAGATGCCCATGTAGAAGCGACTTTGCTGTAAGGAAAACAATGGTGCAAGGTCCAGTCTACAGACAGATTTCTGACTAGGGCAGTCCATGAGACCTCCACTGCTTTCTCCATAGCTGCCTGTGGGCTGGCTACTCAACCTTAGACCAAAGATCTCACAATCAGACCTCAGACACCATCCAGCCCAAGCCTGAGACTGCCACTGTTTAATCCACAGATTCCTGTGGGCTGACTATTCGACCTTAGACCAAAGGTCTCAAAATCAGACCTCAGACACCATCCAGCCCAAGCCTGAGACAACCACTGTTTAATCCACAGTTTCCTGTGGGCTGACTACTCAACCTTAGACCAAAGGTCTCAAAATCAGATCTCAGACACCATCCAGCCCAAGCCTGAGACTGCCACTGTTTAATCCACAGTTGCCTGTGGGCTGACTACTCAGCCTTAGACCAAAGGTCTCAAAATCAGACCTCAGACACCATCCAGCCCAAGCTTGAGATAGCCACTGTTTAATCCACAGCTTCCTGTGGGCTGACTACTCAGCCTTAGACCAAAGGTCTCAAAATCAGACCTGAGATGCCATCCATCCCAAGCTTCTCCAATGGCAGACGAATGAGAAAATGGACTCTGGTGAATGCCTGCCTTGGAGCAGTCACTGTGCTCATGTCATCCATCTACTGCCTCCTCTGTGAGGAGGATCCCGTTGTGATTCTCCCATGTTACAGATGCATACACTCAAGTAGCAGGAAGGGTGGTCCAGTCATTCAGCATGGATGACTCTGAGGTAAAAGGAAGATAATGGCAAACCTGCATCACTTGTGAATTAGGCTGCTGGAGATTAGGAAAGCAGTTTGTGATGGATTTGTGGCACCACCACAACTGAGAGCCTTATGTGCCCTAAGTATGCGAATATGGCAGTGGACAAATAGGGCCTCTGCCCTTATGAGGAAGGAAACACCAAACCGATCATTAAATATGGTGAGAACTTCCACAAAAGAAAACACAGGATAAAATGAGAGCTGGCAACAGAAAAAGTTAAGTGGCAGAGGGTAGGGGGATACTTGGTCTTGGGAGACTCCTCAGAAACAGTGGCATTTAACAGAGGTAAGCCGAGACTGATGGATAACTAGAAGTAAGCCAGGCAGGGAATATTACAAGCATAGAATGGTATCCATGAAGCCTGAAGCTGGGAAAGAGCTGGGTATGTTTGAGAAAGTCCTCAACCAAGGTGAAACCACCTATGTCTACTTCAGATGCAGACTCACAACCCTAATGCCACCGTGGGGACTTACTCAAAAGATTTCACTGATAAAGATGCCTTCCTGGGACCAAACTGAGGGTCAATACAGGTCTCAGGTGTCTTTGAATGCCCCCCTTGATCCCCTGGGGACACCTGGACACGGGGATAGATGATCGCGCTGAGTCTAATTGTATCTGGATTTCTCTACAGCAAATGTGTGCAGAACAGCCCAGCAGAGCCCTTGACTAATGACTTTCAAATATAATTAAAAACATATTTCAATAGAAAGCACATTGCCAAGTCTATACCAGCAAAGTGAAATTAACCTTCAAACCATACTGGAACAACAGTGAATCACAAGGGTTTGTAAGAGATTAGATACACTGTAGCCTAATTATGTTACAATAACTCACCTCATTAATCTCCAAGGAAACAATAACGACAACAGTTAAATACTGTAATTAACAAACCCTATTTCAAACTTGATTTTCATTTTATAGGACTTGGTAATATTATCCATTGTAACTGTGGGAAAGACAGGATGTCAGTAGAGCAACCTGGTTCTTTTAAAGGCTCTTGGCTAACAGAGTTCAATACTTCGGATTTATGATTCTACCACATGAGGATTCTCCTTAGAGCCCAACCCAGGCAACAAAAATATTGTGCTATGGGGTCAAAATGCCACAGACTGTCAAGACCTTCCAGGTAGCTTTCTCCCCTCAATAAAGGAGCATAAAATTAAATTTGTGTTTGTCTTTCCACATATGAAGCAGTGAATCTTGTGCTTGGTCCTCTGTCTGGGACCGGTTTAGCACTGAGATTCTCTAGTTACAAGCCCTTTGCGAAGGTTTCCACAGGCAGGGTTGTGACAGGTTAGAGAATCCAGGGAATAATAATTCAGAATGAGCAGATAATAAAGAACCAAAATGTCATGATTATTTCAATAGATGCAGAGAAAGCATTTGGCAAAACCTAGCAACCTTTCATGATAAAAACACTCAATAATCTAGGAACATAAGAGAATGTTTTCAAAATTATAAAGGGAATCTATGAAAACACTCCCAGGTGGCATCATACGCAATGGCCGAAGACTGAATGCCTTCCCCTAAGATGAGGGGCAAGACAAAGGTGGGTACTGTCATCTCATCTATTCAACATTACACTGGAGGGTCAAGCCAGGGCAATTGGGCAAGAACAAGAAAAAAAGGCATCCGGCTTGGAAAGGAAGAAGTAGAAATATCTTTACTTGCAGACAACAAGATCTTGAACACAGAAAAGCCAACTAATCCGCACCCACATACCCACATCCACACCCACACAAGTATTAAAACCAATAAATTCAGCAAAGTAGCAGGATATAAGATTAATTTGCAAAAATCAGCTGTATTCCTTCACACTAGTAATGAACAACTCATGAAACTAAGGACACAATTTCCTTTATAATAGTATCAAAAAGAATAAACTTAAACTTTAAAATAAACTTAGGAAAATACTTGGGGATAAACATAAAACAGGAAATGTAAAATTTCCATGCTGAAAACTATTAAATATTGATCAAAGAAATTTAAAGGAACCTAAATAAATGAAAATAAAATTCATATTCATGGATTAGAAGACAATACTAAAATGAAAATACCTCTCAAATTGATCTACAGATTTAACACAATCCCTACCAAATTTTCACTTGCCATTTCGGCTGAAATTGACAAGCTGACTCTGAAATTCACTGAGAAATACAAGGGATTCAGAATAATCAAAACAATCTTGAAAACTAAGAACAAAGTTGGAGACTCACACTTCCCAATTTAAAATATTTCTACAAAGCTACAGTGATGAAGATAGTATGGTACTAGCCTAAGAACTTATATATACAGATTAATGGACTAGAACTGAGAGTCCATAAATAAATCCTTTTATTTACGAATAAGTGATTTTTGACGAGGGCATAAAGGGCATTCAAGGGCAAGAGAATAATCTTTTCAACAAATGATGTCAGAACTGGATAACTGCACACAAGAGAATGAAGTTGGATCTCCTTCCACCATAGATAAAAATGAACTCGAAATGGATCATAGACCTAAACGGAAGAGCTAAAACTCGAAAAGCCTTAGAAGACATAGGAATACAGCTTTACAACCTTGGCTTAGGTAAAGCCTTGTTAATATGACAATAAAAGCACAAACTACTAAAGAAAAAATAGGTTCATTGCGATTAACAAAAATTTAAAACTTTATGCTGAAAATAACAACATCTGGAAAGTTAGCTAATAATAGCAATGGCAAACACAACCTGTAGAATGGGAGAAAATATTTGAAATTACACATTTCATCAAGGACTAGGATCCACAACATATAAACAACTCTCACAACTCAATATCAAAATATAAATAACCCAGTCAAAAATGGACCAAGAATCTGAACAGGCATGTCTCCAAAAAAGACCTACTACAAATGACCAGTAAGCACACACACAATGTTCAATATCATTAGTAACTGGAGAAATACACCTCAAAACCACAATGAGATACTACTTCACACTCACTAAGATGGCCAGAATAAAAACCAAAACTGATCATACCAAGTGTTGGTGAGGATGTGAAAAAAATTGAAGCTTCATTTATTGTGAGGGGGAATGGGAACCTACGATGGTGCAGCCGCTTCGGAAACAGATTGGTGGTTCCTCAAATCATGGGGGCGGGGCGGGGAAGAGTCACCATCCCTCCTAGCAGCTGAACTTCTAAATATACTTTCGAGAGAAGTCAAAACATGCGTCCACATAAAAACGTGTTCACAAATGTTCGTAGCAGCACTATTCATAATAGCCAAACACGGAAACAACCCAAATGTCCAACAAATGATAAACAAATAAAATGGGGTCTATCCATACAATGGATTATTCAGAAATAAAAAGGAATGAAGTATTGACATAGGCTACAGCAGAGATGAAGCTTCAACATTTATGCTCAGCAAAAAAACACAGGCACAAGAGGCCACCTACGGTATGATTTCTTCTATATGAAATATCTAGAATAGGCAAGTCCATAGAGACAGAAAATTGATTAGTAATTGCCAGGGCCTGGTGGGGGCGAGCAAAATGGGGAGTTACTGCTTAATGGGTGGGAAGCTTATTTTGGTTAATAATAAAAAAAATTCTAGGGCAGTGGCTCATGCCTGCAATCCCAGCACTTTGGGAGGCCGAGGTGGGCGGATCGCGAGCTCAGGAGATTGAGACCATCCTGGCGAACATGGTGAAACCCCGTGTCTACTAAAAATACAAAAAAAAAAAAAAATTAGCCGGGCATGGTGGCAGGTGCCTGTAGTCCCAGTTACTCGGGAGGCTGAGGCAGGAGAATGGCGTGAACCAGGGGGGCGGAGCTTGCAGTGAGCCGAGATCGTGCCACTGCACTCCAGCCTGGGAGATGGCAAGACTCCGTCTCAAAAAAAAAAAAAAAAAAAGATTCTAATATGAAGTATGGGTGGCAGCCTTCCAACTCCGTAGATACGCTAAGCCTATTGGGTTATATGCGTTTAATGGATAAAATGTATTCAACAAATATTACTTGAGGTCATCTTCATAACAGTTAACTTTTACTGACTTCTTGCTATCTGCCAGTCACTTATACACATGATCTCAGTCAATCCTTACAGAAATCTTATAAAGTTGGGAATATTGTTTTTTTTTTTTAACTATACACATGGAGGCAGTAAGGCCAGAAAGTTCATTCATTCATTCATTCATTCATTCATTTTGAGAAGCAATCTCACTCTGTCACCTAGACTGGGGTAAATTGGTGCAGTCTCCACTCACTGCGACCTCAGCCTCCCAGGTTCAAGCGATTCTCCTGCCTCAGCCTCTGGAGTAGCTGGGATTACAGGTACCCACGACTATGCCCCGGCTAATTTTTGTAGCTTTTATTAGAGATGGGATTCCACCATGTCGGCCAGGCTGGTCTCAAACTCCTGACTTCAGGTGATCCACCTGCCTTGGCCTCCCAAAGTTCTGGGCTTACAAGCATGAGCTACCATGTCCAGCCAGGCCAGAAAGTTTAACACAGTTTGTAAATAGCATCAAATCTAAGTATGTGTCATTCAAAGCCCCATGCATTTAATAACTGTACTTGATTTTCTCTCTTCCAAGCCTTGTATTTCACAATAGCCCAGCCTTCATGGAGCTCACATCTAAAGAGAGTTTATCAGTTAGCTATCATCAAAATAACACCTGCATAACAAACCACACCAAAACTCAGTGGCTTAACTCAGCCCTCATTTATTCTCACATATGTGTCTGTGGGTCAGGTGGAGATTGGATGACTTAGGCTGGGCTCAGCTGGGCAGCTCTGCTTCAAACCTCAGGTCTGGTTGTGCTTCTCACTGCACATTGGGTTCATGCAAGCTCCACATGGATTCTTAATAAATGTACTTGATTTGTTCTCTGTCTATTAAGATAGACTGAATCTGTTGAGCACAAGCTTAAAGAACAGCAGCTATTCAAGAGGATCATGACAATGGCAGGGGCACATGAAGGAAAGCCCCCTATGTAAAGAAATGCTTGCCCTATGTGTGCATCGTATTCGATGACACCCTATTGTCCAGAGCAAGTCACCTGGCCAATACCAAAGTCAAGAGGCAAAGAAGTCCACTCTGCTCATCATGAGGTCATGAGAAAGTGTAGATGCATAACATTGTCCAGAAGAGTGAAGAACTGTGATCAAGCATTCAACTGACCACAGAAAGAGATATCTGTACCTCAAATAAAGATGCTCAGTACCTTCGACCTGCAATTTCTCATCTGTAAACAGATGGTCAAAAATACCTATCTATCTGACATAGTGGTTGTGAGGATCGAATAAATCGCTGATCATGGGAGGCCCTCCGAATAGTACCAAATCTTCTTGCAAACAAGAATTATTGTTATTGGTAGTTACCGAAGCCCTCCCAATTATTAGAGAGAGTGCTGTGTTGAAATGATATACTGGCCTTTGCAGCAACTTGGATGGAGCTGGAGGACATTATTCTAAGTTATTCTAAGTGAAGTAACTGAGGAATGGAAAACCAAATATCGTATATTCGCACTTATAAGTGGGAGCTAAGCTATGAGGATACAAAAGCATAAGAATGAAAAATGGACTTTGGGGACTAAGGGTGAAGGGTGGGAGGGGGTGAGAGATAAAAGACTACATATTGGATACAGTGCACACTGCTTGGGTGATGGGTGCACCAAAATCTCAGAAATTACCATTAAAGAACTTATCCATATAACCAAAAACCACCTGTACCGCCAAAACTATTGAAAGTAAACATTTTTTTTTAAATCTGTATTAAGAAAAAAAGATAGATGGCCTTATTGAGATAATCAAGTAAAAGTGGAAGTGGAAGTGCAAAGATAAATTCACAGGAAACAACGAGGCTGTATCACACAAGAAAATCCTTTTGAAAACAACCATAATAAGAAATTAAGAGATTATAAATTATTATAACACTGAACTTTGACTTTTCTGCTGGATTCATGAAAGTCCTTGAAAATTAAGCTCTTTCTACCAGACCCTCTGACCTTCTCAGACAGAAAAGCACCTCCAAGAATTTCTAATTTCTGACAGCCAAGCAGGAAAATACAGGGGAAATCACTGGAGTTAAGAGTTTTTTCTGCTGCTAATACAGCTCCCTATGCCAGGAGGAAACCTTGAACTCATTATCCTGTCAAGGGAAAAGTTGTATCAGAAGTCAGCAAATCCAGGCTCCGGTGCTGGGAGGCAGGTGACCAGGGATGACAGGCTTGGACATTTTAGGGGCAGAGTCCTGGGTTTGCATCCAAAATCTGCCACTGATGGTCATGCAACCTGGGACAAGTCGCTGAGCTTCCTTGAGCTCCAGTTTCCAATGGGATTTCTGGGTATGTACCCAAAGGAATATAAATCATTTTACTATAAAGACACATGGACACCTATGCTCACTGCAGCTCTCTTTTTAAAGACAGAGTGGTATTCCTGTCTTTGGGCCTTTGAGGAATTGCCACACTGTCTTGCACGATGGCTGAACTAATTTACAATCCTCCTACCAACAGCATATAAGCGTTCCTTTTTCTCCAAACCTCGCCCACATCTGTTATTGTTTGACTTATTAATAATAACCACTCTGACTGGTGTGAGATGGTATCTAATTGCAGTTTTGATTTGCATTTCTCTAATCATCAGCGAAGCTGAGGTTTTTTTCATGCAATTGTTGGACACATGGACACTGGGGTCTGTCGGAGGGTGGAAGGTGAGAGGAGGGAGAGGATCAGGAAAAATAACTAGTAGGCTTAATGCCTGGGGGATGAAACAATCTGTACAACAATCTCCCATAAGTTTATCTGTGTAACAAACCTGTACTTGCACCCCTGAACTTATTAGCTTGGTACAAAATTAACTGCAGTTTTTGCCGCTGATTTTAATGGAAAAAAATTACTTTCACGCCAACCAAATAAAAGTTTAAAAATAAAAAGAGCCCGATACTACTACCTGCTTCCAAAGGTTTACGTGAAATTTAAATGAAAAAACACATGTGAAATGTGAAATGGAATCTCTGGTGTATAATACTTGCTAAATTAATACCAGACATCATCAATGGTGATTTTAAAATATTATCCTTATTCCTGCCTTGCCCACTTCATGAGTTTTTTTGAAATAGGGAGCAAATGAGAGAATTATTAGATACTTTAAAAACTGTGAAGAATTAGACAAATACAACTATGCTGTGATGATTATTAAGTGGCCTTGGCACACTGCACCACTCAACAAATATTTGTTAAGGGAGCAGGGAGTCAGTAAATGCAATTAAACCCCCTTCTCTCGCTATTTGCTTTGGGCCAGTAAAAGGAAGCCCTTGTAGCCAGTACTCCTACTCGCAGCCGCAGGCTTCTCATTCCAGCACAGGCATCTCAAAACCTCCCAAAGCTGCCCCCAACCTCAGCACATTGCTTGCTTTCCTGAGAAACTCATCATGGAGAAGGCAAGCCTTTAGCCTTCATGCCTTGACCTAGAAGAGACAGCACGGAGATTATTTTTGCAGAAAACAAGAAAGGTCACATTTCATCATTCTATGTCCCAATACCTGAGCACTGGCAAGACAAAAAGAGAGAGATCAGTCAACTGGACTTTTCCACTTAGAGAAGCATAATACATCTTAAGAGTTTTCATGATGTATGTGTATCTCCTTGAAGAAGATATTTCGAGTTTGAGATACACCATAAATATCCTTCAATGTGGTGCATGTCAACTGAATGTCCCCATCCTTGAGTAAGTGTGGACAATATATGGTAGGGACAGAGGTGAGTTATGGCAGGGAACATATTAGTAATCTAGGAGCCCAGTGGACACCCACAATTTACAGTTTAATCATCCACAAGGTAGAGCTTCTCTGTAATTGAATTAGATTTCGAAATAAGGCAGACCTGATTTATAGGGTTGTTTCAAAAACACACACAACAGGGTATATTATCTTGTTTGTAACAATAATCTAATGGTTAGTGTTAATGCATTACCAAGGAATGAGGCAAAATGGCTAAATGTAAGGTACTGAGCATTTGCTAAACAAGGCGGCTGCGTCAACAAAAGACTGGAGAAGCAGGAAAAGTTATCCTTCTCATTTATGTTCACCTAAGGCAGATGTACCATTTTACTTTAATCTGCTTCGGGTTTATTCAACTCAACACAACTGGAAGTATAGTTACTCATTCATCCAACAGATATTTCAGCATCAACTCTATGCTTGCCTCTGTGTTTGACACTGAAGTCACTGAGATGTCTACTAGCTACGTGACCTTGGCTCACTGCTCCTCTAAGTCCCCGTTCCCACATCTGTGACGCAGTGACGATAATAGTTTCTACCTTACGAGGCTGATATGATTATAGTGATAAATCACTCAGTGTGGTATGCACAATACAGTATTACAATCCTTCCTATTATTATGGCTTTTGTTATTTCCTTACCCACAAACTGTTTATACTCTTGCAGAGATGACAAATGAAAACCGTTACTAAGCACATCTTTCTTGTATCTGTTACCTATTGCCACAGTAATGCTGTATAACAAACACCACAACCTCAGTGACATTCGATTGTAAGGGTTTATTTTTCACACATCTAAGGTCCCACCCAGGTTGGCCAGATACCTCTGCCTATGCACCTGGGCTCGCTCACATGTCTGATGCTGGCCAGCTTTTGGGTGGTCTCTTCGAGCTTCAGCTGGGCACGTCTCTATTCCATGTTCTCTGTATCCATTTCCAGTGACCAGTCATTGGTATGGGGAAGTTCTTCTCATCATGATGGGAGCAGTTCAAGGCAATGGGTGAAGACAGGCAGAGCCTCTTGAGGTCTGAGCTCAGAATCAGAACATTATCATTTCTGCCTTGAGCCATTGGCCAAAGCAAGTTACATGACTATGTGCAGATTCACAATGGGAGAGCACAACAAGCCCTCATGGCAAAAGGCAGAGAAGAGTAAAGAATGAGGCTATCACTGCAAGGTATCCCAAGTATGTTTATAAACAGATATGGTGGAAATGCAAGATAGTCCCTAGCTCTTCTGTGCAAAGAGAACTGAAGGCGGCTCCTAATTTATGGAGTGCATAGGCTCATATTTTATTGCCTTTCTTTACCTCCTAATTAGGTAACAAGCCCTGTGAGTGAGCTTCCTAAAACCTCAAAAAGCTCAGCAGATTTGAGCTCTGTTAGAACATCTCCCACGTCTCCCAGAAAGAGGTCACTGGAAGATTGCAACGTAGATGATCTGGGCTTCCTCCTCACTTCCAACAAGAAGGTCACTGCAGATCGAGTCTTTGTACTTCACTGTCTACATGGTCAAGCCCTCAGAGTTCTAGCTCTTATCGACTTGGGCAAAATCAAGCCAATGTTCCAGGGAGGGGGGCAGTTTGCATGAGTCTCTCTGTGATGCTGTGGGCACTTTGTGCGTCCAGACACCACAATGACATAGAGCAAGAACTTATCTACAAAATCATAACCTGCTGTGTGGGCAGCATTCCTCATAGCTCCTTATAGAATGTACTTTTTTAAAGAATCAAAGATCCGGGCATTTCCAGATCAACTAGTTTGGGCTTTTAGAACCTTAAAAGAGGCATCCTTTGGAGAGACAGATACCCTCCTTAGGAACAAAGAGTCAACAAAGATGAGATATTTGGGGATCAAAGCCCAGATTAGCTCAGACAGGGAAATATTTTACTTCAAAAACAGCAACAATGAAACAAGAACAAGTTTCACCAATCTCTATGGTTCAAATGGCAAGAAGAGCTCTTAAACGCCCCTTAATCTCATTCCTGTACTTAAGTCCCTGACTCCCTTCCTCCCTTCCTTGTCCTTCTCCTTCTCTCTCCCTCATCGCTCAAAGGTTACCGAGGATGAATCCAAAAGGCTGCCTGTCATTTGAAGTACCTTTGGCCTCGAGTAACAAAAGAAATTAGCCCCAAATGGCTTAAGCAAATAAAAAGACAGTATGATTACACAGAACAAGAAATCCAGAAGCAAGTTCATTCAGTGTCGGTTCATTCAACTAGAGAAAAGTTTTGGATGCTTGCTTAAAGGAAAGGAAAACTTTCTGCACATCCCCTACCCAACAGACTTTTCCTTACCTCTCACTGGCTAAAGTCTCATCCACTATTCTCAAATTAACCACCAGCATGTACTACTACAAGGATGTCCTCAGAGACCAATCATGATACAGCATTTGGAGCTGGGTTCAATCTCCATGGAAAAACATGACTAGTCAATATTTAAAAACAGAGTGAACTCTGCAGCACAGAAATGGAGTGGGGGTGGAAGTTGGGTGGAGTCAAGTGTATGTGGCAAAAGAAGTAGCATTAAAAACTAGGAATGCAGATCAGAGGGAGCCAGGAAATTTCTTCAGATCATCTAACCACTGGCTTCCTTGCAGCTGGATGAACTGGGTTAAAATCTGGACTCTGTTAAAATCTGGACTCTGCTATTTATGAACCACGTGACCACAGGCAACTTCTCTGGACTTCCATTTCCTAAACTACACATGAGGACAAATAACACATAAGTCACCTACCTGTTATGGGAATTAAGTGAGCTCATAGATGATGAAAAGCCCCTAGAACACCAGCCGCTAACAGTCATTCTCTGAGAGGCCTCACATACTCTTCCCTCTGCTCTTGAGATAAGAATTCATCAGCATGCGTGAAAGCCAAACCTTTGGAATCAGATCTGAGCCCAATAACTGGTCCTGGCAGGTGCCAGCCTGTAATGCCAACCAGCTGCTGAAATTCCCTAAGCCTTAGAGCACTTGTCTACATAATAAATATAATATTTCTAATCTCCTAGAAGGTGGTTGTGAAAACTAAATGAGGTATTGCTAATAAAGGATTTAGCATTATATGGTTTGGCTTCGTGTCCCCACTCAAATATCATCTCAAATGGTAATCCCCAGGTGTTGAGGTGTTGAAGAAGGGACCTGGTGGAAGGTGATTGGATCATGGGGGCAGTTTTCGCCTATGCTGCTCTCATGATAGAGAGTGAGCTCTCACAAGATGTAATGGTTTTATACAGGGCTCCTCCCCCTTCACTTCTCTCTCTTGCCTGCCACCATGTAAGACATGCCTGCTTTCCCTTCCATCATAATTGTAAGTTTCCTGAGGCCTTCCCAGCCATGAGGAACTATGAGTCAATTAAACCTCTTTCATGTATAAATTACACAGTCTGGGATATTTCTTTTTAGCACTGTGAGAACAAACTAATGCATAGCAGGTCAATGGTCCTAAATAAGCACTCAATAAATAGAGGCTGTTACTATTTTTGTCATCACCATCATCATTTTCTGGAAAGTCTCCAGCCTGTCAAGTGCTGGGTCCTTTAGATTCACATGGATTTCCATATTTACAGCAATTTTCCTCAAAAAGCAAACCTGATTGCTTACCACCTTTTATTGAATTCCCATTTTCCTGAGAGTAAAGACCAAAAAATTCTTAATAAGGCATGCAAGGCCCTTTAAGATTTGGTTCCAGTTCACCTCCCCAGTCCCATCTCACCCAAAGCTGCCCAGGACATCTTCCAGGCTCCCTATGACCACGGCCTTTGCCTGCACTGTTCCTGCCACCTAATGCTCTTTATTTCGTTACCTCTTCCTCCTCCTGCTTTGAATCGCACCCCAACTGTCACTTCACAGTGACATTGTCTGTCCAAACCCCAGACAGAGAAAAAGTTCTCCAGTGTATTTTCTCAGCTGAAAGGTGGTATCCTGAATGGTTAAGGACATGAACTCTGAAATAAGACTATATGGTTATAGATCTAAGCTTTGCCACTTACTAGCTGTGTGACCTTGGGCCACTTAACCTCTCTGTGCCTCCATTTTCTTATCTGAGCAATGTAGATAACAATGACTAATACCAATACTTACCATACAGGGTTATTCTGCAGATTAAATGAGTTACTATTAGAAAGCATTTAGAATCATGGCATGCACAGGGCAAGTGCTATATAAGTGTTTACTACATCAAATTAATAAACTGTCCCATGCCTGCAGAGAATCTCTCTTGTCTGCAATTATGCAATCATTACTACAATAATTTGATTATTCACTCTCTCCCCTTCCAGATCAAACACCCTGGGAGTCCAGAGGCATGTCTCCTTGTGCTTCCCACTTACCCTAGGGTCAGGCACAAGAACTGATCTAGGATGGTTTTGCAATAAATATGTTTTTAATAGGTGAAGGAAAACTTAACACACAGCATAAGCTAATGTTTTCCTTGCTCATACCAAGACAAAGAGGACCCGTCATCCCTTTCTGGCTCCCCCAGGTCTTGCAGAGCCACAACAGCTCTTGCCCTGCCTGGCACACAAATGCAACCACTGCCAACAAGCCCAGAAAACGCCAGGGGTCCCCAGGGACACAGAGCCGGTAATAGGCTCCATGTTGCTTCAGATGTTCCGGACCACAAAGTGATCATGTCTGAGACAATGTCAGCATGGTTAACCCCAAATTCCTTCACTCACTCCACTGCACGCAATTCTTTAAAACATCCTGTGCACCAACCCTCCCCAACCACAACAATCACAGGACGTGAGCCTTAATCAGAGAAGAAAAGATTAATTGGGAAGCTGCCTTGAGAGAACCCATGTGCCAGGCCTGCCATCCTCATAATACAGACAATTAGGGCAGCATTGTGACTTGTGTTAGCATAGCAGCAGCAGCCACGGCAAAGTCTCTTCCCCTCCTCTTGGAGGCCCGCAACTGCGCAAGGCTACCAAGCAGCAAATGAAGAGACCCATGTCAATGGCACTAGCAGGAGAAGGCAGCCATCCCTACATTTAACAGAGAGCGCAGTGAAAGCAACAAACAAAAGCATGGTTGCCAAGCCTCGCTCTAGCCCTTACAAGCTGTGTGACATTGGGTTACCTGATCCACAATTAGCTGCTTCAGTTTCAACATCTGCAAAGTGACAAAATAGGACCCTATCCACTGTCATATAACCCTTGGCTCTAAACTCACATGGCTCTGAGTAGGAATTTCGTGGGAGCTTATAATCTCTCACATGCATCTTCAGATAACCTGGATGTCTTATCCAGCCACTCAGGAGCTGTCCCGGGTGCTGAAGATACATGGGCACTTAAAAATCACAAAACCCTTCAGCGTACAGGCTGTAGAACCCAATGCGCCTGAGTTAGAGACCCAACACCTTTGGGATAGATATCCTCATCTCTCAGGTGCTCATCTGAAGCCAAGGGCAATAATGCATAATTCACGGGGCCGTTGTGAAGAATAAAGGAAATGGTAAAAAAAAAAAAAAAAAAAAAAAAAAAAAAAAAATATATATATATATATATATATATATATATATATAAAGAAACTGATACAACACCCAGTAGATTACAGTGGCTTCATAAATGGGAGATATTGGTGTAAAGATCTCATTGAATGAACTTTATATATATATACCATAGAATACCAGGTGTCAGATGAATTTCAACTCCTGAATGAAAAAGACAATATTATCCTATGTAAGAATGCAGCAAGACAAGTGCCTGACACACCTAGCTAATGATGCTTGCTGTTAAACAGGAAGTGTCAGGAGGAGGCCTGGGAGAATGAGAGATGGATTAATGTCATAATCGACACATACAGGCCAAGATCATCCATTTGTCTTGCTGAAGACTTACCCTAGGATACTTTGGGAGGAGAAAGGAAATGAATGATAAAACATGCCATCACGAAAATCTGTTTTAAATTCTCATTATTCTGCCAGTTGTCTAAGCCAGGTGGGTTCATTTCAATTAGGTCATATTCAGGCACATGCTCACTGATCAAAGAACAGAAGAACCATTCCTTACTCTTCCCAAAATAACAGAACAGAGCTTTGTGGAATTCCTGATTATGCACCCATCGTCTTTGCTGCCTGGCATCCTGTGTTCTCTACCATGGCACTGATTACACAAAGCCATCAGAGCCCATTTTCTAATCTATCTCTCACTGGAGCCCAGAAACAGATCCACAGATGCTGTATTCATCAAGACTGTTTTTGGATTGCAAGAGACAGAAACTCAACATTAGCAAGGTTAGGCAAGAGTAGAATGTGATGACTCACGGGATCTATTATGGGGTTGAATATCGAAATCCTGAGTAGGGAAATATTTCGGTTGGGTCTCAAGAACAAATTAAACAAGAGATGCTAACACTGCCATGGCCCGTGTTCTCTCTTGCTCTCTTTCTTGTTCTTGTTTTCATTCCTCTTCTTGCTCTCACTCTCGTCTTTCCTCTTCTATGACAATTGGGTTTATTCTCAATAATGACAGACATGTTTCTTCCAAAAGTTAGAAATTGTGGCCCATGGCAGCTCCCAAGCCCCTCATCTCACAGCTACTTCTTTCAGAGAAAAATGGCCCTCTCCCAGGCTCAGTTTGAATATCCCCAAGATGGATTTTTATTGCCCAAGCCGGTGCCAGATATACCACTGGAACAACCAATGGTAGGTGGCATGTGTTGTGCAGTAAACAGGTATCTGTTTGTATATTAGGGGGAGAATCTATGAACCATGCCAGCTCCTGGAAACTGGAAGACACATGGTTGAGGTGGTGGGGGTCAGCTGCTTAAAGCAGGATTCTGTTTTCATAAAAATGACATACGCAAAAAATCAAAGAGATGGAAGACACAGATCCAGCTGGACGCAGGTGGATCTACTAATAGCCTGAAATTATAAATTAAATGTTTGTACAGATTATTCTCTCTCACCCTACTGCTTGAGAGAAAAACCATGTTTTTGATTGAACTATCAAAGGAATCTATGTATATGGAAGCTCAAAATGAATTTGAGAGGCAGGACTATGTCTTTTTGTCCTTTATCTCTAACACCTAGGACAGTGCCTCATACTTCATCTGCTTGATACATATTTACCAAATGAATAAGCAAAATTATAATGAATACAAGAATTACTTGAACTGAATGAATGAAGTCATACAAGTTCAAGTTCATGAGATAACGTGTTTCTCTCTGTATTCATCCAGTTCCAGTCTGACTACTTCGGGTTTTCAGAAAATAAGAGGTTCCAGGAAGAGCCCACGAAACAAGCGTCTTGTTTGGTATGGACAGCAACTAGCCTCCTTCTTTTATTCTCTCTTTCAACAACAATAATTAACCATGTGGTGAACCCTTTGAATACACTGCCAAATTTCACCTGAGATGAGTATTATGGTCCCTACCTAGTGAATAGAAAACTAAAGCTTAGAAATACCACCCTCAAAGTTACAAATAGTATTAAGTACAGAGCTGGAAACTGAACCCAAGTCTGTCTGATTCCAATGGCATTCTTAACTACTACTCTACTTCCTTCCTAATAAATCTTTGTCAAGTGTCTTAGCAGCAAGTATTCCACCATGTCCTTTACACAGGTTTTCCTAATCCCCAAGGAACCCAATAAGGTATTAGTATCATTCCTATTTAACAGATGAGGCTATTCCTGCTCATAGAAGTTAAGGTTTCCAAACAAGGATGCAACACCAGCAAACCTCATAGCCACACGTGATGCCAGCTGTATCTTCCCTGGAAACTGTGCCTTTAAATATTGTACTTATAGCTGGAGTGTTGGGGGAAGGCATGATATTTGCCTATCTCAATGATTCTCTGAGTTCCTTGCAGATGGCAGACATAGGTGTTAGCTATCCAATTAGGACCTGGCATCTTTAGTGGTTACTAAACTCAATCTGGGTCCAACCGCCTTCATGAGCAAGGCACTCATGTCCCCCATTCCTAGCACAAGACACTTCAGCTCTGAGAAAATGCACACCCTTTTCCTTGAGGCTCTTAAAGAACTGACTTACAAAATCAAACACAGCAGAAGCAGAAATTACAGAAGCAATTTTCTTTCTCCCAAACAGCTGCAGCCAAGCCCAGAGATTCCAATTGCACACATTTCCTCTTTCTGTTTAAAGAGGGCTTGGATGAATTAGAGATAGTTACAGGTGTGAGTCCTACTCATGGGCTCACAAAGAGAAGCTCCCCACTAATGAGGCTTGTATTGTCTGGGAATGGGAGAGTCGTGAAAAATCCAAATCCTGACTTGGCTGGCTGGGTGTTTCTCATGTGTTTGTGTCTGGACACCCCTGGATGGGTGCTCTGCTGGAGGTGGAGAGAGAGAGATGGCCTCAAGCATTCAGACAAATAATTGCTTTTACGCAGGACGCTTGGCTTCTTCTCCCTGCTGAAAACGGACTGTGTATGAAGGTAAGATACTGGCCACCTACAGAGTGGGCTTAGGCTAGGGCTGGAGGAACCCCACCCTAAATCCTGTATCCTCCTACACCAAAAAAAAAGCCATGCCCTCTTGCCCCCTGCCCCAGTGATTCCTCCCCACTCTCACAGAACATTAAGTCCTTCCTGCAAATTCATAGGGGTGCCCCCGGAGACAAATCAACCATCAACCATCGTAGGAAAAAAAATACCAAAATCATTTCATTTGGCAACCAGTGCTTTAGGAAAGACATAAATATTGGAATTGCAACGTTATTTTCCTCCAGAGAGACACTCTGGAGAAAATTAAAACAATGCAAGATTTAATTATTAAAAGCCAAACATTCCTGTACACATTTTCTAGTCCAAAGTTTTAAAAACAAACTCCCAGAGAAGATAAATTTTTAATGACTAACTTTCTCCCACCCAGGACGTGTTTTCAACCCTCTCTGCATCATGACTCACCCAGCATAAATGACGGGGGAGCACCAGGGAAATAAGAGGGCAGGTTTCCTGCTAAACAAGAAGCAAGGCAGTGCTTGGTGATTCGGGGCAATCGACACCTTGAAATCAGCTTGCTTGGAACTGTATTTCCACTCTCATCTTCCAGACATGCTACATCAGGAAACATGTTTAAACTGGCCAAATTCCTCACCTGTACACATTTTCGTAACTTTCGGAATGTTCTAAGACAAAAATCATAGGAAAAAAAGCAACATGGCCGGGAGCCATGGCCCACGCCTGTAATCCCAGCACTTTGGGAGGCCGAGGCTGGCAGATCAGTTGAGGTCAGGAGTTCAAGACCATCCTGGCCAACATGGTGAAACCCCATCTCTACTAAAAATACAAAAATTAGCTAGGCATGGTGGCACGCACCTATAATCCCAGCTCCTCAGGAGGCAGACGCAAGAGAATTGCTTGAACCTGGGAGGCAGAGGTTGCAGTGAATGGAGAGCACACCACTGCACTCCATCGTGGGCAACAGAGCAAGACTCTGTCTCAATAAAAAAGACAGAAAAAAAAGCAACACGATCAGTTCATGTGTCTGAGAAACATCTATCAGGCACCTATTTTGTTTCCACTGAACTGTTCTAGCCACTACGGATATGATAATAAGCAAAGCCAAGAGGCCTCGCACACAGATGCGGTATCCCAGGAGAATGACAGAGTGATCTTGTTATCCCTAAAAGCCCACCTGCTTTGCTTCCATAATCCCCTTGTTAGGATGATGAGAGGTCCTATGAGTCAGGTCTCATCTCTTTCTCTCCTCATTGCTCAGTCACTTAATGGTCCCACATTGATTATTAGTTGCCTCCTCTCTGTCTTTGAATGTTTCTTAGTTTGCTGTTAGTCCAAAAAACAAATTGTGTGTACTAATGTCAATGTTTCGCTCGTGATTACAGAGGTGTTTAAAAGCTGAGAGATCCTTGCTTGAGCCCATGAGTTTGAAACCAGCCTGGGCAATATAGTGAGAACCCCTTCTCCGCAAAAAATTAAAAAATTATCTGTACATGGTGGTGCATGCCTGTAGTCCCAGCTACTCAGGAGGCTGAGGTGGGAAGATAGCTTTAGCCCAGAAGTTCGAGGTTGCAGTGATCAAGGATCATGCCACTGCACCCTAGCCTGGACAAGACAGCAAGACCCTGTCTAAAACTAAAAAAATAAAAACAAACCTAAGAGATCCATTAGCACATGGATGGTGCTGGTTTTGGTGCTGATGGAAAGAATATGAAGCATGATGGAAGATAGGAAGATAGCCTTCAAGGACAAAGATCAAAGGTTGCAGGAACCAAATGATTTATTTTACCCTATCTTTACTAATAATAATTTCGCCTACTCCTCAATGACATACAATGTGTGGTTACATATTTGATTTTGCAAAATGGATACCAGTGGGTCAAAAATGGGCTGGAGGGAGAGATTCCTGGTGGAAGAGATGATCTACACATGTGCCCTTGGAGATGAGCAGGTTTTCCCACTGCCTCATTCCCATATGACTTTTTGGTTGAAGGAGGGTAGTTAAATCCCCATGATGTAAGAAGCCCGATAAGTCTCATTCCTAATTCAAATTACCCCATGTTTCCAAAAGTTCCTAACAACTCAAAGGGGGTCCTGGCACTGGCCAACTCACCCTGTCATTATATGTGCTGCCAGAGCACACATAGTAACCCGGCCAAGCTGAGGATGGAGTTGAGGGGTCCTGGGAGAGCCCCCCAAAATATAAATGAGCCAAATGAAACCCTAGCCACCTCAGAATGTCAAAAACCCAAGTAGTTGGCTACTTCCACTCAACTTGAGATCCGGTGCATTAAAGCAACTTAAAATAACTTGAGGGAAGAGGGGTAAATAAACCAGGGATGATTTATCTCCGAGGAATAACGGTGTGACTGCTGAATAATTACATGCACCAATCTTTATTAGTATGCAAAGTAGCTGGGCCTGGTTGGCTCCCAGCACTGCTCAAAGGACAAAAAGCCAACAGAGCTGTGCACATTCTAATAAATCACACCCCACCACTCCCTGTGAGTTGTGGCGACCCCCAGACCCCCAGGGCCCCTCTGTGTGCTACTCTTCTCTGAGAGATAAGCAGAGAGTACTTAATTTCTACCTTCTAGTGATGGATTAGGCTCCAGAGTTCCTCCAGAGGAGTTTGGCTGGGGCTTCTCTTTGCATAACTTTTATCCAAATTATTACTGTTTTATCCAGCAGCTTCTGCAACTGTGATTCCTGTCCTCCTCCATCTGGGTACTAAATGTCTCTGCATTTGGGACCTCCCCTCTTCTTGCTGTCATGTCCTCAGTGGATGTGCCCCAAGTCTTCTGTACTGGCCCAACAAGCAGTTCAAGGTGGGTAATAAGAACCTGGAAACCTCACCAGGTCAACCCAAGAGCACCATTCAGCTTGCTCTAATCTCTGAAGGTAGAACAGATCTGAGCGACCATGTAACGATTTGAGGGGGCTTAACCTGGGCATAATAATCATGGCAATAGTTCACATAATGATTAGTGTAAATTTCTGTAAAATTTTGAATATGCTAAGCACCTTTGTAAGCCATGCATACACTGCATATCATCTATAACATGTAGATAATAATATCCCTACATCATGGGTTGCATATTAAATATGTACACATATATATATACTCACACACATAAATACACATGCACATATACACACATATATACACACACATTTGACACTTGTAAAAAAATTATGCAATAAAGACATTATCCCCATTTAACGGATGAGAAAACTGGGCTCAGAGAGTTAAGTAACCTATTCAGTGGCTGAGCTGAAACCCAAATGCAAGCATCCTGACTCCAGAGTCTCTGCATTAACCTCTGCACTAAAACATCTGTGCACTAAAAATCTTTAAATAGGCTTCCATGGCTCAAAGAATTGAGACCAAAATCCTTGGAAGAATATACGAGGATGCTCTGTGATATTTGTACTCTGGCTTCGCCTCATGCCACTCCCAGCTTGCCCTCTGGGCTCCAGTTCTCCTACCCACCTGCCGACCCTCCAGTGAACCAAACTCCATCCCAATTTAGAGGCTTTGCTCCTCTCCCTCAGCAGCTCTTCCCTGCCCTCTTTGCATGGCCAATTCTTATACATCTTTCAAAAAGCCTTGGTTCAAATATCATATCCTCCAGAAAGCCTTTTCCCAATGCCCTTACCCCATACTCAGCTCCATGCCCCTGTGTTATGTGTCCTGTAATACCTCAAAGTATCCTGTGCCCCTCTTTCATAGCAAAGTTGCAATTATACAGGATCATTTGCTCCATATCTCTCTCATGCCTTAGACTGTAAATGCCATGTGGGCAAAGACCTGGCATCTTTTTCATCATCATCTTCTTAGTGCCTACCATCAACTCCAGCACACAGGACATATTTAGTAACTATTTACCAGATGACACAATGGAAAGGAAGCTTTAAGAGACATCATGATGTACATGATGTTTGTCACATAGTAACATGCAGAGGCCTGAAATTCGTCACATAGTAACAGATACAATAAGATGAAAGTATCCCCTATTCCCCATATTCACAACCAAGAAGACCTTTCATATGGGCATAGAGGGTGTTATCTAAAAACATGAGCATTTACTAAACTTAGTTCCACAACACACACAGCAAAGATCACTACTTGCCAACCCCCAAGCAGCATGTTCATGCATCTCAATCTATTCCCCAAAGGTTTTATGAGGTCAACACCACTATGAACCCCATTTTACAGATGGGTCAATTGATACTCATAGACTGTTAACATTCATTGAGGTTATAGAAGCTTATTGTTAAAACAGACCTCAACAAAGTCCAAAAACAACCAGGGAAGTATAAAATCCTCTCTCAAACCTTGTTCCTCTCCAGGGCTATTAGGGGAAAGTTGTTGGAATGCTCAGACATCTGCACAGCAATTATCCTTTAGTTTCCTCGCTGGCCTAGCTAATTGATTACCAAGGTGATATGGTTTGGATTTGTGCCCCCACTCAAATCTCATGTCGAATTGAAGGAGGGACACGGTGGGAGGTGACTGCATCATGGGGGTGAATTTCTCCCTTGCTGTTATCTCATGATAGTGAGTGAGTTCTCACGAGATCTGATGGTTTAAAAGTGTGGGGCACATCCCCTTTTGCTCTATCTCCTGCCGGCATGTGAAGAAGGGGCTTGCTTCCCATTCACCTTCTGCTATAATTGTAAGTTTCCTGAGGTCTCCCAGTCATGCCTCCTGTTAAGCCTGTGGAACTGAGTCAATGAAACCTCTTTTCTTCATAAATTACCCAGTCTCAGGTAGTTCTTTACAGCAGTGTGAGAATGGGATAAATACAGAAGACTTCCCAGCCAATTCCCCACCTCCTTCTCACTGATAGCTACTTATGGCTAGATTTCTCTTCACTCCATCAACACGTGTCTATTGAGCTCTTACTTTCTACCAGGCATTCTTCTAGACACTGAAAGAACAGAAGGAAACAAGACAGAGGTCTCCATTCTCCTAGAGTTTATACTGTGTGGAAGAATTTAGCAAAACCTCTACTAGAAATAAATTACGAAGTTAAGACCATTCAAAATGGGCATTTAAACCTAAGGTCCAGGAAGGCTGAACTGGCCTGATGAACGTCCAGATGACCTATTTTTCAAGGATGCCACGGACAAAAAATGCCTCTGGTAAGATGGTCATCAAAGGTCCTCCACCTTGGCCAGATGTGGTGGCTCACACCTGTAGTCCCAGCATTTTGAGAGGCTAAGGCAGGCGGATTGTTTTAGGCCAGAAGTTTGAGACCAGCCTGGGCAACATGACGAAACTCTGTCCCTACAAAAAAATACAAAAAATATTAGCCAGGTGTGGTACAGTGTGCCTGGAGTCCCAGCCACTGGAGAGAATGGCTTGAGCCCAGGAGGCATAGGTAGCAGTGAGCTGAGGTGGTGCTACTGCATTCCAGAAAAAAAAAAAATCTTCCATCCTTTGTACATGGAGGAAGGTGGAGCTCTGTGATCTCTACAAAGCTGGCTAGAGAGCACTCCTTGGAGACAAGCTTGAGGCATCACAATATATTCTCCCAAGAAGTCCCTTAACTCTACATGCAAAATAAACTTTCAAATGATTTCCTTTTGTATTTGTTTGCATTACATTGGAATTCAAGGTCTTCATAACCTGTTATGCTGTATTTTAGCTTCAAGTATGAAGAAACAGTCTCCAAAGCTGAAACAGCATAGTCTGGCAGGGGAGGCCAGCAATTAGCCAATAATGCAATGCAAGAAACAGATCACACAGACTTAAGATTGATTTATTTGGTCCAGGATCTTTAACAATAAACAGGCATTTTCTGGTATCATCAGGGCAAGAAGAAATGGGGATGAGAGGCTATTAAAAGAAGAAAAATCTAGATCAAGAACACAGCATATTTGCAGTGAACATCTCCTCTTTTTGCCTACCCAGTGTCATTCTACCTTTTGGAAGTAGTAGCATTCCTCTTAACCTTTCAAGAACCATCCTTTTCTTACTCTCAGACACTATGGGTGACACCACAGCATGCTCAGCTCCTGGAGTGGACATGTGACCTACAACTGGCCAGCCTATGACTGGTTCACAGATGGGTGTGGGACCCAAATTGAGATCATAGGAAGGATAACTGAAGAATTCATCCACAGTGCACTAAAGAAGGGCAAAAATAAAAGAAGGGTAAGTAATAAACCAGAAGGATTGAGAAGCTCTAACATGCATCTAATTGGAGTCTCAGAAGCGGGCAAAAACAATAACAGAACTGAAGAAATTGAAGACATCATTATGGAGAATTTTCCAGAGTTGAAAACACATTGTTTCTCTGCGAGTTCCAACCAGGATCAATGAAATGTCTACCTAGATACACCACAGTGAAACTGCATAACCAAAAGAATTGTAAAGATCTTAAAAGCTGACATAGAAGAAAATATTATTGCCTATAAAGAAAGACACGTAGACTTCATGAAACGCTTTCATGAGGAACGTGAGCCAATAGAATAACAGGAGAAACAACTATGAATCTAATATTTTAGATCCACCTGCTATGATTCCAGAGAGAAGGCAATACAAAGATATTTTTAGATATAGAAAGACCAGGACACATTACCACCCACTAACCCTTGCCAAAAAAAAAACTGTCAAAGTGGGCTTTTGAATAAAGATAATGAATACTGAGGCATATAATAAATTCAGCACAAAAATTGATCGAATAGTTTGCATTCTTTTTAAATGCTGACTTCAAATAACTATTTCAAAAAATATTAAACTAAAATTTCAGTTAATAAAACCAGAACACTGGCCAGGCATGGTGGCTCACGCCTGTAATCCCAGCACTTTGGGAGGCCAAGGCGGGCAGATCATGAGGTCAGGAGATCGAAACCATCCTGGCTAACACGGTAAAACCCCGTCTCTACTAAAAATACAAAAAATTAGCCGGGCGTGGTGGCGGGCGCCTGTAGTCCCAGCTACTCAGGAGGCTGAGCAGGAGAATGGCGTGAACCCGGGAGGCAGAACTTGCAGTGAGCCGAGATCGCACCACTGCACTCCAGCCTGGGCGACAGAGCAAGACTCCGTCTTAAAAATAAATAAATAAATAATAAAACCAGAACACAAAGATAATGTCTGCTAAAATCCATGCCATCTTATCATGAAGGATTTCTCAACCTTGGCATTGTTGGTATTTTGGGCAGGATAATTTTGTACAATGAAGAGCTGTCCTGTGCATTGTAGGATGCAATATAGTTGGATTCTATCCTCTAGATCCCAGTAGCACACCCCAACCCAGAGCTGACAACCAAAAATGTCTACCCAGAGCTGACAACCAAAAATGTCTCTTAACTGGAGGCAATTTTGCCCCCAAGCAGACATTTGGCAATTAGTGCAATAGTCATATGGTACAAAACTCTCTATCTAAAACATCCTCTTGGGGGCAAAATTGCCTTCAGTTAAGAACCACTGCACTAAAAATAGAACAATCTACTGTCTCCAAACCAGTGTAGAACATAGAAGAAATAAACTAAACTTTATTGACCCAAGAGCAGGAGAAAAAAAAAAAAAAGGAAAATTAAGGGAAAATATAGTTTAATAATCTAAATATACCCATATCACAATATATGTAAATACTTCAATTTACTTTTTAAAAGACTGAGGTGATATAACTGCATAGAAAACCGAGATCCCTTAGGGAGGCCAAGGCAGATGTATCACGAGGTCAGGAATTCAAGACCAGCCTGGCCAATATGGTGAAACCTCATCTCTACTAAAAATACAAAAATTAGCTGGGTGTGGTGGCATGCACCTATAGACCCAGCTGCTCGGGAGGCTGAGGCATGAGAATCACTTGAATCCATGAGATGGAGGTTGCAGTGAGCCGAGATCATGCCATCGCATTCCAGCCCGGGCAACAGAGCAAGACTCTGTCTCAAAAAAAAAAAAAAAAAAAAAATCCAACCAGGTGCTGTTTATAAGAGAGATATCTAAAACCAAGCTACACAGATGGATGGGAAAGAAAGAAATAGGAAAACAAAGACATTGCAATACAGATGCTACACAAAATAAAGCTGATGTAGCTATAACAAAATCTTTAATAAACAAAATTTTAAAAACAAAGTATTCAAGGTTCATTCATGGTGTAGCCTATTTCAGTACCTCATTCCTTTTCATAAACAAATGACTTTATGTTGTATGGACATACCATGTTTTGATTATTCATTAATCAGTTAATAGACATTTGGGTTGCTTCCAACTTTTGGCCCTGGTGAACAGTATTGCTACAGACATTCATCTGTAAGTTTTTGTTTGAACACCTGTTTTTAAATCTTTTGAATGTATACTCAGGAGTGGAAGTGCTGGGTCATACAGTATTTTTGTTTAGATATATTTTTACAATCAAAAAATAAACTATAAAGCAGCTCTGTACAAAAAACAAAAACTAGTATATTACATGTACAGTTTTCTAGAAAAACTTAAATTACCAAAATGGACTCAAGAAAAAGTAAGGAAACTACAATAAGCCAATAACCATAAAATAGAAGTAATGATCAAAGTTGCCTTGTCTATCTAATATACACACCCCAAAAGCAAAAAATTACAGGTAAATTTTACCAAATTTTCAAGGAAAAGATAACTTTCTACCTTATATAATTTTTTTCAGTGAATATAAAAAGAAAGTCATGACTCACTGGGGGTAGTATTACCTTAGTAACAAAATCAAACAAGAACAGTGTAAGAAGAGAAAATTATAAACCATTCTCACTTATCAACACAGATGTAAAAATCTCAAATAAAGCAGTTTCCAATGGGATTCATCAGAGTCTAAAAATAATAATACATCATGATAAAATAATGTTTAGTCCAAAAATCCAATAACGATTCAAAACCAGAACTCCTATTAAGGTAATTCACCACATCAAAAGATTAAGGGGGAGAGCATATAACAACAATTTATGAAGACCAGGCATTTCATAAAACTTAATACCTACTCATTATAAAAGCCTTTAGCAAACTTGGTACAGTAGGGAACTTTCTTAACCTATTATGGTTATCTACCAAAGACTATTGCAAAGATCATGCTTAAAGTTGAAACTATAGATGGACTCCCACTAATGTCAGGGATGGAAAAAGAATAACCCCACTTTGGGAGGCTGAGGCAGGCAGATCATGAGGACAGGAGTTCGAGACCAGCCTGGCCAATATGCAGATAACCCTTCTCTACTAAAAATACAAAAATTAGCCGAGCGTGGTGGCGCACACCTGTAGTCCTAGCTACTTGGAGGGCTGAGGCAGAAGAATCGCTTGAACCTGGGAAGCAGAGGTTGCAGTGAGCTGAGGTCATGCCAATGCACTCCAGCCTGGGTGACAGAGCGAGACTCTATCTCAAAAAAAAAAAAAAAAGAATAGAAAAGAAAAGAAAAGCCCACAACTACTACCTTTATTCATCATTGTTCTCTTGGTCCTCTAGCTCGTGCAATAGGCAATAAATATGGCATCTACATAATATATAAACATATATTATTATATATAACACTATGTATTATAGATAGCATATATGCTACATATTATTCATATTATATGAGTTTTATGTATCTATAAATTATATACTTTTCCTATATAGAGATGTATATGCTTTATTTATTTAGGTTGGAAAGAGAGAGCGAAAACAGTCTTGACAAATGACGTGAACACCATTAATAGAACATCTAAGAAGATCTACAACCAAAGTATTAGGATTATTAGAGTTTAGCAAGATTGCTGGATAATAATCAACATGCAAAAATTAATATTATATCCAGAAATAAACAATCCAAAATTATATGAGAAAAAACTACCCCTTCACATAGTACAAAATTCTAACTTATCTAGAAATATTTGCACCTGTAGTCCCACCTACTCGGGAGGCTGAGGCATGAGAATTGCTTCAATCCAGGAGGCAGAGGACGCAGTGAGTCAAGACTGTGCCACTGTACTCCAGCCTGGGCAAGAGAATGAGACTCGGTCTCAAAAAACAGAACAAAACAAAAACATATATGTCTCTGTAAGTATATATGTGTACAGAAAGAAACAGAGAAGATATGTAAGATAGATAATTTATACATAATTTAAATATATAAATCAAATATATAAAGATGCAGATTATAGACAGACATGAAGAAAGTCTTCAAAAATGGTAAGACATACTGTATTCATAGATGGGAAGGCAATATCATAAGAATGTAAACTCTCCTCAAGTATTTGAATTCCATGCAATTCATATCAAAATTATAATAATTATTTTCATCAAATTTTAATACACTGATCTTTAAATTCACATAGAGGTGCAAAGGACTATGCATAGTAAAGACTTCAGTGCATTCTGGAGATGGTTTTAGAAATATGCGGTAAATTTGAAAACGCACATAGCCTTGGATCACATAATTTTATTCCTACATATTTAGTCAAAGCACAAGGAAGCAAGTTCACAATTATTTCTTACAGCCTTGAATAAGTAAAAATATGTAAATAACCTGAATGTCCACCAGTAGGAAAATGGTTAACAAATTCTGCTGTAATCATACAGGGAGATATTATACAGAAGTTAAAATGAATAAACTGGCATTACATGTGAAAACCCAGATGCATGAGATACCTTGTTTTGCCTATGGATTCATAAATATTTAGAAAATACCTATGGGAATAATAGTTCTGGCAGCTAAGGAAGACAATGAAAATGGGAGAAGGTACCCAGAGGCATCAGCTCTTTCATGGATTTTAAAATATTTACAAATTCTGAAGCAAATATAAAATAATATTAAAACATAATAATGCTAAAAGGTGACTACAGGAGGTTCACTATATTCTTCTCTGTAATTTTCTACCAGAATTTCCCACTTTCTGGATTTAGCTATTTGTATTCAAATCTAAAACCGTGTTTGACATTTTCCTCTAATCCTCATATTCCCTATAACTGTAATTAAATCTAGAAGGTTGATTGGATTTAGGGGCAAATTCTTCTCTTATCGATTTTTTATTACATATATTTAAGAGGTACAACATGATGTTCTGATCCACACATATATGCATAGTGAATGATTAGTACCTGTGAGCAAATTAACATATCTATTACATTCTATAGTTACCTCCTTTCCTTTAGAAGAGCATCTAAATGTTCAGTATACAAAACTAGTAAGTATTACAAGTATTAAGTCCTGTGCTGTCCACTAGATCCTTAGATTTAGTCATCCTAATTCCAAGCATAGGTCAAAGGGTGCAAAGGTGCAATTTCTTTTCTTTTCAGCCAAACCACGTCGTGGTGGTACTTGTTATTACCGATGATTGCATCACATAAGGAGGTGCATAACATCTGATTTTCCAAGTTTTAGCAATCCTAAGATTGACCAATTATTTTGACTGGCATCATCCCATCCATCTATCATCAAATTCCCCATCCACCTTTCACCTAGTGGTTTTCATAGCTATGGATCCTGATTGCCTAGCTTCATTATTTAATTAGGACCTACAAAAGAGTGGTTTTTTAGAGATTCTCAGTGATTTCTAAGCGATTTACCATCCTGCTTGCTCTTATTGCTGTGGCTCTTTCATAGAAAACTTTTCCTTATAAAATATTTGCCCTGATATATAGAAATGTAATGATTATTGAGTTGGATGATGAGTACCCAGGGACTTCTTAAATTATCCACTCCACTTTTGAATGTTTGAAAATTTCAATATTAGAGTAAAAAATTAAAAACAAAGTGAAATAAAAATTGAAATGCTTAGTGAAAAAACTGAAAGGAAATACACTAAATATCTCACCCTAATTTATGTCAAGGTTGTAGGACTACAGGTGACATTTACACACTGTTGTATTTGCCAATTTATCAATAAAAACATATATTACTGTCAGTGTCTTGGTAATCTCAAGTCGCATGGTTTTAAATGTCATCCATATTCTGTAGCTTCCAGACCCTCACCTTTAATCCAACCTCCTTTCTAAATTCCACAACCATTACTAACTAAACACTACTTAACAGACATCTTATATCTAAACTGTTCAAAGCAGAATTCCTGCTTTCATTGTCTCTCCAAAATCTGTTCTCTTCTACCATCTCCCCATCGCTCCAATTGCACAAGCAAAACAAAAACAAAAACAAAAACAAACCCAACTCCCCAAAAAAGGAAAATCAAGCAGAAGAGCAGAATGGTGTGATGATAGTGGGGTTGGGGGCTGTGAGTGGTCTACTTTAAATCGGGAGTCAGGGCCAGTCTCCCTAAGAGGTATCATTTGAAACAATTGACTGAGCAAAGCCCTCAGGAAGGACTGCATCAGGCAGACATAACCCAAACCCTAGCACAGTGGTGATCTTAGAGTGTGGAACAGGAAAAGCTAGAGTACAGCAAGGCAGTGCTGGGTACCATTAAGCTCTTGGTAAAACTGAAGACCAGCTGGTCCTCCAAATCACCCCAGAAATGCCTACCGATTTCATAGACCAAGTGGGTATCATTCAGAAGTTGTGTTCACGAAGTTACAGAACCGAAATCACTCAGGAAATCTCAACTGCTGCCCCACTAAGTAGACGGAAGGCAGAAAACCTGAAAATCCTCAATAATGGATCACAGTAGCTCTATAATGACAAGGTAAAACAGTGATAATTAAATGACTTTAGCAGTGTGTCAAGATGAAGGATCACAGTCTTGGAAATTGAGGCTGGTAAATCAGGCTGGTAAACCCCTCAGGCTTGCACACATACCCCAGTTAGGCTGTGAAAAATGCAGAATGCAAAATCCCCGGCCACACATTTTGGTTTAGCACAATGTTCATTCCCATCCTATTAGGGTTACTTCTGAGCCAAGCACAGCTGGGCTTTCTTTTCAACTCTGAGGCAAAATGAGAGCTGAGCTCAAATTTATCTCACTTACTCTGTACTTTACTCTGATGCCCCGAAGCTGTGTGCTAGATGCTAGCAAAAGATAGACAAGATGTCTACTCTAACTGGGGAAAATGGGTAACACAAGGCCATTGCCACCTGTGACGAGGTGGGGGAATGAGGCAGCCCAGAAGACAGTCCTCTCACTGAACCCCAACCTTCTCTAGATCAGGAAAACTGTCACAAAAAGACAATACTTGAGCTGAGTTTGAGGAGTGAGAAGTTGCCTACTTATAAGAAGGGAGAGGAAGGAATTCCACGCAAAAAGAATCATAGCCAGGCTTGATCTTGGATAGAATGGGAAAGAGGAAGTCACTGTAGGTGACATTTAAGATTATTTAATTTAACTGGCATCAAAAGTTCTGGAACCAAGATTCTCGCTGCGTCTTTCACAAACACCCACACTGAAATCCATCACCACCCACCCTCCACAGCAGCATGATTGAAAGAAGGGCCTGACCTGCAGGGAAGAATTTTCTCCTTCCCCCAACATATAATGAGTTTTTTAACCTTTTTTGTTCCACAAGTATTATGTATAAGAAAAAAAAAGAACAGGCAAAACAAAATAAAATAAAATTGGTCTCATTTGCCCTACTCAGGCGTATCCATTGCAGTGTTTTGATTCAGAGTTTCAGATATTTTGTTTTTGTTTTTTTTTTGATCTGCCTATATATGCTTTTAAAATAGTCATACTATTTGTAAACTAAAAATCATTTTATTTTAATGCAAAGGTCTACAGTTTGGATGGTTTCCAAGCCTCATTACCCACAGTTTTCATCTCCTACTTATGAAGTTAGGTCAGGAGAGGGTTAAAGGGCCCATGGGCAGGAGAGAAGAGATGTATCATCTCAGGGAAGGGAAAGCAACAGAAGGATTGTGTGCTTCACAGTTCACACCAGGATGCTCACACCCACGTCTGTCCACTCAGCTCTCTTCCATAGCAACCAGAATACTGCCTTCTCGGGAAGATACAAACTTCCATACTTAAAACACCTTCAGTTGACATCCAGAGCTGGGGGGAAGCTGGAAAAATAGTGAATTGTGTAGTGAGTCCAGATGTTTGCAAAGCCGTCTAAATGCTTCTGTCTCAGAATGTACCTACCTGTGTCCTCCCAGCTAAGCTGCATGTGCCATGTCTTCACCTTTGATACCTCTTTGTTCAACCTGCCTTCCAGGTATGGTCTCACTTCTTTCTTACTCGGCTTGCAGATGAGCACAACCCTCTTGCCTGGACTCTGTGCGTTTTCTTGTTCGGTGGGCTGTGTCCTGATGATCCCGGCAGGTTTGCTGGCTTGAATTCTCAACAAACCAAGTACACAAAGAACTACTAGATGAGGCACTGAGCTCCCCAGCCAGGGATTCTGGTCCCTACGTAGGAGTGTGTACGTACTCACCTCCTGCATTACTTTTCTATTGCTGCATAACAAATCTTCACAAACTCAGAAGCTTAAAACAACACTAATTTGCTGCATTAGGAGACCGGGTACAGCAGAAATGGACTTTCTCTACTCAGGGTCTTCACCAGGATGCAACTCAGGCGCTCTTTGGAGCTGTAATACACAGAGTCTCAGTTGGGAAAGATCCACTTCAAGTCTTCCCCAGTGGTTAGCAGAACTCATCTTTTTGCAGCTGTGTGACTGAGGTCCGCTTTTTCTTGGTGGCTACTGGCCAGAGACCACTCTCATCTCCTAGAGGCTGCCTGCAGTTCCTTGGCTTGTTGCCTCTTCCACAGTGTTTTCTCACAACATGGCATCTTGCTTCTTTAAAGCCAACAAATGGAGCTTCTGTGCATCTGCTAGCAGTGAAACACAAACACACACACACACACACACACACACACACACACACACACACACACACAGTCAGTCCCTATTATGCATGGGTTTGGTATTTGTGAATTTGCCTAGTTTATTAAAGTTACTACAGTTTATCCATAACCTTCAAATCAATAACCATGACACTTTCCCAGTCATTTGGGGATGTACACAGAATGGCAAAAAAAAATAAAAAAAGAGTTACCAAATGTGCACATTCTTAGCAGAGGTGAAGAATGTGACACTCAGCCTTCGTGTTACATGTCTCACAGCAAGATGACCACAAAGTGGAGGAAGGCAGTATAGGAGAGTACAAGAAGCTCTGGCTTGAATCCCAACTGGATGGGGATTGAATCCCAACTCTGGCACCTATTTGTGGGACAGTCTCAGACAAATCAAGCACTTCTGAACCTCGTTTCCTCTTTTGTAAAATAAAAAAAAAGATAATGTTTACAGGATTTAAGATTACAGGCTACTTGAGATATACAAGTTGAGCATCCCTCATCTGAAAACATGACATCCACAATTTCCCAAAATCTGAAACTCCTTGAGCACCAACATGACTCTCATTGGAGCATTTCAGATTTTTGGATTAGAGATGCTCAACTGATAAGTATAATGCAAAATATTCCAAAATTTGAAAAAATTCAAAATCTGAAAACTTCTAGTCCTAGGCATTTTGGGTAAGGGATACTCAACCTGTACACACACACAAATATATACATATTTTAAAAGTTGCCATGAACATTGAATTAACAAATATTCAACCACTGATTCAAGCAGTACCATCCCAAGAGCACACACTGCCCTAGTGGACAAATGGTCGACCAGCTGCATGGCTCTATGCAGCACTCCAGTACATCTTGCATCAGCACAGATCAGGCAGAGACTACCAGCTTCCCAGGGTCTTATGTACCGCATACAATGTTTCTGCTTCATGACTAATATCCCAATCCTCCTGAATTGCTCTGGGTTCTTTGCTTGCAGGCAACAGAAACTAATGATGGAAATTATGCAAAACAGAAAATTTATTACAAAGATGTTGAGGAGCTCAGAAAACATAAGGGAAAACTTAACAACTATCTCTAAGCATCCAAATAATTAGACCTATTGGACAGCCTCTTCAGAGAGCCACAGTCAGGGTGAATAAGCTCATATTATTTCCATCTCTGTGTCACTGTACTCAAAATTTTGTTCTGGGGTAAAGAGGATTATTGGGCTGCACTGGATTACCTGCTCTCCCTTCTTGGGAAATATGGGGCCACTTTACAGTCTCTCTGAAACTGTCACCTACTGGGAATGAGCAGTTCCCCCAAACAAATCAGGGTTTTGTTGGCATAAGTAGAAATAAAAACTGGGCATGTAAAAACAATGGAAGTACACTCTGTACTCATCAGGAAACTTCAGCCTAGGCATGGTCAGGTTTCAAATCCAATTCAGGAGAACACAGCTTCTTAGAGAAAGACATACGCGCCCCTCACCCCAACGTCAGTTTCCTTTCTGTACCCATTCATTTGAAAATTACTCATTTAATGTCAGTCATGTACTAAATCTTCCGTTAAGATTTTGGAATTCAGAGGGAAGTAAAATCGAGTCCTTGCCCTCAAATCCCTCAAAATCTGATGGGAAAGGTTTGTTTGTTTGTTTTCAAGCAGACTGGCCACAACAGAAGTGAGTGTTGTATGGACTGAGTGCCTCCATCATGCCAGGCGTTATGCCAAGAGCGTTACGGGCAGTATTTTGTCCAGTTCTCCTAACATGGTGGGGAAGGTAGTGGCTATCCTGTTTGTAGAGCTGTAAACAGATTCACTGAGCCCCAAGATATGGGTAGACGGTGGCCCAAATCCTTCTCAAGGTCATCACTGGCTTTTGGGAGTTCTACATTGAGGAGTATTCCTTTCAGGAGAGGATGCAATCCATCATACAGAAGCACTTTGTTGGCATTGATGACACTGTGATGACAATAACATGCATTCAGGTGGAGCTCATGGATGACTGTCTTCAATGTATGCCCTTTCATTGGATAAGTATGCGATACCATTACATGAAAACCAAGACTCCTTTTCAGGGAAAATAAAACCAACCGGGGCGTCTTAACCAGGATGACCTCGCTGGCCTCTCAGGCCGTACTCCTCTCTCCCTGACCACTGTCCAGCTCTCCTTCAGCTTCACCAGCACACTCAGGTCTTTTCCTCTGCAAAGTTTACGCAATTGCTGTTCCATGTGCAAGCAGCACTCCCCTGCTGTCTCTCTGCATGGCCATGCTCTACGTCTCCAGGTCAATACTTCAGAGAGACCTTCCTAGACTATCCTGTTCCATCATTCCCCTGTCAAACAGTTCATTCCCTTCCTTGTGATTACCATAATACATAACTTATTTACAAATGTGTTCCTTCTTTTTTTTTTTGGTCTGTATTTCTTATTAAAATGATTGGTCTAAGACCAAAGATCTTGTCCCTGTTGTTCTCTATTGTATTCCTTGTTCCTAAAAGGTTCCTGGGACATACAGTTCAAAAATATATATCTGATGTACGAATGACTGAATAAGTGAATGTGACCATAACGCAGAAATTCCCTAAGAAATGCTTTGTCCTGATAGGTCTCCAGTCTCTGCAGAGGACAAAGAGAAATATTCTAAGGTCCCAAAAAGTCTTTCCTGGTGTGCCACATAAGACCTCCTATTCAGTTCAGTGTAATATTTCCCACATACCAGACAATCTTTCTTTAGGATTCCACAGAAATTTGAGCAGGCAACTAGTCCTATCCTCCGCTTTCCCCACCCTCATCACCAAATTTACAACTCCCACAATCATAGTTACCATTTACCAATTGCTTCCTGTAACCCAGGCACTGTACTATGCCCTGCATATATGTTATCTAACTCTGTGTAACAACCCTTGATAGGTAACCATTATGATACCCACATTACCAGCAGGTAACTTGTAAATGATTTGCTCAAAGCCTCAAAATCATAAGTGATGGAGCTGATAAGCAATCCTTAATGAGTGCCATACTGAGCACCACCTGTGTGGCTGCCCTCCCCACAATTCCAGTTCTCTGGACGTGACCTTGACATCCAGAGTTTAATCTCCAAGTGCCATGTTTGTGTTACATAACCAAGCCTCCCGACCTTGGCTTATTGGTTCAAAGTTAGGTAAGTGACACAAGATGTCAAAATAAAATCCTGCCTTGATTTTGTTTCTTTTTTTAACCAAGAGAAGAGATGGGTTCACATTTGGTAGGTAGAGCTGTGAGGGCTGTGCCCCTGGCGTTAGTGGCCACATTCCCCATAGTTAATCTAGAGACTGAAACTCAATACCAGGAGAAGCAGAGATGAGAGGCAGTAGAAGAGAGTCCTGGCAAACGTTGAGTCTCTAGTTCTAGTTTTCTTAAAGACCTAGAGGCTCCATTCCACTTTCTCAAGTTACTTGGAATGCCCTGACATTTCTCCAATAAATTCTCCTTTTTGTCTGAGCTTATTTTAATTCAGTCTTTGCCATTATGTCACCCAAGATGTCTCATTAATTTACATGTGAGACTCTGGGTAGGTAATGAATTTCTCTTTAATGTAACCCAGTTCAGGCCCTCAACCATCCAGTTCAGGCCATCACCCATCCAGTTCATGTTGGGACCAGACCAACTGCAGTATCTCAGAGCTGAGGAGGAAAGGGAACATCACTGGACATCTGGGAGGTACAAGAACCACCTCTCTGTATTCTTACAAATAGGAAATGCATCGTTCAAGAGGCTAAAATGCACTCAGGAATTCTTGCAGGCAACATGAGGGTAACTAGCTTTGTACAGACATAAATTATCCCTAGCTAAGGAAAATTAGTAGCAGTAGCCTGTAAGTCAAAATGGCTCTCACTGATATAAAATTCTTGTTGCAATGCAAAAAATGCTTTTTTCTTAAGGATCATTTCTGACTAACAAAATAAATTGTCATGCCAAACACATAAAAAGATTGCAAAGATGCACCTCTATGAAATTCTACTTAGCAGCAAAGTGACTCAGGTGTAATCTAAATTTAGCCTTCCAAGCTCCTTTTCTGTCATACCTAAACACCATTTTTTCAGCTTCTCCTTAGAACTACAAGAGTATAATAAATTGAAATACTTTTCACAATGTGTTAAGATTAGGTCAGCTGGGGAGCTTGACCTGGTTGGATCAAATTTTGTATTGATTTCTGAAAGTATATTTTTTACCAAAACTTGGGCCCTTGCAGAGAACGAGAAGAAAAATTACACAACTGTGAGTTAAGGAGAAAAACAAACCCAGTATACATTCTATTTCCTTAAAGGTGTAGAGCAGAGTCTGCTTTGTTTATGAAGCTGGTACACAGGGGATGCCAACCACAAATGTAACTTTTTAAAATATAAAACGTCCACCTAACATTGAGACCATACATACCCGGTACTTCAGACTCCGACAGCAGAGCCATTAGTGGAGATTTGAAAGGCTAACTCTTCCAGTTTTCCTGAGAATGAAGGGGTTCCCAGGTGTGGGATTTCCAGTGCTAAAGCTGAGACAGTATCAGGCAGACTGGAATGGTCGGTCACCCTAGGAGCATACTGGTTTCATGGTGACGCTACAATGACTTTCTCTAAAATGGCTTTCAGAGAGGCCAAAGACTTAGTCTGAAACTTTAAGATACTATTTACATGGGTTCCACTCACCTAATCATGTATTGATATCAAAGCATTCGAACATAGCTTCAGAATGACTCTTTATCTTTGCTGTCTAATTTAATACTCCCAACAGTTGTGAGATGTACATATCAGTGTCTTATTTTACAGAGGAGGAAGCTAAAAAGTTTAAGGACGGGCCCAAAGTTGGCTACCCACTAATTGGTGGGGAGGGAGTGGTAAGCAGGCGACTCTACACACCTTTGTCTCTCTCGGTCCACACACTACTGCACTAAACCAGGACATCATGAAGGCACCACAGTTTCTAGTCTTGGGTTTTCCTCCTACTGTTCCACTCCTATTAAGCACACATCACATTCAACCTTAATTGTCTCCCCCTATTCCACTGTACTGGGAGAAGTCTGAGGGTTTATTAGTCCATTTTGCATTGCTATAAAAGAGTAGACAGGGTAATTTATAAGGAAAAGAGGCTTATTTGGCTCATATTAACTCCTTAATTTGATTCTTAGCCAATATGAGTGAGTAATCCTTCTTGCAATAGATCCCAACGCAGCATGGGTATCCGTACCCAACCCAAAATGCAATGACTTTGATATCCATCTTATTTCTGAATTTTCTACAAAGATGAAGTATTCGAAGCTTAAACTGAAGTAAATCCAGGCTCATTAAATCCTGGACTCCTCCTTTTTCAACAGTAGTTATTCTCAGCCCCAGATGAAAGTCAACAATTTATGACTTCTGTCAGAACTAGAAGCAGTTTTGCTGACTAATTGATAGCCAAATGGAATTTCTACTGGAAAAAATACTTTCATTTGTTATTTAAACATCTATTCTATATTTCGGCAATTTCCACTATGAGAGTTAGGCATTTTTTTCCCATATTACCCTCAATACTAAGTACTGAGGGTCAAATCAATATATAGAGAGAAATCAATTCATATGGCCTCTAGGGGAGGCAGTAGTCAAACACCAGACCAAATATCTTAGTGAATAATCAGAAGTCAAGAAAGAAGACCCACGATTAAGTAGAAATCCCTCAGTGGCCACCTGAATAGACAAAGCCAGGATCTCTCAGTGGAGGCACAGGAAACAGCTACCTTCACTGCAGGCTTTGGGTTTGACTCTGACTATATTCTACCTCCTATTCCCAGGAAGTCTTTCTTCTATTCTCAAAAAATAATGGAGAAAATACTAATATTCAAACCACCCAAAACTACAAATTATATTTTGTCACAATGATTTCTAGACCTTAAACAAACAGAACATCACGGATATTACTAAACATCCTCCATAACCCCACAGTGCCCAGTTCCATTTACCCCAACCTGTTCCCCTTCCCCAGGCAGCTGCCAAACTCTGTGTGTATCTTCCTCTTGATACATTTCTACATTCCATGTTGCTTGGTACATTGAGTAAAAATTCACACAAGTAACATCCAACGTAGATACCAGTCTCCATCTTCTTTTCATCACTCAATATCGTTTCTGAGCCTGTCCATATTAATGCAGGGAACCCACATGCAGTATCAAATTAAAAAGAGACCTACTTGTATTCCTTCTGACTGATGCACAGTAGTCTATCACGAAATACACCACCTTTGCTTCATTCATGTCCCCATTAAGTGGCATCTAGGTTATTTACAAATGTCCAGCATGACAAACATTGCTGCAATGAACATCTCTTTCTGCATATGTAAAAGATTTTGTCCAAGTCACATAATTAAAGGTGAAATTGCTATGTACTAGGAGCATACATCTTCAGATCTGTTAGGTTCTGTCTGCCAACTTGTTCTGCAAAGAGGGCATACCAACCTACAATCCTGTCAGCCCATGAAGGAGGCACCACCCTCTCCTCACCTCCTGAGATATCCTTTTTAGATATAGGATGAGATGGCCTCAGCTTGAGCCAACAGCTCACCTTTTCACACAAAAAAGAAATGGATTAACTTATATGAAAGAACCTACAAAGTTCAATTTAATTTTCTTTAATCAACAGTTGCATCATTTTAAAAGCTAATAATGCAACTGCATTCTCCAACCCTGTGATAACTTAATGAATGAGCCACTTGACCATCAGAGAAGAACACCTTGGGACAATATGTCAAAATCAAGTAAGGCACTCAAGCTCCTATTAGGCTGATGGATTTAAGGCAAAACCTTAGGCAATAATAATGTTGTTTGGAAGATGAATCTACTCATAAGAGCCCCTCCATGACAAATGACTTACTTGGAGGCTAACTATTTATGAGGTCCAGGTGGGAGAGGTATAAACTTAATTAAGTTTGAAAACATAACAGAACCAAAGGCAGTGCATCAATTTCTGGATGTCCTATCAAAAAAGCCAATAATATCCTTAATAGGTTGGTGATATCTCCTTCTTGGAGCTGTAATATATAGTTCTCCAACTTACACAGTTCCAGTTCCTGCTGATCTTGCTGAAGCCAGTAACACCCTTGCTTCTTTTCTCCTTTTTTCATGTCTGCTTATGAGACCAATTCATCTCAGCTGGGAAGAGAATCACAACCGCTTCTATCGCATGCACTTTACACCAGATCCTAACAAAACCAACCATCAGGCTGGATGCCCCAACTTCATTAGTGACTTTATCTATCTGTGCCTGGGAGATAATATAAACTGTGTCTCATACGCTGGAGAGCTCCCTGATGCCTGGAACTCAAGTGCAGCATTCTACAAAAATATTTTAAATACCCATTCACATCATAACGCAGGAAACCAAATACCCCCAAGCAACCCTAAAGTAGAGATACACAGCTCAGGACAGGGCTCCAGATATACCAGCCAAGCATTTATTTGGATGCACTTCATTACAGTAGGCGGTGATGTATTTGCAATATCGTTTGATAGCTTCAACGGCTCCCTGCTGAGGGAGAAGCTGATGAAAAGGCTGAATCATTCCAAACTTTGGGTCCCATTTAAAACGCATCAAGAAGTTACTTTATTAACCGTGGGGTCATTTTATAAACAAGTGTCCGTCCTTGGAAAGCTTGAGGGAACCAAGAGAAATGTAGGTGTTTGTGTGAGGCTAATCCTAGAAAACAGACACACACACAAACCTACACAAGGAACAGTCAGTGGCTCTACAGAGGAGAGCTGGTGCCACGTGGGAGTTGCAGAGCATTGTGGCGTCACTCATTTGTCCCAACTAGGTCATGTCTGGTGAAGCAGAGACATCCATCTCATGACCTTTGAATTCCACAGCTGTATTAGTCAGGGTTCTCTTACAGGGACAGAACTCATAGGATATAGATATATATCCTATTAGTTCAAATCTGTTAGATTCTGTCTGCCAACTTGTTCTGCAAAGAGAGCATACCAACCTACAATCCTGTCAGCCCTCGAAGAGGGCGCCATCCTCTCCCCACCTCCAGGGATATCCTTTTTAGATATAGGATGAGATGGCCTTAGCTTGAGCCAAGAGCTCACCTTTTCACACAAAAAAGAAATGGGTTACTTTATGTGAGAAAACCTATAAAGTTCAATTTAATTTTTTTAATCACCAGTTACATCTTTTTAAAAGCTAATAATGCATCTGCATTCTCCTACGCTGTGATAACTGAATGAATGAGCCACTTGACCATCAGAGAATACCTTGGGATAATATGTCAAAATCAAGTAAGGCACTCAAGCTCATATTGGGCTGACGGATTTAGGGGAAGACCTTAGGCAATTTTACATACATATAGGTATCTGTATGTAATACATAATTTACATATAATATACATTAAATTATATGTTGTATATAATATATAAAACATATAATATAAATAATACAGTATATATATTATATATTATATATACACACACATACACGTAAAGGGGACTTTATTAAGTATTAACTTACATGATCACAAGACCACAATAGGCCGTGTGTAAGCTGAGGAGCAAGGAGAGACAGTCCAAGTCCCAGAACTAAAGAACTTGGAGTCTGATGTTCAAGGGCAGGAGGCATCCAGCATGGGAGAAAGATGTGGGCTTGGAAGCTAGGCCCATCTCTCCTTTTCAGGTTTTTCTGCCTGCTTTATATGCACTGGAAGCTGATTAAACTGTACCCACCAGATTCAGGGTGGATCTGCGTTCCCAGCCCACTGACTCAAATGTTCATCTCTTTTGGCGACACCCACAGAGACACACCCAGGACTAATACTTTGTATGCCTCAATCCAATCAAGTTGACACTCAGTATTGACCATCACAACAGCCAATCAAAAGCAGTGGTTCTCACCTAAGGGAGGTTACAAATGCTCTGGGGTTAAACCTGGGCATTGGCAAGGAAGTCAGAATCTCTTGGGTAAGACCTGCACATTACTATTTTTCGAAGGCTTCCCAAGTGCCACAGCTTTGCATCTAAGGTTGAGAGACTTGGCCAAGGATCTGGCGCCCCCACCCCCCACCTCCACCTCCACCCCCAACACACACACAAATACAAGCCCTAGAGGGCAAGACCTTAGCAAAAACAAAGCATTGTCCAGTCTTTATCTCAGTAAATCCTTACTATAACCCTAAAAGGTGGACACTCTGATTCTCCCCATTCTGTAAGTGAATGAACAAAGGTTCAGAGAGGTTAAAGAATTGTCCTGAAGTATCAATTCAAGCAAGAGGCAGAGCCAGGACTCACACTAGACCCTGGGAGCTTTGGGGTCTGCACTTCCACAGCTGTTTCATGGCAGCCAGTCTTTAAAATGTGCAGTTCTCACTTTTAAAGAGAAAGTAGCAATACATTTCACATATCAGACTGCCAGTTCTGGTGAGGAAAATTCAAGGACCTCTCAAGCTCTTCCATGAATTCAATGTGTGGCTGCCAAGGATGAAGACACCTCTCTTTCAACATAGTGTTGTTAGACTCGGACAACCTTGGATAAAACCTGAGCTTTTCCTGTTCTCAGCTTTGAGACTTTGGGCCAATTGCTTATCTATTATGAAACTCAGTTGCATGATCTGTACAATGGGGATAATTCCTTCCTCCCAGGTTCACAAGGATTTAAAGTAATCACACTAATGAAATGTCCTGGCACAAACCAGGGATTAACAAATGGTCATCTCTTCCACCGAAAGTAATACATGGCTTAGAAACCTAGACGGACCGATTGTCAAATTGTATGATGCTTATCTCTAGCACCACCTGATAAATTGTAGAGTGACCCTCTTTTTCCAGGTGTCTTTCCATCGATTACCACATTTTAACCAGTTTATATTAAATACTAGGTTTCACAGCTGTGCAATTTTTAAAAAAGTTCTTCAGACCCACTCCCACCCCACCACAAAGGGGATTAATGGTGCTCCCACAATGGGAAGGCTTTTAATGGATGCAAATTTGCAAGGCATGATGCATTTATTAATCTCTCATTGGAGCAAACTGTAACAAAGCCAGCAGGAGCAATCATTAATTTACATTAATAGCTTTTGGTGTCATTTACCCCAGTGCCCGACATGAAACGGCAATCTGAAACCCAACTGTAATGCTGTCCTACATAAGTGAATGTATCACAGCCCCAGAGACCTAGGAGGTGCAGAGCATTCTAATATCAACCCCAGGCTCATATATATATTACGCATTTCAACAAGGGGGAGATGTGTTACTGTATCCCAATACTCCAAGAAAAATAGTCAGACTGCTTACAATGGTCTTCAAGATTCTACTCCTTCCAGATTCATCTCAGACCACTCATATTCACTCTTCTTCAGCCAGGTCAGTCCCTCTCTCTCCCTCCCCCACTCCCGTATATTAATATCTCAGACACTTTAGCTTAATCCACCTCAAGGCCTTTGCACATGTTGTTAAAAATGCCTGAAATATCCCCTTCTCGTTCTTTGCATTACGTCAATTTTATCCTACAGGTCTCAGATAAAATCTTACCGGCCGGGCACAGTGGCTCAAGCTTGTAATCCCAGCACCTTGGGAGGCTGAGGTGGGTGGATCACCTGAGGTCGGGAGTTCGAGTCCAGCCTGACCAACATGGAGAAAGTCCGTCTCTACTAAAAATGCAAAAAAAAATTAGCTGGGCATGGTTGCACGTGCCTGTAATCCCAGCTACTCCAGAGGCTGAGGCAGGAGAATCACTTGAACCGGGGATGGGGAGGTTGCAGTGAGCTGAGATCACACCATTGCACTCCAGGCTGGACAACAAGAGAGAAACTCCACCTCAAAAAAAAAAAAAAAAGAAAAAAGCTGGGCACGGTAGCTCATGCCTGTAATCCCAACACTTTGGGAGGCCGAGGCGGGTGGATCACAAGGTCAGGAGATCGAGACCATCCTGGCTAACATGGTGAAACCCCGTCTCTACCAAAAATACAAAAAAAAAAAAAAAAATTAGCCAGGCATGGTGGCAGGCACCTGTGATCCCAGCTACTCGGGAGGCTGAGGCATGAGAATGGCATGAACCCAGGAGGTGGAGCTTGCAGTGAGCCGAGATCGCACCACTGCACTCCAGACTGGGTGACAGAGCGAGACTCCATCTCAAAATATATATATATATATTACCTCATGGGGTGGTCTTTTCTGGCCATCTTATCTAAGAGATTCTCCCTAGAAACTCATCATTTTACCTTCTTTCTTTTATGGCACTTAAAACATCTCAAGTTGGTCTTTTTATAGTTGCTAATTTTATAGCTGCTGCACCCCTGCCCCCCAACCAAGCACACACACACACACACACAAATACAAGCTCTATAGGGCAAGGAACTTGCACGTCTTGTTCATTACTCTATGTCTAGCATTTAGAACTATGCCTGGGACATAGAGGTTCTCAGCAAGTATTTGTTGAGGATGAGAATGAATAGTAAACCATCTTATCATAGGCAGCTTCACCCGGAGTGTAAAGATGTTTTTAGTGCCTTTGCTGGCCCCTAAAGTTTGGCATTCTCCAAGGTTAAGACCTCAGACTACTTTTTCTTCCCTCTCAACTATTTCTCCTTCACTCCGCTGACTTTAACAGCCACTTCTACTTATGACTGCTAAATCCATGCCTCCAACAGGTCTGTCTACTGAAGTCTAGAGACTCCCATGTGACATGTACTCCAAGTCTATCTGCAAGGGAACCAGAAACCTAATAGCTTGACTCACTGGGAGTCTCAGTCTTTAAAGAGGAAGAGCAATTCCAGGTATACAGTGGAGTCCCTTACTCAGATATGTGCCTGCCTCAGCCCCCATGGATCCATATCCGTGAAAAGAGAGATCTGAAATTAAACAGGACATTAGGGTTCAATGGACTTGGCCGCAAAGTGAAGATTTTTTTCAGGTGAGACCTTCTTATTCCTCCATCAAGCAAAACAAACAAATCTCCGCCAGACTGAGCTCCCATTTTCATTAAGCCACACTGCACCCAAATCGTGAAAGGTTTCATGGTGTCCTGCAGCAATGCCCCTGCAAGCACAGCTCATGTGTTTTTGTACCTTTACCCCCCACACATATCTTCCTTCTCCTCTGCCAGTCTCATGATGTCCCTCTTCTGACGCCTTTGTTGATAAACTTCTGTCCATTAAATCAATCGAGCCCCAACTCTAACAGCCATTTCCATTTTTTATCTCTGATTCAACACACTCATAGGGAGATATTCCTTTGTTCCTCCTTTTCTTAAAACAATATATGTTTCCTAGGTGAAAGAGAGCAATGACAGGAAGCATGAATAGAACACAGACTAAACACTAGGCACCAGACTAAACATTTTGCTCACTATGAACTGTACTTTAATATAAGCCTCACTACAACTCCCTTAAGTTAATTATAAAGGAGACAGAAATTTGGAGAGAAGGAGCTTATGCAATGTCACCCAGAAAACGTGTGGTAGAGTCCAATTTCAAATCTGGATGGCTGTGTTGCCAAAGCCCATTATTTTAATCACCATACTAAAAAGTTCATTACCAGGTAATAATTGGGTAGAGGACTTCATGAAAGAGAATTGATGGTCAATCATTCTCAGCAAACTAACACAGGAACAGAAAACCAGACACTGCATGTTCTCACTCATAAGTGGGAGTTGAACAATGAGAACACATGGACACAGGGAGGGGAACGCCACACACCGGGACCTGTCGGGGGGTGGGGGACAAGGGGAGGGAGAGCCTCAGGACAAATACCTAATGCAGGCAGGGCTTAAAACCTAGATGATGGGTTGATAGGTGCAGCAAACCACCATGGCACATGTATACCTATATAACAAACCTGTACATTCTGTACTTGTATCCCAGAACTTAAATTGTTTTTTAAAAAAAAAAAAGAGAGAGAATTGGTGGTCAGTCATACAACTTCGGATGTAACAGCATGACTTTAGCATATTATTTAGTGCTCACCTTAAGAGAAGCATGAGGTTCAGATGAACAGAAAACTCCTGGTTGGATTAAATGAAGATGCGCCCTTGCAGAAAAGATCACAGTACTTTCAATAGCCTTGCCCTTTCCAGGGTACTCTGCCTGGTTTCTCTTTGCCAATTAGCTGAACAGCTATGTATTGCAACAAGGCATAAATGGAGTAATGAATTGAGATGCAGGTTTCATAAAAGTGATTAACTGCTAAATTCCAGTTCAGCTAACAGTTCAATTATCCCATTTTGCATCTTAGCCTTCCATCCAATTCTGCATACATGTAGCCCCAATCACTGAGGTACCTACATCCTCCGCATTACCATTAATTAAGCCATCGCTCTTCTTCCGTGAATCTGTCCATCCTTACCCATGAGCTGGGTCTACAAATAAGAATGAGAAGAGTGAGCATTGAGTAGCAAATTTAACGTGCTAGAACAGCGGGTTGACTCAAAGTGAATTTTAGCAGCCACCACTCTACACACAATGCCACCACCTTCATCTGGAAACACAAATGTCGACAAACTCCATGTACCATTTGTCCAAAGACAATGGGAAGTGAGAAACACTGGAGGAAGAGCAGAGACCTCAGCTGAGGTTCTCACTTGCCTACGCCGCATAATAGATTCCTGTGGGACGGGCTCAAGCACCCAGAGGAAGCAATGATTAACCACGTAACCATCCAGCACCATGGACAAGGCTCACTGAGCTTAGGAACCGGGTTCTAACTTGAAATACTCAAAAGATCATCATGAAGACCTTGCCCTACCCGCTTGCACATATGCCCTAAATCTATTTACTTTCTATATTGATTAGGGTTCTTGTTTAAGAACAATAGAAACTGGCAGGAATTTCTTTCAAAAGAAAAGGAGTTCTTGGGACGAATACTTGTTTGTTCAACAAATTGCAACAGAGGCTTAAGAACAAGACCAGCCGCTAAACCCAGATGACACCACAGAACAGTCTAATTCAGACTGCACTGCCCTCTTCAGAGGACACTGACTGGCTGGTGCTCCTTCAGAACAATTTCTAAACTCTCCCTGCATCTGTGGGCTGCTGGAACCAGAGCCAGTGTCCCAGAAGGAAGCATCAGGCTGCACCAAATTGCCCAGAAGAGAAGAAAGGAAAGCAGAGGTGAGGAGAGGAATGAGTATCTGGTATTTTTAATATTCCTGACATTCATCGACACCAACACAATAGTGAATCCCTAAATACACAAAAGGGTTCAGATGCTGAGCAGCTGAAATATGTACACACACAGAGCCCCACGGTGCTCCACCATGAGCATCTGACATAGAACACATTTCGGCTCATGGAATAAAAGCAAAGCTCTTTAACAATCTTGGTCCTGAAGACCTGCCTCCCTCACTTCATCTCTCTTTGCACCCCTCATACCCATAATCCATCTTCATAAGACTTTTACACGTTCCTCCAGAACACAGTGTTTGCTTCACCACCAAGCCTTTCCACATGCAATTTCCTCCATCTGGAACACTCTTCCCCTAGCTAACTGCTACTCACCTTCTGAATTCAGAGAAATGTGTTTTTCAGACTTGATAGAAGGACCCTATAACAAGCTCTACTAACACGACATGTTTATTCCATGAGCGCAGGGAATATGCCTGTGTCATTCTCTGCTGTATCCATAGAAGTTAATCTAGTGTCTCATTCATAAATGTTTAATATGGATTGGTCCGGTGAATTTCTTTCAAACTTGACTTCAAATCAAAGCAACATGAGGGAGGCAGGCGAGTCGTAGGCAGTCTATCCTTCACTCCTAATCACTCGTAAGCACATTTACCTACATGCCCATTTATCTACTGTAAACAGGGACCCATAGAAAGTGCATTCATTTTCCCCTAAGAATTCTTTGACTATCTCTTACTAGCCCTTACTACCCAAAACACAAAACTCAGTTTAACTAAAATGTGAATATGCAGGTGGATTTCACACTGGAAACTTGCCTTCTCATAGGAGGACATATTCTTTGCAGAACTACCTATTCTCTAGTGATACTCAACAGCCTCAAGAGAATTGGTATCTCTGGTCTTTTAGAAAGATAGAGCAAGAGAAGCTGTCATAGTAACCAACATCAGAGGCCTGGGTTCAACTTCTGGGTCTTCCCCTTCTGTCCGTTTGACCTTGCCCTCCATAATGACTGAGCAAGAACTTCCCACCAGCCTGGGAAGATGCAGAATTGGAGACCGGTTTTAGTTGATTTTCTAAAAGAAAAAGGAAAACTGAGATATTTACTTCACACCTGTTTGTGGACAGAGAGTCATACTTGCTACCTCAGGTTGGTTCATCAATGTACAAATATAAAAGTCAATCACCAACATTTATTGAATAGTACTATGTGCCCAGGCACTGTTCTGAGCACTTTTTTTTTTTGAGGTGGAGTCTTGCTCTGTTGCCCAGGCTGGAATACAGTGGTACAATCTCGGATCACTGCAACCTTTGTCTCCCAGGTTCAAGGGATTCTCGTGCTTTAGCTTCCTAAGTAGGTGGAATTGCAGGCATGTGCTGCCACAACTGGCTAGTTTTTTGTATTTTTAGTAGAGATGAGGTTTTGTCACATTGGCCAGGCTGGCCTCAGACTCCTGGCCTCCAGTGATCTTCCTGCTTCAGCCTCCCCAAGTGCTGGGATTACAGGTATGAGCCACCACACCCAGCATGTTCTGAGCACTTTCCAGGCACAATCTCATTCAATCCTCACAACAACTCATTGCTATCTGCATTTTGCACATGGAAAAACTGAATCTCAGAGAGGTTGAGTGACTTGCTCAAGGTCACACAGCTAGTGAGAGGGAGATGTGAGATTGAGTCTGCTCTCTTAACTTCCTAAATGATATGTAATATCACACACACACATATATGGGCAGCTACACAATAAATGTTTCATAAAAGTTACCTTAATAAGTGATAGATGCAAGTATAGATGAATGGATACACAAATGGGTGGGTAAAAAGGTGTGATGTTTTCCTTTATTTTTTTTTTTTATTTCACTTTAAGTTCTGGAATACCAGAACGTGCAGGTTTGTCGCATAGGTATACATGTGCCATGGTGGTTTGCTACACCTATCAACCCATCATCTAGGTTTTAAGCCCTGCTTGAATTAGGTATTTGTCCTAATGCTCTCCCTCCCCCTGCCCCTCAATGCCCCAGCAGGCCCTGGTGTGCGACGTTCCCTCCCGATCACCATGTCCATGTGTTCTCATTATTCAACTTCCACTTATGACTGAGAACATGCGATGCCTTCTTTTTTTAAATGATCCCTCTAATAACCTAATTATAGACAAAAGACTTAGCCCATTGAGTCTTCATAACCCAGAAAATTATGTTCCCCCAAATGAGAGCTCATTACCCCAAACCACATCCAGCAGGAGGAGCTCTGTGCCCCTCATCTTTATTTCAAAGCAATGTCTGCTGCAACTTCCAGGAGCTGCCAGAGGAGAATGGAGAGGAGCAGCATGTCTCCACATACCATCCACAAGGAGAGTGGATGACTAGAACAGATGCTATTAATCATCTATCCCTCCCTGACAGATGGGCTCCAGCACAGCCTTGCAAATCCATAGGCTGGGCCCAGCAGCCACACGGGCTGCACGATGACACGCGGAAGCCATCCAAGAAGGCTCAGTGTTGAGGCTCCGTTGCCATGTTTAAACATAAACAGCTCGTTTTCCCCATGCCTTGTTTTCTGTGTTTCCATTATCTGGCCAAGTTGGGTCCAATTGAGAAAGAGGCAGCTGTGTTTGGGGAGCAATTGTCTTCTTCCCACTGGGCACGTGAGCTGAGTTCTCTATTGTTCACATCTGTGGCCGCCTGGCTGAAAACCCAGGGATGCTTCTCTCTTTTCAAGCACCAATGTGCTTAGCCCAAAGTCTAGAAATGATCAGTAGTAAATGGTCTCTCCCAAAGAGGAGAGCTTCCTGGGCTGGTTCATCCCTTCTTCTGTTCCTTACAACCCAAAAATGTGTTTTCACTCTCTTTCTATGTGTGTGTGGGTGGGTGTGCGTGTGTGTGTGTGTGCGTGAGTACATGCATGTGCATGTGGATGTATATATACAGTGTATATTCATATCTATACACACACTTTTTTTGAGACAGGGTCTCTATCTTTTGCCCAGGCTGGAGAGTACTGGTGCAATCACAGCTCACTGCAGCCTTGACCTCTTGGGCTCAAGCAATCCTCCCACCTCAGGCTCCAAGTAGTTGGAACTACAGGCATACACCACCATGGCTGGCTAATTTTTTAAAATTTTTCGGAGAGACGCGGTTTTGCTGTGTTGTCCAGGCTGGTTTCAAACTCCTGGGATCGAGCAATCCTCCTGCCTCAGCCTTCCAAAGTGCTGGGATTACAGACATGAGCCACCCACCATATTCAGCCACAATGTGCTATTTTTACATAACGTACTACGTGCGCCAGACCAGCATTATATATCTGAATCTGTCCAACAGATTTTCACCATAGGGAAGGAAAAGTGGCTCATCTGAAGTTACAAATCTGTGAAAATCACCAAATAGAACTTGAATCAAAACCTTTCTCCAACGTCCATGCATTCGCCACGTATTAGGTTGGTGCAAAAATAATTAAAAGTAATGGCAAAACCCACAATAACTTTGGCACTAACCCAATACTATGTTCTATGAGATGCTTCCAATTCTAAACAAACAGAACCTGGGCTCTGCCAGGAAGCCTTCTGTCTACCTTTGCTCTGTAAGTTCCTTTGTCAAGACTTTCTGATATGTGAGAGAAGAGTCCCATAGATTCTGGAGTCAAACGTGAGACTGAGTCCTGGCCCTGTCACTATCAACCTGCGCCCGGGCATGTTACCCCTACCTCACTAAACTTCAGCTCCCCCACTTGCAAACAGACATGAATATTTTACCCATTGTAGAGGAAAGTGGAGATTACATAGGAAATAAAAGTCATATTCATCCTTCAAGTCTTTGTTACTCAGAAACAGCTTCTCTGAACCCTAAATCAGGTTAAATTCAATTGCTTTAAAAGATTTTCAGAATACCCTATGCTCCTTCCAGAATAACATTTGGTATACCTGTAATTTCTTCTTAATTACATGCCCCACTTCTAGACCCTAAGAACAATGAAGACAGGGCTTATATCTGCTGTGTCTTTTGCTGTAGAATCACCTCCTAGAACAATACTACATAGAGGATGGACAACCAAGAATGAATGATTCAATGGCAACATGGTATTTATAAAGCAACTGGCATAGTCCCTGTCACACACAGAAGCACTTGTTATCTTTCCTCTCCCCTGGATGCATCAAGACCCATGGGGCTTCCTCATTCCCCCTTTCGGTTTTGTAACCAGCCTTGATGCAGAAGAGAAAAGCTGAAGGCTGAAGCAGATGATGCAGGCAAAATGCTAAGCTGGGAAATGCTAATGAGTCTTAGACAACATCGGAAAGAGCCACAAGGCCTACAATGAGGCCAAGAATTACAGTGATGCACTGCCATGTGTATACGTATTTGTAAGGTAGAAGAGAAAAGGTGTGGATACAGACAGGAGGGATGCCACAATAAGTAGCTAGAGAAGGAGAGAAGAAATGCAAGTCAAAGATGGAAAAGAACTGCAATGTGGGCTTCCCCCAAAGATAGACATGAACTTCACTGAATGGAGATAGTTGCCCTCCATGGAGCCCCTTCCACTTGACGGAACAACCAGGTCTGGCCTCAGTGACACTGACGTCAACCTTTAGGTGCCAAGCGAGACCCTGCTGAGGCTTGAACATGGAAATGGACTGTGAGATGACCTGTGCTGAAAGCCAGAGAGAGGAAGGAAATCCACAGAAGTAGTTCTGGACAGAGCCTTCAGGATGGGTTCCCTCTGAGAGAAGATAGCTTCATGCACCTTCTTTACTGAGGTGTGACCTTGATATCAACCCTGTCGACCTTGGAACCTGCTTCCTGCCTGGCTCCTGGGTGCCAGGCACAGGCTTCCTTCTGACCCTGTAATGTGGGTTGCTTCTTGTTGACTGGCTCCGTCCTTGCCCCTTCTCTGTGACTTCTACTTGAATAATGAGCTCTAAATATATTTTCTTGTTCAAAACCATTTTTCTTTTCTAATGCTAAATTATAAGGCTTGTGTGTGTCAGCAGGAAAATGCGTGCCCTGCTTTTCCAAAGGATGCAGAGATGCCGCTAGACATACTTCCAAACCGCTGGAAGCGGGTGGAGGCGCTTCCACCATCTCACCCACCCCAGAGTGGAGGCTTCTCTGCAGCCAAGCACGTTTCTGAGCAATTACTGACCCAACCCCAAGCTCCCTAATTATTTCTGCAAAAGTTCAGGATGGAGAATGAACTACTATTAATTATTAAAAATGAAAACCCAGACACACACACACACACACACACACACACACACACACCTACGGTGAAGGATTTCTGATCATCCCTCTCTTATTTCTCTGGTCTAGGTAGGACCATCAGAAACCACTGAATTTAGCTGGGCTGCTTGTGAGCCACACAAATTACAGGCAAACCAACAACCGCTAAAGTTTTTTTCCTCTTGACATCATTATCTCCAGCTAATGGAGGTGGTGGTTATAAAAGAAAAAAAATCAGAGATGGATGAGTCTTCATCTCCCACTGCTCTGCCTTTTCCTGGAAAATACGACTTAACTCTTTGTGGGTTGTTTTGTTTTCTTCAAATGAAAATCTTACAGAGAACGTGGCGCACTTACTGTTTCCACAGTTGGGTCCTTGCTAGGGTCTGGAGGGGTGTGCTTGTCCTTAAAGAATGAGGTGCACCCAAAGCCAGCCTTCAAAGGTTCAGCATAGCAGAAATGAAGACTAGGATGTGCAAAGGCCCTGGAGCAGGAGGGCACTGAAGAGGTGCAGAAATGGTGGGAAGCACTAGAGACAGCACCAGGCATGAAGTCAAGAGCCCTCCTGACACATGGCATCAGAATAACCTGGGGCAGGTTTATTGATCTGTAATTCATTTTACTCATCAGAGAGGTAGGCATCTGCCCAGACAGTTCCAAAGGGCCACTATGAAGCTCACCTAAGAGAATATAATACATTAGGGTACTGAGGATGGAATCCTTCCATCCCTGCCATTCTACCTGATCCACTGCCTGCCCCCAGACTGAGAGAATGACTCTAAAACATACCAAGAGACATAAACCTCTAACCAGCAACCCAGGCAAGTCCAAGAAAGTTGCACCCCTTTTTTTCCAATTCTCAAAGATGCAAATCTCTCCACCCATTTAACTGGGTTACCTGAAGAACATAGGACAGGCTTTTATTCTTCATCACTTTGAGAGAAAACTGATTATAAGTGTGACTCTACCTGGAAAAAGCTATGGCTCTGATTTAAATCTAAATATTCTGCAAGGCTGATAGGTGGCATCCTTCAACCCCCAGCTCACACTGCAACTTGGATGGAGATATAATTTGAATAGTCATTTTAAATTATAAAAAGACAAGGGGCCTTATATTCACTGGATAGTCTCCTCTCTCTGGGCAGCTCTGAATTAGCAAAAGCATTAGCTCCTAAAATAACAGGGTGAGAGAGGCACCCCTTTCAGAAGGGTTTGCATTAGCACTTTGATCACTTGCCCATCAAACTGTGCATTTCTGTATAGGAAACGAAGAACAGCTTGTCTCTACAGTCTATTATAATTACCACTAAATGCTCCAGAAACTTGGCAGTTTTGAATTTCATAACACCCATGACTGACATTCCTAATTAATACTATTGTTTTTCTCCTCTGGCTGAATTTCCTGAATGCCAACATGCACCGCATACACTAAAAACAGACATTAAAGAAAATAACATCAGTGTTAATCTCCAGCACAAATATATCAAATGCCTCAGTGAAGTGTATAGAAAAGAACCGGATTCCTATAAATAATGGAGCATCCCTCTCTGATCATCTTTATCCTTCTACACTAATAAGATGATCATGTCTCTCCCCCTGCCTCCTTGCTCTTAGATTTCAGAACCGCATTTAGTGAAGTGCACTCCCAGCTCTTTTATTCTCTTGCTTTGCTTTTAAGTTGCAGATTGAAACTTTCAAAGAAAACCTCCTAGCTTAAGTTAGAAATAGCATCCACTGGGCACTCTATAAATAGGGAATCCACAGAAGAGAGCAAGATGGTCTAATTTGTGCTTTCTAATGGATGTTTCTCTGGTTTGTGTGAGGCTGAGAGCACCCAGCATTTGCTGATGTCCTCATTTACTCTGCTGGATGGCTTCACCAGGGATTTCAGTGAGGGGGGCTCTGAGTCTGAATTCTGTCCCTGCCACCTGCCAGCTGGGCCATTTCCTTGTGCTCTCTGAGCCTCAATATCTTCATCTGCAAAGTGGAGCTTATAATAGCACCTACCTTTCAGGGCTGGAGTGAGACAATGCAATGAAAAAAATAATGTATTGAACAGAGATGCTAGGAGACAGTCAGTACTTATTAAACTTAGTTATTGGGTTTATGGTTGATACACTTCCAAGTTTGTTGACAGGTCTAAGAAAACCTGCAGGCACATATGAGAGACTCAATAAACTCTAACAGTTGAACTAGTAAGAAGGATAACCCTGTGAGGTGCCTAGCAGTTTAAACCGCACATGAGTAAAAAGGCAAGAAATGTGTATGAGTGTAGGATTAGTACTGTACAGAGTGACAGTTGTCTCTTTTACAGAAACCCAGGACCTCAGGCAGTATCACAGTGCAGAAACTTGGAAATGAAAATCAGGGCTTGTGGCTTAAGAGACAAAGGCATATGTTCCCATATCTTCCATAGCTCAGCCTACATTCACAACTTACATTGGTGTTGGTTTTGATCTTGATGGCACCTATGGACATGGGCTACAGAATAATTTTGCCCACTCAGCAATCCTGATTTGCTCCATCTAGTTGTTTAATTGAAAATGGGTTAATATTTATTTTGACTGTGGTGAAATGCATATAAGATTAAATGTATTATGAGAAACATTTAATACACTCACAGTATTAAGCAACCATCATCGCTATCTGAGTCCAGAACATTTTCATTACAAGGAAACCTCAGACCCGTTAAGCAGCCACTCCTCAAAACCCCTCCCCCAGCCCCCAGCCCCCAGTAACCACTAATCTGCTGTCGCTATGAATTTGGCTGCTCTAGACACTTCAGGTAAATGGAATCCTAAGGTCTGTGACCTTTTGTGTCTGGCTTCCCTCACTTAGCATGTTTTCAAGGTTCATCTACATTTTAGCTCATGTCAGTGCTCTATATCTTTTTATGGATAAAAAATACTCTGCTGTATGGATAGACCACAATGTGTTTATCTAGTCTTCCCTCGATGGGCTTTTGATTAGTTTCTACCTTTTGGATATTGTGAACAATGTTGCTATGAACATTCATGTACAAATCTTTTGTGGACATATACATATACCTGACAAAAGAATTGCTGGGCCCTATGGCAATTGTTTAAATTCTTCCACTTCTATGACTCTTATTTTCTACTCAGGAACCATCTCTTTCATCATGCTCTTTCCTTGTGTTTTCATCTCAAAAAGCCATCTTGGGCCCGGCGTGGTGGCTCACGCCTGTAATCTCACCACTTTGGGTGGCCAAGGCAGGCAGATCATGAGGTCAGGAGAACAAGACCATCCTGGCCAACATGGTGAAACCCCGTCTCTAATAAAAATGCAAAAATTAGCTAGCCATGGTGGTGCATGCCTGCAATCCCGGCTACTTGGCAGGCTGAGGCAGGAGAATTGCTTGAACCAGGGAGTTGGAGGTTGCAGTGAGCCAAGATAGTGCCACTGCACTCCAGCCTAACAGAACGAGACTCTGTCTCCAAAAAAAAAAAAAAAAAAGCCAACTTGTTCTCATTCTCTTTGGCAGGACTGCTCTACGGGTGGGTTTCTGACCCAGGTGAACCCAAAGAGCCCAAGCCTTGAGGCTTTTGCAGAAACTTGGCTCCCTCCTGCTGCTGGGTAGGCTGAGATAGTCAAACAGAGTTTGGAGCTGAGGGTGGCCACTCCCCCACCAAGCAAATAAAACAAAAACAGAAGGAAAGGACAGAGTAGGACAGATGCCTCGAGGCATCATTAGAGCATCCAGATTCCGTCACACTTAGGGGTAAAGGCCAACCCTCTGGAATTTTCAGCTCCATGAGATTACATTTTGGGTCTATTCAACTTGGTTTGAATTGAGATCTTTGTTGGGGTGCTATCCAAGTGCCATTATGTGGGTGCTCAGACAGTACCAATGGGTGGACTGATTGGGCAAGGATTATTTTCATTTAAATTCTGTAATGTATCATGAATACTACTACATAGGCATCCTGCTGGAGCAATGCTCCCCCTAACCAAAGCCTGAGTATCCATCTCCAAAACTGTGAACTGAGATAAGCAAGCTAGGGAGAATCTAATGCTGAAGGAGTCAAAAGTGTGCTCCACCCACCACCTCTCCAGCAACTTCAGACCAGCTACGAGCATTTCCGAGATAATGGTGAATGACCTCATATGTTAGACCAGGCACCTAAAACAAAAGTGGGAGGGAGGAGAGGAGGAGCCTGCTGTCAACAGACTTGTCACATACAGAGACATCTTGATGATAGGGGAAAGGAGAGGAAGAAACTGCTGGTTTGGTTAAAATGAAGAGTTATGCATAACACACCTACCTGTCACTTCCCCCAAAGCCTTCCCAGGCTGCAGTTTAATCTGAAGAGGAAAACAGTCCAGCCTCAGTCCACCCTGTTAATGCTCCCAAATAACAGATTGCTCTATTAAGTACTTTCCAGCAGTGCCAGTGGTTATCAGAACCACCTCTGATGATTTTGGCTACCAGTGAAGTCTTTTTGAAGCACTTCTCTTTCTCACAGGTTTCTAAAGCTCTGTGTTAAGGTCGGGAAAAAGAGATGATTTTTTGCTTCAAGGCTTATTCAGCTCAGAGATGACCTTAATTATATATTTTAGCAATTCTTTTTTTTTAAATTGGTGTTTTTGTTGTTTTTGAGATGGAGTCTCGCTCTGTTGCCCAGGCTGGAGTGCAGTGGTATGATCTCAGCTCACTGCAACCTCCGCCTCCCGGGTTCAAACAATTCTCCTGCCTCAGCCTCCTGAGTAGCTAGGACTATGGGCACATGCCACCATGCCTAGCTAATTTTTGTATTTTTAGTAGAGACAGAGTTTCACGATATTGATCAGGTTGGTCCTGAATTCCTGGCCTTTTAAAGCATGCTTGTTGGTGATGTGGTTGTTGGAATTTTTTTTTTTCCTGGTGGACAAAATGGTGTATTTCTAGAAATGCCTCATTAAGAAGCCAACCAGGGCAACTGCTGCCATCCCCTCAAAGTGGTCTACAGGTAGATCTCTCAGTCTTTGCAGAGACATCCTTGCCACAGGCAGTTTCGCTGCATCAATAAGCTCATCCCCACTTCACTATAAAGTCTCATTACCAGAAATATCCTCTTGGTGAACCTGGGGAGATGATAAAGGGGTTATTTAGTTTTATTCTTCCTACTTTGAAATTCCTGGCTTGGTGCTAGAGCTAAGCAAAAAGAAAAACTAATTCTAATAGTTTCACCTGCAGAAACACCAACTAGAAAGGATAAATGAAAAGATATCCAGAGATCAATCAGAAAAATAAGAAAATCCAAAGAGAGTTTGTTCAACCCGAATATACAAGCAAGATACATAGAATTTTCAAGTACACTTCTAGTACAGGCCACAAAGGAAATCAAGAATATTTTTAAGTTGATGAACTAATGGACCTCGCTCACTCACATCAATCCTAGAAAACTACAAGTAACCCAAAACCAATCCCAAAAACTATCTGCATACTTGCTAATTTTAAAATATATTTCTAAACAGAAAATCAAAATAGAAATTAATAAACAATGTAGAACCAAATGGCAATGTGCCATAGAGCAAACGTGACAGGACACAGCCAAAGTTGTTCTCAGGGGAAAATGTATAGCCTTACATGTACGTATTAGAAAATAAGAAAGGGCAAATAGCTATAGCTTGAACTCAGGAATCTTGGGGGTGGAGAGAGTGGAGAATGAAATAAACCCTAAGAAAATACAAAAACATAATAAAGAGAAAACAAAATGTTAATGAAGCCAAAAACTAAGTAAGCAACAACAAAAACACTGGGGTATACCCATAAAGACAAACGACTTTACTTTATAAATAATAGTGAAATAGGGAATGACCTATCCTGAAGGTAGACGGCAGAACAGGCATCTTATCAACCTCAAATGAAATTTGAGGACTCCGGAAGCAGCCCTTGGGAAAACAAGCCCAACCCTCAGAGGCCTTGCCCTATTTTTTTCTTCATGTGTCTGGTAGCAGATAGAATGAAACACACAGGGCAATCCACAAAGCAGAGATATACTTAATACATGCAAACTGAGCAGTGGTAAAATCAAGACTCATCCTCCTGGGGCTCAAATGAAAATCCGGAGTTACCCCACAAAAGTCACATCTCTACTACCCTGATGTCTTCACATAACAACTTCATGCTGACTCCTTAAGCAGGAGAAATAGAGATCCATTCCCTACCTAGAAAAAACAGATGGGGAGGAAGATGTGGATTAGAGCTCATCCTTCACATTCTTTATCTATCTAAAGTGGCTGCCCTAGCTCACTGCCAGTCCTATTAGCTGTCTCCTTCTTCTGTGGATTCTATCACAGTCTTTAAGTACACTGTTGGCTTAGGTACGTATTTAATATATCATCTATCTGTTCCAACAGAAACGCAGGCTCCAAAGGAACCTATTTGGTCTGTCTTGTCCATCGCTCTATTTCTGGGATCTAGGATAATGTCTGAGAGATCCAGGGAACAAAGTGAATTCAATGGAATTCAGTGGACCTTGTCATGGGAATAAAAGGAGCACGTAATCTTCCCAGAGGCTCCCGTGAGCTCTGTTCACTGTGCTGAGGAATTGTAAGACCTTCACATTGCTTCACGAGTACCAATGTTGAAGAAAAGAAGAAGGTCACAGAAATGGGATAATGAGGCTCCAATCATGCATTTACTCCACACACTGGGAACTGGACCAGATGCCCCGCGCTCTGCGAAGAACTGCCCTCCCTTTCCTTCCCAGCTGCCTCCGTATCCATGATGGATGTGCCCAAATGTGGCTTGTAAAGGCTCCAGGCAAACGGAACCGGCCCCTGCAAACCTCCCTTGGGGGCATCCTTGCTCTCTGCCATTAGACACGTGGAGAAGCTGACATGTCTGAAAGATTTCTCTTGTAGGCTCTGACTGGTTTGAGTGGGTGGCAGTTTTGACGGCTGGGGCCTGATTATCCCATTCACCCTTTGACATTTCGTCAGCTCTGCTTCTCTCCCAACGCAGGCGTGCCAACAACAGCTTTCAGCAGATGCCTCTCAGAAGCTGAGGCCTGCTGAAAACAGCACCTACTTCTGTGGGCTTTCAGGGCACAGCATGGCTCTGCTCCCACTCAGCAGCACGTGGGTATAAACCCGGGAGCACGACTGTGCCCGAACCCCCTGTGAGGGCCTGAGGGACTGGGGCAGCTGAGTTTTCCAGGATCTGTGCTAAGATCAGGACACTCAGTAAACATGGAGAAACAGTTAGAGGGAATCCAGCCACACATTCATTCATCCACTAAATACTAACTGAGTGCCAACTATCTGCCAAACACTGAACCAGGCGCTGGTTCTCTGATGGTGACTGGTGACCCAAAGGTCCCTGCCCCTGTGGCACTAGCTGGTCAGGGAAACAGCAAACATACAATCCCGTTTAATTTTATCAATGGCGACTATTTCAAGAAATGCAAAAAACAAGGTGGTATGTGGGGAGAACTACTTTTATCAGGAAGGAGGCCAGAGAACAAGGGGTATAAGGGAGAACTACTTTTATCAGGAAGGAGGCCAGAGAAGGCCCATAAGATAGGATGTCCTTAAAGCCAAACCTGGAGGAGGAAAAGGAGCCAGACACTTGGAAAGCAAGAGGCAGACTATTTGGGGCAGAGGGGACATGGATGCAAAGGCTCTGAGACAGAAAAGAGGTTGGCCAGAAGCAGTGGCTCCTGCCTGTAGTCCCAGAAAATTTGAAGACTAAGGTGGGAGGATCGCCTGAGCCCAGGAGTTCGAGGCCAGCCTGGGCAATATAGCAAGACCGCCCCCCCCCATGTAAAAATATCAAAAAGTTAGCCAGCCATGGTGGTGCACACCTGTGGTCTCAGCTACTCGGGAGCCTGGGACGAGAAAATCATTTGAGCATGGGAGGTAGAGGGCTGCAGTGAGCTAGGACTGTGCCACTGTACTCCAGCCTGAATGGCAGAACAAGACCCTATCTCGATAAAAAAAAAAAGAGCAGAGATAACAAATGGGAAATCAACCTGGGATGACAATATGGAGGTGGGCAGGAGGCCAAGTGTGCAGGGCCTTCTACACAGGATCAAGGCCATGTGTATTGCATTCTGAGAACAATGAGAAGCCAGAGGAGGATTTTAAACTAGGAGCAGCATTACCTCTCCATGGATCCCAGGAATTTGGAAAAAGCAAAAAGGAATTAGGACCGTGTGGACCAAGAGTCAGTATTTCCCACTTAGGAACTTCTGATTTTCTGATACTCAAAGCACATTTACTAGGACAAATGGACAGATTCTCCATCTCAAGTAGGATAAACCCTTAGGGAGTTTGCTGCATATCAGATTACTGGGTCCTGTGGCAGAAACTCTGGGAGCAGGAACAGGAATCCACTTTTTTTTTTTAAGAAGGAGTCTCGCTCTGTCACTAGGCTGGAGTGCAGTGATGCAATCTCGGTTCATTGCAACCTCCGCCTCCCGGGTTCAATTGATTGTCTGCCTCAGCCTCCCGAGTAGCTGGCTCTACAGGCACACACCACCGTGCCCAGCTAATTTTTGTATTTTTAGTAGAGACAGTGTTTCACCATGTTGGCCAGTATGGTCTCGATCTCTCAACCTCGTGATCTGCCCACCTCAGCCTCCCAAAGTGCTGGGATTATAGGCGTGAGCCACTGCGCCCGGCCAGGAATCCACTTTTAAAGAGTTCACAACTGACTCCGTTGCACAGCTTGGCTCGAGAACCCCCAAGTCAAGAGATGCAGTTCCTTAAAGATGTGATTATTTAAAATTTAGCCAATCGAAGAAACAACACATGGATGAAGCAGACACAGCAGCTATGGTGAGAGGGGCACGCCTAGAGGCAGCTGCCGAGAAGGGTGGGTCTCTACGAGAGAAGACAGTGTGCTCTCTCTGTCTGTCTCCTCCATGTGTGGGGTCCCCAGGAGCAGCTCTGATGTTCATACTGAGGAATTTCGCCATGGCCGGAATATCTCGAGTGCTGGCTTGTCCCTGAAGGGAAGGCGACTGCCCCATTTGCTTCAACTGGAACAAAAATAGGAGCATCAAGGGAAGCTTCCCCACCAAGCTTCAGCCACCAACTTTAAACTAAAATGCACAGCTGCCTTTTGAATGTCTTTGACGTGTGAAGCACAAGAGGCTGGGACAAATACAGACAAGAGGTGACCCAGAATATGGTGTGGTCTCCAGCTTTCCTGTTGCTTCCACGCTCACTGGCAGCAGGGCGCTCTACATGACGTGATTCCTGCAGTCCTCAGCATGGTGCCTTACACCAAGTAGGGGCTTTACAGCTGCTGGCTACCTTCATTCAGTACATAAACCAGCTTTGAATGATGCAGTGTTGAATATGGGATTGCACCCCCTGCACTCTCAACAACTGGTCACTGCTTGACTGAAGCTATTTCAATTGGCTATTCAATAGGATTTTTCAGCCAGGTGTGGTAGCTCATGCATTTAATACCAGCATTTTCGGGGGCTGAAGTGGGAGGATAGCTTGAGGCCAGGAGTTTGAGGACAGCCTGGCCAACATAGTGAGACCCCATTTCTAAAAAAAAAAAAAAAATTAGCTGGGCATGGTGGCATGTGCCTGTGGTCTCAACTACCTGGGAAATGGAAAGACCTCTTGAACCCAGGAGGTTGAAGCTATAGTGAGCCATGTTCGTGCCACTGCACTCCAGCCCGGGTGACAGAACAAGATTCTGTCTTGAAAATAAAATAAAATAATCAATAAATAATAGGATTTCTCAACCTCAACACTCTTGGCATTTGGAACCGGGTCATTCTTTGTTGTAGACAGCTGTCCTATGCGTTGTACGGTGTTTAGCAGTATCCCTGGCCTATACCTACCACATGTCAGCAACACACTCCCTGCCCCAGATGTGACAATCAAAAATTTCTCCAGACATTGCCAACTGCCCTCTGGGAGGCAAAATTGCTCTCCTGCCCACTGGAAACCCCACTACAGATAATCATAGATAACATGCACTGAGCGTCTACTATGTGTTAAGCACTATCCCAGCTACATGATATATGCTCTTTATTTAATCCTTTTAACCTAACAGTGGCATAGGTGTTACTATTCTCATTATGCAGATAAGGAAACTGAAGCAAAGGGGCCACTACACAACTTAGAAGTGGAGGGGACTAAACAGTGAACCCGATTGTCTTCAGTTTCAACTAGCACTGGAACTTCAAACCTCCACCCCCTACTGCTGTGTTATCAGTGACTTATTAGAAACATTCAAAAAATTCCACACAATTCTCCATATTTCATGTGTTTTAAGTTTTCACTAACACATTTTTAAAGAAAGAAAAAATTGTCATAAAATAAAAATGGTAGGGGGTAACTCCAGGTCAGTAATTCTCAAAGTGTGGTCCAGGTCCCCAGAACTCTTTCAGGGAGATCTACCAAGTCAAAACAACTTCATGGTAATACTCTGATGCTATGGGCATGTTTTACTCTCATTTTCTTATGAGTGTATGGGGGAGTTTTCCAGAACGTGTCTGAAAGTGATGATATTGGCACTTTCACACATAATAGATTATGTGGTCAGGTAACCCTGCATTTTAGAAAGTTCTCATTTTAATTTCTAGTACAACAAACATGGAGAGAGAGCGTTCACACAAACAAAAGCTCTTCAATATGTTCTAAGAGCATAAAGGAGTCCTGAAATTAAAATGGTTCAGAACTACTGTTTTACATTAGAAGACACTCAAAGGTATAAATAGTCAAACAGACCATATCAACTTTGATACGAATCCCAGTTTTCTGAGGGGAATTTAAAGGGGAAAATGGAAAGATGTTTGTCAAAGGGTCCAAACTTTCAGTTAACAAGATGTCTAAGTTTTGGCCGGGCGCGGTAGCTCATGCCTGTAATCCCAGCACTTTGGGAGGCCGAGGTGAGTGGATTACGACGTCAGGAGATGGAGACCACCCTGCTAACATGGTGAAACCCCATCTCTACTAAAAAAATACAAAAAATTAGCTGTGCTTGGTGGCACGTGCCTGTAGTCCCAGCGACTCGGGCAGCTGCAGCAGGAGAATCGCTTGACCCCAGGAGGTGGAGGTTGCAGTGAGCCGAGATCTCACCATTGCACCCCAGCCTGGGCAACAGAGTGAGACTCCATCTCAAAAAAAATAAAAAAAGGCTAAGTTTTGGGAATCCAATGTAGTGCATGCTGACTACAGTTAAAAATGCTGTTGTGTTTCCTTAAAATTTGATAAGACAGCAGACTTTAAGTGTCTTCACCATACACAATAGTAACTAACTACGGGTGAGGACCAACGTGTTAATTTGATTGTCATACTCATTTACACAATGTGTATGTACATCAAATCATTACACCGTATACCTTAAACATATACAAGTTTTGTCAATTAAGTATTTTTAAATCTTAAAAACTTAATAGATAAAGACATTTGTGAGACAACTGGGAAAATCTGGATATCTACTGGAGACTAGGTAATATGAAGGAGTTATTAATTTTGTTCTTATCCTGAGGAGATGCAGGCTAAGGTTTCTACAGTGGATACATACAACTTACTGTGGCTTATATACACACCACACACATGTAAACATGCAGATACCTCTTTTAATATACACAAATGTAGGTAAAGCAGAGGTGACAAAATGTTCACTGTCACTGACCCTGGATGGTAAGTATATAGCGTATGTCATATTACTCATTGTTATATTTTCCTTCCATGTTCTGTGGAATGTTTGTAATAAATAAGTTGGGAAAATAATTAAAGTTGGGAAAGTAGATTCAACTTTGTGTCACAAAGAGATATATAGTGAGGAAAGACAGGAGGCCTTTTAAGTTTCCTTTCTTTTCCCAATCTCAGGAGGAAGACGGCCAGGCTGAAGTGAGCAGGTGCAGAATGAGTATGCCATTGAATTAGCACTCCCAGCCCCAGCACAGCAAAGCTTAGGACTCATTTAACATGGCGCTACCTCCTCAACCCTATATCAAGCCATTCTGGGACCTCTAACATCAGCACTCCTTCCTCCTGGGTTGGAGGCAATTCATCCTCAATTTGCACACGCAGCAGCTACGGCCATAGGAAAGCCAGCTCAGAATCCTTTATGCTCCATGACAGGAATCTCTTCCTGTCTACTCTTCGCCCTCATTCACCACTCCGCCTGCTTCAGCTCACCTCTCCGGCATAGCAGGCATCTTAAAGCGTCATTCATGGCCCAATTTATGGATCTGTTAGCTTTATCAGCTTAGCTCTCAACTGGATATTTTAAGCACTTTATCTCTATGGAAAATATAAAAAAAAATAATGAACTGTGCAGAGAAAGAAATGTGAAAATTATCTAAACAGAGCAAACGGCAACCATAAATTCCCTATCTTCCCAAGAGATGATGAGAACACCCAATCAGAATAGCACCTGGGTGATTTAATAAACCTAAAAGAACGCATCACACACAACGTATGGCATTCATGACTCACATTGCATTGATAACGAAATCACAGGTCTGAGACAAGCATCTAGAGGACAGTATCTCTCCTTGAGTCCCAGTTATAAAATGATGAGCCAAAGACCCCTTCATAGTCACCGGACTCTACCAGCTAAGCCGAAAACGCGAGGGAGAGGAGAGTGCAATGAGGAGGACCTGCTGGTCACAAAGACTCAACAGGGATCTAGGGTTTGCACCAAATTCCCCTCTCTCACTGGGGCGCTTGAGAATACCATTTAATACCAGACACTCAACGAAACAACCTTGACTCTAAACATCATTTCCCTGACCTCCACACTCCAGGTCCCCCAGTCAACCTGAGTCCCATTCTCGCCAAATGCAGACAAGGCATTTGTATCTAAATGAGAGATTTTTAACTGTTTTATGCGCCTTGAACCCCGTTGGTCTAACAAAGCCTATGGGTCCCCTCTCAGGATGTTTTTAAATTCATAAAAATAGAATAAAAAGAACTATAAAATATATCGATAATACTGCAACCTGTGATTTATCAATTGATGCTTCTGTATTAATGCATTAAATAACAAGATCCAGCAGCACACCTAATAACCACCATAATTTCAAGGTAGGGATGAGGATAACTAGTATTTGGGGATACCTGCAACAACTGCAATGTGATGTGAAAATACCAATGATTTGACTGATGACAAAGCCACAGATTCTGCTAAAAACCACCTGTGGTTTGTTCTCTACCTTGGTAACTGGACGAAACTCTTTAACTTATCAGTTAGAGTTCATGTAAATAATCATGTCACTTTTTTCACAGCCACATTTTCAGACTCCCTGAATCCTATCCACTAACCCCAGGTTTAAAATGTCTGGAAAATTTTCAAAAAAAGATATACCGGCCAGGCACGGTGTGGCTCATACCTGTAATCCCAGCACTTTGGGAGGCCGAGGCGGACGGATCACAAGGTCAGGAGACTGAGGCCATCCTGGCTAACATGGTAAAACCCCGTCTCTACTAACAATACAAAAAATTAGCTGGGCATGGTGGCGGGCACCTGTAGTCCCAGCTACTCAGGAGGCCGAGGCAGGAGAATGACGTGAACCCGGGAGGCAGAGGTTGCAGTGAGCGGGGATGGCGCCACTGCACTCCAGCCTGGGCGACAGAGTGAGACTCCATCTCAAAAAAAAAAAAAAAAAAGATATACCAATGGCCAACAAACATAAGAAAAATGTCCAACATCAGTAATCATCAGGGAAATGCAAATCAAAACCATAAAAGAATACCACCTTATGCCTGCAAGAATGGCCATAATCAAAAAAATCAAAAAACAGTAGATGTTGGCATGGATGCGGTGAACAGGGAACACTTCTGCACTGATGGTGGGAATGTAAACTAGTACAACCACTATGGAAAACAGTGTGGAGATTCCTTAAAGAACTAAAAGCAGATCTACCATTTGATCCAGCAATCCCACCACTGGGTATCTACCAAGGTTATGCAAAAAAGATAATTGCTCATGCATGTTTATAGCATCGCAATTTGCAATTGCAAATACGTAAAAGCAATGCAAGTGTCCATCAATTAACGAGTGGATAAAGAAACTATGTGAGATATATATATATATTTATACATATACACACACATATATATACATATATTATATATATACATATATACATATATTATATATACATATATACACATATATTATATATATACATATATACATATATACATACACATATATATATATATACACATTTATATATATGTATGTATGTATGATGGAATACTACTCAGCCATGAAAAGGCATGAATTAATGGCATTCACAGCAACCTGGATGAAATTGGAGACTATTATTCTAAGGGAAGTAACTCAAGAATGGAAAACCAAACATAGTATCTTCTCACTTATAAGTGGGAGCTAAGCTCTGTGCCCTCTGGGTATTCCAGGTAATACCCAGAGAACGAATGACCCATACAGAGTGAGTTAAATTGGAAAATCACTGCCATTTTCCAGGGTCAAGAAGCACCATCCCAAGTCTCATCAAGTGAATTAAGTGTCCCAATCTGATGATCAAAGTTAGATGATCACCCTGGAACGTGGCCACTCAAGGCTCAGGCTCAGGAAGGACAGCCTGGGTCCCCTCAGCTTGTTTCAGCTACAAACTTGGACTGCAACGAGGAGTTTGCTCCCCTTGGCTCAGGATATCTTTCCAATCCTGATGTCTCCAGTCTTGGGGTCTCAGCTTCCCAGCAGGTTGTTTGCCTGAGGTCTCCAGTAACAAAAGAGAAGAAATCATGCCCAGGTCTGCGAGCCTTTCTTCATTTCCTCTGCTCACTCCACTTGCTGGATCAATCCTGGCATTGCTTTGCTCAACAACTGACTTGTAGCCACAGAGCAGGCATTCTCTCCAACCCTGCCCTGGAGTCTGGATCACGAAATGGTATCAAGAATTTGCAGACCTTAGCTGGGCGCAGTGGCTCACGCCTGTAATATCATCATTTTGGGAGGCCGAGGTGGGTGGATCACCTGAAATCAGGAGTTCAAGACCAGCCTGGCCAAGGTGGCGAAACCTCGTCTCTACTAAAAATACAAAAATTAGCCTGGCGTTGTTGTGGATGCCTGTAATCCCAGCTACCTGGGGGTCTGAAGCAACAGAAGAGCTTGAACTGGGAGGTGAAGGTTACAGTGAGCCAAGATCGTGCTACTGTACTCCAACCTGGGTGACAGAGTGAGATTCTGTCTCAAAAAAAAAAAAAGAAAAGAAAAGAAACAAAAGAAAGAGAGAAAGACAGAAGGAGAAAGAAAGAAAGAAAGAAAAGAAAAGAAAGAAAGAAAAGAAAAGAAAGAAAGAAAGAAAGAAAGAAAGAAAGAGAGAAAGAAAGAAAGCGAGCGAGAAAGAATTTACAGACCTCAAACCAAACCCTCCAAGTCCAGCAAGTGAAAAGTGAGTGCCTCTATATGACAGCTGAGCCACACTGTGCTGCTCAATACTTTAAACCCTAGAGTCGGGCTGTCAGGCCTTGCATTCTTATTCCACCCCATTCACTGGTCCTGTGATTGTGAGTACTTTATTCACTCCAGTCCCAATTTCATCCTCTGTAAACAGCAACAGCAGGATCAACCATACTGTCTTATAATGTGGATTAAGTGTGAGAAAGACCACAAAGGGTTTGTGATACAATAAATTGTTTATACATTAACTATTATTAGGGCTGTTAATGTGAATTTGTCAGGAAATCATGGTTCTAAGACCATATATGGCTTGCTTTGAAGTCAGTGAAACCAGAGTTCTCCAATCAACCAGATCATTCCCAGAGAAAAACTAATAAATAGGTCCCCAATCAAGAGATGTATACCACATATATTCAGAGAAGACTGTTTCTTTTTTTTCTAAATTTTACTTTAAGTTCTGGGATACATGTGCAGAACATGTAGGTCTGTTACACAGGTATACATGTGCCATGTTGGTCTGCTGCACCCATCAACCCATCATCTAGGTTTTAAGCCCCGCACGCATTAAATATTTGTCCTAACGTTCTCCCTCCCCTTGCTCCCCACCCCCTGACAGGTCCCAGTGTGTGATGTTCCCCTCCCTGTGTCCATATTTTCTCATTGTTCAACTCCTACTTATGAGTGAGAACATGCGGTATTTGGTTTTCTGTTCCTGTGTTTATTCCAACCCAAACGCCCATCAATGATAGACTGGATAAAGAAAATGTGGCATATATACACCATGGAATACTATGCAGCCATAAAAAAGAATGAGTTCATGTCCTTTGCAGGGGTATGGATGAAGAGAAGACTATTTCTAAGAATCCTTGGGTATGGCTATAAGAGCTACAGATCTTATGTTAAGTGTTCTTAATTTACATGAAACTAAAAATATTAACAATTATAAATAAGCAATCAGGAAGAAACTTTTAGAGGTGATGGACAGGTTTATGGTGTAAGATGTGGTGATGGTTTCACAGATGTATTCTTATCACCAAACTTAACAAGTTGTATATGTTAACTATGTACAGATTTTTGTATATTAATCACACCTTAGTAAAGTGGCTTAAATTTTGAAAATGCCAACTTATTCCAACCAGCACTCTTAAATGAATGTGAGAGAGTTGCAAGACATACTAATAAAGATAATTATATTAACAACAAAAATAACGATTTTAATGATATGCTCGCCTCTGCACTGAGTGCTGAGAGACATTACTTTTTTCATCCTGAAAGACAACCCTCTGTGAAAGCTATTACTGTTCACACTTTATAAAATAAGAAACTCAAAACTATAGGAAGTCCAAATGATTTGCCTACACACATGCACCTAAGAAGAGAAACAAGGTTTGGAATCCAGCTTTCCCTAAGCCCCAAATCATTCAAGTTACTAATATTTTGCTACTATTGGTAATAATTAATATTATTCATTACTCCAGAAAAGTAATCCCAGTCAATCTTTCCACAAGCTTTTAACGAGCACGTACTACAAGTCCAACACTGTGAAAGTGGCTGACATTGTGGTGAACAAGACAGACACAGTGACCATCCTTCTTCCTCAGAGCTCACAATCTAGAGACATGCAGGAGATCTACCTAATCTACAATTGCACATGCTTTAAAACAAATCATTGTCAGTGTGCAAAGTACTTCCAAAGACAAACAGAGAGTCAAATGGAGGCTTCAACAGCACCTCCTCCTAATTCATACTGCTGGCAAAGTCAAAGTGTAGGGCTATTTTCGCTTTCCAACAAGCTATTAAATTCCATTTCCACTTCGACCTTCTCAAGGGTTACACTGTACCTGTGAGATGAGAAAGAGGTACAAATGCACTCCCATTTCATCTGCCTGCAAAGCTTGAACAAAGACACACAGGGCACTCTGCTGTATCAAGGACAACCATTACAGCTCCTCACCCAATCATTCCCTTTGCAGTTGTAGCAGAACCCACTTTGAAAAATTCTGGGAAGGAATTTAAAGCACCATTCATCGCTGAACCTAGCCACACCCCATCTTCAGTGTTCTTCCAGCCAGCTGTTGCTACAGATGTCATTTCCTGCCAGATATGCTCATGAAAAGCCTCAATTGACCTCCACCTCCAAGGAGCAGGAGAAAGTCTGTGATGCTTGATGTCTTTCCATTCTCAGGCAACAGGAGTCTTGACTCTTCCCACATATCTTACCCGCATGAAATGGGTGAAAACTATCAAGTCCACACTCAAAAAAAATCATAGAACATGTTTCCTGCCCACAGTCCTTCTCCTCACATATTATCACAAGCCTGATTTCCACAGTAGATTCTGCATATGATGGTGTGCAAATGCCACCCTCGTCGGGGCTAAATTCCAGATAGCAAACAAATAATAAAATATGTTCCATTTGAAGATGGCACCATCTGTCAGCCCTGCTCTTAGATTTGTCTCCTAAGTGTGGAGACAGATGCGCCCTAGTGTGTGCGTCCTCACTAGGACTCCTGGGTAGGAAGCGTAGGCTGGACCCAGTGTGCAAGGCAATGCAACGTATAATCCAAAGCAGGAGAGCCTCTACTTGCTGGGGGGGAGCTGTCCTGGATGCTGAAATGGTACAGAGATGAGAAGAGAGCATTTCATCCCTTTCATTCCCCTGCTTGCTTACAAATAAAGGGGGGAATACAATGGAAGCCACGAGGGAAGGAGAGAGTGGGGAGAGAGCGAGGGACAGAGAGAGAGAGAGAGGAAAGAAGGAAGAAGGAGGAAGGAGGAAGGGAAAGGAGAACATGGCAAAGGCTGCAGGAGGAGGAGCACATCACACCAGGCAGTAGGATCCACAGGACCCAGACTTGGTCAGTCTCGGACTGTCATGCCAGGTTGTGAATGAGATGCGAAAGGGCTTGAGGCTTTGGGAGGCTCAGTGGGGCTGGATGAGAAACGAACAGGGTGTTTTCACATCCAGCACAGGACAGGCTTGAACCAGAAAGTCCTGTGCTTGGAGTCTTGGAGGACGATTCTGAATGAGAGAAGAAAACACCACAAAGAAGGAAGAAGGACAGGTGAGAACGTTCCTTCCCAACCTCCACAAGAAATGGTATGGACTTTAGGTTGGGGGGAGTCCTGATTTGAAATGTTTGCTAATTTCCATGGTATAAATACTCCCACTACAGCATGGCCCATTTCCAGCTTAATGGCTTAACATCTGGCTTGCAGGATTCCTGAGAATTCAACACTTGGCTCCCAGAAGCCAATATGGATTGGCTCCAGCATATTACAGGCCAAAGAACAGCTTGATGCACTTTATATACAACATGTCAAACAGACTCAAAGCATTAATTTCAAGTCCATTTCACAGATAAGAGGTCTGAGGCTCAGAAAACGACTCGTCCAGACTGACACAGCAGGTGCATGCTCGAGCTAGTATTTGACCCAGACGTGTCCTCACTGCAAAGTCTATGCACTTTTCACTACAGGCAGGGATGGAACTCTTGACATCAGGCTTATCAACCAAAAGCTCGCACCAGCTGGGCCCCGCCTGCCCACCCTGCTGCGTGAGTGGCCGACCAGATGGGATCTGAGAACATCCACAAAGTGAGAAGGAGAATAGACGAGCAGACACTGACTTTATCCTCTCATCTTTCAGGGGCCGAGAGCAGCCCTCCTGCCCACTGGTCTTGGCTGAGTTTGCCACGGACCCCTGACCCAGCATCCATTCTAAGAGGGCACATATGGCCTGGACTCAGTGGCTGCAGGTAAACCGGCTGGGCTTGAGCCACCCCACCCCTGGCCTGTGGAAATGAGCGGCTCTAAGCACTTTTGGAAAATGAACAGTATCTCTCAGAGCCAGCACCTGCCCCAAAAGCCGAGCATTTCAAAGAGAGCGGCAGCTGCACATGCGGCAGAACAGGCTTCTGGTCTGTTAGCGGAGGGAGAGGCAAAGGAGGTCAGGGAGAGGCAATCACCCCAGGCCCGCATACGGCTCAGCACCCCACCTTCTGCACAAAGGCGCAGCACACGGCTCCGCACCCCAACTTCCTCAAAGACGCAGCACACGGCTCAGCACCCCACCTTCCGTACAAAGGTGGAGCACACGGCTCCACACCCCACCTGCCTCAAAGAAACCCAGCACACGGCTCAGCACCCCACCTTCCGCATATAGGCCCAGCACATGGCTCCACACCCCACCTTCCGCACAAAGGCCCAGCACACAACTCAGCACCCCACCTTCTGCACTGAAGCCCAGCACACGGCTCAGCACCCCACCTTCCGCATATAGGCCCAGCACATGGCTCCACACCCCACCTTCCTCACAGAAACCCAGCACATGGCTAAGCACCCCACCTTCCGCACAAAAGTGCAGCACACGGTTCCGCACCCCACCTTCCGCACAGAAGGCCAGCACACGGCTCAGCACCCCACCTTCCACACAAAGGCCCAGCACACAACTCAGCACCCCACCTTGCTCACACAGGCCCAGCACACAGCTCAGCACCCCACTTTCCGCACAGAAGCCCAGCACACGGCTCAGCACCCCACCTTCTGCACAGCAGCTCAGCAGGTTGAGTGTGCACAGGGTGCAGCAGAGACCCAGTCACCCCTGATATGAGAAAGGAAGGGTAAGATGCCAACCACATATGTACTATACACATCATGCTACCTACAGTGACCCCTGAGTCCTGGCAGTTAGCTGGTGACCTGGAAAGCTTACAAAGATAAGGTGGCTGAGCTGGGAAAAGGAGATCTGTAATCCACCCAGGGTCACTAACCAGAATCTGAATTCAAGTCTGTCTGGTTTCAAATCCTTTGTTCTTCCCACTGTGCCTCTCTGAAAGGCACATTTATACCCTTTATGTAGCTGGGTTCCTGCACCCATTTTCCCAGCTAAGCTTCTGAATGTGAAGCCGGGTGGGTGAGTGGGTGGGGGCTGAGAGGAGGACGTGCAAAGACTTCTGGAGTGGAGGTCTGGATGGTATGGCCTTGGCGAAGCACAAAAAGGTGACCCTAGTATAATCCTGTCATCCCTCCTGTTGCACAAAGACTCTGATTAAAGATAATAATTTATGTTTAGGCTCCTGTAACATGTGATACAGGCTTCCCTTCCAACTATGCCATCAAGGTAGGAAAGCCAGTGGTTAAAAGCACAGGCTTTGGGGTCAGACCGATCTGCATTCACTTCCAAGATCTGATTCTCTGGGCATATTAGTTAACCTTAGTGAGCTTCAGCTTTCCCATCTGTAACATGGTTTGATGATAGCAGCTACCCTATAAGGTAGTTTTAAAAAGTAAATAAAATCAAATATATAAAGTGCTAAGTGGTATCTAAAGACTAGTAATCTCTCAGGATATGTTAACTCTGTCAATATCTTCTTCATCATCATCATCATTAAAAGTATAATTTTTTTTAGATGGAGTCTCACTATGTTGTCCAGGCTGGAATGCAGTGGTGTTATCTTGGCTCACTAGAACCTCTTCCTCCAAGGTTCAAGAGATTCCTGTGCCTCAGCCTCCCAAGTAGCTGGGACTATAGGCATGTGTCACCAAGCCCGGCTATTTTTTTCTTTCTTTAGTAGAAATGGGGTTTCTCCATGTTGGCCAGGCTGGTCTTGAACTCCTGACCTCAAGCGATCCTCCTGCCTTGGCCTTCCGAATGCTGGGATTACAGGCATGAGCCACTGTGCCCGGCCTAAAAGCATTATTATTATTAGTTTACTTTGTTACCGATATGCAAATGGATGCTTATGATTGGACAACAATATTGTTCAGAAGAAATTATGTAACCAGAACTCCTCATGCAAATCTAACAGGGAAGTATAAAAAGCAGGCAGGGATGGGTATCCATGCGGAATCAGTTAGACTGAAACGGCTCACTCACAGATGGGCACTGGGAATTCACACAGCTGATGGAGGGTTGGGGAAAGGTGGTGACTGACAAGGTCACACACAGGACAGGACGGGGTGCTCATTTCCCCCGAAAAAATGCTGACTCCTGACAACCCTGGGAGGGTGAAACCTGATCCAGGTCCCAAAGGCAACCTGTGCTTTGGTCCCTCCGTTCTGCAAGGTGGCCTGGGGCAGGATTCTGTGTGTGTCTACCTGGGGTGGCAGCAGAGACACTCGCCTGTGTCCTCCAACCAACATTCTGCAGGTTGCTCCAGGAATGGCTGTGCAAGAAGCTAGGATTCCGGCTGGGCATGGTGGTTCACTCCTGTGATCCCAGCACTCTGGGAGGCCAAGGCAGGTGGGTCACGTGAGGCCAGGAGTTCCAGACCAGCCTGGTCAACATAGTGAAACCCTGTCTCTACTAAAAAGACAAAAATTAGCTGGGTATGGTGGCAGGTGCCTGTAATTCCAGCTACTCAGGAGGCTGAAGCAGGAGAATCGCTTGAACCCAGGAGGCAGAGGTTGCAGTGACCTGAGATCACGCCACTGCACTCCAGCCTGGGTGACAGAGTGAGACCCTGTCTCAAAAAAAAAAAAAAAAAAAAAAAAAAAAAAGAAGGAGGTAGTGTTCTCCCAGAGGAAGGGAAGAGAAAGGGAGAGGGAGAAGGGACAGCAAGGAAGGACAGGGGAGGAAAGAAAAGAGAGAAATGAGGCAGAGGGAAAGAAGGAGTGAAAAGTGATCAAGGAGAGAGTGAGGAGACAGGAAGGTGTTCCCTGTGTCTCATTCACTGGCTTCGTTCCTGTCTTCATGACCCGTCGCCTGCTGCCCCGTCCTCCATAAGGACAAAGACTGTGTCCGTCTGTTAACAAGACCCAAACTGAGCATTCAATAAATGTGGGAGAAGACAGGGAGAAGGAGGGAGAGAGGCAAGGGAAGACAGAGAGAGACAGAGAGAGGAAGGTAGGCTCCTGGTAACCCCTGTTAAATGAAGAGAAAAGCTGCCATTCCCTCCCCTCTGGTGTTTATCTAAGCAGCTGGCAGAACTAAGGCAGTTTTGCTTAAAAATCATTTCCCAGGGGATTAGCATCCCCTTTCACACTTAAAAGCCTTCCCCAAAGCCAAAGAATGAATTGATTTTCCTATAACTAATCACACTCCCGTTTAATAGCAGGAAGCCACTGCTTTATTTTCCATTTCTGTCTCTAAAAATGCAGACTGGGCATCCAGGTTGCCTCTCCCGCACCACTTGCAGGATGCCAGGATGATGGAGGAGGCCCTCGACGGGGCTCCCTCCCTCCCTCCACACCACCACCACCACCACCACCACCGCCGTGGCTGCCTCTGAAGAGGACGAGGAGTGTGGCTGAGAGCCCAGAAAGGGGCACTTCACATCTCCCGAGGCCATCAGAGTCAGCCTCTCTGGCCCAAGCAGCTGCCTCTGTTTGCTCAGGTAAGATTGAGAGCCTCGTCTTACGACTATTTCACCAGGAGTTGGGGGTGGGGGCTGGAGGCTGTTGAGTCCCTGTCGAAACCACAGAGGTTATTGAGAGGAAAGCTCATCCATGAAGACCCCAACGTGCCTTCAAAACTTGTGTTTGCTTAAGCAGCCCAGACGGCCAATGCTTCATGTAGAGAGCAATGTGGTGTTTGCAAAACATCGACTCTGCCTCTTCCTGTGGGCCGACCTCCCCGCGTGTTCCACCGGGAGGCGATTCTTGCGAACTCGAGTGCTACCTCCTCTGATGAAGTGCTTCACATCCCTCTATAATCTGCACAGTGTGAAGGACTAACAAGCTCAGCTCAAGGGCAATCCACCAGCCTGAAAACACCTGGATCAAATCCACCCCATGTACATGTTGTCAACACAAGCAGTTGTTGAGTGAAAACAGCGAGTTGTACATGATGGCCTTCAATTTGTGTTTGTTGAAAAGAGAAATGTAAATTCATGCAGTACTTTGTGCGTGGATATTGCTAATTGTAAAGTACCAAAAAACAGACAAAGAAGATAAAAATAAATTCATGACAGAGGCTGCATCTCTCAGGGAAGAAAGGGAAATGAGAGAGGGAGACGATGGGATGAGCTTAGCTATGATTTCTGTTTTTAGTTTTATTAAAAATATTAGGAGAGACCAATAACAACTGCCAATGTGGGGTGGTAGAAACACATTTTAAAAATATTATTTCTGACCCGGCATGGTGGCTCATGCCTGTAATCCCAGCACTTTGGGAGACCGAGGCAGGTGGATCACCTGAGGTCAGGAGTTCAAGACCAACCTGGCCAACATGGCGAAACCCCGTCTGTACTAAAAATATAAAAATTAGCCAGGCATAGTGGCGCATGCCTGTAGTTCCCAGCTACTTGGGAGGGTGAGACAAGAGAATCGCTTGAACCCAGGAGGCGGAGGTTGCAGTGAGCCAAAATTGTGCACTCCAACCTGGGTGACAGAGAAAGACTCCATCTCAAAACACAAAGTACATATATACATATGTACATATATATGTGTATATATATGTATATGTATGTATATATGTGTGTATATATATATAATCGCTTTTATGTATCTTTAAACATCTGATATATATTTTTTTTTGATACAGAGTCTCATTCTGTCTCTCAGGCTGGAGTGCAGTGGCACAATCTCTACTTACTGCAACCTCCACCTCCTAGGTTCAAGTGATTCTCAAGCTTCAGCCTCCCAAGTAGCTGGGACTACAGGTGAGAACCATCACACCCGGCTAATTTTTGTATTTTTAGTAGACATGGGGTTTCACCATGTTGGCCAGCCTGGACTCAAACTCCTGACCTCAAGTGATCCGCCTGCTTTGGCCTCCCGAAGTGCTGGGATTACAGGCATGAGCCAGTGTGCCTGGCCTAAAATGTGATTTTTAAAATATGCAAATAAAAAGAGGAGGTAGACACAAGGAAAACTAACTCCATATCCTCAATAACTTCCAGTCCTGCCCACGTCTAAATGCATTTTTTTCTTTTCTCCTTCTAGATCAGAGTTTCTCAGCGTCAACTCTTGACGTGTTGGGTAAGATCATTCTTGGTGGTGGGAGATGTCCTGTGCATCATAGGGCACAGAGCAGCATCCCTGGTCTCCGCCCACTAGATGCCAGTACCACCTCCCCGCAAGTTGTACTAAGCAAAATGTCACTGGACATTGCCAAATTCCCCTAGGGAACATCACCCTTGGTTGAAAAGCCCTGGTCTAGATGAAACCTATGTCAGCCCAGTGTCCCCTCTTCTGGCAGAGTGCACCACACCTGCGCAGTCCTTCAGCACCTTCTGATCACACTCGCATGCATTCTCTTACTCTGGTTTTTTAGTTGCACTACCTAAGAAAGTGAGGTTGTGACACCCATTGCCCAGATGTGAAAACTGAGGCTCCGAGAACTTGAGAACCTCTGACACAGCAGGTTTTCCCTGAATTCTCCTCCTGCATATCGTATGTATTGTCGTGGTTAGTGTTATTCATCAAAAGCCTACAAGGTGGCCAGGTGCAGTGGCTCATGCCTGTGATCCCAGCACTCTGGGAGGTAGAGGCAGGCTGATCACTTGAAGTAAGGAGTTTGAGAACAGCCTGGCCAATACAGTGAAACCCTGTCTCTACCAAAAATACAAAAATTAATCAGGGACAGTGCTGCATGCCTATACTCCAAGCTACTCAGGAGGCTGAGGCAGGAGAATATCTTGAACCCAGGAGGTGGATGTTGCAGTGAGCTGAGATCATGCCACTGCACTTCAGGCTGAGTGACAGAATGAAACTCCATCTCAAAAAACAAAAACAAAAACAAAAACAAAACAGCCTACAAGGTGCCAATCTTCCTGTGTTGGGAAGCAGAGATTTTTAAAATAAAGCACACACAGAATCTGTTCCGGGAAACTTGTACCAAGCCTGGCAGCTGATTAGGGGAAGAATGCAGCCTTGAACCTGGCGTTGCAGGTTCTTATTGTTAAGCTACGGATTAGTTCTTCTTACCCTAATAATCAGAGAAGGTACTGACTTACTGAGGTCTACTCTTTTCTTGTTCTTTTTCTCCTTTCCCACACTGGAGAAATGGGGAAAGGGAAAGGAGAAGAGGTGGGGTTTCCACGGGACAGAGACTAACATTTGCTCAGTGCCTACTGTGTGCCCTGAGCTTCAGATAACTTGCCTCGACTGACTTCACAATAACCCCGTGAAGTGGACAGCAGTGTTTACATGTTGCCAAAAACATGAAACATGAAACCAAAGGATCCTATTTCACAGTGGCAATAAATTGCAGGCACATTTAAGAAGAAAAGGGACCTAATTTTTCTAAAATACAATTTCCTCTGAGGCAGTAGAATGTCCACCATTAAGCAGATGTAGAACTAAATCCCAGCTGTGCCCCTTCCAAGCTCCATGGCCCTGGGTGAATGACCTCACCTCCTGTTGCCTCACTGTTTTGCTTCATAAACCTGGGGTTCATATTCAGTGAAACGGTGCACATGCCACCCACATATCACTGGTCCACCTTGAGGCAGGATTTTGTCCACTGATGCATTAAAACACACACACACATTCTGAGTCCACAGGCATTTAACAATCAAGTGTTTCTTAGAAGGAAAGAACAGGGTCCTATAGTGTATTTCACACAGGAATGGCATCTGCATCCTTCCCTAGAAGCCTCCATCGCAGCCGCCGGCTGCGCTCCCCTTTCTCGGTATTTCCCTCCCACCATCAAGAGGGTCTTCCTGGCTGGGCGTGGTGGCTCACGCCTGTAATATCAGCAGTTTGGGAGGCTGAGGCAGGCAGATCATGAGGTCAAGAGATTGAGACCATCCTGGCTAACACAGTGAAACCCTGTCTCTACTAAAAATATAAAAATTAGCCAAGCGTGGTGATGGGCGCCTGTAGTCCCAGCTACTTGGGAGGCTAAGGCAGGAGAATGGTGTGAACCTGGAAGACAGAGGTTGCAGTGAGCAGAGATCACGCCAAAGCACTCCAGCCTGGGTGACAAAGCGAGACTCCATCTCAAAAAAATAAAAAATAAGAGGGTCTTCCCTTACCTGCCCAGACCCCTGCCATGCCCTCCCTGACACATGCTGCACACTGCGACCCTCTGACATAGCAGGTGTCTCCTCTGCATTCTCCTCCTGCACATCCTACATACACAATGCACACTATTGTCACAGTCAGTATTTTTCACTGATAGCCCACAAGATGACAAGCACTGTGCTGGGAACCAGAGGTTGTGCACAGTGGCTCATGGCTCTAATCCCAGCACTTTAGGAGGCCGAGGTAGGAGGACTGCTTTAGTCAAGGAGGTTGAGATCAGCCTGAGCAACATAGTGAGACCCTATCTCCACAACACAGTGGTTGACACCTATAATCCCAGCACTTTGGGAGGCCGAGGAAGGCGGATCACAAGGTCAAGAGATTGAGACCATCCTGGCTAACACGGTGAAACCCTGTCTCCACTAAAAATACAAAAAAAAAAAAAAAATAGCACGTGCCTGTAATCCCAGCGACTTGGGAGGCTGAGGCAGCAGAATAGTGTAAACCCGGGAGGCAGAGTTTGCAGTGAGCCAAGATTGTGCCACCGTACTCCAACCTGGGCAACACAGCGAGACTCCGTCTCAAAAATAGAAAAAAAAAATTAAAAAAAAAACAGAGGACAAACAAATTAGCCAGGTGCGGTAGTACTTGCCTATAGTCCTACTCACTCAGGAGCCTGGGGCAGGAAAATCACTTGAGCCCAGGAGTTTGAGGCTGCAGTGAGCTATGATGCACGCCATTGCATTCCAGCATAACAACATAGCAAGACCCTTTGTCTATGAAATTTTTTTAAAAAAATTAGCCAGATGTGGTGGCACATGCCTGTAGTTCTAGCTACTCAAGAAGCTGAGGCAGAAGGATTGCTTAAGGCCAGGAGATTGAGGCTACAGTCAGCTCTGATTGCACCGCTGCACTCCAGTCTGGGTGCCAGACCAAGATCCTGTCTGTGAACAAAAAATACGTATGTAAATACATAATAAAGCACACACAGAATCTTTCCCAAGGAAATTCACAATCAAGGAACAGGTCAATGTATATATGAGACTCTTTTTAATTGAAGCAAAATTCATATAACAATTTACATAAATAGAAAATTAAGCACTTTAAAGTGAACCATTCAGTATATTCATAAGCATTTAGTATATTCATAGCTGTGTGCAAACATCACATCCAATTCCCAAACATTATCACTCTTAAAAGAAACCTCATCCCAGCTCTCCTAAACCTCTCGGTCCCTGGCAACCTCAAATCTACATTGTGTGTATATACCTATTCTAGATGCTTCATATAAATGGAATCATACAATATGTGGCCTTTTGTGTGCAGCTTCTTTCACTCAGCATGTTTTTTTTTTTGTTTTTGTTTCTGTTTTTGTTTTTTTGAGATGGAACTTCATTTTTGCTGCCCAGGCTGGAGTGCAATGTCACGATCTTGGCTCACTGCAACCTCTGCTTCCTAGGTTCAAGTGATTCTCCTGCCTCAGCCTCTCAAGTACCTGGGATTACGGGCATGCATCACCACACTCAACATTTTTATTTTTTTTTTTTTTGTATTTTTAGTAGAGACAGGGTTTCACCATGTTGCTCAGGCTGGTCTCAAATGCCTGACTTCAAGTGATCCACTCGCCTCAGCCTCCCAAAGTGCTGGGATTACACCATCCCCAGCCTTCATCATGTTTTCCAGGTTCATCCATGCCATGGCATGTGCGAGCGTTTCATTCTTCTCAGGTATATACCCCAAATAATTAAAAACAGGTATTCAGACAAAAACTCGCACATGAACGTTCATGGCGGCATTATTCACAATTGGCAAAAAGTACAAATAACCCAAATGTCCATCAGCTGATAAACGGATACACAAAACATGGTATATTCATACAACGGAGTATTATTCAGCCATACCTGGGCTTTTTGTGGACATGATCTCAGTTCATAATCAGAATAAGATTGCAGAATGCACAGTATTTTTATCCCCCACAATTTGTGGAGGAAAAAATTGTGAATCAGCAACATTGCCAACCTTGTGTCTCCCAGCCTGACACGCTTCAAAATCAGAGACACGGCTGAGTTCCTGCAATGTATCTCAGACTAACTCCTCATGTCAGAGGGAGCCACATGGGTGGTTCTGGACTTTAAGGTGGAACTTTACCTCCATGGTGTACAGTCCAACTTCAACCCATCTGGAGCCCAAGCGCCTTTAACACAGACTTAGAGAATTCTCCTTCCCTCTACCATGGGCATTTCCTTTGCACAATGGCCAAAATCACTCATCCACATTCAGGGTGCTGTTACTATGCCCTTATCAAGGATCTCTGGCACCATTCAAGTCCCTAATTCATTTTACTACACATAAATTGCATTGTCCTTCATATACAGCCTTAACCTATTTAATTAGAGCCCCAATTTACTTTTTTTAAAGGAAAAAAACACACACACTTTAACTCTACAAGGGGCTAAAATTATACCTTATGGAAAGACGCGATTATTTCCTGACCATGAACTTCTGCTTTTATGAATTGCTAATTTGGTTAATGGGCTCATTCTGCTCTGAAATTTGCATCATGAAAATTACTAGCTTCGAAGAGTCCTCTGTGTACGACGCAGTCTGCACGTTTTGTTGTAAAGGTCACATTTGACATCGTAAAACAGCGGGCCCTTTTGAAAAGGTACAAATGTAAGAAATTAAATAGGCCCATTTGGTATAATGTCATTGTTACAGAGGGAAAGAAAAGATTTTTAAGTTAATTTTTATTCATACTGTTTATGCGTGTGCAGGGTGAGCTCCATCCCACGTGAATGTGCCTGGCACATTATTGGCTTAGCTTGTGATTAGGGGACAGTAGTGGATGGAAAGTTTCTTCCACAAGAATCAGTAAAATGGTGACTCTCAAATCAGTAAAAGAATCAATAAATAAAATAAAGGGCACGATCCTGTGCATCTAAGTAGATCCAGGCTCTGGGGAAAGCTGAAGTTCCTACATCAAATCATAATTTAAATGCTGCAGGAAGACTCTGTACCTAAAAATACCTTGCTATGACTCTGCGGTTCTGACAATAAAAAATCATGAAGCATTCACCACCCTAATCAATGTGGGGTACACATCTGGATTTTCCTAGGCTGGGTGTGTGAAGTCAGATGCTCAGAATCTCCATACCTCTCAGCAGAGAAGCTCTACTTTATGTATCAGGAAACCTTGTCTTCCTTGGAGAACATGGGGCCAAGTCCACCCACAATGAAGCATCAAGAAGGAAATGATAATGCCTAAGGTTTAGCCACCTTCCTGGGTGCCCAGAGGGAGTGAGCAGGGGGCAGCCACACCCTAAAAAAACGATAATCAAGGACAGCCAAGAAGCCACATCATTTTTACAAAGAGGCAGTCTAAGGTCAAAAGCGGGGCTCACCTGCCCATGTGCCATGTAACTTTAGGCAAGTTCCTCACCCTCCTGCTTCTGATGTCATTTTTTTTCATGCCTACCGTGGCAACCATAATGCTAGCATCTGCCTAGAGGCTGGCTGCTGAGGCTTTTAGAGGTTAACACGGAGCCTCTGCCCATATCCCACAATCTGGAGGAGCAAGAATATATCATAAGGTGAGGACATAAACTTCTGACCTGCTGCAAGGGCTCCAGGAAGTCGTGCTCAGGAGAGGCGGTGGATTAGGCCAGCCCTGGAGGAACTCAAAAGGAATACCAGGTGGGTGAGCGGGCATTGACAGGTGAGAAAGGCAAGGAGCCTAGCTTTTGAATACAGACCCCCTCACTCTAGGGGCCACAGAGTCATCAGGCAGCACCTTGCCTCTAGTATTATGTCTGTAACCAAGTCCTGGGTAAGACACACATCAGGGGAGAACACCATCAGAGGAAACCAGTCCTTTGTGGCAAGGAAGAGAGGCCCCTCCCGGGAGCACATGAGTCCTCCCCCTCCCTCCTTCTGTAATTACCTCTAGTAAATTCCCCATTCATCGGCTAGCCAGCTTCTATTCAGTGAGGACATGAGGCTGGGTGGCTGGGGAAGGGGGGGCGGCTAGGCACATTCAAGTTTGCACAATCTCCAATCACCGCACCTGATGGGAATAAGCACTTGCTTATGTGAAATTTTCATTTCAATCCCAGCCTCAGATTGCAGCATTTAAGAGCGACGTTCCCAAACACTTGAACACAGAAGGCTTTTCATCCTCAGAGTCCAGCACAAGTGTTACCTAATTAATGTTCAACAATGTTACCAAGCCTCCCTCTTTTAAGACGTATCAACCTGGAAAGGTCTGGAATTAAGGATTTTGATCTCGCATGGATTGCTTTCATGTATTTCGGGTAATTCGCACAGCTGCTTAAAGAAAGATATTCATCGACTATAAACAGCCCCAAGTTTGAGCAGCTACACAAATAAACCTTCTCTTATCTCTCCTGGCAGCTTTCCTTTGCCTGCTTGGGCAGTGAAGGGATCAAAACTGCTCCCCGACAGACTGATTCAATGAGCACATGGCCTCTAAAGTGAATCACTCTTCAGCCAGGCAGAATAAACTCCCAGCTTGAGATCCTCAGTGACTTTCCCTAAGTCCAGACCATGGCCTCCTCCCAGTCTTGCTCCTCAAAGTGTGGTCCAGATACCAGCAGCCTTGGTATCCCCTGAGAACTCACTCGAGATCCAGAATCACGAGTCCCACCTCAGACCTGTAGAAACTGAATCTGCATTTTAGTGAAATCCCCAAGTGACATATGCATCATAGCCTTCTCCTGAGCAAACTCCTATGCATCCTAGGAAACCCCACTCAAATGGCCCCTGCTCTGTGATGTGCTCCTTGATTCCTACAGAAAATGCCATAGGAAGAGCATACAGTTTGAGATGCACTGGTCTTCATGGCTCTCCAAGAACTGACCCCCTGCCTTTATTCCGCTGAGCTCCTTGCTATTCCTAAGACAAAGTCAACATGCCCCCGCCTCCAGGCCTTTGCCCTGCTGAGCTCACTGCCCAAGCATACTTCCCCAGGCCACTGCAGTGCCAGGTCTGCTGCATGGCACACCCAAAAGGGGTGCCATTCATATCACACTTGCAATAAATGGTATATCCTGCAGCCTCACTCAGGAGCTAGGTGGCACAGTGACCCTGTGCCAGGACCTGAGTAACAGCTATCTCTTGGAAGAGGCCTTTCTACTTACCCTTATCCTAAGCAGCTTCCCATCACTCTTTCTCCCCTCAGCCTGCTTTGCAGTTGTTTGTAGCACTTACTACTACTGGACACTGCAGCAGGTATCTACTTGTGTATGTAGTTTATTGCATAATTTTCCTTGCTAGAATATATTGCCCATGAGATCAGAGACTTTGTCTTTTCCCTTCCACTGTATTCTCAGCACCTAGAACACAGCCTATTTAATAACTGGTACTCAGTTGGTACATGTGTGTATGTGCATGCATGTATGTATGCATGGTGTGCATGTGTGTGCCTGTGTGTATCCATGGTGTGCATGTGTGTACATGCATGTGTGTGTATTCATGGTGTGCATGTGTGTATGCATGTGTGTGTATGCATGTGTATGCATGGTGTGCATGTGTGTGTGTGTATGGTGTGCATGGGTGTATGTGCATATGTGTGTGCATGGGTGTTTATGCATGGTGTGCATGTATGTGTGTGCATATGTATGCATGATATGCATGTATGTGTGTGCATGTGTGTATGCATGTGTGTATGCATGGTGTGCATGAGTGTATGTGCACGTGTGTCCATGTGTGTATGTGCATAGGTTTGCATGCATGGTGTGTGTGTGTGTGTATCCATGGTGTGTGTGTGTGTGTGTGTGTGCATGTATGTGTATCCATGGTGTGCATGTGTATATGTGTGTGTATGCATGGTGTGTGTATGTGCCTGTGTGTATCCATGGTGTACATGTGTGTATGTGCATGGGTTTCTATGCATAGTGTACGTGTGTGCATAGGTGTGTATCCATGGTGTGCTTGTGTGTATGCATGTATGTGTATGCATGCTGTGCATGTGTTTGTGTGTATGCATGGTGTGCATATGTATGCGCATGTGTGTATCCATGGTGTGCATCTGTGTATGTGTGTGCATATGTATGCATGGCATGCATGTATGTGCATGTGTGTATGTGCATGTGTGTATGTGCATGTATATGCATGGTGTGCATATATGTGTGTGCATGGTGTACATGTGTGTGTGCCTGTGTATGCATGGTGTTCATGTGCATGTGTATGTGTGCATGGTGTGCATGTGTATATGTGCATGCATGCATGCATGCATGATGTACATGTGCATACATGCTTGTGCCAATGTGCAGGTGCATGTGTCTCTGTGTGCATGTGCAAAATTAAATACTCTCTCCCATTCACAGTACTTTCAGACCGATGGCTAAAGTGAACGCTCCTGCAAAATGTCCCTTCATTAATATAGATTCTTGGGTGCTTTGGAAATGAGCAGTCCTCCAGAGAGCAATGCTGTCCTGCTCAATGCTGAGGAAGGGGCCCCAGTCACACGCCTGGGTAAGCGGCCACTTCTACCCCTCAGCTGCTACAGAAGGTTCTTTTACCTTTTTCTTATTTCCCTGACCTGCATGTGCCTCAAAGGTGAGCCACAAGATCCTTATCACATGCAGCACCCAGCACCACGGGGAAAATCAGTCCAGTGCCAGTGAACACTCCTGATCAGAAAACAAGGCTCTGGGCAGAGAAAAGTAAAAGAGATGCTCAGCTTGCCTGGTTAGCACAATGTTTCATGCTTTAGCAGAAAATAGCTCATAACTAATCAAATGCTGTGGGGCTTCAAAGGCACAAGATGAAGAAACTCACAATCATAACAAAGAGAACAGAGCGACACCAGCCCAGGGGACTGGAAACCACACCCACTCTTTGCCAGACACTCCAGTAAATTCAGTCATCTTGTTCCGCCCAAATGCCGAGCAGCCTCCCACCTCAGCCACCTACAGCCTGGTAGGCATGTGCATGGGTGAGGCAAGGCTGAAAGAGAGAGACAGCAGCACTACAGTGATGATGAATGCATGCTGACCCTGCCACTTGATGTTCAGGAGATGATAGAGAGTGATGGAGAGTGTGGCAAACACACTTCTTGCTCCCTCTAAAAGGGAAGCCACTACTCAGTCCCATTTGACTAGTGTTATGTAGGAACATGGACCCAGTGTTCCGAGGCCTTCTCACTTTCCAAAAGAAGTCTTGATTCATATCAAGACTTCTGTTGAACCTCCCAGCTTTGAAACATTGACAAGTAATCCAAAATTTTAACAACTCTGCAGGCAAAATAAAATACAACTGTGGATGAGATGTTGCCAAGGGCCATGCTTCTGAGACAACAGCAGAGACATTTGAAATTCAGGCCTTTATGTGGTTTTTTAATCAGCACAATTGTGCAATTAGTGGGGGCATTCCCTTACGTACATAGATGAAATGTGTGCACACAATTCTAGAACGTATCACGCAAGAGGAAGCCAAAAGCAAGTTCAAGTGACTAATAAAACTGTATTGTACCGCAGGATCAGAGCAAAAGAACCTAGTCTCTAGAGTAGAGGTATCTAGGAAATCTCACAGATTAAGAAAATGAGAAGGTGGGGTTAGTGAAGAGGACAAGAGTAAAGCTCAGCATTCTTAGGAGGTCCACTTCTTCTGAGAAAGTATCTTCCTCCTGTGACAACCTGCAGGAGGAGAGAATGGCATTTCTGTAGGAATCACAGAGCAGGGGACATTTGAGTTGGGTTTCACAGGATACACAGGAGTTTGCTCAGAAGAAGGCTATCACACAGAGGAACCACAAGTGCCAAAACACATTCCCTCATGGCTTTCTCTGAGCCCATTCAGCCCAGAACTTAAGGCTGCTCTTTTCCCTTCCTCAGATGTCTCTGAACCAGTACAGGATCCTACTCAAGCTCTATGATGTAGAGAGCCAGTGTCTGTGGGGACAGACAGGGAATGGAAATTCTATTCCCTTCCTTAACCCATTCCAATCCTCCCCATCTAGAATCTACAGTGAATAAAAACTTATGAATACAAGATGTAAATAAAGAAGGTAGAGGCACAATCCCATTCCTATAACCCCACTTTTCCACCCTTCCTTTAGGCCCCAAAGATGCCACTGTGTTTGTTGGGGACTGGGGGTGGCAGGTGAGTATCCCTAGCAGCTGCAGGCAGAGGGAAAAGTAAGAGGCAATGGAGGCCCCTAGAAACACCAGCTTATTCAATCATCATGGTTACTCCCCAGAAGCCCTCCCCCTGCTAGGGCTGTGTGTCCTGGAACCATCTTGTCAAGTACCAAACAACGTTTAGCATCTTTAATCACCTCTGTGTCATAAGGCAAGATAGAAAAGTGGTGGTACAACCAGAATGTGTGGGTTGGACCCCAGGCTCTTCCACCTGTCTGGGTGGCTGATAGCAAGTTATGCTACCTTTCCAAACCTCACTCTTCTTAGCTACAAAATGACAGTAACAATTGCCACTGCACCCCCTCCACAGGGCTAGTCAATAATCACATATGTAAAATGCTCAGCACTGTATCTATGAATGGGAACTTCTCTGTAATATTTTCTAAGATTAATCTCTTGTTGCCTTCAGTCATTTAGAAAAGGAACTCCCGTATGAGATGGGGGATTGCCCATTTTATCCAAAGGAAAGAATAGTCAGGGGACTTCCGACATCATCAGAGTAGAAATACTTGAGAACACTGGACCTCTAGGCATTTTTCAAAAGAAGGCTTGGTGCTTGGCCAAGGAAACAGGGTCATTTCCTCCAGGGAGTAGCAGATTTCACCTAAGGCGGTAGGAGAGGCCCCTGGAATCCAGAGTGGGGCTAAGCCCTGTGGCCCTCCCTCCTCACCACACTACCAGGGAGGGTGGTCTTCAGCATGGGAATGTGAGCTCTCTCTTCCTGTTGCCTGGATATACACATCTCCTGTTCCACCCTTAGGGATCCTTCCCCATCTGCCTCCCTGGGGAACTACTGGATTCATCAGAAGTAGAGACTGCCCAAATGGTGTCAGGGCCTTGAAAAACCCAAGGCACAAAAGGGTAACTTGTTATTTAATTCATAAACATATGAACAGCAATTAAAACTAGATTTATTGAGGATACACTAGGTGTTCAATAGTCTAGGTGCATCACACTAAGCACATTATAGACATTAGCTTGCTAAGCCCACAACAACCCTATGAGGAGGTTTTATTCCTTTACTGTCTGAAGTTCAGAGACATCAATTCACTCGCTATGGGTCACCTGTGGGAAGGAGCTGAGCAGAAATGAGCCCCCTGGAAACCTAGCTCTGGAGACCACTTACCTATCTACTAAGACATGACTTATTTAAACTGGGGTAGGGGGCAGGGTTTGCTCTAGACACTTGCCCCATTTTCCCACCTTGTACGATGGCCCAAAGCCTAATTGTTGGAGGCTGCTTGAAAGCCTACTTTAGGCTGATTTGCTTCTTTCTCAGCGGCATGTCAGCTGCTGCCCTGCGTGACAGCTTATTTAAAATATCAGGTAGAAATAAGATTCACTGTGAAATTAGTTGTAGACAAGCTCAGAAACTGCTAATGATGCAGAGATAATAAGGGGATTTGCAGAAAACACTGATATTGCATTATGATTAGTGAGCAGAGCTTCACCCCTTGAAGCCTGAGGGGCCCGAACTCCCACAAGAAGAACAAATGCATATGGATTAGCAGCGCACGCTGGCAAATCCTGGCTCCCAAGGCCAGCAGGCTCAGGCCTCCTGGTCAGAGGCTCAGAGCTCAGCTCTGATTTGCAAAAATGATTAATTTGTGGGTTTTGAGAATGAGAAATGTTTACTTCCCAGGTCTGGGGAAAACCAAAGGCCGGTCCTAAATCAAATTCCCATTTGAAAATAAAAACAAGCAAGAATAGCTCTGGAAGGCAACCCTGCGGTCTCACCTGGTCCACTGCCCGGAGTTCCCTAGATGGCCCTTCCAAGGGTATGATCTCAGGTCTACCAAGAATTTTGCTAGATTCATATTCCTACGAGTACGAAAGTTGGCTGTCAAGCTGCTATGTGCCACAGTAGCTGCCCAGTTCATGAGCCAATAAAATCTTGATATCCCAGTCAGAAAAACATGACAACCCTGACCTTGCCACTGGCCATCTCCATGACCCAGCCAATAAAACGTTAATGCCTGGCCCCATGAGCGGGAGGAGTCCTTCAGATTCTCATCCAGTGCTTTGGCCAGCATTATTTCTGATACACTGCAATAACCAGTAAAGTGTCCACAACTTACTGGTTATTAAATAGGTTTTTTAATTTTTATTTATTTAATTTTTTTGAGACAGAGTTTCACTCTTGTCGCCCAGGCTAGGGTGAAATGGCGCAATCTTGGCTCACTGCAACTTCCACCTCCCGGGTTTAAATGATTCTCCTGCATCGGCCTCCAGAGTAGCTGGGACTACAGGCATCTGCTACCATACCCAGCTAATTTTTGTATTTTTAGTAGAGATGGGGTTTCACCATGTTGGTCAGGCTGGTCTCGAACTCCTGACCTCAGGTGATCCACCCGCCTTTGCCTCCCAAAGTGCTGGGGTTACAGGCATGAGCCACCATGCCAGCCTTTTTTTTTTCTCTTTTTTAAATGGAGAAAGGGTCCCACTATGTTGCCCAGACTAGTCTAAAACTGCTGGCCTCAGGAAATCCTCCCACCTTGGACTCCAAAATTGCTGGGATTACAGGCATGGGCCACTGCACCTGGAATGTTAAATAGTTTTGATATCACCCCTTCATCCTAGACCTGTCTAGCTGGTGTATCTATAACACGAAAAATGAATGGAATGCATGATAGAAATCAAATAGGATAAAAATCCTCCAAAAAAAACCCAGTGCTACAAATCAACAGGATCTGAGTCCTGCTCTGGCTTGATCTATCCCTCAGTATTTACAAATGCACCCAAGATGGCAGTCTACTGGTGCACCCAGGATATGTAATTTAGCCAAGTTACAGTCTCTCAACTTTTGGCATAGAGAGGGGGAAATGCAAATTGCATGCATGTCAATGACTAAGCCACCTGCATAATGAGATGCCAGAAAGTTTGAGGCTAAAACGCTTATTTACATGAAAAGCAAATCTGTATGGGATACATATTTCTCTCCTTCACATCTCAACACATTTGTCACTCAAAGCCAGAAGGCTCTAATCAATGAAGCCCCTCCAGTCCCCGGCCCTAGTTTCATTCTCTTTAACTTTCAGCTTAACTCCATGAGGAATGGAGGCCACCAGGTGTTCACAACATATGCCATTACTCTGCTGCCTAGAGAACCACATTCAGAGAGAGGGACAGGCTAGGAGGCTGCATATTCCCTCCATGCCAAAACTGTTTTGTATGATCCCTGTGTAGAATGTAAATTATTTATTCAATTTATTCAGTGAGGTCAATAGAATGAAGTAGCTTGAGACTTTTGTCAGATGGCTGACCATCAATACAAACAGATTTTCTTTTAAATGGAATGTAACTATGCAGAAAAGTCAAAAGTGAAAATGTTAAAGAAAGATGAGGAGGAGCAGTGTAGTTCAGTGATACACTGTATTAGTTCCCATTTGGGGCTGGCTAGCATATTTCCCCTCCATCTCTTTTATTTTAGTAATAGACTCTGAGACTGCCTGACCCTGATCACATGACCCA